>NC_000004.12:173921381-174546381 GCF_000001405.40 Homo sapiens
CACTAATCTCTATATTCCTGCTCTAACTACTGTCCCCATTCTTGGCGTAATTTTTTATTCTTCAGCTCTCAGTTTAATCTTGCGAAGGTACATAAAACATCTAGAGTCAGAGCACCTAGGTTCAAATTCTATCAATCACTTTAAATAACAGGTAGCTTGGGGCAAGCTATTAAGTCTGTTTTTTCATTGGTAAAGTGGGAACGAGGACCTACTCCTTAGGGATTGCTAAGAGGTTTAAATGAGATGTTACATGTACAATGCTGGCTCTGTGCCTGCCATATAGCAAACACTTTTTTTTTTTTAAAGAGATAGGGTCTCGCTCTGTTGCCCAGGCTAGAGTGGTGGGGGTATTCACAGGAGTGACCATGGCTCACTACAACCTCCAACTCTTAGGCTCAAGAGATCCTCCCTCTTCAGCTTCCCAAGTAGCTGGGACTACAAGCGCACACCACAGTGCCTGGCAGCAAACACTCTTAAAGTGCTGAACAGTATTATAAATCGCAGAGCTGTCTGTGTCTCCCTGAATGATAGCATCTATCTCCTTGTTTTGGAAGTGCGTATTTAGGCCGTTGTCTTCTTACATACACCCACTGTTGTCCCCACATCCCAATTACACCACACAGTTCCCGAGAGTAGAAACTGAGTCTCCTTTACTGCTATATCCTCAATGCCTAAAAATTAGCCTGTTTCATGGTTGAGGCCCAATGAATATAGAATGAATACATAGTTATTCCACTTCACAATCTAATAAGGGAAAGAATCAGACAGCAATTCTAATCCAGAGATAAAATCTATAGTCAACAAAAATGATTTAGGGATTTGCTTTTTAGCACCCTGGAACTGTTGGCACATTTTAAAGTATTTATTTTAATATTTTGGTCATTTGAGGCATATGACTAAGCAGGTTTGAATTCCCTCACCAGGGAACTATGCTCTTTGATGATTTGTTCTTTGGAGACCTAATTCTGTGCAACTGTATATTGATAAAATAAGCTAACAATATGGCCAGGTATTCTTTATTTTGGATCTCATTGATGAAGGTAACATAAGTTGATAATCAGATTTTCCTTTTGCTAAAATAGCCAAGAAAATATTTTGTTAGGCTGGGCACAGTGGCTCACGCCTGTAATCCCAGCACTTTGGGAGGCTAAGGCGGGCCGAGGTCAGGAGATAGAGACCACAGTGAAACCCCGTCTCTACTAAAAATGCAAAAAATTAGCCGGGCGTGGTGGCGGGCGCCTGTAGTCCCAGCTACTCGGGAGGCTGAGGCAGGAGAATGGCGTGAACCCGGGAGGCGGAGCTTGCAGTGAGCCGAGATCGCGCCACTGCACTCCAGCCTGGGTGACAAAGCGAGACTCCATCTCAAAAAAAAAAAAAAAAAAAAAAAAAAAAAAAGAAAATATTCTATTATTTGCTTTCTAAAGTCTCACAAACAATTTAGGAGCAAGAAAGCAACATGTGGGAAATTCCATAATAAAACATAAATATTTTTTCTTTACAAAAATGACAGATGCTTATAGCGATTCATATCTGGGGCACCAAGGTTTTCAACTGAATGTAACTATTCTCATTTTATGAAGAACCAAAAGGAAAAAAGAGTGATTTGTTTGCTCACTGGGACTTTAATCCCAGGTTTCTTGTCTCCCATTATCTTCTTTATACTGTACACTTTTGCCCAAGCCTGCTGTCCTCCTGTACTGCCCACGGGCTAATCTCATCATATCCCCTAGGTCCTACAAGAGTTGGAGCCATCCTCTCCTCATCTTCTACTTTCTGCCTTCTTCTGGGACACGCTATTGATCACGAAGTATCTTATCCTTGAAAAATCTCCTCTCTTCAACTCGAGTACTACTGCAGAAAGCAGCAACTTGGCGGCCTTTTATGGATGGGTGTTACTGAAGTTAGGACAAATCTATAATAAGTTCATTTCCTCTAAGATGTCTACCCAGAAGGACAATACTTAATTGGGCACATATACTCTATTGGATCTATATGCTCATGACTTTATAAGTAGGCATTCTGCATGTATGTGCAAAACAAAATAGAACTTAGGAGGATAAAGCATCCTGTAAAATGTGGGACTTAAGACTGTATCAGGGAAAGGAGAAGAAAAGAAAAATATAAAATCTGATTTTTAAAATTATGACTACTGGAGTGTGCAGAGGTTTTCAAATGACTTGTTGGTGAATTGTAAACCTATAAAATGTGTGAAGCCATTTTATAAAGAAAAGCAATGTTTATAATTTTTTACCCATATAATGATTTAAAAATAGAAGAGATCACCACCTACCCTGATTCTTTAAACAAGCATTTGCTTGCTTCAGTGATTGTGGGTTAGCTAGATGATCTTGGAGTTCTTTCTGTGATTTAGTCAGTGATATTGAACAGGCTCTACAGCAAGGAAAGAAGGGGAACTGTATAAAGTAAATAAACTTAACAAAGCAGAAGATACATGTACCCAGAGAGTTCAACAATTTAGAATATTTGCCTGATTTTTTTAAAGTCCAAAAGTAATCTGTATTGATTATAACAGGAAGCTACTTTTCCAAGTTAGAAAATGTACGTGTGTGGTCAAAGCCGTCTTTAAAACAAATGCATTGAAAAATTTAAAAGGTCCTTTGTGTAAATCACAAGTCCCTATATTGTATCTTCATTAAGTCTCTGAAAATATTTTAGTCAATTTATACAGTCCTTTAAAGAAGGTAGTATGTGCAAAAATATGCACTGATACCTAACTACAAAATTATTTTGCACATCACAAATTGTATACATGATTGTCATGGATGAAACATGCTAACAATCTTTATTTTATTTATTTTTATTAGTTATTAATTTATTAACAATTTTTAATTTGTTTGTTTTTATTATTTTATGCCTTCATTCATGAAGATAACATACATTAGTAACCAGTTTTTCATTTGGCTAGGCTGTTCAAGAAAATACCCTGTTCTCCGTTTTCTAAATGCTATGAAAGTCACAAAGTAATTAATTAAAAGACCTCAGTATCATGACAACACCATCATCCTTCTGGTCAACACATTTCAGTGATGCAGAGTGTATTGTGACAGCCTGCAGATGACACAAAACAATCTACATTATCATCAAATTTCATGTCTATACTAATAATAATTTTTCACTGAATGTAGCAACACCTTTTCTGGCTGGGGTTGGGCTGAGGACAGAAGTGCTGTTGAGAGAGAAAAAAAGGGAGAAAAAAGAATGCAAGCTGGCAACTAGTTAATGAAAATCATAATGATATCAGTCTTTTTGCACTGGAAATATGCACTCCATCGTGCTCAAATGGTGGGGAGTGCAGATCTCTGATAAGACTAGGGGACTGTGGTCGGGGTTAGGTCGAAGGCATAAAATGCCTTCGCACACATGAATGCTTACCATGTGTGACCAAGTGGGAGGAAACTGTGGTGAGACAGGGAAGGAGAGAAATAACTCACTTAGTGTCTGGCATGATGATGTTGAATCTCTTCAGTAATGATTTCTGTGTTGTGTGTGGGTTATGGGAGTTTGATGTTGCTTTATGCCTGATGCAAAGAAATGCCTTTTGGCTCAGATTAGGTTGTGATCACTTCAGTTTGGCACCTAGTTACCAGTGTCAGCATTTACAGTTCATTCCCAGCCATGGGTGCAGTAAGTCTCTGAGATCTCAAAAGCTGTAGGATGCAACCCACATTGCCTTCTGGCCTTCGAGGACCATGCCAAATTCCTTAAAGCAATGACAGCTAAGGGTCATAAGGCGGCACTGATTCTACCTATGACCCAGTTTATTACACTATGTCAGTAGCAGCTCTTGCAAATTAATTTTGCTCATTACAGCAGAAAATGAATCAGGAAGACAGAATAGGACAAAATGCTTCCACCAAAATTTTATAAGGTATTTAAATCAGAGGAAGGGAAAAATCCCTGGCTTTTTCCCAGACACGAAAGAGAAAGAAAGGAGGCAGCTGAGGTAGAAATTCTCATACATTATGCAGATTATTATGATTAAAACCTCCTAAGTAAACTGTGCTGCTGAATATCCTTTAGATTTTGTTTTTGCAAAATCCCCAATGCTTTGGAAATATGAAAATTCCAACTACTAGCCTATGAAACCCTAGAGAACCTGCAGACCAGAAAAGGAAACCTGGCATAATAAGAATAAACAATGATTCTGCTTAAGTTGGATGTGAATTGTCAAAAGAAAAGTCCAAGGCAGACAAATTTCAGTCTCTCCAGACCCTTTTCAAACCTTTTCTTCTGACAGCCCCATAGAGATTTCTGAGGTCTTTCTTGAGCAGGTCTGGCAGCTGAGCCCTCTTCGTCAGGAGTTCTCAATGGCCCCCAAGGTGCCTTTGTTTCCTCAAGGGGTTTTCATAGCATCCTCAGCTGTGGTAAGAATAATTAGAATTTCTCTTTAAAACCTATAAAAGTCCAAATTACATGTCTTTTAAACATTTTTCTGTTGCTTTCCTTTATTTTATGCTTCTGTTCTTGTTTTTAAGGAAGGCAATGTATCGCATCCTGTATTACCTTCCCCTGACCTCATAGCTTCCCAAAACAGGAACAATCATGGGCTTTGAAGGTAGGCCACGTTGGTGTCACCAGTTTCTATGGCCCTCAGCAAGTCATTTAATCTTTCCAGGCTTCCATTTTCTCCTTTGCAAGATATGGATTTTCTTACTGTGTGGTTATGTAATGAATGAATTATGTAATGCCTAATAGATATTAATTATTAATTTTTTTAAAACAATCTTGTTCTCGTAAAGAAGTTAGGAACTGGGAGAAGCAATTTTTAAAAAATCTACAGAATTGTTTGCCACAAGCCATATTTGTCACCAATATAACAATTTTAAGATTAGATGAAAGAGATACTTTGAATCTGAGTCTTCTCATCGGTCTACCCCAATTAAAACAGACTTTCTCAGCTTTGGACATTTCCCAAGATGCACTTGCAATTCACATTTCAATTCTGTATTTATAGGTGAAAGATATTAATCACATAAAAAAAATAATCTCTTTATTATCCTGCCTTCTTGCCCTCTATTAACACGCGTGCTGTTTTTGTTTCCCAAAAGGAAGTATCTCTCCAAGCCAAAACGTTACTGGCCTTGGTTAATATTCTTTTTAAATGATACCTTTCATTCAGTAACTCCAAATTAACTCTTCATTCACAACCCACAGTTTGTGATTATTTGCACTACTGGATTATTTAATCTTTTATATTTTTCTCTAGTCACTTTATGTTTTTAATCTGACCTGTGAGTTCTAGGACTTGAACCAAGGGTTCCGATGAAAACTCTTTCTGAAACCAATGTTTTGCTGCTGTGGTCATTGTTTCTTGGCCTAAAGTAGAGTGCTTATTACAGTGAAAATTGGGAAGGGCAGTGGGGAGGAGGGATAAAAAGGCATAGTTAATGAGTACAAAAATACAGTTAGATAGAAGGAATAAGAGGTAGTGTTCAATAGCACCACAGGGTGACTATAATTAGGAAAAACTTACAGATTTTTAAATTATTTTTATTTATTTATTTATTTATTTATTACAGAGTCTCACTCTGTTGCCCAGGCTGGAGTGTGGTGGCACAATCTCGGCTCACTGCTACCTCTGCCTCCCGGGTTCAAGCAATTCTGCTACCTCTGCCTCCCGGGTTCAAGAAATTCTCCTGCCTCAGCCTCCCAAGTAGCTAGGATTGCAGGCATGCACCACCATGCCCGACTAATTTTTGTATTTTTAATAGAGACAGGGTTTCACCATGTTGGCCAGGGTGGTCTTGAACTCCTGACCTTAAGTGATCTGCCCGCCTCAACCTCCCAAAGTGCTGGGATTACAGGCGTGAGCCACCGCGACCTGCCTGAATTTTTCAAAATAACTAAAAGTGTAGAATTGGATTCTTCCTAACACAAATAAATGATAAATGCTTGAGGTGATGGATATCCCAATTACCCTTACACATTGTATGCTTGTTTCAAAATATCACATACACAACTATTATGTATCCATAGCAATTAAAAATTAAAAAAAAAACTTCACCACCATGATTCCTTGGTTCCTTGAAATAAACATGACTCAAGTTTCTTTGAATAGTTATTTTAATCCCAGTTCTCTACTACTGTGGTCTCCAAAGTGCAATGCACAAAACAATCCATTGGAGGACAATAATATTTGAACTTCTTTCTGTACTTATTTTTTAATCTAAAAAAGGAAAGCCAGTTGCAGTGGCTCACACCTGTAATCTCAGAACTTTGTGAGGCTGAGGCAGAAGGATTGTTTGAGGCCAGGAGTTTGAGGCCAGCCTGGGCAATATAGCAAGACCCCATCTCTAAAATATCAAAATAAAAAAAATTAGCCAGGCATGGTGGCACATGCCTATAATCCTAGTACTTTGTGAGACAGAGGCAGAAGGATCGCTTGAGCCCAGAAGTTCAAGACCAGCCTGGGCAACAATAGTGAGACCTCTATCTCTGAAAAAAAAAAAAAAGGGGGTGTGTACCTGTAGTTCAAGCTACTCAGGAGGCTGAGGTGAAAGGATTGATTGAGGCTGGGAGATCGAGGCTGCAGTGAGCCAAGGTCATGCCATTGCACTCCAGACTGGGTGACAGAATGCGATCCTATCACTAAAAAAAAGAAAGAAAAAGAAATGACTTAACTTATAAAAAGACAACGTTCTTAGTTTGTTTTTAAAATTATCTCTACATCTATGGTTACTTCTAGACTTGTATACTTTACCTATTTTCTTTGGCTCATAGTTATTCATTGATTAATCACACTATATGAACAGTTCACATGTGGTAATTTATGACCACAAATCCATGACATTGAAATTATGTGCTCCATTAAATTCAATCCACATTTATTCAATTCTACCTACTTTGAGTTCTATATCAGAATACTTATGAGAGGTGCAAACAAGTCCTTGTATTTAAGGAATTTGTACTTACTATAATTTTGTAAGCTTTAAGTTATATACGTATATATGTATTTTATTTTTGACATGAGGTTTCTTTTTGGAAATAGATATAAAATAATATAATTAGAATCCAGTTTGAAAGTCTAGAAACATCCTTCCAAAACCATAGACAATTTTTTCTAATGAAAATATTATATCGATACAAGTAAAGAATGAAGATGTGGAGACCTGGAGACAGGTGGCACCTCGTGCTTCCTCCGAAGGGAGAGCCCATTTCCTAACAGCTGGATCAAAGGCATGAAATGAACATGGAGTCCCTGAAGATGAAGAGAAGGCATGGCTTCCAGGGAGAAATTGTACAGTTAGTGTCACTCCAGGGTCCCAAATAGTAGAAACTATTTCCTGTATTCTAGTTGAGAAATTGTTTCCCTGATTAAGAAGACATCATACTTCCTAAGAGAAGCTGCTATTACCATGACATCCAAGTCTTTATCTAGCAGTTCAGTCTTTCACCTTTCTCTTCACCCTCCACCTCCAAACACACACACACACACACACACACACACACACACACACAGAGCTCCCTCCACTGAGGCATCTGGCACAACTAATCATCTTCAATTTCTTTGATTCACAAAAGGAACTGAGAGGTTACTGATGACCATATTAGATTGTATTTGGATGGAATGTAGAAACATTGTTAATTGTTCACTTAATTATTCATTCATTATTTCAGCAATGAACATTGATTAAGCACCTACTATATCAGAAGCTGCTTAATTATCCCACATATGCAATTTCTCCTTCTTATTAGTAATAGAACTCTTTGAACTTTCTATGGGACACTATCCCCCCAGCTAGATGCTTGCTGCTGGGTTATGTGTGCAACATTTCCTTAGAAGGAAAACTTCTTACCTTCCACCTTCTTTCTCCTTATGCAGTTACAGGAATGCAGATGTGATTCCTATGGATGAGGGTAACCTAGAGGCTAGAAGAACAATAGGACAGAAGAAGCCTGGGTCCCTGAACAACCTTGTGGAGCATAGACACCTACGTGGCCTGGACTGCCAGCTCACAATGGGCCTCTCTGTGAGAGAAGGAAACTTCCCTCTTGTTTAAGCAACTGTGCTTTTGAGAATCTCTTGGTCTATACCCTAATGAATAAGGCCATCATAAATGGATATCAAAGTAAGGAAATTTGTGTAAATGATTTAATAAAACATTACCTCAGGTATGAAATAATTCTACCTTGTGCCTTGACAACATCAGGTATTATTCATGCCCTTTTCTCTCCCTGTAATGTCTCTTATCCACGGGTAGAAATTATATTTTCCATCTAAGGTTTGCTCAAATATTATCTACTTAAGTAGCTCTTACCAATTTTGCCTCTCCTCCTGAGCTGACCCTATGCCTTCTATGCTGTTCCAGGTAATATTAATCTCTTCCTTTGTACTTCTTTCACAGAACATACTTTTTTGTCTAACATAATAACTATAGGCATAAGTGTATAGATTCCACTAGGGGCTTCAGAACAGAAACTATCATCTTATTAATTTTTTTCTCCCTGATATCTAGGGAAATATGTTATATATAATAGGCCCTTAGTAATCCCATAAATGTTTGTGAGATATTCACTGACTATAAGCCATACTCTGTATTTATTTAGCTAAAACAGACGTCTTTCATATTTAGTTAGCAGAAAATGCTCACATTTACTCCTTTCCTGTTTACCAAATGAAAGGGTAATTGTTTTTTCACAGATTGCACTAGAAAAGTGTCTTCTCTCTCTTTTTCAAATAGATTGTCTTTAAAACATATGACAGGAAAAGTGACTATTGTTAGGATAAGATAATTACGATTGTAACAGCTAGTTTAAAAGAAGTGTCAGTTGCTCCTGTTTTATTTTTCACAGGATAGAGCTGCGGCCTGTCTCAGTATGATGTTTTCAGGATCTGGTATATATTTTTATTTTCCTACATGAATCTTTCATCCTTTTACTGACATTTATTCATTTTATCTAATTATCCTAAAAGGAAAGCTCTGGCCAGGCAAATTGGTTGTTGTCTGCCTCTGAAGAGACATTCATATCGCGTCGCTTAGCTTTCAAGTTTTGTGATCAGGAACCCTCAGGCCCATTTTTAAGGAGGTTTCAGGCTAGCTGAGCTTCACTGTCTCCCAAAATGTACAAAATGAGATTACATGAGGGACAAGATCAATTTACTGGAAGGTACTTAAGCAGTAAATCTGGAGCTTTTTGTCCAGTCACTATTGCTTTCAAGCTTTGTAGCAGAAAATTAAGCCACAAGAGCTTTGACAAATTAGATATTACTACCTCTAATTGTGTATGTTTAAGCTTATCACACTGAATTGCAGCATTGTAACTGACTATTATGCCAACAAGGCCTTCGTTTAATCAGCGCAGTGCCATTTAATCGCAATTAATCACTCAACTAAAATGTCATATTAAGGTCACAGAAACTTGAAGGGCTAAAAGAAAAGAGAACATTAAAGTCAGCTGATGGAGGAAAAGAGCATGGTGTGCCAAGGGAAGTTCTGAGCACTCTTTTTCATTAGAAGCTGGTAGAACATTTAATGAGAATTCAGTCTTAACTTTCAGCTGAGATCAGAACAACGTGCCTCACTTGGTTAAGCAGGAGACTATTCTGCCCATTCTTAGCGGGCTTCTGTCTGTAAATAGGATACTCCTGCCCACAGAATACCTGAAATTTTACAGATTCATGATTTTTATTTCTATTATTCTTTGGCTTTCTGGCATTTTCCCCTTTCCTATTACTTTTAAGAAGGAAAGAAATCAGATATGATATGGTACTGAAGACAAGATGAAATAAATAGCATCATTTTGCACAGTCACTTACAAGGTATTTATAAAAAGGAACAATTGGATTCACTTGTTTGCCAGGAAGATTTTATTTCCCAGAAAACTTGTCAAATCGAATGTTATAGTGCAAAAAGAAAATGACTGAAGCTTTTGTTTTTTAAATTTTAATACTCAAGAAGTACTATGCCAGTCTGAAAGATCTCTGTTAGCCCCTCACAGGACAAAACTTGTGAGAAGTAATTTCACCCGGAGGACCGGGACTCTGCCACCCATGGCTCATTCCTTATGCTTTAACCCTGCCTAGCCCTAAGAAATATTGTTCCACTAACTGATTGACTCTGAAAACAGAGCCATGGTAAAGGGTATATAGACAAAGGGCACACTTAAGGTCTCTCTTTGTTAAGGAGTAGTAGGTAATTTTATTTTATTTTGTTTTATTTTATTTTATTTTATTTATTTATTTATTTATTATACTTTAAGTTCTAGGGTACATGTGCATAACGTGCAGTTCTGTTACATATGTATACATGTGCCATGTTGGTGTGCTGCATCCATTGACTTTTTCAGCAACGTGGATGGAACTGGAGGCCATTATGTTAAGTGAAATAAGCCAAGCCCAGAGGGACAAATATTGCATGTTCCCACTCATATGTGGGAGCAAAAACAGTGGATCTTAGAAGACAAAAACTAGAATGGTAGTTACCAGAGGCCAGGAAGTGTAGGGGGAAAGAAGACGAAGGAGAAAAAAGAATATAAATGTATTTATTACCATGAACTGTACACTTAAAATGGTAAAGATGGTAAATTGTATACATGCATCTCCTCAGTAATAAATAGTTTTTTAAAAAACTGACTCTAATGACCACTCTTCAAACTTGCAATAAATAGCACAGACACTGGAAACAATGACCACCTCCAACAGGAAAAATGAATTTCAGTTTTCATACCCACTGAGCCTATGAAGCTTGGTGAGCAAGATGTCTGTGTTTGAGCAAGGCTCGCTCAAACCGTCTCCTGCAGACCTGTGTGGAACGGTGCAGTCCACTAGCCACACGAGGCTACTGAGCACTTGAAATGTGACTAGTATAAATTGACATGCACTGCAAAGATGAAATACACACTAAATTTCAAAGACTGACTTTAAAAAAAGAATGTAAACTCATTAATAATTTTTTGTTGATTACATGGTGAAATACCAATTTTGGAGTATACTGAGTTAAATGAAATATGTTATTAAAATTAATTTCATCTGTTTCTTTTCACTCTTTTCAATGTGGCTACTAGGACGTTTAAAATTATGTGTATAGCTCATATCATATTTCTATTGGACAGTGTTTGTATAGACCAATGAGAAGAGTCACTTACATCGGTATCACCACTGACCTGGACCAGATGTGATCCAGTAACCCAGAGGAGAAACATTTCTGACCTATTCTAATCCTCTAAGCCAAACAGGCTCTTAATCAAAGAGCTAGTGTTTTTACAATATCAAATGGAAAATAAATATAATAACCTCAATAGTACACTTGAAAAAATGAAGGATTAATTTTAGAAAGACAGGAACTGGCATTATTCAGATTGAAGGAAAAAACAACAAGGCGAAATTTAATAAATATCTCCTGGGGACATATGAGACAGGTTAAGATTGCAGCATGAAGGCTGGAGGTTAACTTAAATGATTTCTTAAGAGTCAGGGTTGTTTAACACTTGATACAGGTTGTGACTCTTCTTTTCCTGGAGGGCAATGATAATAAGGCAAGGCCTCCTCTGAAGTCCTAGATAAGCATAAGATTGGAGAAGCCAATTTAAGATAGCTATGCCATATCAGCACTTATTCAGATACTTTGAGTGCCTCTGAAAGTTGGTGATGAGACGGGACTAGATTACCAGCCCTTTCAAACACACTGAGCCTCAGTCAGAGCCATCTTTAATTTCTCTCCTTAGGTGTTAATAAAATTCATCTTAAAATTTATTACTTTATGATATCTCAACATTCTCTTACAAAATTTGCACTTAAAAGCTTATCAAAATCTTATACCTGGAAATTGAATGGAAGCACCTTACAAGCTGAAACAGTGTCTTTATTTATAACAGTAAAAATTACCTTTTTATTATAACACACCCTTGTACGCATGTAACTATATCATACATGTTATATAACTAAATGTGTATGTGCACTATAGGATATAGTAGCCATTCAAAAACATTTGATGAGTGAATATATGTTCACTCACAATTGAAAAAAAAACCAAATGTCCGCATTTCCACAGCTGAGGTAGAGAAGGCAGCTGAAGTGTGGCAGAAAGCCCAGCCTCTCCAGTTCTGGTCCAGTGCATTTATATTGCAAAACGTTGATAAGCAAATGCTGCACATGGGTATAATAAAGTTTGGAAATTTTACCAATGAGATGTAGTGTTAGAACAATTTTATGCCTTGGTAAATTATCAATAACTTCTCTAAAAATATCGATGTTTTAAAATCTCTTGCAAGGTAACTTCCTCAGAGAGCATGGCTTTATATTAGTAAGTAAAGGAATAGTCACTACATAGGTCAGTATGAGAAAACCAAATGGAACCACAAATCTCTTTCTAAAAATTCTACCTAAATAAAAGTTCCTGATCAAGTTAAAAGCCTAGTTTATAGCACATGATGCTTTGTCTGATCTACATCCAAGGTAACTTCTTGAGTGGAAGACTTTGGGCTTTTTTAGACAAAGGTTTCTGGCCTCCATTTTTATAAAGCCTAGTTAATTTATATGCTGAGGTCTTCGGTGGATCACAGGTGTATTTTCTCTATATTTATAACCACACATCAATTTTTAAATGGAAACATCTGAGCTTTCAGTGGCTATGAGCCAGTCTTGAGTGAGGAAGCCATACTCACACAAAACTTGGTATAATAACCAGGTGTAGCCAAAATAAGGCACATCCATATGCATGTTGAGTTTCTGCCACATAAGGAATTTATAATAGAGTTTATCACTTATCAGAATGTATTTGGGCTTACACTGACTCCATTACCAAGGAAAAGCAATTTTAACGAGGCTTTCCTGTAAGGAATCTATTGTTTCTTCTTCCTAAACTATCAACTTCACCTGAAAATACTTCTAAAAATGAGAAAAATAGTTAATTTTCAGCCATTGAGTCTACCTTTGGCTGGATGTATTCCTTTAATTTCAGTGCCAACGCATAACTATTTGGCCTTTTATAAAGGTTGCGTATTTTTCTTCTGAGTAGAGTTGCCCTCACTATGTCAGAAAACATGCATATGTACTCTTCCAAATGAGGGGAGGGCCTTATAGCCTCACTGATGATGAGCCCAGAGTGAGTCACTCAGGATCTTGATATTGTTTTTTGAAAACAACAACAACAAAAATACTGGTGTCTGTATAGAAAATGCCTAATTCTTTCCAGGTATCAATAAATTACTTTGCTAGTCAGAGTATCAATGTTGGATGGTGTTGTGAGGTTTACATCCATGTCTAGAAAACCACATTTATGCTGCAAGCAAGCTATTATAAAAAGACGAAAAATAATATATTTTTAAAGGACTTTCCAACAAGTTATTGGAACTGTTCCTTTAAATATTAGGAAAGCACTCCAACTAGTATACCTAGTATACTACCTGGTAAAAATTAAAATAACTACTACACGCTTTTTTTGGAAGATCTGAGTGATATTTCCAAGTGTCCTAAAAAACAATTCTTCTTCCCCATCTCAATCCCTAACCTCTTTTGAAGGAACAGCCATTGTTTGAGCCAGGCAATTTAATTCTTAGGACTTTTATCAACATGACAGGTCTCAGCCTAAACCAGGGAACTTTTTTTTTTCCTTTTATTTGTTTTCTTTTCAAGATATAGATGATATGCCCCTATCCAATGTACAGTTTAGTGAGATGGATGACACTTCACTCACTGGCAGTTCAAGGAAGTCTTAGCCTAGCTTGTTTACATGAACACGTTTTAGAACAGCCATATAGCTTCCAGCCAGCTCTACCCTGCTGCCCAGCACTAAGGGGGAAAGCAGGCAGTGAGCCCATAGGTCGCTGATAAACTAACTCCCCATTTGGCAAGCAGGGAAGGGAATGATAAGGGCTCTGATTTATGTTTTATCTGTCGCTAAGTTTTCAGCCAGCCTGAAATGACTTGGTTCTGTTATCACCTCAGATGCCACAGGTTTCTTAAGTGAGGCAGATTCTTTGGCGACTTTTAAAAAGAACTTTATTTCACCTCTTGCAGAAGGTTAGCTTAGCGATGGATGCTGCTTTAAAACACTCCCATCTGGCTTCATAAACTGTGAGGCTATAAACCAGCTTGTGGGCTCTATTCCATGGTTAGTTCTTGACATCACCTGCATGTAACTATGCTACCCTTTTGGAAACACAAAGCTGGGTGTGATGCATATAATGACAGGGATGCTTGAATCTTTTAAAAAAATTACATACCTAAAAATGTGTTAATATGAAAATTGCATACATCATCCTACCCAAACTTATCTAAAAAGAAAACTTTCTACAAATTAATTTTCTGTCAACATACGTTGACTTCAGATAGTAAAAAGAAATGAAGAAGAAAAATCTGTCTTGAGGGAGAAAAAGAGTGTCAGTGGATACAATTAGAAAGCAAAAAAAAAAAAAAAGCCCCTGTTTTCTGTGATGGATGCTGCAGGGCAGCTCTGGGGGTCAGTGGGAGATTAGCTGACATAAAAGCAAGGGAGTGTATCCTTATCTAGTAAACTAACACAAGTCAGTAAATGAAAGCCCTCGGTCCCCAACCTATTTCAAGTTGTTTCCCCCTAAGTTTAAATTGGCTTGTCGTTTTACAAGGATGGATGGGTATTATTTTTAAGCCTTTATTTTACAATGGAAGAATGTGAGTGTTTCACAAGTGAAATGTTCCCATGGAGAAGGGAATAGCAATGAATCATAAACAGTGTAAACACTCCCAAGCTTCTTATATATGTAAGGTTATGTGCTAATATCTTCTCTCCCAGTAGTGTTTTCTTTCCAAACACCGTAAGAAGAGAAGTAGGGGCCAGGGAGAGGCCTTTGGAGCTATCTTTTGAAAACAATGGGAGTCTATCTCCTCTATTCTCAACTGTGTAATCTTTTTGTTATCTGACGTGAACTCATAGAAACTGACTATGTATTTCCCCTCAGTAATATCCTTCTGTGACCTCCTCTCCACCCACCTTCCTTCAGGATAAAATCTAAACTTCCTAGCAAGCTGGGACCTTCCTAAACTAGACCTTTAGGATTGGCCACTGTTTACCCATCTGGCCTCCTCCATTGTCACTTTCCCACAGGCACTTTTTACAGAAGGCACACTAAAGCACCTGAAATTCTTTGATTATTTGGTGCCTTTATACTTTATTGATTTTACCCTTGTCCAGAAAAGCAACGAGATTTAAAATATCAGTTTTGATCACTACTATATTTCCAAAGCCTAAAACTGTTCCTAGAACTTGCTAAGCATCAAATAATGTTTGTTAACCAAATAATGTACACATGCTCCTTCCTGGATTTGTAAAACCCTTCTCCTTTCTTCCCCTGCCCGAATTTTTACTTCGATTTCAAAATTGTGTCACTTTGTGGAAATCTTCTACCTCCCATATGCAGAACTGGAAAAAACATCATCCTCACAGGGTCTTATAGCACCCACTGCACTCCTTCAACATTTTCTACATTGCATTTTAGTTGTTTGTATCCACTAGCAGAGAACTTCTTACAGGTGGGTATTATTTTCCAGTTCTGTGTGCTCTGTGTCTAGGTGAGCATATAATGAATTCAACTAATGCCCAAGTTCCCTCTAGGCCCAAAGGCCCAGACAATCTGTTCCCTAATTAACCTTTCAGATCACTTCTCCTACTTCTCCCCACTCTCCCTCCCCCTAATCTAGTCACACAGATTTCCTTGCCTTTCCTCCACATGCAATGCAAATCTTCATCCCCTCCCACTGTGGTCCTTCTGTCTGCATCACTCCTCCTCCTGAAAGCATTCTGCCCATAACTCTTTCATCATTTTTGTGCAAATTGTCACCTGCTTAATGAGGTCTGCCTTGCACACCCTCCCTGAACTGCAATCGTATCCACCCTCATTCCTACCCCTTTTTCCCTTCTTACCTCCTGACACACAATATGGTGATTTGTAGGTGCGTTGTTTTTGTGTGTCCTCCATTTGATCTCAAGTTTCAGGAAAGCAAAGGTCTTTGTTTTATTCATTGAAGTATCTTGTATCTTAAAGCCTGGAATACAGTCAGCAATCAATAAATATTTGCTGAATAAAATACTGAATACATATTTACTGTTTTTAAAAAAAATATATATATATATATAATCAATTACATAGTTGAATAAGGTCATTATCTACCTTAACACATGTCCTTTCTTTGCCTCAATAAAAGCTATAGAGTTTTTCACTGCTTCTTTTGAAAGTCCAATATACAGCCTAATTGAATTCACAGTTCAGTTCCTAATGCCTCATTTAAATTTTCCTTTTAAATCGAATTACTTGTCTTCATAAAGAATACTTTCTTTGGCTCAAACTTTTCACAAACTTGCAATCTTGCCTCGTAAGCCACAGTTTTCAGCCCCTGTTTAAAATCATGGTTGATTTTTAAATCAGCCTTCTCCACTCTTGATGACTTCCATAAAAATCAGTTTGTAAGCTCTTAAATTCCTTAGTGTATTCACTCTACACATTGGGCAGCTGAGAAAAATAGGTCAGGAGCTGGACTGGGGCTCCTGGAACCTCAGCTTCTGAAGCTTCCTGTTGCTGTACAATTGACTATAAAAGAGTTCATTTTCCCTATAAAAATATTTTCACTTTATTTATGTTCCCACTTTTTTTTTACCACAATTTAAAAAAACCACTAAAAGCACAACATAAAAATATTTATACTTGTTTTCTCATCACCACACTGGCATGCGATCCCTGGCACTAAGCATGGAAAAGAGACATCACTGGAAGTCCTGTGTACAAAATATTATTCTCTGCATAGTGCTATCATTAGAGGATAGGGACATCCAACCTTTACTGAAATGTAGCAATCAGATATGTTTCTTGAGCTTATATATGGGTGGTTGAACAATGGTTTTAAGAAATAAGATCATCATTTTGTTTTTGTTGTTGTTTTTTGATTTCCCTTTTCTTTAAATCTTGCTGTGCCTTTTCTAATGTATTTCTTCCTTTTTACTTTTTTGTGTTTTTTCGCAGTTATGTAAGTAGGTTATCTCAGATTAGCATCCTCATTTTAAATTTATTTTATATCTACTTACATTTGTATTAGTATAATTAGATAATCGTGTTACACAGTTCCTTTTTCCTCATTCAAGGATATGTCTTACCCATGGCATTATCTTAGGTATAAATGTTGTCTTCTGGATTCACGTCTACTTAATAACACATAAGTAATTTGGCATGGACTAACTTTATGTTAGTTATAACATGAATAACAATACAAACAGTACATATAATGAATCAATATCTTAAATCACTGTATGATTTATAATTTTTGCATGTACTCTGTTAAGAGGCTTTATCAGAAAGGGCCTTAATTATTTTGAAATTGTTTTCCATGTCTTAAAAATATTGTGCTGAGAAACAAGATATATGGGCCTTATGTACAATAAGACAATAGTTCATTTGTGTGGAACATGGCCAAACACAGGCTCAACCAAATGGTATCATTTTTTTTTAAACATTTACTGAGTATCTTCTGCCCATATTAGGCAAAGACTTGGTGCTGACTTTATATTTGAGCAACACTTATGATGTTCCATGCATTAAATTTAACCTCCATAGCCCTCTGAGGTTAGGTGTCTTAAAAAAAAAAAAAACCTGTAAAAGTAACTTTATTCAAAGTCACTGATTTTGTTTAGTGGCTCTACATTACTACATTCACATTCATGAAATTAATAATGTACTGCATTTCACCAGCTGTTCATAAGACTTTCCTGGAGGCAAGATTGGTACATTCTTAGAGAACTGGGGGAAAGGTTATTGAAAACCTCATGGGTTAGGATATATCCAGGATGGCCAAGCCCAATAGATTGCCAAGATTGAAGACAGGGGTTGAGTTGGGATGGCTGGAGGACCTGAGGACCAGATATTTACTTCACAAGGTGCAGTTATGACAACAAAAACTTTAGAGTGGGAAGTATTCTATTTTTATAAAATGTATGGTAGGATAAAATGTTAAGGTAATAATTACAACAATTGTTTCACTGTCCCCCAAGCTTTGCCTTCAATGTACATAGATAGTGAGGTTCTCATCTCCACTTGGCTTGGCTTGACTGTCACTCAGTACTTCAATATAGAATACCAGGAGACTGAGCCTCGGTCCGCATGAAAGAGAACAAGGGTTTGAGGGTTAGGGTTTTTCATACTATCAGACTCCTGGGCTTGGGAAGGGAGTCGGGCGAGTGTCAGGTAAATGGGAGCTGGATTGAACCTCAGAGATCAGCCTGAGCAGGAAATCAGGAACTGTTTGTCACCAGCAGCCAAAAGCCCCATGGGAGTCCAGAGATTATCCAAGCTCTGTTCATGTACCCAGTGGACATCCCCTGACTCTCTTGGGGTTCATAGGGGTGATAGCTGTCCTTCCCTCTATTTGTTACCCCTCTTTGAACTTTGAACAGGTGGTTCAGCTCATACATTACAAAGAAAAAGTGACCCATCACAGACACAGAGACTTTCTCTACTCTTAAAAAACGCACACTGTCTGACAGTGTATGCCCAAATTAAAGGCTATCAAAGGCACAGGGTGAACTGGAGGTTAAAAATTACCCTATATATTTTTAAGAGAGTTAGCTAGCCCAGCATAAAGTGAAAGATGCATTTGTTTCCACTTATTCTTGAATAGCTTTGGTGCTTCACAACAAAGCAGGATTTGTGTTTTAGCTGTTTGGATAAACTAAAGCTGGATAATGATAGTATAATTCCTGAATTCAAATAATCAAGATTCTAAATGGAGTCTATGACTTTATAGAAAATAATGTTAAATGGACTATATGATATTACCTCTCTCTTTGTGTTTGTGTGAGATAGAGATATATTTAGTTTGTCTCAGGTGTATACTACTAAGCTCCAGGAAATTGCAGTGAAACATTTGTTCACTTTTAGGATTTGAGTTATAAATCAGCCAAGTAAAGATATATCCTAATACAAGTGTCAAAATGATGAATGATATCAGTATTGTACCACGTGCCGACACCAGACGTCACTGCTGTTGACAAGCTTGTGACTGTTTCACTAACAGACTGTGTCTTTCCGAGAATGGGTTTAGTACTTGGAGATAGCCCTTCCTTGGATAAAAGCTTGTGCAGCTGTCATCCAGGAGAACCTCAGTGCTTCTAGAAGCTGCCGTTTTAGTAGAAAATGTAACAAACAATTCTTCCTCCCATAGCTGTGAATCTGAAGTGAGAGGTTGTGTTCTTACTGCCTCACTCCTGAGTTTTGTCTAAGGATGTCACTGCTTCTGACCCCAAAGTTTGGAGAGAGATTTTGAAATTTGTTATTATGGATTTATATGCTGCTCCAGAATGCCTCACCAAGAGCTTAATGCTCTTTCCATCAACTTTATTTTTAAAGGAAACTGTTCAGAATATGTGTTCATTTGTTGCCAAAGATATTAGTGATAAAATACCTAAAATATGTATAGCTTAAGTCATACAATTGCCTAATAAATTAGTACCAAAAAAGCATAAAACCTCAAGAATAGTTAATAATGACCCAATATTGTGTTACACTGTGGCTGTAAAAAAATAACCTGAAAATCTTTCTAGAAAACTCATGGGTCCATTTTGTATGCTTTTTAATATTATGGGTATCCAGATGTGTGAAATGTATTCTGAGACGCAGAATGAAGACATTCGAGGTCATCACTGTGACCCTGTCTACCAATTTTTTAAAAATTCAAGTGTAAACAATGATACAGACAATCCTACAATGTACTTCTCTACCCCTTACTGAGTTTCAGTGGTGATCCCATTTTATCCTTAGACACCTCCCAACAACATTTTTTCAGGAATATTAAAAAAATTCCAGACGTGTCATTTCACCTGTAAATATTTTCAGCATACACTCTAAATGCTGCGAACTTTTTTCTATTAACCACCATGCTCCCATGCCAACAAAACCAACAGTTGCTAAGTATAATCTATATTCATATTTCCAATCTATATTCAAACTACCCTGATTGTCTTAAAAGTGTCTTTCTACAGCTAGTTTGTTCCAATAAGGACTCATATAAGATCAATACACTTTGTTGTTAGTCAATTAAGTTTATTTTATTTTGTAATAGTCCTTTTTCACCCTACTGGCTTTGCATCATTGTTTTGATAAAGAGATTAGAATTCCCTGTGTTCTGGGTATGGCCAGTTGCTTCCTATTGGTTTTGGTTTTGGGGTTTTTCTTATAAACTGGTACTTAGATCAAGAAGCTTGATTACATTCAGCTTCACTTATTCAAACATGGTGTTGAGTACTTGGTGTTCTTAGTATTGCTAAGATTGATCAGTGGGGTCAGATGAGGTCAGCCCAATTCTCTATTATAATGATCCCCATCACACTTTCACTTAATTATTTTTTTAGCATATATTGACTATGGCTACACATAGCCATTATTTTACTGGAGTTCACAAAATAATGATTCCCTAATTCTGTCATTTCCGAAATTTTCTATAATAAGAATTGTACCTTATGAATTATTTAGTTACTCTGAAATACAGATCATCTGAGACAGTCACAACTGTTTTTCTTTATTTATTGATGCTCAAGATAATGTGTTATGGTACTAGTAACCCCAATCCCAAAGATGCTGAAAGTGTCTTTTGTTTTGAGTTTTAAAATTATCCTAATGAATGCATAGAGTTTTATATATGTGATGTGTTTTAATCGATTGCAGTTTTGTTTTTATACTAAAACTCTCCCATCTTAGGCTGGTGGAATCCTCTTCAAGTTGTCTCCCATGTCCCTTTGACATGATTGAATTTCTTTTTAATACATTTCTAGTTTCTTCCAGCCTCATCTTATATATTTCCTTGACCTACTATCAGCCATTTCTCTAAGAAACCCCGGTTCTTATTAGTGGGAAATCTGACCACCAAAATTTGATTTTTCTAAGAAATATTGCCCTTGAGTCATGGGCATAAACATGGCACGTAGTATCATTCTCTCTTTTTTTTTTTTTTTTCAAATTTCCCAAAGTGTTTGAAAATGCTGGACATTGTAGAACCTTCAAATAGAACTTTCAAAGTTTAGCAAGCCAATCTGTTACCTCTGTAATAACTTGAAATTTTTACATAATGTGTGGATAGCATGCACAAGTGTTTTCATCTTATGTTTTTACAAATTTTATTTAAAAAATAATACTTCAGTTTTCTGAAACAGGAACCATGTACACCAGTGTTCATCCATCAATCTCAAAATGTAAGTGCAATATAGCTTAAGGAATGATGTTTTTAATTATATAATTATTTTTTCTCACTTTTAATTATAAAAATCATTTGTGAATATGCTCTTCTTACACTAGTGTTTCTATAATGGCATATTCAGTGCTCAGCTCCCAGGTGTAAGTTTGAAGTATCTTTTTAGCTAAAATTTGGATAAATCAAATCCATTTGTATAAAAACAATTTGAAATCCAGATTTATTGCCTACAATCTGAAATGCAACATATGGGGCACAGCTCCCATTCCTTTGTTGCTACGTGTGTGTTCTTCATTCTCTTGGAAAAGGCCCCAAGGGTGCAGAAAGCAGAGGGACACAGAGAAAAGACTCCATTTCACCTACTGCCTGAACTTCTTTGTGGTTCTATGCTATGGTTAGGATCAGAGAGATAAGGCTTTTGTACCAAAGAAGGAATTTCTCAGCTCAGTTGTCTTCAGAAAATCCCTGGGCCTAGCAGGCAAAGATTTCTGTTCTTTCTAGATGTCTTTCAAAACAGTGCAATCCCCTAATCAAAAGCTCTGGAAACTTCTCTACAATTAGAATCTTCTGAAATTCCTAAGTTCTATTCACTGTCCAAGGTGCATACATCTCCACATAACTGTCTTTTTGTTGTTGTTGTTGCTGCCTTACTTATTTTGATGAATTGAGCCTCAATAGGTACATTTCTAGAATTTGTGCTATTTGAGCCCTTGGGAATTTGTGAACTATTATTTTAGAATAAAAATGAGCACACTCAGCATTAGAAGATATCAAAGGGTGAGACCTCATTTAGAAAGGAGAAGAGGCAGTGGTCTATTGTCTTCTCTACATTTAATTTTGGCTTTAGGGTACTGTCAGGTCCATGAAAGCCAGTAGTCCTGAAATTGGCCTAACTGTGCATGCTCCCACCTCATTGTCCTTTGAAAAAGATTCATATAAGTCTTTCCTTTTTACATTTTATGTGCTGAACTTTTCATTATCAAATAGAGTGTCTTGTGGCCTTCTGAAAATACTTTTCAAATTAGAGGAAGTTTGTTGTTACTTTTCTCTTATGAAATAGTAACAAACCCTTATCACACACAACACTTATTCTGTGTGACAGACACAGTCCTAAGCACTTTGCATAGATTGCTCCACAATAGCCCTGTGACAAGGATACTGTTATCAGTCTCATTTTATAGATAAGAAAATTGCGATGCCTAGAGGTGAAGTAACAGGCTTGGCATCACACAAACAATTAGGGGCAGGGATGTGATTTCAACCCAAGCAATGTGGCTCCCACTAGTCTCAGAGCCACTCAAAGTGAGTTAGACATATAATTAGCTTCTGTGATCTGGTACCCTGAGGGGTCAGAAAGACCTGGGGCTTTGTATTCCAATTGTCTGGAGTTTAATTTTGGAACTGTGGTAATACTATAAAGCCATTCTCAGTTACTATAATGGAAAGAACTCCTTTCTAAAGTAAACCAAGCAACATATATCTAGGTCTGTGATAAATAAAATTGATATTGTATGTTTCCTTGAAGGTAAATAGAGTGGAAAAATATATATCGTAGTATCACTATAGCAACTGTATTTTGTATCAGTTCAAGTTTCTGAGCTTTAATTTGAAAGAATGACAAAATAAGGATTTGGAAGCCTGAATCAAAGGAATGACATTCGTATTAGAAAGTATGAATTAGAATCTGGACTAATTGCAATGAAGTATGAATTAGAATCTGGATGAATTAATTTTAATATATAAAAATATTCTAAATGAAAACCATGCATCCAAGAGTACCATGGCCCATACAGAAAAGTTGATCTGCTATCCCCACCAGCACCTGGTCCTCTACAAATTATTATCTACAAAAGTGGATGTCACTGAAGTCAAAATAGAAAGTCAACAGATCTGAAACCATGGTGATGCAGGAAAATGATGAGTCGTTCCCCATAATCCTGTGCCTTCTTGAGGTCAAGGTAATATTGCTCCCAAATGTCATTCAGTTCTGTGGCATCAAAAGGTACCTGCTATGCACTAGGCAGAGACCACCAACCTCTGGATGGGCTTGGAACCCAAGTCTCTAAAGGTGAAAGGTCACAGCCTCACCTCACAACACTGCCTTGGGCCTGTTTCTTATTACCAAATAATTTCCAGAAGGAGATCAGGCTTGAGCCTGATTTTCCAGTAGCTGTGCAGGGGAGAAAAAGAGTTTGGAAAGGAGGACTGCTGTTCTCAGTGACTGATTGTGAGAACAAGAGTAGTGTCAGGAAAAAAGGCCACTCTCCCCCGGCCCTAGTCACAGGATAAATTGCAGTGCTCCTGGCTGCTCCTCAGAGGAAAGAGGCTTATTGGCAGGAGATAGGAGGCAATGAGGATCCACCAACTGACGGACCAGCAAATTCCCAGGACCCCGTTCAATAAAGCCACTGACAGGCACAGTCCCCAAAGAAGAGAGGTGAAAACCACATTCGTGTACCTGAGGTGAAAGACCACCATTAAAAATAAGTAAGAAACTCCAAATGTGTAAATCCTATATAAGCCAAACCATATGGTATAAAATGAATACATTTTCTCCCTCTACCTTTGGCAAAATGGTTTCTTACTGGATTTTATATACAGGAAAGTATTAACCCACCTTTTGCCATGTAGTTTCTCCCTGATATATGGCATTGATAATATAAGTAGTTCAATGATACTTCCACTGTTTGTGTAGCTCTGCGTATAAAAAGAATGCTGTGCACATAGTAGAAGTGCTAAAATCCTGGGGTAACACCTCATACATTAGTGGCCTTCCATGGTGAACAAAGTCATTTTTCAAGCAAGTCATAAAGTAGCCTAAAACACAAGTGTTTCAGTGTTTGCTCCAAATGAGGCAGTGGTCCGGGGACTGCCGTTCATCTGACATCATTTCTGACACAGCCAGCGCTGGTTTGGTATCTGATTAGGACTCCCCGCCACAGTGGTGCCAGACTTACTACTTTAAGTGAGGTGGCTGAGGGAAATTAATGTGTCAGAGTTACCAGGAGGCGAGAGTGTTTGCTTCAAGTTTCCTTTGGAAAGCTTCAGCTGGAATTGCCTTTGATTCTTTCCAAGAGAATCTTTTGAAGCTATTTATGGAGCTTGGTAATAGGTGAAGATGAGCTACCAACAGGAAACTCAGCTAGCATCAAAAGTCAAGCGTGCAGATGTGCAACGATATTTCTAGACAAAAGTGGTCAAATTACTGACTTGTTTAGAGGATGCCTTGGGGTCTCCTGGCAAGTGAAGTAGCCATTTTCCTCAAGGCTGAATTTTCATGATGCACCCTGCACCCGCTGCTTTGTTCTGGAGAATCGTATATGCCCTCTTGATGTCAATGTATTTCCCTTAAAATATAAGTGAAATGCTGCGTACTTCACTGATGCATGAGAATATTGGATAGAAATACCCATAATGTGCTTTGAAACTTTTTGATGAAAAGATGAGGTATACTTAAAAGTATTAACTCTGTAATGTGTTCCTTTCCATCCCTTCTCACCCTCTTGGCCTAGGTATACACATAAAACTTATCCCAATTCCCAGCCCTCTTCACTTCCACTTTCTGGGAAAACTATGGGAACTGTGGATGGAAGATTCTGTGGTGCATATTT
This sequence comes from Homo sapiens, assembly GCF_000001405.40. NCBI lineage: Eukaryota > Metazoa > Chordata > Mammalia > Primates > Hominidae > Homo > Homo sapiens. Next base: position 173,946,159 of record NC_000004.12, read on the forward strand.
TCTTTCTTCAACTGAAGCAATGTACACAAAAGAAATCTATAAATCTTAAAGTCAGCCAGAAATATCAGTTGCTATTATCTTTTTTTGTTTTAGAAAATATAGCATAAGAATACATGCTTTGGATCAGACAGATCTGGTCTCAAATCCTGGCTCTGCCATTTACTCACACATATGTACAGCTCAAGCATGCATGTATGCATTCACATACACAGACATTGACACATGCATGCATGAGTACAGTCACACACTCCTCATGCATATGTTCAAATAGATGCTCACTCATACATGCTCACACACATGTATATTCATGGACACTCATTATATACCTGAAGCTTAAACACACAATTCACTTATTCTTTGCAGTTACGTATGACCAGCAGTTCTGCAGCTATACTTGAGCATGATTCTGTGCTCTCCAGAAGGACACTTTATTTTAAATCTTTTATATAGCACAGGAAGCTTTTTCTCTTAGTTTAAAGGCCAACAACATCAATTTGCAGCTAGAAGATTGAGTTTAAATCCCACCTCCACTACACAGTAGCTGTGTGACCTTGGATAAATTACTAAGCTTGTGTATCTCTCTCTCCTCATTTGTAAATCGGGAATTTATCTCACAAGATTGAGATAGATACTATTATTATTCCCGACTTACAAATCAGGAATAAGCCATTCAGAAAAGTGCTTGGCACATAGTAAGTGCATGTATTTATTTGCTATTAATATTAAGGAATGAAACTCAGCACAGCTAGAAGGAAGATTTCTGTTCCAACACAGCCTTGAATGCAATTTCTATGTGTAAATGAAATGTATTTCATGTGAAATAACAAACATTCAGATCAGGTCATCTTAATACTACACATGACAAAGATGTATAGTTTAATAAATTTTGGGCTTTGCTGGTTTATCCACAGAGAGGGTCAGGTCTGTGCTCAAGTGTCTTTCAGAAGACATGAGCATCTTAGGCTCAAACTCTTCAGGAGATGAGAGTCTGCAGCCCTATTAACAGCCTCTAATTGCCTCAAGGTTCATTTTAAGCTCTAATTCTAAAAGTACAATGATAGGCAAGTATCTGCCCTCTCAGAAATCTTAGAGACTGGGTGGGGCACTAAACCTGAAAGGATATAGAGTCCATGTTTAATATCTATTCTCTTGAGTGATATACATACTCATCATACTTGTTAGTACTCTATTTCCCTCCTACCAAAAACTCTTACATAGCTATATCATTTTGTTTTATAATTAGAGTTGCTTTGAGTTAATAAAAACTATACTAAAATGTTTATTTTCTTGCACGTTCTTTTTATACAATTATGATGCACTTTAGAGAGATAAATAGTGCCTGAATTTGGAATTCTGGGACTGAACAATCAGCCTTATGGGATGTGAAAAGAAGAGAAAGGCATGAGTTGAGTAACATAAGTAAGCAAGATTTAAAGAAATACTAACTCCCAAATTAACATTTTTGGTTATTAATTCTGAATTACTCAGCATTACAGCCTACTGTAACCTTGATTTCCAGCAGGCTTGAAAAGAGATCTTTCATCAACTCGAGTGAAACTTTCTTTTGTAAAAAATACCCTTTGACCTAGGTTACTTCAGGTCTACATGACAGTTGAATAAGTACATCCTTGCAGCTTTACATCTTAGATAGAAAACTATATCTGTGTCTTCGCTCTTCTAAAACCTGCTATTGAAGCAGTTTCATAAGAGTTCATACCCCTTCACTCTTCCTAGGGAGCCATGGAGAGCCTGCAGCTGAGGTACTGGCTTTCCCGCAGCTAGAAGTCTCTAGTCACTTTAGCAACTCATCACCTGCTTCCCATTTTTTTAAAAGAGTGTGAACTGCTTGAAGTTTTCAGATAAATATAATAATGCCTATATTTACCCAATTAACCATTTCTTTCTTTGAGATACCCTGCCTCCAAAAATATTTGATATAAATTATTTTTGGAAAAGGTTTAGAGTTTTGAATAAATTACAATTAAACAGTTATATTTAAACAAAACTTAACAAAGTATATAAATAGGAATAAATGATAAGAATGGAAATAATTTTTTAAATAATCTACTACTTATCAGGTATTATTCTTTATTTAGATTATTTTACTTAATCCCTACAACAAGCCTGTAAGTGAGTTACAAGTTGTTAAGGATAAGGAAACAAAGGAATTATCTAAGGTCATTCATTATATGTGTAAGAGATGAGATTTTTTTCTAGATTGAAGCAACTAAATATTCTGCTTTTCTAATATAGAAATACTTTATGAATATTTTAAGCATGCTACTTATTTTTAGTATCATTATTTTTTAAATCTAGATTTATTAAGGGCTTAGTATGTACTGTGCATAATGAAAAATAGGATTCTCATTTTTAAAGATTTTATAATTTGGTTGGAGAGAGAAGGCACACAACTCATACTCTCAATAATCATGTCACTCTGTAAACCAGAATGTGGTTGTTTGTCCAAATAAGTGGGGCAAATAGGAGTAAAGAAAACTAGGTCAGTATGCATCTGTGGAAAACCTCTTGGAGGAAAGGCAATCAAACCAGGTCCCAAGGATGGGCAGCAATGTATGAGAAGAAGGCAGAAGCTATCACCAACCTGGGGTTGGAGCTCTGTACTGTGCATTCAGGTGACGACAGGGAAGCTCCCCAGCACTAACAATGTGCTCTGATAGAAGAGTAGTGACAAGTAGAGGGATGACCAGATTGACTAGGCTTGAAATTCCAGTTGGAGAGTCTGGACTTAATGACATAAGCAAAGAAGATAATATCAGAATTTTATGAACACTAAAGAGTCATAATGATGGCAGTATTTAAAAATATTTATGGGACCAAAAAGGACTGTAATTGACTATACAGTTTGGAGGATAATTAGGACAATTTAGGCTTGAGGTGATGAAGTCTGGCCCAAGGTGATAGTACACATATAAAGGGGGAAAACAGAACCTGAGGACTCATTAGATGTATGAGATCTAGGGGAAATGTTCAGTGATAATTGTTTGATTTGAAGAAATAGTTTTACAATGTATTTGATTACACAGGAGAAGCTATCTTATCTGATAAAATTGATACTGGTATTTGGTTGTATAAGTGAGTAAGTTAAAAAAGGAAATTACTAGAAAAAATAATATATAAATGTAGATTAAGCATTTTTAGTTATTTTGAAAATAATAAATGCTCATGCCTTTACCAATATTTAATCCAATTCCAAGATTTCCTTTCATGAATATGTTTATTGGGGGTCTAAATCATCCTTTTTTGTGTGTGTAAATCACACACTTACAGCACGATTTACAATTCCAAGTGCTTCTTTAAGTGAATTCAAAACTTAAAAACAATTCCAAAACAATATGATTTTAAAAATTTATCTACATTTTGTTTTTTCCAACCTCTCAAGTTATATCACCTGTATCACATTCTACAGCAGTCAATTCAGTGACTTGCTTTACTAACTCTTTCCAAAGCACTCCTTTTATTTTTCATAGAAAAAATATCTTTTTGCACTATTTCATTGATTTATATAATTTCTAATTATATATGTATAATAACAAGTACAACTGGCATAAATAAGTTTAGAAAAATGCAATTGACTCTCGATTTGAAGATGATTCAAGCAGTGACCACGGGAGTGCATGGGATCCTAGAGCAAAAGCTTGTAGGTGGGGTGGGAACCCTCAATGGCCGCCAAGCAGCAGTCACTGTGTTGTATTCATAGAATGGAAGCACTAGTTCATGCAGCAATCCAGCAAAACAGAGACTGGTGAAGAGCTTATATTGCTCCACAGAAAACACATTCCTAAAAGTTAAAGGTAATTGATATTTATGGTAGTTATTGTGTGCATTAAAATGGAACTTGACATGAAGTGTTTCTCATTTCATTATAAGAGAACAGCTTGACTTTAAAAATATAAACGCTTCATATTTTCTCTGGGGGAATTGTTAGTTTAAAACACAACAAAGAACAAACCTAACAATTCCTAAACTTACAGCAAAACCAGGGCTGTAAGCAGATAAGAAATAATTAGAATGTGCTATTATAAGGTAATAAGTTTAAAAAGTATATTTAAGTCATAGTTGCACTCATTTCCCATATTCTTATTTTGTTTTTGTTTTTGTTTTTGTTTTTGAGACGGAGTCTCGCTCCATCGCCCAGGTTCATCGCAGGCGCGATCTCGGCTCACTGCAAGCTCCGCCTCCCAGGTTCACGCCATTCTCCTGCCTCAGCCCCAGAGTAGCTGGGACTACAGGCACCCGCCACCACGCCCAGCTAATTTTTTGTATTTTTAGTAGAGACGGGGTTTTACCGTGTTATCCAGGATGGTCTCGATCTCCTGACCTCGTGATCCGCCCGCCTCGGCCTCCCAAAGTGCTGGGAATATAGGCGTGAGCCACCACGCCCGGCCTCATTTCCCATATTCTTTACAGATTACCCCAAAGGAACATCTACTTGTTTTTTAAAAAGTATGTTTTCTCAGTTCTTATAAAATTATAAAATATTAATTTGTGAAACCTACTTTAGGAATTTTTTACAACTATCAAAAACACAAATGTGCTGGGTATTCTAGTTTCCTAAAGAAGTGAAGTGGAGCCAAAAAGTTACCATGCACTGTATTTCCTCGAAGTCACCCTAAAGGTCCACAAAAGCAAAGGCTATCATAAAGCATAATATCCCAAAGTTTCGTCTTTGACTTGATGCTTCTATATCTACTATGTCATCTCACTCTCTTTTAAATCTAAGTCTTCCATGGATATATCTGAATGACTGAGCCTTGGTCATGTGCTGGCTCTCTAGCTACAATGACAGGCTGGTTAAGCTAATTTCTTGCTCTACATGGGCATTTCAGACCTCAAATATTTAAAAGTTCCCAAGCATAGGGTCTTAAAATTATAGTTTATAATAATTGTACACAACAGCCAGTAATCAGCTCATGCTATCACATATCAAAATGAATCATTTTTTAAGGGTTAAGGATATAAGTGTGAATATCTTAGCTCCCGATTTTAAAATATAATCAAATTTAACAAAGATCAAATTATCTAAATATCAAAAACAACATAAGAAAACTCAAGTGCATTAATCATTAAAGATTATTCTCTACGATTTTATCTTTTAAGCCCCTATATGTGATATCCATGTCACATTTAGTCTTTTGAGAGATTTTCAAAAATCCACTTTATTGGGTATGTTTCATTTTACAAGCATTGGGATGACCATTAAACAACTCTTTGGTTGCTCAGAAATTTTTAATTATGGCAGGATGGATAGGCATGCAATGTAACACCAAAAAATAGCAATTCATTACTTTGATGACACTGTACTTAAGAAGCAAGGGAGTTTGTTGCTGAGTACTTTAGCCGATAAAGCATTCATTTTTCACCTCCTCTCAGATCTCAGTTTTGGCTGCCTCTGATTCCTTAAGTAAAATTAATTTTGTTATGTCGACTATGCTACCATTAGTTGATAATCCAGGAGGCAAGAGATGCCATGCATATTTCATCATTCCTTCGCATCACAGTGGTTCTGAACATGGGCTGAATATAGACATCGCAGGTGTGCTTCGAGATGACTAACTTAAACTTTAGCTCAGAATTTTTAAAAGCTGGATAAATTGTTGACAGTTTGAGTAGAACCAGTGAGACGTTTGGGTTAATAATTCCAATTTCTATAAGGGAAAATATTGTCAGATTTAACAAGATTAACATAAGGATGTTCTATGGTCACTGGATTAAGAATTCATGTATGTTTCTTACATTAACTTTGTGGGAATATAAATTACTTTGGGAGTTTTAGTGTTCTGTGTTTGCCCCCCATTAGGACCTATGAAGTCCTTCAGGTTAGAGATGAAATCCTAAATGTCTAGTATGATGCTTAGCACAGAGCACGTGCTCAAAACATGTGGGCAGAAACAGGAGTCTAACTTGCATGAGGGCTAAATGATCCCACTAGGAACAGGATCAAAGAGGGTTTTGGAAGGAATGATCAGGCCCTGGAATGCAGGAATTAAGATTGAAAAGATGACAGAAGGAGCTTTCCAGGAGTATCTCAGATAGACAGGAAGCTCATTTAGAAATAAGAAATAATGAGATGTCTGAGTTTTATCCTAGGCTGCTGATTGAGTTGAAGGCAGAGTGCACTACCCTGTTAGGTGAGTGCTTTTTTGGTACCACTCAAATGTCCTCTGACTCAGCCTTGGGAAAGGTTGTGACAAGTTCCTTGAGTGAGGGGCATTAGAAAACCGAAAGAAAGAGATAGCTTTTTCCAACAGACTTGAAAATCTGGGGGGAAAAAGTCAACTGGAAAGCACTTTGGGACTTTGACAACAAGTTGTAAGGGCAGAGGAGAGCCTGGAGATCCACCCTAGCTACACATCTTTGCGATAGGACTGGCCCTGAGGGTTGGGCATGACATTCCTAATCACAGTCCCTATACCTGGGATTGAGATGAAGATAGTGTCACTCACCAAGGGGATCTAGACGGGATGATGAGTAACATTAGCTCCCCATCAGGGCTGACAAGTGGTTGAGTGAAGATAAGTGCCATGGGCAGCAGCATAAAGAGGTAAACTGCCACCAAGGAGGATGTGTGAGCCACATGGAATCTATCTGGGAATGAGGATGGCCTTTACGGGAAAACTCCAATGTGTTTCTGCACTCAGACCCAAAGACCAATTATATTACTATTGCAGTAAATTTACTCACACTACGATTACACAAATTTATTGACACTACAACTTAGATATAAAGAAAAAATGTAGTTAACTTATTTTGTCTCCCAACTGGTCTCTCAAGAGCACTTACGGGTATTAAGACACAGAGAAAAGGTACTTTTTCCTGTTTCCCATTCAAACTCTTGGAGAAAGATTGCCTTTTAGACTGCCCTGTGCCACTCTGAAACATGACCACCTCAAATTTGGTGGCTCCATGCAATCAGGCAGAAGAAAACCTTGATGCAACGCTTTCTTGGGCTGCTTTAGATTGCACCTAATAAATAATCTGGATGACACCAAGAAGTTCCCACAGGTCCCTGGGTGGGGCTGGGAAGGTGGATGAGTTGCCAACGAATGGACCTGTCATTGGACCTGCCTCAGGTAAAGGTGAGGTGATTCCACAGAAGGAGTCAGGAGTGAAACGCCTAGCAGGGAGCTAGATGGAGAATGAGGAATGGATGAGGCTTTTTTATGTGCTGCCCTAGATTTTCTTGGCCTCTCCCATCTCCTTTCTCTTTTGCTCCTTGCTCACAAAAGAGACTAGCTGCTGTGTCTTATATCTCATTAGAAAGGTGATTGAATCATCCTTCAGAGTGACTTAATAACATTTAAACAATAATATTATGATAACATATAATGAACATAATAAACGTTATTTCTGAGTAGCCCCCAAAGCAAGATATCTCTTTAATAATTAAAATTTCGAGATAAGAAAATGATGCTTGCATTGGGACCATAACATAATGTTTTTTCTTTGTCGTCTCTGCATATAAAAGTAATTTCAGTCTACCTGTAAGAGCAGCATTTGCATTATGGAAGTTTTTGTTTGTTTGTTTGTTTTTGTTTGAGATGGAGTTTCACCCTTGTTGTCCAGACTGGAGTGCAATGGCGCGATCTCGGCTCCCGGCAACCTCCGTCTCCCAGGTTCAAGCAATTCTCCTGCCTCAGCCTCCCAAGTAGCTAGGATTACAGGCATGTGCCACCACGCCCGGCTAATTTTGGATTTTGTAGTAGAGACGGGGTTTCTCCCTGTTGGTGAAGCTGGCCTCAAACTCGCGACCTCAGGTAAACCACCCGCTTCGGCCTCCCAAAGTGCTGGGATTACAGGCATCAGCCACCACGCTCGTCCAGAAATTGTTCTTTAAACATGATTCAAAGAGTAAGAACTATGTTAAGAATCCAGTGTGAGCTCTCATCTAGGCTAAGTTCCATTAAAGTTTTGGGTAACAAGCTTACTAAAATGTTAAATTAGACTTTTTTCACCTTATTAAAAGGGAGGAGGCATCATTTGGGACAACATAATGATAAAATTGTGTTTTCAAATTTAAAAATCTACTATCAGTAATTCTCATCACACTTTGTTTTTTAAAATCTGTGCGGTTTTTACTGCCTGGGGACATAATTAGCATCTGGTTATGAGCAAGGCGGGGAATAAGGTGGAGTGAGACATCCTGGTCCTGGCCCTGGTTATCAAGAAATTAGACAGGTTAGGAACAGCCTTCTCTCTCCTAAACTTTTACACTTGATCTTAGACAAAAGGCCGAGAAGTGATCTCTCCCAAACTTTTAAGGCAATTATTGCAAAATCTAGCCAGCTGAAATATACAAAGACAAAGATATAGGTTTTAGAGAGAAGAATGATGTGATCAAAATAAAGAACATTATGTTTCAAAGTGACTGTAAGAGGTAACTTATAGGAAGTCAGAGAGAATAAATAAAAAAGAATGTGTAATTCTTGAAAACTTTTCTCTGCCATACTTGAGATCATGAATATTTTTTCCATCAAACAAGAAAACAAGGAAAACCATTTTGCTAAAGACTATAATTCCCCTAAATCACAGCACCTATATTTTGCACTTTTTAACACATTGTTCACAAAATAATTAATACCTAGAAACTGACAGATTGTGGACTCTGAAAACAGAAAAGCCCTATGATCAATTCTTGATCATTTCCCTGTATATTGTTTACATTATCTTTTCCTATCTCTCCAGGCCCCTATTGATTTGAATTAGGTGGCAAAAGGATATTTGATTACGTTAGATTTCTGCCCTAAGGTTAACGAGTAATGTTTGTGATCTGAAACAGGGATATTACATTGACAGTGTCAGGAACGACCCCAGCTGTGCAAAAAAGGTGTCAAAATGCCAATAACCAAGTGTGTGGTGAAGGTCGTAGAGACTATATCTGGCCGCTTGGTGGGCAGATCATAAACTCTTAATCAGTGGTACTTGGGCTGGGAAAGCCTCATAATTTATCCACACATGTCTTTTCTTCTGAATACCACACCCCATCAATTCACAGCGTAAGGCTTTGAACATTTTCACAAGCAAATCTCAAGGTATTTCTTTCTAACTTCCATTTAAATAGGTGGCAAAGAGAGGCATCTCCTTTGCTTTCAAAAGTCTAATTATTCTAGACCTCCAATGCAGCTCATCCTTTTTCATCTTTTTAAAAATAAACTACAGTCTACTCGAGGGTGGAGGGTGGTAGGAGGGAGAGGATCAGAAAAAAATACCTATTGGGTACTCTGCTTACTATCAGAGTGACAAAATAATCTGTACACTGAACCCCCATGAGACACAGTTCTCCTATATAACAAACGTGCACATGTACCCCTGAACCTAAAGTAAAAGTTAAAATAAATAAATAAATAACATATGAACTGAGCGTCTTAAAAATGATACATCCTTCCAATGATCTGAATCATGAGGTCAATTTAAACTCCCAAGTGTCGCAGAATGAGGCTCTGCACTGCAATGAACGTCAGAACCAGTTTACAGAGTTTCTAATTCAGTTTTTTGTGGCAGTTACAAAGACTGCCCAAGTCCCCCACTTGTCTGGTTTTAAAGTGGCTTTAAAAATTTTTCATCTGTTTTATCCAACTTAATTTTGATGATTATTTACAAGGATATTCTTTCTTTCCATCATTCAACATTTATTGCGTGCCTATACTACGTGCCCAAGCAGAAGTCTGGGATTTGGGATATTAGTGAAGACAACACACAGATGTGTGAACTTTGTTTTTACATAATTCTTTATTGCATTTTGGCTAGTTTTATATGTGGAATCTGTATCACAGGTATTCGATGAGATCAGGAGCATGCCCAGCTCTCCACTGCGGGCTTCATGTAAGAGGAGAGCCATGATAATGTATTGCATTATTCTTGTACAGTAATCAGGTATGTTGTTTCTCTACACATAAGTTGAATAGAACAGCTCTTTTTCATTTTCAAGTTTATTGAGTCTGACTCTATCACCTACCAGTCAAATAATCTGCCTACCATGTGTTCAATAACTATGATTCAAATCCTCCATGAATCACCTCTGGGTCAATGTTGGGGCGAAAAGAAATTCATAAAAATGGTAAATTCCTGTAGCCTTCCAGTGGTTCGCTCTTTCTGTCTCTGACTTCCTTTTTCACTTCATCGACCCTGTCATTAGCTCTACTTTCAATTCATTGAGGAGAAAAATAAAAGGGATGGAAAAATTACACACATGTGTTGTGGCATGTAGTAATCAATGTTTTAGGTAGATACTTTTTACGATTGCCCTGTTGAATTCATGCTACAACTGGCTCCTGCTGGTGGTAAGAATATAGCTGTGGGACGTGCTAGGTCTGCATGTTGGGGGCCTTGCAGTCCGATCAATATTCCGCATTGTTGGAATTATGTTTTTATTATCAGACATGACAAATTTGGGTCAGAGGTTAGAAGGCATTCATATGTGAATCCTTCCTAGCCATGACTGAATAATTTTTCTTATTTTCAGATTCATAACTTTTAACAAATAATAATGTTCTCTCTCCAGAAATAGGATGTTATATCTTAAGTTTAAATTATCACACATACTGTCCAAAAGAATTTGAATCCTATTCCTACCGTCCCCTTCAGAGCCTTTCTCTGCTATTGGTTATGCATGTTATACAAGGAGTTGTTAATGTTTTTTTTGTTTTGTTTTTGGCGGAGCAGGGGATGGAGTCTCACTCTGTTGCCAGGCTGGAGTGCAGTGGCACAATCTTGGCTCACTGCAACCTCTGCTTCCCGGGTTCAAGCGATTCTCCTGCCTCAGCCTCCCGAGTAGCTGGGACTACAGGCATGTGCCACCACGCCCAGCTAATTTTTGTATTTTTAGTAGAGACGGGGTTTCACCATGTTGGCCAGGATGGTCTCGATCTCTTGAACTCGTGATCCGCCCGCCTTGGCCTCCCAAAGTGCTGAGATTACAGGAGTGAGCCACGGCGCCCCGCTGGAGTTGTTAATCTTTTAAGCTGTGAGCCGTGACTGTGCTACTGCACTCCAGCCTGGGCAAGAGGGCAAGACTCTCTCTCTATACGCATACACACACACACAAACACACATACATATACAGAAACACACATATGTATACCTCTCTCTCTCTCTCTCTCTCTATATATATATATATAATTTGTAGTCTAGGTGAAATTTTAATCAAGGGGAAATCTGAAGAGTGATAATAGGAAATAGGTATCAAGACATAATCATGGCGGTTACGTCTATAAACATCAGCATCATTTGAGATGTTTTATATATGTTTAATTTTAGGTTTATATACATATGCAAAAAAGCTAATAAAGCTACTAATTATCTTCGATAAGCTCCATAAATCCTAAAATGAAATATTCATTCATTAAAGATACCTTTCTGATTATGTGGCTTCGTTAATTAATGTTATCAGATGCTACTTTGCATTCATGTTACTGTGTTTGAAATTTTTATTTCTAGTATTTTTTATCAAAACTGTCAAAAAGATGGTAATGCTGTCAAAAGTTATTTGCTCAGAGTATATTTCTCTAATAATGCTTTTGCTTATATTATGCATGCTCTTTTTTGAAGAAGTTAAACATTTTTGTACATTTTATACAAAGACGAATATTATTTAGAAATGCAACTATTTAAATTTCATTTCAAAAAAGCAAAACTACGCTTCTCGCAATTTGGTTGCTTTTACAGAAACCCCATTACAGAGAAACACACACACATACATACATATATATACACACACATACATATATATACATACATATATGTATATACATTTATACGTATGTATATATATCTGTCTGAGAAACGTAGTTTTGCTTTTTTTAAATGAAATTTAGATAGCTGCATTTCTAAATAATACTTATCTTTCTACAAAATGCACAAAAATATTTAACTTTTCTTCAAAAAAGACCAGCATAATACAAGCAAAAGCATTATTAGTTAGAGAAATATACTCTGAGTGAATAATTTTTGACAGCATTACCGTCTTTTTGTATAGTTTTGATAAAAATACTAGAAATAAAACATTTTCAAGCACAATAACATGAATGCAAAGTAGCATCTGATAACATTAGTTAATGAAGCCACATAATCAGGGAGGTATCTTTAATGAATGAATATTTCATTTTAGGGTTTATGGAGCTTATCAAAGAGAATTATTAGCTTTACTAGCTTTTTCACACATATATGTAAACCTAGAATTAAACATACGTAAAACATTATCTCAAATGATGCTGATGTTTATAGACGTAACCACCATGATTATGTCTTGATACCTATTTCTGCTTCTTACTCTTCAGATTTCACATTGAGTACAATTTTAAACTACCTATCTCAGCAAAAATAAAATCTCATCTCAATTACAATTTGTGTACTCACAGCATAGGAAGCAAAGCTACAATCCTGATATGTTAAAAAATGAATTACATCATTTTATAAAAATTGTGGCACATCATTTATTTCCTCATTACACTTTCTGTTTCTCAGAGGAATGATGATTCAGAGTTGTGGTTTACTTAACTAAAATAGATTACTAAGTTAGCATAAACTCAATCAGTGGGAAACCTGACAGTCGGCACAGTTATTTATGATGTGCCAAATGCAAAATCATGCTCCTACTTTGAGGTTTTGCTAACAAGGCACATTGCTAATTCCAAGGAGGAAAAAAAATCTATTCTAAGATATTTGGACATAAACATAACTTTACAATAGTATTTATGAAATGGTTTCATGGCTTATATAAGATATGTTGATATAGGATTATCTGGCAAAAGGTTTGTAAAATTAAATAAGTTTATATTGTAACTGAAAAACAAAGCAACTGAGAAAGAACAATCAGTAAAGAAACAGATTTTAAAATATTATTTTTAAAGACATTTTACAACGAACAGATTCCTGTCTAACTTTTCAGTTTATCTTAAAATTGCCTCCTTTTCTTTTTTACACTTTGTAGTTTTTCCAACTTAATCACTGAATTCTGGAAATATTTCTATAACACTACCAAATTAATGAGACCAATGGGCTCCTGTGTAACGGTAGATTGTGAAAGTCAATTTGTTAATTTAATAAATTAACAAAAGGAAAATGGAAACTATGAATCCATATTGCCTTTGATGCATTTAAAGTAGGAGAGAAACTTTGAAAACATGTCTATATAGTCATAAAAATATTTTACCATAAAGGATCTGTTCAGATGGCATCTATGCCTGTTTTGTTATTGTATCAATAACATTAATTTCCAACAAAAACACAGACTGATTTTAAGAGTTATAATTTGGAATTTTTAATTTAGAAATTAGAAACACTATAAATGTTTTTATGAATATCATTTCCATATTAAAATATGTTAGGCATATTTTCATGAATATAGAAAAAATAACAAAAAGGAAGTATACATTCAATTCAGCAAATATTTAGTAAGTTTCTACCATGTAGCAATAACTATTCTAAATGTAGAATACAAAAATAAGTATAAGTGGCTCATGTTATCAAGGACCTTATAATTTAGTAAAATAGAAGTTATGCTCTTGTGAATAATGTTTATTTATAATAGTACAAGGTTGAGTGCAGTTGTTGAGAGATTGGTATATCGAAACTTTGGAAGAGAAAACTATAATGTAGCCTCCAGTGTTTAGGTTGTCATGGACAATGCAGGCTTTAATCTGGAAAAGTATGGACATTTTAGTTTGTGGAATGAGAAAAGATGCCAAGACCAGACTGAAAAGAAGTTGCTTAAAAAGTTAAAATGAAGAGCTAATTTGCTTGAATAAGAAGGAATTAGTGGGAAATAAGCATGGAAAGAAAAATCTAGTATCAGATTTGGAGGACTTTAAATACTTTCATAATAGAATAATTTTTATATTCCAGACTTAGCTAGTAAAATTGGTTTCTATCCTGTAAACCCTGAAGATTCTAAAAGACCTGAGGAATGCAGTGTTTTGGAAAGGTTAATATCTGCGGTGTATTGGTGGGAAAGACAATAGAGGCAAGAAAACTAAAATAGTGAAAACATGTAGTTACAATTAGGACATATATGGAAAGCAGTAGAAATGTTGAAAAGGGGCGAGTGTTAAAGATATATTCAAGGAATATTTATCCTCCACTCAGCAAGACAATTTCCTTCAAGTCCTCATCTAAAATTTTTTCTTTTATGTTCTGCGGTTGTGATAGATTAAAGATGCCTGCAAAGTCTTTGCTGCATCTGCCATTGAGAAGTACAGTTTAGTTCCCCTCTCCCTGAGTGTTGGCTGAGTTTTGTAAGCCTTGCTTGAACAACAGAATGCAGTACAAGTGATATTTTGAGACTTCTGATATTATAGATCATAGGTCAAAAAGGACACACGGTTTCTGGCCTGTCTGCTTGGAACACTTGCTCTAGACACCTGGCTGCCATAGGAGAGGCCAACGTGAAAAGGAACCAACGCCCCAGACGATAGCCCCAGCAGGGCTCTTACCCAGCAGCCTGCACCGTGGAAGTGAGCCACCTTGGAAGTGAATTCTCCAGACCTGTAGAGCTACACCAGCTCATTCCATGAGAAGCAGAAATGAGCTGCCCAGCTGAGTCCTTCCCAAATTCTGGCACACAAGATTGTAAACAAGACTATTTTAAATTCTCAAATTTTGAATGCAGTTTGTTATGCAGTAATAGATAATCAGAGAAGGAGTAGAGAATAGTATATAAAGTCAACACAGAACCAAAAAAGAAGATCAAATTTTAGGTGACATGTTTTGTTTCCAATTATTATTATTGAAACATTAAATCCTTCCTGAGTGTAAGTGATCCAGATGAAATGAAAGTAATTGGAAAAGTCTTGACTGTGTTATGAGGCCTTAGAGAAAATAAAATCCCTTTAACACATGATTCCCAAAGCACAAAATAAAATATATTCAAAATGTTATGGCATTGAAATCCATGAGTGTCCTTTCTTTCCTTTCTCACTGAAATTTATTAGAAGATAATAATCTGTGCATTACCTATTGATGGTTTTTCAGAGCTATTTTCTCCTCCTTTGATATGTAGTATGAATTTATTTATTTATTTATTTTTAAGATCTACTCTTCTACTAAATTTCAAGTATACAATGTATTATTATTAAACTGTAGTTACTATGATGTAAATTAGATCTCTAGAACTTATTCATCTTGCAACTGAAAGCTTTTACACTTTGACCAACACCTCCCCATTTCCACCACCCCCAGCCTCCGGCTACCACTATTCTATTCTGTTTCTCTAAGTTCAACTATTTTTAGATCCCACTTAATTTATACCATACAATATTTGTCTCTCCATGTCTGGCTTATTTCCCTTAGCATAACCTCCTCCGAGTTCATCTGCCTTGTAGCAAATGGCAGGATTTTCTTATTTTTAAAGGCTAAATTGTACTCTATTGTATAGATATACATGACATATTCTTTATCCATTCATCTGTCAATAGACATTTTGGTTGTTTCCGTATCTTGGCGACTATGAATAATGCAGCAATGAACATAGGAATGCACATACCTCTTTAACATATGGATTTTATTTTCTTTGAACATATACATAAGTGAGACTGCTAGATCGTATAGTAGTTCTAGTTCTAATTTTTGAGGAACTTCAAAATGCCATTTTTCATAATGGCTATACCAATTTACATTTGCATCAATAGTGTGCAAAAGTTCTCTTATATCCACCCCTCACCAACACATTATCTCTTCTCTTTTTGACAAAGACCAAACTAACAGGTGTAAGAAAATATATCTTTGTAGTTTTGATTTGTATTTCTTGTATGATTAGCGATGTCCAGCACCCTTTCATACACCTCATGGCCATTTGGTCAGGCGAACGTGGTAACAACTACACTATGGAAACCAACTGTTGGCCATTTTATATGTCTTCTTTGGAAAATGTCTGTTCAGGCCTTTTGCCGATTTTTAAATCAAGTTATTGTTTATTTTTTGCTATTAAGTTGTATGAGTTCCTTATATATTTTGGCTATAACTCCTTATCAGATATATAGTTTCCAAATATTTTTCCCAATCCATTGATCTTTTATCTTGTTGACTGTATTATTTGCTGTGCAGGAAGCTTAATTGCTATATTTTTGTCTTGCATTTACAGTTTCATGTCCTACATTTAAGCCTTTAGTGCATTTTGAGTTGTTTTCTGTGTATGGCTTAAGATAAGATTCTAATTTAATTCTTTTGTATATGAATAGCCAATTTTCCCAATATCGTTTATTGAAGAGACTATCCTTTTTCCATTGTATATTTTTGGCATCCTTGTTGAAGACTAGCTGACTGGATATAGGTGAGTTTATTTCTGGGCTCTCTGCTCTGTTCCATTGGTCTATATGTCTGTTTTTATGCCAGCATCATACTGTTTTGATTACTATAACTCTGTAATGTGCTGTTGACTCTTGAAGAACACATGTTTGAGTTGCACAAGTCCACTTATACGTGAGTTTTTTTCAATAAAATTTACACCAAGCATGAATGCCTCTTCTGTCTCCCCTTCCACCTCCTCCACCTCTTCTGCCTCTTGCCACCCCAAGACATCAAGAACAACCTTTCCTCCTCCTTAGCCTACTGAACATGAAGACAACAAAGATGAGGGTCTTTCTGAAGATCCACTTTTACTTAATGAATAGAAAATATATTCTCTCTTCCTTATGATTTTTTAAAGATAACTTTCTTTTCTCTTGTTTACTTATTATAAGAATACAGTATATAAATACATATATAAAACATGCATTAAGCAACTCTTTTTATGAGTAAGGCTTCTGGTCAACAGTGGGCTATTAGTAGTTAAATTTTTTTGTTATTATTATTATACTTGAAGTTCTAGGGTACATGTGCACAACGTGCAGGTTTGTTACATATGTATAGATGTGCCATGTTGGTGTGCTGCACCCATTAACTCGTCATTTACATTAGGTATATCTCCTAATGTTTTCCCTCCCCCCTTTCCCCACCCCACGACAGGCCCTGGTGTGTGATGTTCCCCTTCCTGTGTCCAAGTATTCTCATTGTTCAATTCCCACCTATGAGTGAGAACATGCGGTGTTTGGTTTTTGTTCTTGCGATAGTTTGCTGAGAATGACGGTTTCCAGCTTTATCCATGTCCCTACAAAGGACATGAACTCATCCTTTTTATGGCTGCATAGTATTCCATGGTGTATATGTACCACATTTTCTTAATCCAGTCTACTGTTGATGGACATTTGGGTTGGTTCCAAGTCTTTGCTGTTGTGAATAGTGCTGCAATAAACATACGTGTGCATGTGCCTTTATAGCAGCATGATTTATAATCCTTTGGGTATATACCCAGTAATGGGATGGCTGGGTCAAATGGTATTTCTAGTTCTAGATCCTTGAGGAATCACCACACTGTCTTCCACAATGGTTGAACTAGTTTACAGTCCCACCAACAGTGTAAAAGTGTTCGTATTTCTCCACATCCTCTCCAGCACCTGTTGTTTCCTGACTTTTTAATGATCGCCATTCTAACTGGTGTGAGATGGTATCTCATTGTGGTTTTGATTTGCATTTCTCTGATGGCCAGTGATGATGAGCATTCTTTCATGTGTCTGTTGGTTGCATAAACGTCTTCGTTTGAGAAGTGTCTGTTCATATCCTTTGCCCACTTGTTGATGGGGTTGTTTTTTTCTTGTAAATTTGTTGGAGTTCATTGTAGATTCTGGATATTAGCCCTTTGTCAGATGAGTAGACTGCAAAACTTTTCTCCCATTCTGTAGGTTGCCTGTTCACTCTGATGGCAGTTTCTTTTGCTGTGCAGAAGCTCTTTAGTTTAATTAGATCCCATTTGTCAGTTTTGGCTTTTGTTGCCATTGCTTTTGGTGTTTTAGACATGAAGTCCTTGCCCATGCCTATGTCCTGAATGGTACTGCCTAGGTTTTCTTCTAGGGTTTTTATGGTTTTAGGTCTAACATTTAAGTCTTTAATCCATCTTGAATTAATACTTGTATAAGGTGTAAGGAAGGGATCCAGTTTCAGCTTTCTACATATGGCTAGTCAGTTTTCCCAGCATCATTTATTAAATAGGGAATCCTTTCCCCATTTCTTGTTTTTGTTGGGTTTGTCAAAGATAAGATGGTTGTAGATATGTGGTATTATTTCTGAGGGCTCTGTTCTATTCCATTGGTCTATATCTCTGTTTTGGTACCAGTACCATGCTGTTTTGGTTACTGTAGCCTTGTAGTATAGTTTGAAGTCAGGTAGTGTGATGCCTCCAGCTTTGTTCTTTTGACTTAGGATTGACTTGGCAATGTGGGCTCTTTTTTGGTTCCATATGAACTTTAAAGTAGTTCTTTCCAATTCTGTGAAGAAAGTCGTTGGTAGCTTGATGGGGATGGCATTGAATCTATAAATTACCTTGGGCAGTATGGCCATTTTCATGATATTGATTCTTCCTACCCATGAGCATGGAATGTTCTTCCATTTGTTTGTATCCTCATTGAGCAGTGGTTTGTAGTTCTCCTTGAAGAGGTCCTTCACATCCCTTGTAAGTTGGATTCCTAGATATTTTATTCTCTTTGAAGCAATTGTGAATGGGAGTTCACTCATGATTTGGCTCTCTGTTTGTCTGTTATTGGTGTATAAGAAAGCTTGTGATTTTTGCACGTTGATTTTGTATCCTGAGACTTTGCTGAAGTTGCTTATCAGCTTAAGGAGATTTGGGGCTGAGATGATGGGGTTTTCTAAATATACAATCATTTTGTCTGCAGACAGGGACAATTTGACTTCCTCTTTTCCTAATTGAATACCCTTTATTTCTTTCTCCTGCCTGATGTCCTGGCCAGAACTTCCAACACTATGTTGAATAGGAGTGGTGAGTGAGGGCATCCCTGTCTTGTACCAGTTTTCAAAGGGAATGCTTCCAGTATTTGCCCATTCAGTATGATACTGGCTGTGGGTTTGTCATAAATAGCTCTTATTATTTTGAGATACATCCCATCAATATCTAATTTATTGAGAGTTTTTAGCATGAAGGGTTGTTGAATTTTGTCAAAGGCCTTTTCTGCATGTATTGAGATAATCATGTGGTTTTTGTCTTTGGTTCTGTTTGTATGCTAGATTACGTTTATTGATTTTCGTATGTTGAACCAGCCTTGCATCACAGGGATGAAGCCCACTTGATCATGGTGGATAAGCTTTCTGATGTGCTGCTGGATTCAGTTTGCCAGTATTTTATTGAGGATTTTTGCATGGATGTCCATCAGGTATACTAGTCTAAAATTCTCTTTTTTTGTTGTGTCTCTGCCAGGCTTTGGTATCAGGATGATGCTGGCCCATAAAATGAGTTAGGGAGGATTCCCTCTTTTTGAATTGGTTGGAATAGTTTCAGAAGGAATGGTACCAGCTTCTCCTTGTACCTCTGGTAGAATTTGGCTGTGAATCCATCTGGTCCTGGACTTTTTTTGGTTGGTAGGCTATTAATTATTGCCTCAACTTCAGAGTCTGCTATTGGTCTATTCAGGGATTCAATTTCTTCCTGGTTTAGTCTTGGGAGGGTGTATGTGTCCAGGAATTTATCCATTTCTTCTATGTTTTCTAGTTTATTTTTATAGAGGTGTTTATAGTATTCTCTGATGGCAGTTTGTATTTCTGTGGGATCAGTGGTGATATCCCCTTTATCATTTTTTATTGCGTCTGTTTAATACTTCTCTCTTTTCTTCTTTATTAGTCTTGCTAGAGGTCTATCAATTTTGCTGATCTTTTCAAAAAACCAGCTCCTGGATTCATTGATTTTTTGAAAGGTTTTTTGTGTCTCTATCTCCTTCAGTTCTTCTCTGATCTTAGCTATTTCTTGCCTTCTGCTAGCTTTTGAATGTGTTTGCTCTTGCTTCTTTAGCTCTTTTAATTGTGATGTCAGGGTGTCAATTTTAGATCTTTCCTGCTTTCTCTTGTGGGCATTTAGTGCTATAAATTTCCCTCTACACACTGCTTTAAATGTGTCCCAGAGATTCTAGTATGTTGTGTCTTTGTTCTCATTGGTTTCAAAGAACATCTTTATTTCTGCCTTCATTTCGTTATGTACCCAGTAGTCATTCCGGAGCAGGTTCTTCAGTTTCCATGTAGTTGAGCAGTTTTGAGTGAGTTTCTTAATCCTGAGTTCTAGTTTGATTGCACTGTGGTCTGAGAGACAGTTTGTTATAATTTCTGTTCTTTTACATTTGCTGAGGAGTGCTTTACTTCCAAGTATGTGGTCAGTTTTGGAATAGGTGTGATGTGGTGCTGAGAAGAATGTATATTCTGTTGATTTGGGATGGAGAGTTCTGTAGATGTCTATTAGGTCGGCTTGGTGCAAAGCTGAGTTCAATTCCTGGATATCTTTGTTAACTTTCTGTCTTGTTGATCTGTCTAATGTTGACAGTGGGGTGTTAAAGTCTCCCATTATTATTGTGTGGGAGTCTAAGTCTCTTAGTAGATCTCTAAGGACTTGCTTTATGAATCTGGGTGCTCCTGTATTGGGTGCATATATATTTAAGATAGTTAGCTCTTCTTGTTGAATTGATCCCTTTACCATTATGTAATGGCCTTCTTTGTCTCTTTTGATCTTTGTTGGTTTAAAGTCTATTTTATCAGAGACTAGGATTGCAACCCCTGCCTTTTTTTGTTTTCCATTTGCTTGGTAGATCTTACTCCATCCCTTTATTTTAAGCCTATGTGTTTCTCTGCACGTGAGATGGGTCTCCTGAATATAGCACACTGATGGGTCTTGACTCTATCCAATTTGACAGTCTGTGTAGGTTCATATTGTTATGTGTGAATTTCATCCTGTCATTATGATGTTAGCTGGTTATTTTGCTCATTAGTTGATGCAGTTTCTTGCATCAATGGTCTTTACAATTTGGCATGTTTTTGCAGTGGCTGGTACTGGTTTTTCCTTTCCATGTTTAGTGTTTCCTTGAGGAGCTCTTGTAATGCAGGCCTGGTGGTGACAAAATCTCTCAGCATTTGCTTATCTGTAAAGTATTTTATTTCTCCTTCACTTATGAAGCTTAGTTTAGCTGGATATGAAATTCTGGGTTGAAAATTCTTTTCTTTAAGAATGTTGGATATTGTCCCCCAGTCTCTTCTGGCTTGTAGAGTTTCTGCCGAGAGATCCGCTGTTAGTCTGATGGGTTTCTCTTTATGGGTAACCCGACTTTTGTCTCTGGCTGCCCTTAATATTTTTTCCTTCATTTCAACTTTGGTGAATCTGACAATTATGTGTTTTGGAGTTGCTCTTCTTGAGGAGTATCTTTATGGCATTCTCTGTATTTCCTGAATTTGAATGTTGGCCTGCATTGCTAGGTTGGGGAAGTTCTCCTGGATCATACCCTGAAGAGTGTTTTCCAAATTGGTTCCATTCTCCCTGTCACTTTCAGGTACACCAATCAGATGTAGATTTGGTCTTTTCACGTAGTCCCATATTTCTTGGAGGCTTTGTTCGTTTCTTTTTACTCTTTTTTCTCTAAACTTCTCTTCTTGCTTCATTTCATTCATTTCATCTCCAATTACTGATACCCTTTCTTCCAGTTGATCGAATCACCTACTGAAGCTTGTGCATTTGTCACCTAGTTCTCGTGCCATAGTTTTCAGCTCCATCAGGTCATTTAAGGACTTCTCTACACTGGTTATTCTAGTTAGCCATTCATCTAATATTTTTTCAAGCTTTTTAGCTTCTTTGCGTTGGGTTCGAACTTCCTCCTTTAGTTCAGAGAAGTTTGATCATCTGAAGCTTTCTTCTCTCAACTCATCAAAGTCATTCTCCTTCCAGCTTTGTTCCATTGCTGGTGAGGAGCTGCATTCCTTTGGAGGGGCAGAGGTGCTCTGATTTTTAGAATTTTCAGCTTTTCTTCTCTATTTTTTCCCCATCTTTGTGGTTTTATCTACCTTTGGTCTTTGATGATGGTGACATACAGATGGGGTTTTGGTGTGGATGTCCTTTCTGCTTGTAAGTTTTCCTTCTAACAGTCAGGACCCTCAGCTGCAGGTCTGTTGGAGTTTGTTGGAGGTCCACTCCAGACCCTGTTTGCCTGGGTATCAGCAGCAGAGGCTGCAGAACTGCGAATATTGCTGAACAGCAAATGTTCCTGCCTGATCGTTCTTCTGGAAGCTTTGTCTCAGAGGGGTACCCAGCTGTGTGAGGTGTCAGTCTGCCTCTATTCGGGGGGGCGGTGCCTCCCAGTTAGGCTACTTGGGGGTCAGGGACCCACTTGAGGAGGCAGTCTGTCCATTCTTAGATCTCAAGCTTCATGCTGGGAGAACCACTACCCTCTTCAAAGCTGTCAGACAGGGACATTTAAGTTTGCAGAGGTTTTTACTGCCTTTTGTTGGGCTATGCCCTGCCCCCAGAGGTGGAGTCCACAGAGGCAGGCAGGCCTCCTTGAGCTATGGTGGGCTCCACCCAGTTCGAGCTTCCTGGCTGCTTTGTTTACCTACTCAATCCTCAGCAATGGCGGGCACCCCTCCCCCAGCCTCGCTGCCACCTTGCAGTTCAATCTCTGACTGCTATGCTAGCAATGAGCAAGGCTCTGTGGGCATGGGACCCTCTGAGCCAGGCACGGGATATAATCTCCTGGTGTGCCGTTTGCAAAGACCCTTGGAAAAGCGCAGTATTAGGGTGGGAGTGACCCGATTTTCCAGGTGCCATCTGTCACCCCTTCCCTTGGGTAGGAAAGGGAATTCCCTGACCCCTTGCATTTCCCGGGTGAGGCGATGCCTTGCCCTGCTTCAGCTCACACTGGTGGGCTGCACCCACAGTCCAGCCCCCACTGTCTGATGAGCCCCAGGGAGATGAACCTCAGTTGGAAATGCAGAAATCACCTGTCTTCTGCATCACTCACGCTGGGAGCTGTAGACTGGAGCTGTTTATATTCAGCCACCTTGGAACCCCCTAGTAGTTAAATTTTTGAGGAGTCAAAAGTTATATATGGATTTTCAACTGTGCAGGGGAGTCAGCACCCCAATCTTTGTGTTGTTTAGGTGTCAACTGCAGTTTAAAATCAAGAAGTGTGATGCCTCTAGCTTTGTTCTTCCGTCTCAAGATTACTTTAGCTACTTTAATTCTTTTGTGGCTTCACATACATTTTAAGATTGTTTTCTCTATTTCTGTGAAAAATGTCATTGGTATTTTGACAGTGATTACATCGAGTCTGTAAAGCAGTTTGTGCAGTATCAACATTTCGACAACGTTAATTCTTTCAATCCATGGACATGGAATATCTTTATTTGTGTTTACTTCAATGTTTTTCATCAATGTTTTAGTTTTCAGTGTACAGGTCTTTTAACTCCTTGGTTAAACTTCCGCCTATTTTATTCTTTTCGATTCTATTGTAAATGGGATTGTTTTCTTAATTTCATTTTTAGTCAGTTTGTTGTTAGTGCATAATAAATGCAACTGATTTCTGTATTCTGTCCCTTTACTGAATTTGTTCAGTAGTTCTAAAAGTTTGGTAGAACTTTTGGGTTTTATGTGTATAAGATATTGCCATCTGCAAATAGAGACAATGTTACTTTTACTTTTCAAATTTGGCTGCTTTTTATTTCTTCTTTTTCTTGACTAATTGCTCTGGCTGGACTTTTTCAGCATGATGCTAAATAGAAATGGTAAGAGTCACATCTTTGTCTTGTTCCTGATCTTAGAAGAAAAGCTTTCAGCTTTTACTATTGAAGATGGTATTAGCTGTAGGCTTGCCATAGATGGCCTTTATTGAGTTGGGGTACATTCCTTCTATCCCTAATTTGCTGAGAGTTTTTATTCATGAAGTAATATTGAATTTTGCCAAATGTTTTAAAGTTTTTTCTACATCTATTGGGATGATTACATGATTTTATCCTTTATTCTGTTAACAACATGCATAACCTTTACTGATTTGCATATGTTAAATCATCTTTTCATCCTGGGGTAAATTCCACTTGACTTTTGTTAATATTTTCTTGAGGATTTTGCGTCTATGTTCATCTGACATATTGGCCTTTAATTTTTTTTTTCTTGTAGTGCTCTTATTTGGCTTTTGTATCAGAATAATGTTGGCCTCATAAAATGAGTTTGAATATGGTCCTTTCTCTTCAATTTTTAAAAAGTTTTAGGTGGTGTTAATTTTTTAAATGTTTGGTAGAATTTCCCAGTGAAACCATTTTGTCCTGGGTTTTTCATTTTTGGGAGGTATTTGATTACTGATTCAGTCTCTTTGTTATAGGGCTGTTCAGATTTTCCATCTTTTCATGATTCAGTCTTGGTAAGTTGTATGTTTCCAGAAGTTTATCGATTTTTTGGTTAAACAATTTTTTGGCATAAAAATTCTCATAGTAGTCTCTTATAATCCCTTGTATTTCTGTGTTATCATTGTAATGTCTCCTTTTATTTATAAATTTACAGTTGGGCACATTGGCTCACACCTGTAATCCCAGCACTTTGGGAGGCTGAGGTGGGCAGGTCACTTGAGGTCAGGAGTTCTAGACCACCCTGGTCAACATGGTGAAACCCCGTCTCTACTGAAAAAATGCAAAAAATTAGCCAGACGTGGTGGCACATGTCTTTAGTCCCAGCTACTTTGGAAGCTGAGGCAGGGGAATTGCCCGAACCCAGGAGGTGGAGGTTGCAGTAAGCCAAGATCACACCACTGCATTCCAGCCTGGGTGACAGAATGAGATTCCATCTCAAAAAATAATAATAAAATAAATAAATAAATAATTTTATTTCTTTCTTTTTTGAGTCATATCTCTTTTATTCTTGGTTAGTCTAGCTAAAATTTTGTCAATTTTTAAAATCTGGTCGATCAATTTTCATTCATATTTTCTATCTTTTTAAATTTCAATTTCATTTACTTCTGCTCTAATCTTTATTATTTACTTCTTTCTGTTAACTTTGGGCTTAGTATGATCTTCTTCTTCTGGTTCCTTGAGGTGTAAAGTATAATTGTTTATTTAAGATATTTCTTTTTCTTACTGTAAACATTTATCACTATAGACTTCCCTCTTGGACTGCTTATGCTGTTTCTTATACTTTTTGGCATGTTGTATTTCCATTTTTGTCTTAACATATTTTTTGATTTACCTTTTTCTGCCTTCCTTGACACATTAGTTGTTCAAGAGGTTGTTGTTTAATTTCCACATATTTCTCCATATTTCAATTGTCTTCCTATTCTTGATTTCTAGTGGCATACCACTGTGATTATAAAAGATACTTGATACGATTTCAATCTTCTTAAATTTGTTGAGACTTGTTTTGTGACTTAACTTATTTATCCTAATGTTCCATGTTCACTTGAGATGTTTGTTCAGCTGCTGTTGGATATTTACATATGTTTTGTATATGTCTGTTAGGTCCATCTGGTCTAAAGTGTAGTTCAAGCTCAATGTTTCATTTTTCTTTTTTTGGTTTTCTGTCTGAGTAATCTATCCATTGTTCAAAGTGGTGTGTTGAAGTTTCCTATTATACTTGCATTGCTTTCTATTTCTCTCTTCATTTCTATTATTATTTGTTTTATATATTTAGGTGCTCCATGGTGGGTACATACTGATTTACAATTGTTTTATCTTCTTGATGGATTGACCTCTTTATAATTATATAATAAGCTTTTTTGTGTCTTGTGACAGTTTTTGACTTACAGTCTATTTGGGCTGTCATAAGCATAGCTAGCTCTGCTCTGTTTGGGTTTCCATTTACATGGAATATCTTTTTCCATTCCTTCATTTTTAACCTGTCAGTATTCTTAAAGCTAAAATGATTGTAAGCAGCATATAGTTGAGTCTCATTTATTTAATCCACTCGGCCGCTCTTGTATTTTGATTAATTTATTCCATATACATTTTAAGTAATTATTCATAGGTAAGAACTTATTTCTGCAATTTTGTTAATTATTTTCTAATTATTTTGTAGTTCCTTTGTCCCTTTCTTCATCTCTTGCTGTCTTCTTTCGTGAATTGATTATTTTTTTGTAGTGGTATACTTTGATTCCTTTCTCTGTATCTTTTGTGCATCTGCTATATAATTTTTTTCCCTGAGTTTATTGAGTTGTCTGTGTTCTCTTTTATCTTGCTGAGCTTGGTTATAATAATTGTTTTGAGTTATTTTCAGTTAATAACAAAGGAATAACATTTCATATATCCCCATTTCTTTGGAGTCAGTTACTGAAAAATTATTGTGTTCCTTTGATAATGTCATGTTTTCATTTTTTTCTATGCTTCTAGTGGCTTTGCATTGATATCTTCACATTTGAAGCAGCAGTCACCTCTTCCTTTTGGGTTGGCTTCAGTGGAAAAAGACTGTCATCTTTGGATGGCCACAAGGGTGCCAACTAAATGAGGTGCACCACTTCCATTTCTGGGTTGGGGACAGCAGTGCAGCCGCCTCGCAATTCCATCAATGTCAATGTGAGCAAAGGCTGTGAAGGTCCTTGGCAACCAAGGTTGCAGATGTCGGTGGTGGTTGCAGCTGCAAGAGTTGTTGGGGTCCTTGGCAAAGTCTGCTGGGATTTTTCTGTTCTCCTCTCCCTTATGGGAAATAATTCTAGCTGAGGGAGTCTCTCTTGGTGTTGGATCTGTCGTGCTGATATGCATGCAGCTGTGGTGTTGCTAGAATCCAGGGCATAGACATACTGTGGCAACAATAGTGCCTGTGTGTGTAGGGTGCAGACATCATAACCAAGGTCCTAGGCGCAGGGGCACTCATGGTGGTAATGGCACCTGGGTTTAGGGTATAGATGCTCAGAGTGGCAACAGAGCTGGACATGAGGAACTATTGTGTCACCTAGGGCCTGGGGTGCAGATGCACTTGCTGCATTGGTGATGCTGGTGTCTGAGGCAGAGTTTTATGCAGATTATTCATGAAGCTGGGGTTTGGGGTCTTGAGCTACAGGGTGACTTGGCTCCAGGGGTCAGGACTCAGCAGCAGCACAAACCCAGTTATGATAGGACACAGCCTGGGCCTCAGGGGCACGATACAGTGGCAACACAGCTAAGGAGATGGTAGGTTGCCACCACAAGACAGGCCCAAGGGTTTGGGACACAGAGCAGTGGCAGTGCAGCCCTAGTGATGGTGAGCCAAAGCCACAAATTAGAACTCAGGTTGGCAGGGCAACCTCAGTAATGGTTTGTCACAGCCAAGACTCAGACCCCATAGAATGAGGCACAGAACAGCAGAAACACAGTCCCTGTTTCAGCAAGTCAAAGTAGTGACTTAGAACCCAAGGGGCAGAGAACAGAATGGTGGCAGCTCCAACTCTGTAGATGTCAAGGAGTTATGGTATCTTGATCCCAAAGGGCAAAGCATATCAGCTAGTGACTCAGGCCCCGAGTTAATGCTCAGTGCAGCAGCAGGGGATGCAGCAGTGGCTCCTTCTCTGGGACAGCAATGCAGTATGGACTCTGGGAAGCTCTGTGAGCTGGGCTCAGCCTAAGTGAAGACTGGGGGAATCCTCAGTAGCAAAGGTTGCAGGTTTCTATGGTATTGATGTAGATTGCTGAGGTCCTTCTGCTCCGCTTTTTTTCACAAGGTGCAAATCCTCTGAGGGGGGTCCCTCTTGGTGTTGATCTGCTCCACTAAGCTAGGGGATGGAGTGAGGCAGGTAAAATGCTTCCTGGACTCTAATATGCAGCTGGCCCCAGTTTTTTTGCACCCGTGGGTTTCTACTGCTCCTTCCTTATAGTCTAGAACTTTCTTAAAGAAATTTTCGTTGGTGCGCAGTTGTTTTTATTTATTTCTTTATTTATTTTTGAGGCGGAGTCTCGCTCAGTCGCCCAGGCTGGAGTGCAGTGGCGCTATCTCGGCTCACTGCAAGCTCTGCCTCCCGGGTTCACGCCATTCTCCTGCTTCAGCCTCCCGAGTAGCTGGGAATACAGGCGCCCGCCACTACGCCCGGCTAATTTTTTTGTATTTTTTTAGTAGAGACGGGGTTTCACCGTGTTAGCCAGGATGGTCTCGATATCCTGACCTCGTGATCCGCCCCTCCCAAAGTGCTAGGATTACAAGCGTGAGCCACCGCTCCCGGCCAGTTGTTTGTATATTTATTTATTTATTTATTTTGTGGGAGGGAGACAGGCATCATGGCCTCCTAGTCTACCATTTTGCTGATATCACTCAGTATGAGATTATTTAAAATTTGAATTTGTTCAATTTACTTGATATCAAATAAATTTGATATGCTCATTTAATAGCTTATTTATGAGTTCCTGCCTTGTTAGAAACATAGTTAATCACTACGTTTTTTGTGGATAATCAGTTTATAGCAAGTGAAAATAGTTTATTTCCTATTCTTATCATATGCCTGAGAATAGGGAAGATGATTTAACTTCTCTTACCATGAATAATGAGAGAAGAGGTAATACTCTTGAGAGAAATAAACTATAATTTTAGTGATTGTTTTCCTGAGGAATTTGTAAACATTTAACAGCATTGTTTTTTCTTATGTATTTTCTAACTATTTATTGATTATTTTGCTTTGTTTCATAAAAAATAAAAATGAGAAAAATATTTCTGCAGGCAGATGTTAGAAAGGCAAATTAACACTTGCTTTTTTACACGGTTTAAATACTAATTGGAAGACAATAGAGTCAAAGAAGTAAGAATTTATGGGTTAGGTGCCAAGAAATGCTTCAAAACGTAAATGCAAACATGTTTTTCAGCATGAAAGTAGGGAAGAGAGAAGTAAACTCGTTTATTTCTTCATTTATCTCTTTAAGTCATCAGAAAAGAAGAAAACAAATATGAGCTTTCATAATTAATAAGAAATCACATTTAAACAAATTACACTTTCTATTAAAATTATTCTCTGGTAATCTATTCATCAACATCTCACAATTTATATATGTAGCTGTTTAGATGATTCAGAAAATACGGTAGAAGAGAGGGATGCTACTCTCACAAAATCCTAGAGCAGGATTGCCCTTGGGGCAAAGTAGCAGATGGAAGCCAAAGGACATCACAGGGACTGTTATTGAAGCTCAGAGTCTTCGAGGAGAGCATTTGGGCTTTGAGCAGACTGTTGGGGAAAGTGTTCAGGAAAGTAAGAAAAATGTCACTGGATGCTGGAGGAAAGGAGACCTTAGTTATGTACGTAGTGCCAGAATGTTTGGCAGCACTATCACCCGCAGTAACTTGGACAATAGAAAATGTACTCAATGAATTTTTAGATCTATCTAGGGAGATTTCCAGGTAGTGTGGTGAAGGTACCTTCTGGCCTCTCTATGATAAAATGTGAGAGGAGAATGGTAAGTAACACAAAAGACTGCCGCTAAAATATCAGAGTAGGAAACAATGGCTCAGAATGGAAGTAATACTCCATTTGAAATGGTTTTGAATTGAGCTATACCCTTGTAAACATTATTTTGAACGTATTTATCCAGGAACCTAAATACCACAAGCATCCAACAAGAGAATCGTTCTAAAAGATTGTAAAATATTAACCCATTTTTCTCAGTACACCATTATAATGAATGATGGTGTATGTTTGTAATGAAGGTCTGAAAGTTGGAAAATAATCAGAGGAGCCGCTGAGCCCAGGCAAGATGTAGATAAAACAGAATGGCTGACTGGTGTGGCATTAGGAGCTCTGACTGATAACGTGCAAGTTGAGACAGTTCTCGGTTCTTTATATATCATAGGCTACAACTACTTTAAACAATAAGGTAAAAAAAGGTATATATGTAATAATCCTAATATGCCTTTTTTTCAATATTTGGAATCTTTAGAGGTAAAACATTTAAACTCCAGGTATATCACTAATCATGACAGGACTACTTCAGGTAATCAATATTATATTAAATTTACCATAAACATTTGTT
Source organism: Homo sapiens (assembly GCF_000001405.40). Taxonomy (NCBI): domain Eukaryota; kingdom Metazoa; phylum Chordata; class Mammalia; order Primates; family Hominidae; genus Homo; species Homo sapiens. The sequence goes on from NC_000004.12 coordinate 173,975,925, forward strand.
AACACTATTTTGCATTCTGATGACATGTTTGATTGCTAAATCAAACAAGAAGGAAAAGATAGCCCACATGCACTGAGCAAGAAATGGTTAAGCAGCCAGCTTATGCATACTACAACAGCTAGGGAAAATCCTTGCTATGACTTAGGAATGAAGGCAAAAACGCGGAGTCTTTTAAAACCTGGATGTTATTACTTTGTTCCCAAATCCAAGATGACCATAAAGACACCTCCCCACTACTCCCTCCCCCTCTACAGGAGCTCAGTCTGGGAAGAAGGAAGCCAACCTGAAGGCATTACACAACTGCAGGTTTAAACGGAAATGTTCAAGATCCAGAAGCCAGTAACATCGAATGTGCAAATTGATTCTTCAGCCTGAAATTATTTTATATAATAATGAATGGAGTAACAAAATTTGGCCCAAATTTATTTCTGATTCTATAGTTAGTCAGAACCTACTAAGTGGTAGACAGTGAGGAAAACAAAAATTTGAAAAAGTCTGTTTCTGCCCTCAAGATGCTTACAGGTAGACTTTGTACAACTCCAATACAAGTCAGCCTATGATAGTATAATATTAAAACATAAATATATAACATGAAAGTATAAACATGGCACAAGAACATTGAAAAGTCATTCTACTTGGAGGCATGGGCGTTTGGAGTTTCAGAGAAAGCTGAAATGAGAAGGTGGCATTTGAGTGGTTTTAAAAAGCACATAGTAATTTGGGAAGAAAGATAATGTGGGAGCAACGTAAGCAAAAAATAAAATAAAATAAAGGTGTGAAAATACATGATAGATTCAAGGAATTATGAGCAGTCTCACATTTTGATATGGCTACATAAACGATGGTCATAACCTTTGAAAGCAATTGATAAATATCCTAAACACCATGTTCATAATGAGTTTGGAGTTTGGACTTTTATCTGGTGGGCAATGGAAAGTAATAGAAGTATTTTAGGCAAAGTCATGGCATAATCAGATCTGTGTTTGGGGAAAAATCAACTGCACTCTCCAATATGGTAGTGATGAGCTGCTTGTGGCTATTTAAACCTAAATTTAAGTTAATTAAATTTAAATAAAATCAAAAACTCAGTTCCTAAGTTGTAGTAGCCACAATTTAAGTGCTCAGGGCAGATATAGAGCATTTTTGTCATTGTAGAAAGTTCTATTAAACAGTGCATATGTAGAGAATGGACCAGCGACATCAGGCATTAGAGGGAATAAAACTAATTAAGGGGCGAGTATTTTCACAGTCACCCCAAAAGATAATGAAGCCCTGCTATAGGAGGAGTGGTAATGGGAATAGAAACTGAGTAGACAGAGGCAAAATCAATTTATAACTTAAAGGTGATTGGGGGCTAATAGTGAAATTTAATTCATATGCCTATCCTCTTTAAGAGTACTTATTTAAGAAACAGATATAAGATTCAGAACAAAATATTTTCTAAATTACTAAAATAGGGGAATTGGGAAATGTGGCTTTAATCTGGTGTCACAATCATATTTTTAATGCCTGTATTCTAATTCTATATTTTGGAAGCTGCAAGAAAAAAAATTGCAAATCTAGGGGAGTGTGGTAGGTAACCTCCGTGGTGGTCCCCAGTGATTCTTCCTTCATGGTATCCACACTTGCTTAGCCCTCTTCCTCTTTGAATAGAGCTGACCTGTGTAACCAGTAAAATGTCATGGAAATAATTGTGTTAATTCTAATCTGGCAAAGTCAGAATGGACGTTAAAGCTTCCATTTTTCTCCTGCTTGGATCAATCACTCTTGTGGAAGCCAGCCATATAGCAAGGCCACTCAGCCCTAAGGAGAAACTGACATGGCAAGAAGGCCCCCACCAGCAACAACTATGAACTTAACCAGCATGTGTAAACTCCAAGGAGTTGGAAACAGATTCCCCAGCCCCAGCCAAGCCTTCAGATGACTGCAGCCCTGGCTGACATCTTGACTGTAATCTTATGATAAACACTGAAACAGAATATGAGCCAAGATACCTAGTTAAGCTATCCCTATAATTCTGACCCCATATAAACCGTGTAATATTATAAATGTTTATTGTTTTAAACTGCTAAGTTGTGGAGTAAATTTTTTGCACCAATAGATGTAGGGAGTTGTTTCTTAGACAGCTGATCCTTCATCCAAAGATGTAAGGAAACAAGACAGACATCTACATGACTTTTGACCGTATTCATTCCATACAGTCAAGATATGTGGACCAGTGAACTTTAAAATTTCACTATTCACATTGCTGCAATAAGTCAGCCCTCTCATGAAGACCTTAGGTATGAAGTTTGCTAGTATATTCTAAGAGAAATCTCTTATAGAAGCATGAGAACAACTTCCTAAACATCAGTGACCGGTTATAGAACATAAGACAGAGCAATGAGTCTAAGATGACTTTGGATAAAGCCTACACTGAGACAGAGATGGGCTTTGCAATGGAGCTTCTGTTGAGTTTCCTTTTTCATATTCAAGCAAAGAATGTGGAAGAAGTGTAGTGCACATTTCAGGAACTTTGGATTATAAGCTTATTATCATTTTGACTTCTGCTCATGTATTTGCTTTAATCATATTTTATATTTCTAACCAGAGTATCAGTTACAGACATATTATTTTCATTAATTTACTCAAAACATTTAATTTAATGTTAGAAATGCTTGAGAAACATTGTCACAATTTTGCTTCCTCTTACTATAACAGATATTTGCTTTAATTAGTTTTTACTTTGATTGTACAAACTTAGTGCCAAAAGCACATAGCAGTTGATATGTCATTGGAATAGAATATAAATTCTAGTAATAAAAATAATAAAAGAATTTAAAAATCACATCATAGACATTTCAAGTGAAGTTATTATAAACCAAGGACTTCAATAGCAACCATTCCTGGAGCCCCTGTGTTAAATTTTTTCCTTTAAACTAGCATCATTTAATTCTCTGAAAGAAAATTTAATTTTGGGTTTCTGTTACAATGATAATCTAGAAAATTAAGACATGCATACATTGAATCATATAGCTGACCATGTTAACCTGAGTGTGGCCACTCAAGTTCAATTCCCATGTTTGTACGTGTCTACAGTCCCATTGACACTAACTGAAGGCCAAATAATGTTGCAGTTTGCCATATAAATTTTTAAAAATAACAATATTTTGAACGTAGAAAAGTGATGAGAGGATTAGATAATTGTAGGATAATTATTATTACTTATAGCATTATTATTATTAAATAATTGTAATTGTAGAGAGAAAAATTGACAAGTCAAATTTTAAAAAATAAACAATAACCCTATATTGTGGCTTTAGGTGCCATATTTGAGCTCTAAACTGGCATATGGGGAAGACCCTGTTTGCTGAATTTGCAAACATTCATTTGCAGTAAGGATAGTGGTAAATGAAGTGTGAAAAACGTTTCCATTTAGGTTACAGAAATAATTGATTTAGATATCCATTTAATGTTGATTTCAGTAACACTCAATTTCACCCCAACCTCAAGTAAACAATATAGTTGAACAGAGCTATCAAGAACTACCTTGTTAAAATGACATGTAGAATAATATTGAGTCTTTACATTTCCCTTTATGACTGTTCTTTTCATTTATAAATGACTAATAGAATAACCATCATTTTATACAGGAAATAATGTGCCTATAGAACTAGGTTTTTTAGAGGATTGAGTAGTGGTATGCCAAACACAGTAGAAAATGTTATGAAATATACTTTTTTATTTGTTAAGTCATGTAAGTTATTTGCCATATGTAAACTTTCAGATTAATAAATTTTTTAACTTAGTCATTCTAATTTTTTCCTTGTATCTTAAGCCTTCCTCTTTTTTGCCTCAAAATCACAGTGTACTGGTGTAAATTCTCTAGGCATAGACTTAATAATCACAGAAAAGGTACATACATAATGTAATATGTTTGTTTAGGGCTCAATATGTCATTTCAGTTTTTGTGTTTCTCCTCACACCTATACTGGTACTGAAAGGATGCAACAGAGTCATCAGCAAATATACAACTTCATATCAACTAAAGGTACTTTACACAAGAGAAGAGACTCCAAGGCAACAGATTTCCTATAGCAGTCTTTTCCTAAGAGTACTAAGGTAATTAGCCTCAACAGGAGATAATTTCGGTTCACAGGGGTTGCTGTTGTTTTAAGTGTTTCTGGGAAAATTGGATTTTCCATTGATAGCAGTTTTAACATGTCACACTGGAGCCAGAGTGAATTAAACTGAAGAGCTACACAGTCTAAACAAACATTCCTTCCCATTATCAGAAGCCTGACAACATAATAGCATAAACTATAGTCATGTGGTCACATTCACAAGTAATGCAGAAACAATTAAAAATCAAAGAAATGCTACATTTTGTAAAGCAGACTTAGTTGAGGTAAGCATGTTTAAAATTATTACTTTTCCTTCCTCCCCTACAAGTTTTATATTGTGCTTTAAAGTTGAAAAAAAAATAGCAATGTTTGTTTGAATCACGATTAGTGATTAGAAAATCCAAATCTCTCTAGCCTGTGTTTTGTAATACCAAAGTAGACCGTGGTACCATTGCAACATAATTCAAGTATTTAAACTTTGAAAACACTGCTGATTTGACATGCTTATTTTTTAATATTTTTCTGTTTTACAAAAATTGCACAAATTACTGAAATAAATTTGGAGCTGTAATTCCACTATGTGTTACCTTTCCTCAAAGACGTTAATCAAATTTGGTTATATTTACACATGTAATGGATGATATAGTTTACATGTCAAAAGTAGGGTGCATTTATAGATAATTTTTCTTAATTTCATAACTAAGAGATTTTTAAAAACTCATAAAAATTGATAGAATTACACTTCAGTAGGCTCTGAAATGAAAACATTTTGTCAATAATTTTGAAATTATAATATTACTTTCCTACATTTAGATGACTTGTGAAGATAATAAAAAATTATCAAAATGCTTTTGGCTACAGAATGTTTGTGTCATAAAATAGTAACAGATTTTTAACTGTTATTCAAGGAAGGTTGTACTAATTATATTTCAGAAAATCGTTGAGACTTAGACTTTCTCTCTGCATGCGTGTGTACATGAGAGAAAGAACTTGCCTTCATGTGATTTGAGCTTGGTAACCGCATATCTAACACTTTCCAAGACCCACATTGTCAAGTACTCCATTCGCATAGGTAGATTCAAATTTACTGAACCTTGTTGTTTTTATTCAGAAAAGGAAATAAATCAACTATCATGATATTAAAACATCTTCAAGTGAGGCTTTGTTATTTCTTCTGTATCAGTTCTCTAAGTAGTGGTGTGGAGAACTCACTTTACTCTTAACTTCATCTTGATTTGATGTCTCTTTTCAACAACTGAACATTCTTCTGAATTCAGGGATCGAGATCGAGTGGTAAGTGAGCAGGGAATACCAAGATGCACCAAAATTAATAGTGGTAGGAATTCAATTCCACTTAATTTAAAAATACCTATTGTAAAAATTGCTAGGCACTCTAAAGGATATAATAATTGCAAATAGTCACTCAATCCTTAGGGAACATACAAGAAGTGAGGAGATAAACTATAGAAATAATCTACACAAGGTACAGTGTGAAAATACTTTTTAAAAAAGTGCTGGGAGAACAATAAAAAAGATAAGTTCTGAAAGTATCCTCAGACCAGTGATTCCCAGGCCAGGCCACACATGAGAAATAGCTAGGAAAATCTTTATAAAAATTGAAATTAGTACTTTCCTGGACCCACCGGTTAAGCACTTTTGGGGGGTAAAAACTGAGCATATATATTTTTTAAAACCTCTCCTGATAATTCTGAAGTACAATCAGATTTGAAAACACTAGTCCACACTATCTAAGCATAAGCTAGTTACAAAATCTTATGTAAATATATCCGTAGCTCTCTTAATTATTTTCTAAATGGGGCTCCCTCATATGGAACTGACCCTTCCAAACTTAACTTCCACTTGCAAAATTCAAAACATCCTCCAAGTAGTTCCACCCAGCTTCAATACTTTGTTTCCTCAGACCACATTCAGAATTTAATACAAACATCAAATATTTGTTGACATATATTTCCTTTTTTGCATACATTCTTAGTGATCTATTCACATGACTTATCTTGACTACACCATGATTTCAGGTAGTGGATTGTATAAATTTTTTCTTGTAGTTAGAAAATGTATATATATGCATCCATGCATGCAAACACATCCATGTATGCTGTATATACATTTTGCACATCTTCCCACATCAGCCTAGTCTTGTGTTTGGTCTGTTGTAGTGTTGAGTATCTTATTGACAAAAAAACATTAAGAAACTGCTCTTCCTGAGCGTGTTCCCAAACATTTTAGTAATAATACTGTTGACCCTTGAACACAAGGGGGTTAGGGGAGCCAAGGCCCCACACAATGCAAGGAAACCTTGCATATAACTTTTGACTCTCTGCTATAGTTTGGACATTTGACCCATCTAAATCTCATGCTAAAATTTGACTTCCAATGTTAGAGGTGGGGCCTAATTTGGGTCATGGGGATGGATGCCTTATTAATAGATTAACGCAGTGGGGTGGAGGTGAGTGTTCTCACTCTTCAGTTCCTGCAGGAGCTGGTTGTTACAAAGAGCCTGGCACTTCTCCTCACCTACTTGTTTCCTCTCTTGCCAAGCGATCTCTGCACATGCTGACTCTGCTTCATAGCAGCCTGAGGCCTCACCAGAAGCAGGTGCTGGTACCATGCTTCTTGTACAACCTGCAAAACCATGAGCCAGATAAACTTCTTTTCTGTATAAATCACCCAGTCTCACATATTCATAGCAACACAAATGGACTCTACTGTTGACTGGAAGCCTCAATGATAATATAAACAGTTGATTAACACATATTTTGTATGTTGCATGCATTATATGCTGTATTCTTACCGTAAAATAAGCTAGAAAAGAAAATGTTATTAAGAAAATCATAAGGAAGAGAAAATATATTTACTATTCATTAAGTGAAAGTGAATCATCAGAAAGGTCTTCATCCTTGTCATCTTCACATTGAGAAGGCTGAGGTGGAGGAGGAAGAGAAGGGACTAGTCTTGCTTTCTTCAGTGTGGCAGAGGCAAAAGAAAATCCACATATAAATGGACATAGACAGCTCAGATTCACATTGTTCAAGGGTTAACTATAACTCCCCACCACCCAAAGCAATTCTGAATGTGAATGATTTACTTTACTTATATTATACTTGTCAAACGTTTGGGCTATTTAAACCAAATTCCCTGAAATGTTAATGGTGAAGAGGAGTGAGACCAATTCCCAACATTTAGCAAATCATTTTTGGGCATAAGACGGGTGTGGAACCCAGGGATTGGAGAGAAGATAGCAAACAGAAGGGGAGAGAAGCAGGGGATGTGAGGATTCAGCAGAAAAGGATCATGGCTGCTTTCATGGATTCCACATCTTTCTCCCCCACTCAACAGTCTATAGACCTCACTTTTGAATTCTGGTTTCTCATTTTATTATAATAGTTTTACAATCTGTTATTTTACACCAAGATTTTTCCTTCTAGTATAATATCTGCTAAAATGTGAAGCTTATTTTTTAAAATTTGCTCAGATTTGGTATTTCCTGCTCTCTCAGAATACACTATTTCTGCTAACCTGTGTAAACTGTATAGTAATAATAAAGAAAGAGGCTGGGTGTGGTGGCTCAAGAGACAAACTCCATCAAAGGAAGAAAGAAAGGAAAGAAAGAAAGAAGGAAAGAAAGAAAGAAAGAAAGAAAGAAAGAAAGAGAGAAAGAGAGAGAGAAAGAAAGAGAAGGAAAGAGAAAGAGAAAGAAGGAAGGAAGGAAGGAAGGAAGGAAGGAAGGAAGGAAGGAAGGAAGGAAGGAAGAGCTTCCAGAGAATTGTTAAGTATAATATACTTTTTCATTAATGCATATGTATGGCCAAATGGCAATGCCAGTTCACAGAAAATAGCAACATTTTATATCTTTAAGGTCGTTAGACAAATGGATATAAAATGTTTCTGACAGTGTCACTGAGTTCAACAAGCTAGATTGGAGAAAGAGAAACATACCAAGAGCTCCCCGTGGGAAATAAATTTATCTCCTTGTGTTAACAACAACAACAACAAATCCTATGAGGCAGCTGAATGGGCTATGGAAAGAACAGAGTGGAATGCTGGCACTGTGTTCTTTTCATTGAAAACCATTATGCAGAGCCCATTAAATTCTTCCTAAGGAGAACCTTCTGCCTGGCTAAACTTGAGTTTAATCGTACCATGCTTCCAGACCATGCAGATTTCTGATCCAAAACAATTTTGTTCCCAGCCCATAACACAATTAAACACCCCTCTGCATCAAGGCACAGGAAAAAAGTACCCACGATGCAATGGAGATTACATTCTGTAAAAATTCACTAGCCAAGGAAGAATAGTGCCAATGGAAAGTTGAACATTAAAATAGTTCAAAAGGTGAATTGGGTGTTGCTGGAATATACTGTAGGGCTCTCAGTTTCCAATAGTCACCCTGGGTAAATAACATTAACTGGGTTGACCATAGTCTCAAGCTCATTTAATTTTATTTTAGCAGTTATTTTAGGTTTTCCCCTAAATGCTGTGTACATAGGAAAAAAATATGTTACTTTGTGTATTGACTGATTTCATAAAGTATTTCTTTTTTTCCCATTCAGCTCATTAGGAGAAATTTTTTAAAAAAACGGAAGTTAAGCATCAGCTCAGGAAAAGTATTTACAGATTTAATAGTCATTTGACAAATATTCAGCCAACATATATTTACCAAGAATTGGCTATGTCTAATCCCGCTTTAAAGATTACAAAATAATGCAAAGCTAGATTATGTGGTCCTTGTCCCTAAAAAGTTTTCAATCCCACCAAGGAAATACATAACCTGAAAAAATTCATGTGATAAAAGATTGCTTGAAGGATAAGATGAATTGGCTTCTATCTGCTAACTGTGTTTTGGGGGACACCATAGGATAACATCCCTCTACCAGTTGGCGTTGATGAAATGGGATGAACTTGAACTCCATTTAGCTTAAATCTCCATTTAACACTGGTTTCTTCATGCAAATCATTCAACATTCTCTTGATGTCCATTTCCTTAGCAGCTAAATGGAAATGATATCTTCTCTCATACATAAAATTTATGGTGAGATTAAAAGGTGAAATAACACATGTAAAAATGATTTTTATTTTTAATCATATAGCTTAATTTGGAGCCTAGTTTTGTTTGCTACGTACAAGGCGGTGTGCTAAGTGATTAGCAGATGTTGTGCCATCCATATTCAAGAAAATCTTTTGAATCTTACATATTGTGCATAAACCTCAGTATTTTTCCTGTCTAAAAGATGAGGAAACCGAAGCTTAAGGAAGTTAAGTGAAACATGCCAATATCCCACTGTAGTAAGGGGAAGTGTTCAAAACCTAGGTTTTTCTGAGTCCAGAGAACCCTCTTAACCAGTATGCTATATTGTCATCTTTTTTGTGCAAAAGTAGCAATTGATTTCTAAAGTATGTGTTATTAACTTCTTCTCTGAAATTCCTACACTCACTGCTAATGATCCATATTGTGAAGTCTGTACAATGTCACTATTAAAATGTCCAGACTAAGTGCAGGAGGAGACTAGGGTTGGTATTCTAGCCTTCTTCTGTTTGGAGAATAGTTTCTCAAATTGTATAATGTTGGAAGTAACAGAAAAGATGGTATTGAGGTGATGGAGCATGTGACCTAAGTGATCTGAGAAAGTGATAGAAAAAGAAGTTGGCATTCACAGGTCCCCGAGACAGGCCCCAAACAAGATCTGTCGGACGAATGTATAGGCCTTGGGTGTCAGTCTTGGACTTTAAGAGAACTCTGTGCAGAGATGGAATGCAAAGAATGTACATGAAGAAGATAGATAAATGCATAAAGTAAGTGATCCTCTAGTGATCAGAAACATTTTCCTTCACTGTCCCTATATTGCCTCTTAATTTCTGGCCTTGACCTTGTTATTAATTGGGCAGAGTGGATTATAGAGAAGACAACAATGGGAAAAGTAGCTAAGAGCAACATCACTCCTTTGGACTAGATTGAAGCTATGCAAAATGATTTTCAATAAAACCCTCTCTGCTCAGTTTTAAAAGGTACAATCGTACGTTCACATAAAATTGGCTTGTGCATAAAGAAGAGATGGGTTATAATATTTGTATATAGTAAATAACTATATTTTGAGATCTTTACAATTATAAAGGTATTCTAGCAGAATAATTTGTATAAAGTAGCTTAAGTAATAATGGCATTTCAATTAAACCTTGAATGGGTTCCTCTACAGAAATTTCTAAATATGGGGTATAATTTTGATCTGACATTCAGCCCATTGTAGGATTTACATTAAATTGTGAACCACTAGAAAATAGGAGAGTATCTCCTTTTAGTTTTGTGCAATGCTTAGTGCACCTAGAGATCTTAGTGGGTTTTTTTTTAAAGCAAGTACTAGTTTGGCTAATGAAAAATTATTTTTAAAAGATATGTCAACTAGACATCTCCAGTGTGCCATGCCCAAGATTGTATTCTTGATCTTCTTGCCAAATATGTTCTTCCCATAGTCTTCTACATCTTAGTAAATGACACATTTTGCTCAGGCCAAAAGCCTTAGAACCATCCTTAACTCTTCTTTTTGTCTCCCATCCACATCTGATCCATCAGCAAATCTTATGAATGTCTATTTGTTAGGGTATAGGCTCAGTTGCTCTAATAAGGAGATCACAAAATAGAGGCTAACAACCTTAGAGGTTTGTTCTTCCTCACGTAAGAGTTCAGGGAAGATGGTAGTCAGTGCTCCATGACGGGGACAGATCTGCCTCCCTCAAAACATTCCAAGTGCCCTGGTTTCTAGAAAGAAAGAAGGAAAAAGGAGAAGCAAATGCAGGGCAATTATCATTAGGAAGATAGCTTGGAGTCTGCACACATCTCTTCTACTTACATCTCACTGGTGAGAACCTAGTCATATGGACAATCTTTGCTACAAAGGACGCTTGGAAATGTAGTCTCTAGCTGGGCACCCATATGACCAAGAGGAAGGGGTGAACAGATTATGGAAGACAGCCTATGATCTCTGTCACAGGTTTGTATTTCCAAAATATATCTAGTCTCTAATTACTTATCACCTCATCACCCCCATCATCACACTACTAGAAGCCCCAATTGTTCACCATTGCAATATCCTCCTAACTGGCGTTTCTGCTTCTGTTCTTGCTTCCCTAAATGTATTCACAACTGCCTGTGATGATGTTAAAACACATCTGACCAAGACATTTTTTCTGCCCTTAGTCCTGCAATAACTTCTCATCTCATTATGAGTAAGAGCTCATGGTCTAGCCTCTGCTACTTCTTGACCTGAACTTCTACTCATACCAGGGGCTGCTTGTTGGTTCCAACATGTCCTGTTATGCTTCTTCCTCCCGGAACTCACAGCCATGCAATCTAACATCCTCTTCTTCCAGCTCTCCCCCAGGCTCACTCCTCAGCTTCAGGTCCTGATTCAAATGGCTCCTTCCTGGCAAGGCCTTGCCTGGACACCCTATTTAAAACTGCAGCTCTTCCATCACTTGAGACTCTAGCTCCTTTGCCTGTTTTATTTTTCTCCTTGGCTCCTTCTGTCATACTGTATATTTTACTTATTTGTCTTGTTTCTTCTCCCCTGCCACCGCCAGTTTACTCCCCAACCCCAGAAGGTTCACTCCAAGATAGCAGATGTTTTTGCCTGTTTTGTTCTTAGCATCTTATATAGCATCTGACCCCATAGTAGTTGCTCAATAAATACATTTAAGGAAATTATAGAGAGAATAAATGTGTCAGTAAACCTCAGCCATCTGATTTTCCATTTAAAGCACAACCTTGGTATAGATATCTGGAAATTAAGGAAACAATCTGATAATAATAATTAATGTGAAGCTATAAGACCAGGAACTATGAATGAGCTATGGAAGAAATCTCAGACTTGAAATTGGAAGATTTAAATTTAATTGCCATTTTGAGACTAACCTATTTATGAAATTTAACGATTAGCTTCCTCTCTTTCGGCCTCAGTTTTCTCAGCTAAGTAAAGCATAAATATGCACTTCAGAGGTATTTGGAAGCTGAAAGATGTGAAAAAGACAATGCCATATCTGAAAGTGGTCGCATATATTTATTCTTAAGTTTACAACATTTATTAAAATAGGAATATCATGGGATTTACTAATTTCAAGAAGTTCATCTGGGTCCTTTGGATAAAACAGTCTTTTTCTGTTTTATGTTTCAGATTCTAACCCTAAGGTTGTGTTGAACCTCAAAGATGCCTTGAATATATTTAGTAAAATAACTACAGTAATAGTAACTAGAAACTTTCTGTATGTAGTTAAGTATTTTCATATAAGTTATTGCATTAAATCTTCATAAAAGCCCTATAAGTACCTACAGAAACATATGATTGTTGCAGGCTTTATTAATTACAATTATAATAAAATGAAATTTAAAAATACTTCAATGTTGGCACTAAGGTACAATTAAAAAAAATTGTTTAAACATAAAATCAGTATTTTTTTCCTGAAATGGGTGGTTACTTACATGGTAACTTTTCTCCATTAATCTATTATTTCCTCAAGTTCAACCAACAAAGAATGTCATAAATTTTAAAAGTAAAAAGCAATTTCTTTCAAAATAATTCCCTCTCTTACACTATGATAAAAGTGCATGGGAAACATTACTAAATCAAAATTAACTGCTCCAGTGTCCTGCCTAAATTAGAAAAAAAAAGAACATGTATTTCTGTGCATGTTAACTACACATAGCCCCATTAATAATTTTTTGTATAGAATTTATAAGCGCAGCGAACTTAGAAAAATTAAGCAAATCATAGAGAAAATGACAGAGTTTGGAAATATCAAGGAACCAGCCCAGATTCTCTGCTAATTTAGTTTCGGGACATGAGAATAGTGCTTTTTTATCTCAGACTTGGCTCAAGCTTGGGGAAAAACATTTCCCCAGGAAATTTTAGCCCAGCTGAAGCAATTGATTTTTACTGCTTGTACCCAGCATCCTCATTTTTCAGCGCTACTCAATGCACAACCACTCAGCCATACACATTCGGATGGTTATTCAGAATTGAATCAACAACTTTGACAGAGTCAATATCTCTGCTGGCCTGTAACAAAATGGCCTTGTTATTCCAGAAGATGGACAAGAACCAGATTAGACATCCCAGTTTCCTAGCTACAGAAATTTAGACAATCAAAAACAGTGTTGGAATATCCAGTGTTTCTTAAGATACCATGGAGGGAGCACATGCTTCAAAAAGGGCATGGTGCAATTCTTCAAGAGGATAAAATGTATCATATTCTAAAAAATACCTTTAAAAATGGACAACTCAAACTTCCTGTTATTTTATGGATGAGTCTGGACACACTCACAAAACCTTTTTCTACAAAATTTTCAGTTTATCGGCCACAGTGGTGGCCATAATAAAATTCTTGACAGTATTACTTTTAACGCAAACAACAGATAACTTCAACTGATTGAAATAAAAATGTAAAAGCTCCCTGGATGTTAAAAGAATAACTGAATGGCTCCTTGCAAATCTTCTACCTAGATAAATTTTGTTCTGAATATGGAAGTTTTAGTATCACCATTACTTTCATTAAGTTTTATAATGGTAGCTAAGATAAGTCTAGCTCAGAAAATGCCAGAGTGTTTTAGGTTTAAAGGGTCACTTCCTTAATAGATTGGGGTTGTGTCAGATCTACTTTAAAATGAGATAGTACATATAAAAATACTTTGAAAAGTTAAAAGCATCACATAAAAGCAGGACCTTTCTTAGATGGAAACCCTGTTTTGGAAGCACTTAACTATAATTGCAAATGCTGATAAATGAAAAAATAGGTCACCAAAAATGCTTTCATAGGCGTTTTCTTCCCCAGTGCAAGTGCATTCACTGATGAGAAGAATCTATGCCATGCGGTAACACAGCAAGACCATTTAAATACCTATCATGTAATAAGTAATCAAATCCGAGGGCTCCCTTGGGCTTTTAGCTCCAGGATGAATTTTTCCCCACCCTTTTTGGCCCTGTGTAAATGTAATTTTGTTTTAATAATGTTTTTAAATTATGGTTGTCTAATAAACATAATTTTAAAAATTGTCCTTCAAAAAGGACTCACTTTTCAAGACTACTTTGTAAACCAGTAAGCTTCTCCTGACTTGTTCTCCTCGAAGGGTCTGGATGGTTTCATTTACTTCTTCACTTTTATAGGAAAAACAATGTAAAAAATTTTTATTATCGATAGAGCATTAAGAAACAACTTCATGCAAAACAATTAGTCTGGCCTTAGGTTGTGCCCTGTAAAGCTGTTAGATAGCTCTATCTCCCTCTACTGGCAAAGTCAGCATCCCAGATTCTGAGTTCCTTGACCCAAAGAATGTCACCCCCAGAAACAAACAAGAAAACAAACGAGAGCTGCTTCCACAATTAGCCCTAAGCCAGACAAGACTGGGAATTTTCTTCCCATCTTACAAAGAAAAAGGATTACCATGAATAAGCAGTGTTCAGAGGAAAAATGGGAACTATTTTCCTTAAACATTAAAAAAAGTACCAAGAAGATTCTTGGAGGTTAAAATGCAAGTGCACAATGATCCGTGTGCAGAGAATGTGACTTTTTTTCCAGGATAAATAAAAAAGAACTAAACAATTTGTAGAATGCAGTCACATCAAATCTGATGGTGGAGAATGTGTGTACATTTTTTAAAAAATCAAATACCTTACCTTCTTGATAAATGGCTCATAAGGGCACTACTACCAGGAGTCGCTGAAGGCAGAACCCGAGCTTAGGTATTTTAAGTGGCATTACATGTTCTCTTCAAGTTCATAGGGTTAAACAGGTAAGTGGTTTCACATGTGGTTCCTTCCTAAAAAATGAGGACAATAATGATGAGCTAGCCACTTTTTTAGAGGTGGAAAAAAACTAGTTAGAATCCACGCTCTCTGGAGACAGAGTTCTGCAGTAAGTGGAACCTTCTGACGATGGAGCCTGGAGCCAGCAGCTGGGTTCTGTCACCCTGACTGGGGCGGCCCTGTTAGTGTAGCGTGACCCCTGGCGCATTCGCACAGATAATACCGGCACCTCTTTTCACTCTAATCTCCTACCCGTCTGAGCAATTCAGCAGGAGATAGGGGCATTAAGGCCGTATTATTCCAAACAACATTTAGCTGAATGGTAGCTGAAGATTGTGACAGCAAAAGACAAATTCTCCTGGTCAAATACTTTCCTTCCCAGAAAACCTTCCTGTTTCAGTACTTTTGAGACACAAAAATGTCATTAAAATGGAACCAAAGCGGGAATCCCACACCATCCTTAGCTGAACCTAGGAAAACTTTGAAATTCCAAACAGAATTTCTTGGAGTTTCTCATGCTACAATGGCCTGTGATAAATAACACCAAATAGCCAGAT
Organism: Homo sapiens; assembly: GCF_000001405.40. Lineage (NCBI taxonomy): Eukaryota > Metazoa > Chordata > Mammalia > Primates > Hominidae > Homo > Homo sapiens. Next base: position 173,991,393 of record NC_000004.12, read on the forward strand.
AAAGAAGGAATCATTTATTCATGTATTTGCATATTTTGTTGACATTATGCCATATCTCCAGATATGGCTGTTGTTCACAAGTGAGCAGAGTTCCAGGGAGAGATGTACAGATAGCCTGTTTTTGTAATATGTATCTAAATACTTGGTGGCATGTAGCCAATCTTCCTGGAAGGAGATGGTGTTATAAGCCCATAACCTAGGTCAGAACTCTAAATGCCAATGGCAGAGTGTTGCTTTTTATGTTGGTGATACAACATCGTCTGCATTTAGATAGCTGATAATGTGTTTTCTCAAAGCTGAAGGGGCAAAAGTAAAAACTTTCTTAAATGTTTACAGATAATTTTAGTGCTATAACTGTAGGCTAACATTACTTTGTTTTTCAAAGTGGGAATCTAAGTAAATTAATATTTAATATATATTCAGGAAATTAACAGCACTCTTCCTGGTTGCTTTTTCTATTTCTGTTGTTTTTCCTTTCAAAATATACAACAACAGGATTTTGCTGTGATGTTCTAATAATTTAATTTGGGTTTTAAAATTCTAGCAATGGGACTTATGGGAAAAAATAAACTATCTCTCCGGTAATCTGCAATGCCTGGTGCTCTGAAATAAGATCAGACAGTGATCAGAGATGATTCTTTCCTGTGACAGGGCACTGTGTTTTGGCAAAAGCTGATTATTCTCTTAGTTTTGTCTGTGCAGAACATGAGGTTGCTTATGTGCGAAAAGTTGCTGGGTTGCTACAGCCAAGACGTCTCACACTTTGAGGTCCACAATGGTTATTAATTAAGAATAATAAAAATAATGTTTAAAATCTCCTTCTGGAAAAATATGCGTATTTCATACTTAACAGGAAGTGAATACAGCAATGAAGAGCTGTTTTACATATCTTTTAAACAATAATGAAAGACTTGTTTAATAATAAAGATTGGAATTCCTACTTTGAATAGCATATTATATAGCACTATAATTCATACTTCATCTGAGAAAAATATATTTCCTGCGTGTCAGCCAAAATAGGTTCATTTGATGTTGTTCTGTTGATCAAAGGAAGTAGGCTCACTTTGTGGGCATGTACGAACATCATGTCATGGTTAAAACATAGCCAAATAGGGTTGTGGGAAGAGCTAGATTAAAAAATAGGCAAATGAAGCAATCTGTCCAGGTCACTGAGCTACATAAATCACTAGAATAAATAATAAATATGATGCCAGGAAACTAGGTTTTCTGCAGAACACTTTGTACATAACTGATAAACTGTAACTTGGTCCCTCTCATAATGAAAATAAAAAACATTTCTTGCCTTTGTCCACAACAGTCTATTTCTTGATGAGTATTTAATTTTGGCTGTGATTCGCAAGACAGCGTAGAGTTCCAGGGAGAGTTCACTAAAATTCAGAAACAATACAAGACTTTACTGGAAAAGTGATTTATTACATTATTGAAATAATTATTTAAAATTTCAATTGTTTAATATACTCCTTAAAAAATTGTTTATCCCAAAGCATTGCAAATGCAAATTGAAAAATAAAGAAATGCAGATAAATGAGATGATTTAACGGGCATGAAAGCCGGGAGAAAACAAGCATTTACATTATTTTGAACTAAACTTTCTAATTACACCTATGCAAGCTGTAGCAAATGATGGAAAAGTGTAAATAAAAGACAACTTCCCAACTCTTAAAATATCTTTTTAATGGAGTAACAAAAACCAATTACAGCAGCAACGGCAAAAAGCAATCATAGGAATATATTTAACAATAAATATTCACAGAAGAAAACTATACTATTGGAAGTAAAAGTATTCATGACAACAGGAAAGACATTCCCTATTCTAGCATTGGATGTCTCAATAGGATGATGCCAGTTCTCCATTAATTAATTTATACATTTACTGTAATCCCAATAAAAATACCAGTGACTTTCTTTTTAACAGAGCTAGGCAATTTGGTACTTAAATTCATGTGAAACAATAAACACAGATGACTAGCTAGAAAAACACTGAGAAGAAAGGCAATTAATTAGCAGGGGCTAGGCCTACAAAATAAGAGAACATACTACAAAGCATTTTAATCAAAACAGTGTGATGCTTGTGTGTGAACGGCTAAAAGACCAACACAACAGAATAATAATCCAGAGATAGTCCCGCTATATATGGAGATCTAGTGTATGGTAACGGTGCTTTTCAAGTGACTGAGGTAAAAAATTTTTTGTCTCATTTTTAATAAATTTATTGGGACAACTAGATGGCCACTTGGGAAAAAATAAAATTAGATTCAGCTTTTGCATCAAATAAATCAGAGATGTGGAAGTAAACATGAATTATACAGGCACTACAAGAGAGCATCAGTAAATTCTTCTCTGGGTGAAGAAAAACTTTCTAAGTATAATTGAAAATCCAGATTCACCAAAGGAAACTACGATAAGTTGTACTATATAAATTTATAAATTTCATGGCAAAAAATAAGAAAGCTAAATATTATAAACAAATTCAAAAGACAAATAACAAACTAGGAAAAAATACCTACAGTATATATGACAGAGAAGGCCAATTTCTGTAATATTCAAAGAACTTACAAAATTTGAAGAAAAGAACAACAAAAATCCTATAGGGGAAAAAAAGATCAAATTGTCATGAACATAGAAGTCACAGAAAGAGATATAAAAATAGCCCTTAAATATATGAAAAGATGTTCAACTTTACTCATGTTAGAAAAATTCATATTAAACTTCAGTGAAACACTATTTCTCACCTGTTAGTTTGGCAAAAAGTCAAAACCTGACTGTATACTTTTTTGATGATGACATTGGGAAACTGAAGTTCTCATACATTGCCAGTGGGAACTCAAAATGGCTCAATCTTTATAAAGTGGAATTTGCAAAATTACTCATTCATTTAACATTCTAGGAATTTACCATAAAGACAAACCTCTAATTATATGAAATATGTGTATGCATATGTATATGCATATATATATGGTTATCTATTGTAGCAATTGTAATTGTGAAACACTGGAAATTACATAGATGTCCTCCAAGCCTAGGAGTTGGTTTAATTAACCATATTACAAACACTCAAAGGAGTACTATGCAGTTGTGAAAAGCAAAAAAGATCTTCATGAACTTATATGTAGTGATTACTAGAAGACATTGTGAAGTGCAAAGTGAAAAGTGCAAACAAGCGTATGTAGTATGCTACCTTTTGTAGAAGAAACAAGAGAAAGTAAGATACATATATCATTTATCTTTAAAAACAACACACACACACACACACACGAAGTGTAAACCAACAAACAAAAGCTTTTATTATCTATAGGGTCAGGGAAGAAATGAGATTAAGGGGCTACAGAAAGGAAAGGTGTGATAATTCTTTGGGTATACATTTTTAAAATAATTTTGAATTTTTTGGAGCATGCTAATGTTTTTGGAAATCAAAAAGTAAAATTAAGTCAGCAAGGGTGAGAAGAAAATTCCTAGTATCAAAGCAAATAGAAACAAATGGACTAGAATGTATTTCAAATGAATGACATACTCACTTTATGGGGGGGTGTGAAAAACTAATCTAAGTAATTAATGGTATTTGACTATATACCCTCAGTCTTGGGCAGAGTCAAGGTAGGAGAGACAACTACAAACAGATTCTGAGTTCCTTTTAGTAGAAATTTTTGGTTATTTGTAGTGATATAAGAGAAGCAATTCTGAAACTATTGGATATGTTAAAGAATTAAGCAAATAAGCAAATGTGTTTATGTTGGGAGCCAGAGATCTCAAATGGAAGAAGGGACATACAAACAAGAAACAGGGGATGGCAAGAACCTTGTGAGGATTCATGATTTCTAAAACATTTACATATGCATATAGCTATTATGTGTATGTGCATATATATATGTACACACATATACACATACACATATACACACATATACACACATATACACACATAATGCACACATATCTATGCCTACGTGTGTAAACATATGTGTGTAAATACATATGAATAGGTATGCCTGTATATGTATATGTGTAAATAAATGCAAATCTCTTAATTTTCCTAGAAGGAATGAGCAAACTTTGTCTCTAATGCCTCTTGAGAAATGTTTGATTCCAGAACTGAGGCAGGGTGAGAAAATTATTATTGTAAAGACTAGGTCGGGCAAAAATCACCAATGGGAGCTAAATCAAAGGGGCAAATTTGATAAAGAGCAGGATATTTGCATGGACTTGAAAGTGTGACTTATAAATTTCTACTTCTTGAAAGGAGAAAAAGTAATAGCTATACAATGGAGAGGGCAGGCAACACCCTGATCGGATGATAAAAGTTAACAGTATCAATGGGAGGCAGATGGACATGATGCCCTGAGAGGAATATGGCTTCTACGCAGTATTCTGACTGAGGCTTCTCTAACTTCAGTTAAATAATGAAGAAACATTAGACAGGTACAAAATGAGGAGTTCTCAATCTTTCTTTTCTTTCTTTCTTTCTTTCTTTTGAGACAGTCTCACTCTCAATCTTTCTTTTCTTCTCTTTCTTTCTTTCTTTTGAGACAGTCTCACTCTCAATCTTTCTTTTTTCTTTTCTTTTCTTTCTTTCTTTCTTTCTCTCTCCCTTCCTTCCTTCCTTCCTTCCTTCCTTCCTTCCTTCCTTCCTTCCTTCCTTCTTTCTCTCTCTCTCTCTTTCTTTCTTTCTTTTTCTTTCTTTCTTTCTTTTGAAACAGTCTCACTCTCGCCCAGGCTGGAGTGCAGTGCCGCAATCTCGGTTCACTGTAGCTTCGACCTCACAGGTTCCAGCAATTCTCCCATTTAGCCTCCCTAGTGGCAGGGACCACAGATGGCTGCCAGCATGCCTACCTAATTTTTGTATTTTTTTTTTTTTTTATAAAGACAGGGTCTTGCCACGCTGCCCTGGCTGGTCTCAAACTGCTGAGCTCCAGCTATCTGCCCACTTCAGCCTCCCAAATTGCTGGGATTACAGGTGTGAGCCACCACACCTGGCCAGAGAGCTCCATTAAAAACAAACAAACAAACAAATAAAACTGAGGGACTAGTTTTCAAAACTGTCGATGTCATAAAGGACAAAAAAACAATGTGGAAATGTTCCAATTTAAAGATGTTAAAGGAATATGACAACTACATGCCATCCAGATCCTAGAGTGGATCCCAAACTAGAACAAAGATAACGTTATATAGAACATAATTAGATCAATTGATGGAATTGGAATATAGATGAGAGATTAAAGTTAAATGTATTGAAGTTGATAAATATACATGGTTATGTAAATAAATATCCCTATTCTTAAAAGGATATTTTTATTCTTAAAAAATATGCTCTGAAGTATTAGGGGTAAAGGGTCATAATGTATGAAATTTACTCTCAAATAGTTCAGAAAAAATATGTAAATAGAAAGATGGATGGATTAGATAGGTAGATTAGATAGATTAGATAGGTGGGTAGGTATTTAGGTAGGTAGGTAGTAAGCAAATGATAAAGTAAAAGCAAATAAGGCTAAGTGTTAAGAATGAGTAAATGTGGGTAAAGACTAAATAAGCATTCTGTATATGATTCTTTCTCTTGCAACTTTTCTTGAAGTTTGAATTATTTCCAAATTAAAAGTTTTTAGAAAACAAAGCATCTATAGACCGTATGTGTAATAAATATAAATACATTATTTTGAATATAAACATCTGAAAATTTTAATTAACAAAACTTGGTTTATTTCCCCTTCCACTAAACAAATATTGGACAAATATTCAGCAAATGTTAGTCTGAGGGATACCCAAATATTGGCCTACCTGGAGTCCACATCCAGTGTAGCCTTGGATATAGGCAGATGTGTGAACTAGGCTAAGTTTCTCTTGATATCAATTATATATCTGGGAAATTAGAACACAAAACCAACAGAAATAAAATTTTGGACTTATTCTTACCAACAACAAAACTTGCCTGGTTATCAAAAAGGAAATGTTAAAATCTCTGAAAAATAAAAACAATAAGGTTATCTTAGAGTGTTTGATAGCCAGTAAGTGAAAATGTGAAGGTAGTTAAACTTGGTGTCTGCTATGGTCTGAATGTTTGAGTTCCCCTAAAATTCATACATTAAAATCCTGACACTCAAGATGATGGTATTGAGAGGTAGGGCCTTTGAGAGATGATTAGGTCATGAGAGCAGAGCCTCATGGCTGAGATTAGTGCCCATATACAAGAGACCCCAGAGAGCTAGCTCTCCCATTCCATCATTTGCGAACTCAGCTAGAAGGCATATCTAGGAAAAAGAAACAGGCCTTCTTCAGATGCCAAGATCCATTAATGTTGTAAGTCCCAACCTCCAGAACTGTAAGAAATAAATTTCTAACCTTTAAGCCACTTAGTCATGATATTTTGTTGCGACAGCCAGAACAGACTCATACGGTATCCAAAGTTTTAGGAAAGCAGAGTTCCAAAAGAATTCAGAGAAGAAAATAGACTTGATATCAAAACATGAATTTCTGGAAGAGAGTCTAAAACATTTTAGAAGCCATGAAGATCTCATCAGTGCAATTCTAGGTGACGCAGAATAAAAAGGGAAGTACACATAAGGTAGGATTACAATGTGTGATCATTTATGACCTCAAAATTTTTAAATATAAGCATAAAAGTTAAACAATGAGACATGTAGCAAAGGATAGATGGAATAGAGTGGTGAGGACATGTAAAAATAATATCATCAAGACCATGGCCCCAATGAAATGAGGCTTGCCCATCCACCCTAAAACACTACTAAAGAAAACATATTTCTTCTGCTGTTATTTTTGTTGTTGTTGTTATAACAAAAAATTAAAGCAACAGAGGACACTTTCCTTAGCCTTGGAAGTGAAAGATAACACATTTCCTGGGCTGAATTTTATTTTAAAAGTTTTAAAACATAAGAGGGTCAAGACGGCTTTCTACCAACTGTCTGTTGCCTACAAGAGGCACACTTCACCTATAAAGACATAGACTAAAAACACACGTAGACACACATAAAGGGATGAATAAAGATATTCCATGCAAATGGAAAACAAAAAAGAGCCAGAATAGCTATACTTATATCAGATAAACAGATTTCAAGACAAAAACTATAGTATAGTATAGTACTGAAAGTATCATTTTTTATAAGGAATCAATCTTGGTAAATAACTTCATTTCGGGGTATGTCAGAGCCCGATTCACTACATGCTTGTTTATGAATAGCAAGCAAATGAATAGTCCCTTTAATAACTAAAGAAGCAACTGACATCATCATATTTCATTCAACAAATACTAATTGAGAGACTGACGAGTAACAGGCAGGCTTTGACCTAAGGCTGGGAACATATTAGACTGTCTCTCTAGCTTCAGAGAGGACTTAGTCTAAAGGGAGAAATGACAATAAAGAAATATGCTAATAGACATAGCTTTGGCAGGAAGTGGTAAGTGTGCTAAAAAAAAAAAATAACGCAGGAGAGATTAAACAACTGGTACATATGTGGGAGTATTCAAGTAATTCCACTCCAAGGAAGTCACATTTGAGCTGCGACTTGAGTGAAGGAAAAGGGGAAGTCCTGTACCCCATAACAGCAGATGTCAAGATGGAGAAGTGCTTTGGTGTTCAAGAATTGCAAGGAAGCCAGTGTGCTGGAATTCAGAAAGATGAGGCCCAAGAGATAGCCAGGGCCAGGTCATGGTGGTTCTCGTGGGCCACAGTAAGGAATTTGGATTTTATTCTAAGTGTGACAGCTAGTTGTTGGAGCAGAGAAGTGACTTACGTTTAAAAAGACCACAAAGTGTCCTTTTGAATCCTACAACCCTTCTTGATCAATTCCTTTGTGGGAGAAAATTTACTGTGATTCTTTTGCATTTCTATACACCTTACAAGCAGAAGGACATGCTGCTTGTGTTGCAGTTATCTGTTCTAAGGATGTTTGTATAGTGAACAACTTGGGTGACAGACAGAGGAAGAGATACTGTCCTCTTCTAGAGCAAGTGTTCCTCTCCTGTAACAAAACACCCTGCATGTTATAGTCATTACCTGACACTCTTCAAGTAACACTGTGGGACTCAGAGCTCAGGAAACCAGAGCATTTTCTGACTACTGCTATAGCTCTAATGAAGTCTTTGGTTTCCAACACCACAAAATTTTGTATTTTTCCAGCTTCCATGAAACTGTGGTAGGCAAACTTGTTAGCTTACAAGTCAAGTCAAGTCTCATATCCTTCACAGTTCTTGATAGCTTTGGCAACAGGAATGACCTGACAGACATGACTTTCTAGAAAAATGAAGACGAAGGTTTCTCAGGCTTATTAGTAGGAATTGAAGGATGTCCGTGGGAATCCGTAGTGAACATGTTGACCAAATTGTATGGTTAACTTGGCAATAAATGGTATCTTCCTCGTCATTGCTTGTTAATGAGGAGGAATTGGGGAGGTGGCTATGGATTGAGTACTGGGAAGTAGGTTTAAAGATGGTATCCGTGTGGTGCCATAGTTGTTGTTAACTCCCCTTCATGGAGAAGGCTGAAACTCACCACCAAGCTATCTGTGTGCCACGGATTTGCCCTATTGCAAAGACTAGAACTAGTCATCTTAGGTGGGCAGAAGTGTCCACCTGCCAACAGACAACAGTTACATAGATAAGCACTTACAATCATTGTAAAATGAGGAAAGTTCATAACCACTAAGGGCAGAAGCCAGGCAGGTCTTAGAACTTTGGTGGTGCATGTGGAGTATGAGGGAGGCGATATATAACATTCAAGGAAGACTGGCAACAGCTGGGTCATCTTATGGCTCAACTCCTTTTGGAGTCTAACAGGCCAGCCTCACATCTTTTCAGAAAGTAAAGTGAAAGATCTCAGTTGTTCTTTGTTTGTTTTTGCAGTGAGTCTTAGCTGTTATAAGGGAGCTTTGGCCTCCTGAGGAAAGCAACCAAACTCCAGTGGCAAGCCATAGATGAGGTATTAATGAACATTTGGGCTCACTGTGACTATAAAGATTTTTTTTCCATAAGACCCATAAACCACCTATTGAAATATAACTTTCCATTAAATCCTTCAAAATAAATTGGTTGTAAAATGTATTGCTAGATAACAGAACCTCCAAATTCCAGATCCCCATTCTACAGTCCAGGAGAACATCTTCCTTTTCCTGAAAACAGCGTCTCGGTCACCTTGCATTTGCCTTGCCAACATCATCAAGACTGTGTGCTAAATAGTTTCTTAGAGATGCTAGCAATAGGCCAGTTAAATGTTAGGGGCCATTGAAGAAAAATTATGACTCTGGTTTTGAAAGAGTTGATCCAGAAGTTTTCTTTCATAAAGAAATATGCTAGCAGGGCCAGTTATCTTTTGAGGCTAGTCTTAGTTTATTATAAAGCAACCATATCATCCTTATAGTTCTTCATTGTCTTATGATGTGGGATGGGAGGAACAGGAATACACAGTGCTCTTGATGTCTACTGAGGTAATGCACCCATCTGTCTGATGGTTAATGTGAAGGACAAAGCTTGACCTAATACTGCAGTCTGCAGGTTGTGGTTTCTGTGATGTGGAACAGGCAGGGAAGGGTTCATCAGACTCACCTGCTGCACACCACAGTTTGTAGAGAGGTCCAAAGTGAGGTCGCAGTCTGCCTTTTTGGTAAAGCCTGTTGGGGAAAACAACTAAACCAATGGACTCTTGAAGCTATGTTGAGCAATCCAATATATATTATGGTCAATAAATAATAATATTTATTATAATCAATAATTATTTCTCCTGGTGTCCTGCTCACTTGCCAGGCTAAACGAAGGGAGAAACTTTCTCATGCTGCTGATGCTGACTGCTTTTGGATAACTCTTTCATACTGAACTGGACTGCTGCGTTCTTGAAAAACCAGGAAGAAGAAAATCACCCTCTAAAACTGAAATTTCCAGAGACTTGCCTCAACCCATTGGCTCTCTACATGCTGCCCTCCTATTAGGAAATAGATTTGTTACTTACATTCCCCCCTCCACTCACCCTCCACTACCAGACAAAGCTAAATGGGCTCAGGGGAAATAAGTAACTGTGATGTTCCTCAGAGATCTGTTATGTACCAATGATAAATGGAAAATGAAAATTACTAACATTTATGATTGATCTATATGTTTGTTTTTGTTTTGTTTTGTTTTGTTTTTGTTTTGTTTTGTTTTGTTTTTGAGACAGAGTCTCACTCTGTTTTCCAGGCTGGAGTGCAGTGACACTACCTTGGCTCACTGCAACCTCTGCCTCCCTGGTTCAAACCATTCACCCACCTCAGCCTCCTGAGTAGCTGGGATTACAGGCTCATGCCACCACACCCAGCTAATTTTTGTATTTTTAGTAGAAACAGGTTTCCACCATGTTGGCCAGGCTGGTCTTGAACTCCTAACCGCAGGTGATCTGCTGCCTCAGCCTCTCAAAGTGCTCGGCTTGTAGGCAGGATACAGAGCACCCCACCAAGATGGATCTGTAGTTTTGGCCAGGTGCAGTGGCTCACGCCTGTAATCCCAGCACTTTGGGAGGCAGAGTTGGGCGGATCACTTGAGCCCAGGAGTTTGAGATCAGCCTGGACAACATGGCCAAACCCCACCTCTATAAAAACTACAAAAATCAGCCGAGCATGGTAGTGCGTGCCTGTAAACCCAGATGCATGGAAGGCTGAGACTGGAGAATCGCTTGAACCCAGGTGGCGGAGGTTGCAGTGAGCTGAGATTGTGCCACTGCACTCCAGCCTGGAGGACAGAGTGAAACTCTATCTCAAAAAAAAAAAAAAAATCCATAGTTTTAAGGATGGAGATGAAGTTGAAGTCATCAGAAAAGATCCCATTGAAATGGAAAAAAATTGTGAAATGTAGTGATAGCAACAGAAAAGAACTAAAATAATTCAGTGAGAGAACTAAAATAATTCAGTGAGATCTAAGGGGAAAATCCTACAAAAACAGAGAAGTCATCTTGGGATAATAAAGCATTCTTGCTAGTAAGAATTATAATGTGTTTAATTCTTTTTAATAATTTCAACTCTTATTTTAGATTCAGAGGATACACGTGCAGGTTTGTTATATGGGTATATTGCATGATGCTGAGATTTAGGATACAAATGATCCCATCACCCAGGTAGTGAGCATAGTACCCAATAGTTTTTCAACCCTTACCCTCTTCCCTCCCTGCTCAGTAGTCACCAGTGTCTATTGTTGTCATCTTCGTGTCCACAACTACACAATGTTTAGTTCTCACTTATAACTGAAAACATGCAGCATTTGGTTTTCTGTTCCTGCATCAGTTCACGCCGGATAATGGCCTCCAGCTGCACCTGTGCTGCTGCAAAGAACATGATTTCATTCTTTTTTATGGCTGTGTAGTATTCCATGGTGTGTATGTACCATGATGTGTTTAATTTTAACATTCAATAAAGGTAGTAAAAATAGACTAGATGCTGATAAAAACCTCATCAATCATGTAGGAAATGAACTGGAAATTATCCTAAAATTGTAAAAATAACAGAGCAGTAGTTAGGAGGAAAACAAAGGATAATAGAATATAGAGCCAGGAGATCAAATATTCCAGTAATAAGAGTTTCAGAAACAGATAAACATATGAAGAAGAGAAACAAAGAATAAGAGAATATTTCTGAGTTGAGTTTTCAGATTAAACGCTCTTAATTGCCAGGTCTCCAAAAGACATACTATATAACCTGGAAAATTTGCTGCCCTCCAAAATAAAAGAGCAAACCTTGAAAGCTTCCAAATAGAGAGGAAAGCTTACCAATAACAGACCAGAATAGGGAGAAATTTTCTCTCTGCAACTCATGAAGCTGGAACAGAGTAAAACAACATTTATAGTTTTCTAAGAGGAAAAGATCCAAGGATCTTACAGGCAGCCAAGATATAATTCAGGGATGAGGGAGAGAACTTAAAACTTACCTCACAGAAATTGAGTAATTAAGTAGAAAAAAATACAAAAACATAGACTATAAATAACATAAATTGATATAGGAACTGTGAACAGAGTAAAAACTGAGAATAGTCATTTTTCCTTATGTCCAGGAATACGTTTTTAAAATTATATACATTTGATCACAGAGAAAATGTAACTAGGTTCCAAGAATGCATATTTTGTGGCCACATCCTAGGACTAAAATAAAATAAAACTGAAAATTTCTAAGCTATTTAAAGATCAATAAGAATAAGAATATTCTATATCAAAGCCTATAGGATACGGCTTAATGAAAATTCACAGCTTTAAAGTATTTCACTATTAAATAAGAAAGATTTAAAACAAATGGAATATCCATTCTATTTAATAAACAAGAAAAATGCAGGAGCTGGAAATTAATAAAGATAAAAGCAGAAATTACTGATTTAGGAAACAATAGTAATAGTTAACATTTATAGTACATTTACCATATGCCAATTACTGAATAAGTGCTTTGCAAGTATTGTCTTATTTAATCTTCATAATAACTCTGAGATAATATTCACCATGAAAAATAACAGTCATGAACCTCTATGAGCCAAATAACTGCATTAGGTTCTATAGAGAAAAATAGAATTAGAATTATTACAGATATGTTTCAAAGAACTTTTCAGCCTTTGATGAGTTTAGCAAATAAAGGCCAACACTTTCTGTAAACCTAAGCAAATTAAAAATAAAGCTCAGAGAATTTAAATAATAAGACAAGGTAAAATATGTCTATGTTTTTCTCATACAAACATGGCATATGCTTGGAATTAATATGTATAGTTCATATATTAAGACTAATGAATATTAAATTTCAAAAGTAGGATCTTGTACAAGTCACTGTCTTTGTCTAGAATTTAATATACAAAGAAGCTAATAAGTATTTTCAAATAGAAGTTTTGAAATTTGAAATGTGTCCTCATCTGAAATTACATATTATCAGGAAAAAAAACAAATGAGAATATTGCTTATCAAAATTTATGGTATGAGGTTAAATCTATAAGTATAAGCAAATTAACAGCCTGAAATATTTTGAATATTAAACAGGAAAGAATGAAATAAATCAGCTAATTATTTAACTCAAGGAGTTCTAATACATACAGCTAAGGGAAACTAGCAAGGAAGAACTCAGGAAAACAAAAGTATGTGTAACTTAACTATCTTAAAGTGGGTGCAAATTGTTAAAGCGTTTTGCTCTTACATTTTATTTCTTTTTCTCTATTCTAATTCACTCGGAGTAAATTCACATCTATATCATAACTATTTTTTTCTAAGTATTGATTCTGTCCTGAACTGTTTCTAAAATTGATTTCAGTGCTGCAATTTCTTTAATATTCTTTCCCGATACCCTTCCATCTTTTCAACCAAGTCTGCCTCCCACTTCAGTGCCCTTTCCTAGGACCTACAGTGGACACTACTGTACCGTGGGACCAGCACTCTTTTCCATGAATTGCCTACTCCTTCGTGGGATTGCGTTATGGGTTGTTGGTTGGGTTGTGCCAGATCCAAGGTGGAAGAAAAACAGTCCCCTTTAACCTTGAAAGTAAGAGAAAGAGTCAGCAGTCAGGCTCTCCCTGGGTATGTGGACTTGTAAAATGTTAAGCCTGAATCTTCTGGTAGCCCTTTTAATGCCATATGGACCAGTCTGTAATGAGAATGTGGAGTGGAACAGGTGCACCCAGAGGAGCAGATAGCAGAGGGAAGGGAGAGCCTCCATTGTTTTCAGCCAGGTCATCCTGGCTGCTCAGAGCCATCACAGACCTTATGTCAACGAGCTATCCAACATTCTTTCTGCCTGTCAACCCTGTTTTTGGCTACTTGGAACAAAAAGAATTGTTACTCAACACGTTGTCTTATATTTCCAATAATTATTTTTCGCTGACTGTTGAGAACACAACACAGATTCTTTAAATATTTAGTTCTGATTCCTTTAGTCAATCTTTCCTATAAGTGTGTCCTATTCCTCTCTGCCTTGAGTACTGTATTTTCCACTGTTCTACTAGAGAAATGTTTAATAATCTCCAGGGAGGTTTTTTTTCTATTTTGCTGTAATGCATTCTTGAAGAAAAATAAATCTCTCCAGTTGTGGGTGGATTCTCTTTGATTCCTTTTACTTCAGTGCTGTTTGATGTATGCATCCCGTAATCAATTATCTGAAGGCTTATAGCCCTCTTACCATGTGACTCAGCTGGCTTGTGTAGGAATCTCCTGGTCATCTTACTGTGAGTGGTAGAGCTCACTCTGGTTACTCTGAAACAGCGTCACATCTTCTCTTGCCAGAATCAGCAAATCACAAAATCCATAATCCCCACATGAGCCGCTCTCAGCTCTCCCAGGCTCAGCTGTTCCTGCAACTGAGTTCCTATCTTGGAATGTCAAGTGCCACTCCCTGTCCAGTCTACCTCCTGCATCACTGGAGATTATAGTTCTAAGGATAAAGTTCATGTCAGGGTGTGCTTGTTTGTAACACATTGCTACAGCTTATAAAAAGCACGGGTCCCTTGTATCAGAGACCACAGCTATTAAAACAAGCAGTGGCAAATATAAAGATATTTGGACAGTACAGGAGATACATAGTGTTAGGAAAGTATAGAACTTACATAAAGAAAATAAGTTGCCTCTAGAGCATTAACCTCTGGGCCCCTGAGTATTCCAAGGTTAGTTTTTTTAGAGAAATAATTTTTAAAGTGGCTGTAGATTGATCGAGGAGATTGGATAGAAGGTTATAGAGAGAACCAAGGAAAAGGTCCTTCAACCTCCTGTTCGTGATGTGGGCTTTCTCTACTGCTGTCATCCTCTCTTATCAAACTGTGTTGCCAGAACGGGCAAGGGCCACAGCCATGGAAGAGGGGCTACCAAATGGAACTCCAACCTAAGGTAAAGAAACCACATGGTCAGACAGAGAGGGACATCTCCTTGACCTCTTTCACTGCCCACTTCAATTTCCTTCCAATGCCTCTTGGGGCACAAAATGGGGCAGAAAACATCAGAGAATGAATTTGGAGAGGCAAACAGAGAAAAATCAACCGGAAGAAAAGGGAGTTTAAGTCGAGAAAATGAAAACAAAAATAAAAACATTAAGGTATTGAGGGAGGTGACAGAAAATGTTAATACATTTAAAATATTCAATAGACACTTAAAAAGTGCAGTATAATAGATTATAGATTAAGAACAAGAATTAGGGGACCAAACTTCTAACTAAACATGAAAAACATTCATCAGGTAAGATCCTGAACAAAATAACTTATTTTAGAAAGTGAAAGCAAGGAAGTCCAAACGTTAAAAATACATGATAAATTTAAAATGCAACAATAAAAATAAAAGCATTGTAAGTCAAGGCAATAATACGCAGAAAAAGTAACAAAATTATGAATATTAGAATTAATTTTATCATTTTTATGCTTTATGTGTTTTCAGATTTTTAAAATAAATATGCCTTATTTTCATGACCTAAAAGCAAAATTTTAAAGGAACACACATAAACACAGCCCAGTTAGCCAGTTAATAATCAGAGACACACACTAACTAAAATGTAAATTATTCTTTCCTCAAGATTTTCTAGGCTTTCCTGCTATTATATATTATTAATAGAAAACAATGTATTCAAACACTTTTAATTCAACTCCTTGCTAGGCTGATTTTCAAAATATTCTTATAAAGTTAATTTTTATATATGTTTTGAAAAGCTGTTATTTTCAATACTATTTATTATGTAGATTATTATATTTTTTCAAAAGATCTGTACAATAAATTCTTCTTAAAGTTCAGTACTAATTAAAAGTACATATTTTTATTTGTCTGCCATGCTATAATTGGAAAAAAAATGAGGTAACAGCCTAGTCTCATTTTTTGCCTTGGCTCCAAAGAAATTAGATCTAATAAAAATAATAATCATAAAGCTGGAATGCTTGTTATATGCAGTTATTAAACAAAGCATTTTCTATAAATTATTTTACTTTATATTCATGACAATTCTGTAAAGTAGGGTCTTGGCGTTGTATTAAGTAATTTGCCTAAAACCACATCAATAGTTAATGAGAAAATCAAATTTTTCTTCTGTGCTGTGCTTACTCTTTCTTGGCTACATTGAAAACTCAACCACAATAGTTTCTCTTTCTCAAGCTTTCTGCCATATTTTTAAAAATATATTATTCTCCTCTCGAGTAGAGAAGAATCAAGTAGCCTCTTTGTTGTTGTTGTTGTTCTTGTTGTCTTTCCTATCTTGTATCATATCCATTTCAAATCATATGGTGAAGGAAACAGTACGTTTGATATTCAGACCTCTAATGGGGATATTCCAACATTCCAAAACATATAAGAACGTTATTGTATTACGTTCCGAAGGCAACCAATTGTGTGACACAAGCATAAAAAAGAAAAGGAGGGATATGATAGAGATCGAGCATGACCTCGCTTCAGCACGGGTGAGGAAATTGAGGCAGCAGTACCTGCAACAGTGTTTCCCAGCCTCACACTTGCCCTGCCTCCCACTGCCCAGGGATTCTTATGTTTCTCTCACAACCCCCTCATCTCTACTCTCCCACTCTGCCATGGGAGACATGTCTATATTGAGAACCACTGCATTTTGTATATTTACACCCAAAACAATTTTTTCAAGTTTTACTTTCTATAGTTTACATTATGGGAAAAAAGATTTTTCTTCCTTCTGATATAATCAGCATTGATTCAATATTTTTAGAAAAAGCGCCAGCCCCAAAGGGTACTCCTAAGGTACAGAAAAGTTCTCTCAGATGCCTGTATTTTCTCTTCCCAGCCCTTCCCTGGATCATCACAGCCACCATCACTAAGCTGACAATCATGGTCCTAGAAAATATCATAAAGACCATGTAGACCACAAAGTGGTTTGTCTCTTTAAGACAGGGGGAAGAGATTGCTTCTTGACTCTTACATTTTCTCCTTTGTTTAATAAGGTTATGTAACCTCCAAATGTATGTCTTAATCGCATGTTCCAAATTTTCTTTTTTTAAGGGAAAGAAACTCAATTCTTTTTTTTAACTTTTAATTCAGGGGTACATGTGAAGGTTTGTTACATAGGTAAACTTGTGTCACGGGGGTTTGTTATAGAGACTATTTCATCATCCAGGTTTTAAGCCTAGTACTCAGTTGTTATTTTTTCTAATCCTCTCTCTTGTCCCACCTGCCACCCTCCAGTAGGCCCCAGTGTGTGTTGTTACCTTGTATACGTCAATGTGTTCTCATCCTTTAGCTCCCGCTCATAAGTGAAAACATGTGGTATTTGGGGTTTTGTTAATGCATTAGTTTTCTAAGCATAATGGCCTCCAGCTCCTTCCATATCCCTGCAAAAGACATGATCTCATTCTTTTTTTAATGACTGCATAATATTCCATGTGTATATGTCCCACATTTCCTTTATCCAGTCTCTCACCATTGGGAATTTAGATTGATTCCATGTCTTTGGTATTGTGAATAGTGTTGCAGTGAACATACACATGTATGTGTCTTTATAATAGAATGATTTCTATTTCTTTGGGTATACACTCTGCAACAGGACTGCTGGGTCGAATTGTATTTTTTTCTTTAGGTCTCTGAGAAAAAGCCACACTGTCTTCTAGAATAGTTGAACTAATTTACACTCCCACCAATAGTGTATAAGCATTCCTTTTTCCTTACAACCTCACCAGCATCTGTTATTTTTTGACCTTTTCATAATAGCCATTCTGACCAGTGTGAGGCAGTATCTCATTGTCGTTTTGATTTGCATTTCTCTAATAATCAGTGATGTTAAGTTCTTTTTCATATCATTGTTGGACAACATGCTCTGAATTTTCAAGGATTAAATTACCACGTGGAAACTCCACCTGGTCATCTTACCTTTGGTTAGGTCATCCCAGGTTCAAGAAAATCCACTCTCTGGTTAAGATGGACATTGCAAAGAGAGAAGGAAAACTCTGCCTGTACCAGACTTCCTGGTCATTGCCATCTTCACCACAGCACCCAGGAGAATTCAAAGTCAGTAACTTTTTGAGTATGGAGGCAAAGGCTACTTTCACTGCCCTTTGCTTCTGCTCATGACATTTTACATTAGGATAAAATCCAGAATCAAACAGAATATAATAGGGAGCTGAAAACTGAATATGGATAAATAAAGTAAGCCCTGAAAAAATAGGAGTTGTTAATGGTCCATAATTGGTCTTTGTAACTTTATAGAACAGATGTAATTCCAAAAAAGATCTTAAGAAATCATAGCCAGAGGGTGGCATATAATATATAACTGTCATATTCTGATCTGAAGGAGAGTTCTGGGGAGAAATAACTAAATTAGCAGCATGTAAAACAAATGTGTTTATTGTTATCTATTATTTATGGCCCTCTGGATAGCTGATAGTTCATTTGACTATACTTCTGCCTAAACCAATTTAAATTAATTTAGCTGGTAAATTGAATAATGCTATATCAACTGCTTTTCTGCAATCAAGATATATTGCATATACTCAACTCTCTTAATCAACTAAGCATATTTTCCAATGTTGATGGATAATTGCCTTTAAGTGCATCTTGCCCTTCTGCTTTTAGGTCTGGTTGATAGGACCATTACTGGAAGTGATAGGTTCCCAGAACCATTTTGAGAATGCAATTTGGCTTAACTCTCCCATCAGTGGTTATCAGTATAATCTGAGGGCTGTGAAGGCTATTAGCTTTCTCTAATGGTCTTTGCATCCCTTAAATAATGACAAAAAGGGCTCATCAGACAAGACGAAAACAAACCTCAACTTTCAACTCCCTAATATTTTGTTCACTTCACTATAAATGTTCACTATAGTTCATAAAGCACATAATCCCAAAGGGAAAGAACTCATCTGTAAAGATTTGTGTGCCAAATCAATGAATGCAGAGACTGCAGCATAATATGATCTGTAATTTCCAAAAATAAGTTTGTAACTGGAGTAACTGTGTCTGTTTCCACTTATAATTTGCTTGAACATTTGTATTACGGCATATCAGGAAGCTATAAAGAAACAGTGTTGGTAAAAGTCTGGCCTTATAGACCTGTGTCAACAACTAAGCTGAAAAACGTTTTTATAATGCATGAAATTCCAGGTCTCCTTCACCAATGTGACAGATTCAGAATTAGGAATTGTTTGCACTTCCTGTTTCTTTTTAAGCAGTTTACTATATATCGTGCCTGACTTTAAAATCTTAGTTTGTATATACCCCTATCCAGGTCAGGAAATCTTTTCTTTAATTTTTTATTACTGATTGCTTATGCCTTTAATGTTTGATGTTAGAGCTTGAATGTTTCAAATTATGGTGTAATTTTGTGAACTTAGCTTAGAGGTCTGCTGCACCTTTTCTCAGAAGGTTTCTGAAAACTAAGCTGATCATGATTATTGATGACTATAGTGATAGATATGCAGATGATTATCCCCCATGGGAGGACGTCCTCTAGAAGGGTTTTCCAGATGTGATTGCGGGTAACCGGGGATCCACCTTTTTTTGCTGGGTCCCATTGTGATTAGCAAACCCAAATGTTGATGTGGCATTTAGTACAGGCAGTGTCATTCTAGATAAGAGAGGAAGGCTGCCTTTTTTAGACCACAGAGAAAACCAAATATTTCTTTAAAAATTATAATTCTTTTCTGTTGAAAAATAAAGGAGAC
Source organism: Homo sapiens (assembly GCF_000001405.40). Lineage (NCBI taxonomy): Eukaryota > Metazoa > Chordata > Mammalia > Primates > Hominidae > Homo > Homo sapiens. Next base: position 174,010,978 of record NC_000004.12, read on the forward strand.
TCACTAAACCTCAGGGACTGATTAAGCCTTATGATACCTCAAACCTCTAATGCCAAGTGAAAAACAATTTTAAAATACTATGCTTCTGTTTGTTATATCTTACCAGATGAGACTGTTGATATATGAATATATTGCTTTATCTTGAGTTGATATACATTTCTAGTATATTTATAAGAGAAATACATTCATAATAGAAATATATTTCTGTGCATTGGGGCCAAAATCAAAATGAGATCATATATGGGAAAGCAGTTTATGCTTTGCAATAAATTTAAAAATATAGGATTTATTACATATAGATTTAGGTAAGCCTAAGAAGCAAGATGTTCCTTCAGCACTATCACATTGAATTATCCAATTGAAAGTGTGTTATCTGATTCTTCACCGATGTTTCAAAGCAATCGTTTGCTCATCGTATAATTTCCCAGCCCAAATCCTTCCATACATGAAAAACTGTAAATCAGAAAAAATATTTACCAAAGGAACCAAAATGACTGCCTCAAATCTTCTCTGGTTTTCAGGTACATGTGTTAAGCAATATTTCAAAAGACATAAATATGTATAACTGCTTTATGAAAATTCATGTGGGTTATTTTCAGATATTAGATAATTCTATATCATTACATATAGACCGAAAGACCGACAGACACACACACACACACATATACGCATATATATACATACATAAAAGATAAAATCAGGCACAGGAACAGTGGCCAGCTTTTTGTATTTTGTTTAAGAAACAAAGATGTTTTGCATTAACTTTTCAAAAAGTGTTTTGACTCAAAACCATACTTTAAAAAACATAAAATATAAATAAATTCAACTTTATGGTCTTTCAGAGGGAGAGTATGCTATTATTCCTTGCATCATTTTACCACAGATTTTTCGACACTGCTACATTCAAAGTGAATATTTAATAAATGTTTCCATTGAATGGTTGGCTGAAAAATATTTTAAATACATTTCAAAAAGAGAGTTCTATGCATGCCTTGGAGGTGTTCAGTTACTGCTAATGATAATAAAGAATACATATTTACAGCATACATAACACTGGTCCAGAAGGAGTTTAACAAAAGGTTAAGTCAAGCTGTAAAACCCCCCAGTAAACATCCAACTATCTATAACCTGATCAGATTGGAACAATGGAGAATCACCTTCTCTTTTCCCAGAAAGACTTAGCTTATAAAGTGATGTTTGCTTATCTAGGTCACCCTTGTTTATTTCAAACCAGTGTTCAGAGTCATTTACTCTTCTCTGCTACTTCCAGGCTGTGCACAGTGTGTGATAATGACAAATCAGTTACAGCAGGGTTTGAAGTAACAAGGCACTTTTGTCAAGTAGAGCTTATGAGTTTGGAATGTTCCAAATACTGAGCCATGATATTAATCCAGTAAATGCTCGAGTTAGACTCAAGTCAGCAGATTTTTATAAAGTGACTCCTATGTACTTAGCATTTTGATAAGGATTCCTGAGGAGTTTTTATCTCTGGGGATTTACTCTCATTAGGGAGGACAGATTTATGTATTTTTTAAAACACAACAACTAGAAAACAAAACAATTATATGACCCAGTAATAAAATGTATGCTGCAGATTATAAATGTTTGAGGAATAAGGAAATTAGTGTGAGTAGACATGTTCATATTTGGGTTTATGAAGAGAGTAGGTCTTAGAAAATGAGCAGGACATGGTTGGTAGGAAGGACGGCAGAGACTTGAGAGGGATATGGCTCACACACATGCATAAATATTGGAGCACACATATCTGAGTCACTCCTGCAGAGTAATAAAAATGAGGACTCTGGCGTCAGCTTTCCTGGGTTCAAACCCTGCCCCCGCATCACAGAAACTGGCTTTATCTAAATTTTCTCAAGTGCATAATGGGAGAAATAGTAGTACCTAGTGCTGCTGTGAGGTTTTAATAAATTAATGTGTGTAAAGCATATATGCTAATATATGTAAAGTTGTTACATGTAAAACACTCAAAATTGTGTCTGGGACAAGTAAGTGCTATATAAGTACTTACTCAACTGTTAACTAGAAAAGGTATTTGGGAGTCAATATGGATGTGGCCTAACTGGGTCAAGAATATGTGCATGTAATGGGAATATAAGGCAGATTAGTATCTTGTATTCCATATTTGCACTTTAAATAAATGGCAAAGCCTGTGTAGAACACTAGGTTCCTGCCTCCCAGGACATTACTCTTTCTATGATATCATACTGTTTTCCTATGTTTCCAATTTTCTCATCTTTAAATTGAGGATACTATAAACCTCATAAATTTTTTGTTAGGATTAAATGAGTTAAGACATGTCAGTTGCTTAAAACAGTGCCTAACATATTGTTAACATGCAGTAAATGTTAAGAAAAAGAAGATAGCAATTATGAGTTGTATTTCTTAGCTTTTGCTGCGTAATAAACCACCCCCTATTCATGATTCTACAAACTGGAAGTATGTGCTTGGCTCAGTTCTCATCTGGGCCAGCAAAGCTGAATTCATTTGAGCTCACTCATGGTCTACAGTCAAGTGGTGGGTTGGGTGAGTAGGGATTGATGCTTTATGAAATGGTCTCCAATGGAGAGAGCTGTGATGACTGGAACCAACTAGCCCAGACTTATTCACAAAGTAGAGCGTTCCAAGAAGTCTCAAATCTCTGTCTCCTGTTTACAATTGCTCCACTGGACAAACAAGTCACACCGTCATGCCGAGAGTCAGTGTAGAGGTGAATGACACAAAGACTTGAATATAAGAAGGAGAGAACAAATTTGAGATCTTTACTGCAGCACTCTATAATTACATATAATAGTATATTAAATTCAAGAAGCAAACCTTCCAGTTAAAGGTGGTGATTTAACTAAATGTGTAAACCTGCTTCTTCCTCCTGAAATCCCACTAAAATGTCAATAAAAAATAAATAAGTAACCCTACAGGGATAAAGAGATGGGGAAAAGAAAATATCTGAAGAAATATTTCAACAATGTTTTTGTTAATTGATTTGACAAATCAGAGGAAGTTATTCATCAAAATACTTTATCAATGAGAAGTAATGTAAATTAAGCCACTCGACCTCCCTGAGAAGCCCTAGATTTGGAGGTTTCAAGTACTGAGAAGGTTGAGGGGTAAAAGGAAGTCCTGAGAACTGGGAGATTGGTTTGATGCACATGCAGAGAGCAATCAGACCTCAGCTTACCTCCTCCACCCATGCAGATAAGAACTACCTGCTCTGAGGCAGGAAATAGGAGATCTTTTGTCTGGAAAAATGAAGTGGAAGATTTTAGGATTTGGAAACAACAGGTAGTATGGGTTGGAGGTAAAGCCTGGGATTAGATGAAAGTCTACTTATTGAAAAGGAAGGAGATAGTTGGGTTATTTAAAGATGCTGCTTGGCTCCAGAAGGAAAATGTATTGACATTTAAGGATGCAGGGGTTTTTAGTTGTTCTTCAGCCAAACAGAATTCCCCATCAGTTCTTCATTGATGAATTTTAAGAACCCAGAATAATGCCTGAGTGGTAGGCATTCAGTATGTTTCGAATATTGCTTAAATGAGTTTTAATACTTCATTTTTAGACATAGGTCAGGATTAGCAGATATTTGAGGAAAGTCTCTAACATGAAAGAGAAAGACTGAAAGAAATAAACATCAAACATGAAAAAAATCCAAAGGAAATGGAGCTCTAATGGGAGGGGGAGAAGAAAGCATTGTAAATGTATACCAAAACCCTCAGAGAGTTTAAGAAAAAAGATAGATGGCTCATAAATTAGACCTGAATGCTATTATTTTAAAAGAACAAAAATTAAAAATTTTGCTATTAAAAAGTCAAAGTTAAAATTCAATGGAAGTTTAAACAATAATCTTAAGAAAATCTCCTCAAAAGAAGAACAAAATATAAAGAGAAGAAAATAGAAGATAAAAGATGAGAGATTTAGAGTGTCAAAACTAGTAGTCCAACATATAACAAACAAGAGAGTTCCAGAAAGAGAAAATGGAGGTTCAAATACAATCATAAGAACATCTCCCAAAACTGGAAAAAACCCAGTCTCCACGTTGAAAGACCTACCTAGTGTTTTGTTCAAGGAGTAAAGACTCACAGTAAGACACATTATTGTGAAATTTAGCAATATTGAGGAAAAAGAGAAAAATAACAGCTTTCACAGAAAAAAATCAGGTATTTATAAAGAAATGAAAAGCAAATTAACATTAGACCTTTTTATTTTTAACCAGAAATACTATCTGCTGTTAGTCAGTTGAGAAATTCCTTTAATAATTCTGAAGAAAATCTATTTTCAAAGTAATAACAATCAAATTGTCAATCAGTTTGGAAGATCAAAAATCTCACCTCCTATGCATTTTTTCTAAGATTCTTCTCCAACTAAATGAAAGAGTAATGAAGAAAAAGGAAGACTTGATGTTCAAACAGAAGAGAATTCAGTTTGGGAGGGCAGCTGTTCAGCAGCCTAGAAAGCTGCAAGTGACTCCAGAAGAACCCTTTCCAGGAAAAGTAGGGAAGTGGTAGATTCACTGATGTGATAGGGCTTTGGGGAAAATAAAACTTGTAGCTATGTGGAGAATTAATGGAGCATTTGGGAGCAAAAACTAAGGAAAAGAACATAAGAAACAATACAAATGGAAAATTGGGTTTTATTGATTCAAGAAAAAACAAAAAGTTATACTTAAAAAAGGAAATATAATACACTGCCACTCCGAGGAACAATATTTAATGATCACACTAGTGGAAATGCTGATTACTGATTCAACAACAACAAAAATGTGATCTCTTAAATTAGGAGAAAGGATGGGACAAGAAAGTGGGAAGTGGAAAACAGTTAAATCTTCATCTACCATAGCAGAATGTCAAATGATGATATTGAAAATATGTTTTTTTAAAAAACAGAAACATATTATTTAGAAATGGAAAGATAAGTGCCAGAAAAATCAGCTTAAAGCAATGTTTAAGTAGTTACCTTTGGAGGATAGGACTACAGGTAAGGAGGAAAGTAGAGGAGATATCAGTTTTTCAATGTAAAATTTATTTTTTAAACTATGTGCTTGCATGACTTTGATAAATATGAAATAAAATAGGAGGAGACTTGAACATAGATTTGTCTTATTGTTAATCATATTTCAAAAAATAGGGCTGGGACCAGGATCTACCCATCCCCATCAAGCGAGGATTGATACTAACTACAGCCACTCCTGCGGGGGCCCAGGGTTGGTTTGCAGTTGTTATTGTTGTTTTGTGAATGCCTGTCTGTGTGTATGCAACTACCCTTAGTCACTAGCCAAGGCTTTACCCACACTGGCTGCTGATCACTCGCCTTGGCATTGATTGGCCTAGAGCATGCATGGACCCTAGAACCTCTCTTTCCCACTAGCCCAGGCTTTTCATCGGCTTCATTTTTGTCTCCCTCTTGGCCTTCTTAGTAGGCACCTAGCACAGCACTCTCCTGGCTCTGTTTTTCAGTCACAGCATGAGCAGAAAAAAGAGAAGAAGGTAATGAAAGTGAGAGAAAATACTCTCATTTAGCATTATTTCTAATCTCTACTTCTATTTTTCTATTTAAAGCAAGTCATGGCTGCCCAACTGATATTTCTAAAAGTCCACTTTGTGTTTGACTCCAATCAGGCCTCATTATCCTAGGGGAAGAGGAGATGGAGGTGAGAGGAAGAGGATGGATGAATGTGGAAGGCCTTCTGCAGCTTAGCATGCAATGGTCATTTCCTGTATGCAAGGTCTTCTGCTATGTTCTGTGCAGGAAATCAAGAATGAGAAACAATTTTGGCCCTAGAGGCCTTACAAATATATCTTCCTAATTACAAGGTTATAGTCCTTTGGGAATTGCAAGTTCCCTTGAAAATTCACACAATCCTAACATGTGTTGTGCCTAGTTTGATGTGTTCTTAAACTATTACTAGCTAACACTTCTTACTGCAGAATTTCTGTGGAAATGAGACATAGGTATTTCTACAGGATAAATGAGACGAGTGAAAAGAGGTGTTGAAAAGGAAAACGAAAGGATGAAACAGATACAATTCCTACTTCGCTGTTTTTCAAAGTGCTTATAGTGAGTGCTCTCCGTTTCTCACCCGAAGGGGAGAAACTTCCTTGGCCTTTTTCTTCAAGTAAATAGATTAAATCTCTCTTATTGCTATTGCTATTTGACCTTTTTCATGAAGCATAGCAAAGAGTTTTTCATAATCCTAATATATACTTATGGTTTGTGACTAATGAAAAGAATTATTTCCATCCTCTAAATTAATAGGCTTGCCTCCCTGCCCAGTAAGTTGTTCCTTCCTATACAGCATTCAGTAAAATATTTGCTGAGTAACTAAAATGTCCAAGACACCTATTTCAGCAATATATGAACTAGAAACAAAACAATAACTACAAACATGACTTATCTCTTCAAGGAAAGGAGTCAATATTCTTGTACGGAAAAAGGATCGTAGAAAAATACCTAATAGCATAGTGTGACAGAAATTGCGTGGAAATTACTACAAGGCAGCAAGTGAGATAGACCCTAAGCTGAGCAGACAATAAGGGTATGGCAATCCTAAATCTACATGGTGTGGTGATTAAGTCCTGCGTCCATGGAGTCAGAAAGAGCTGGGTCCTGACTCTACTTATTAACTGTGCAACCTTGAATAAGTCACTTATACCATGAGCTCCAAGTATCTCATCCTTAAAATAGATACATTTCAGCACCTTATTGAATTTCTTCAGGCTAGGCTCTAGGGATACAACGGTGATCATGACAGTTATGGTCTCAGGCCTTATTCAATAAACAGCAAAGAATCCAAATTGGGATAAGTATTCTGAAAGGGAGATATGGGAATGAAAACGAAAAGTAAACCAAAAAGTAAAACCTTTCTGAGACCAGTGATTTTGACAGACACTGGATTATAGAGGACCTGATAAACGACAATAAGGATTTTAAACTTTAACCTAAGCAGGAGAAGAATTGATTGAAGGGGTTTAAATACACTTCCTTTACAGAAGTCTTGCGACTGTTACATGAGAAATTGGTATGTAACATTTTTAGTGCCTTCCTGATAAAGCCTTTGCACTTCTAACTACTGCGTGAGTTACTCTACAGGGAATATAGCTAAACCCGGGTTATTTGGACACCACAAATTCCTTTCTTAACATTTTTGTTTAACATCTTTGTTCAATATTAATTTAGGGAGAAAGTAAAGAAACTAATTTTATATTACTAAAATCATATACTTCTTTAAATTGCAAAGAAGGGCTGTATCCCTTACATTGATCATAACATTCTAATTTACTTGGAATAGTCTGTTCATTATTTTCTTTATTCATAATTGGATATTGTCAGAGCTAAAACTATACCTAGAGGTAAATCATGTAACTATGACACAAAACATTGTTTTTTGTTTGTTTTGGAGACAGTCTCACTCTGTTACCCAGGCTTGAGTGCAGTGGCGCAATCGTGGCTCACTGGAAACTTCGCCTTCTGAGTTCAAGCGCCTTCTGCCTCAGCCTCCTGAGTAGCTGAGATTGCAAGGATGCACCATGATGCCCGGATAACTTTTTGTATTTTTAGTAGAGACGAGGTTTCATCATGTTGGCCAGGCTGCTCTCGAACTCTTGACCTCAAGTGATCCACCTGCCTTGGCCTTCCAAAGTACTGGGATTATAGGCATGAGCCACCATGCCCCGCTGCAAAGCATTGTTTTAAATAAGATGTTTTTCTCACTTTGTATTAGCAAAACGTTTTCTACCTTTTTATGATTTTTTTCACTTTCATTTGTGATCTCCTACACTAACTTTCTTGAGTGGTATATAGTTGGGAGATATTAAATATAGATTTTTAAAATTACCTTTTTTTTCAGGTAAAAAAGCGCTATTCTATGTGTTACGTATTTTCCTAATTTCAACGTCCTGTGACTGCCCACTTCAGGCAGTTGTCAGATCTCAGGGTTGATGAGAGCCCTGCAGTTGCGTTGGGGAAATTGTGTATCAGAAAATGCTCCTTGCTAGAGATTGGGGCCAGTGAAAATAGCCCATCTTTCTTTCTTCCTTCCTTCTCTCCTTTGTTCCTCTGTCATTTCTTTTTTTTTTTTCTTTTCTTTTTTGAATCAAGGGCCCATTCTTCAGGAGAAGTGGTACTAATTCACATCTCACTCATAGAAGGAGTTACATGTGAAAACCTGAGGTATCTAGTAGTATATTTCTGATTCCCTCTATGGATGCTTAAAATGCCTTATAGCTGTGTTTCCCAGACAGGTGCCTGAACGACCCACCCCTGGATTTAACTCTGATGGGAATACATGTGAAACATTACTTTAAAACATATATGCAATTTTTAAGAAACATGTAAGACACCTCCTCACTCCTACTCACCCTTGAAATAGTACCCATTCTTCTCTGATAAAAGGGACACCTTAGTAGAAAAGTTTTACAAGTTCTGATGATACCAGTACTTAATAAATGGCCATATTATTATTATTATTATAAGGAAAGACAAAGAGGAGATTGAGAGGCTTTGAAGCTTCAGAAGGAGATTGAACTACACTTTGTAGGCGGGTAGGACAGATGAATGGAGAAGAGAGACAGAGTTCTAGACAGAGGACATGGTGAGAAAATGTATGGCATCAGTCTGCTCATAGTGAGTTGAAGGGATCTGGATAGGACAGGTGGGGTAGAGCAGGTAGAAAATAGCTTTGTGATTCAGAGAGAAAAAATTATGCTACAGTGTGACAATGTAAACTCTAGGGTTAAAAAAGAGAGAGAACATCTTTGATTCAACAACTTTCTTCACTTTCCGAGGCACAAAATAAGTTTCAACGATTATGAGTATGAAAAAGTAGCCTCAGAGATATAATCAAATCCAATAAATAATATATAAATGAATATAATAAATACATTTTCCCTCACAGACTCTGATAAAGAAAGCAGTTAATAAATACAGATGTGTGCTGCTACTGCGTACTGAGAAAGCTTCCATCCAACCAGAGAAAACAAATCTGAAGTTAGGTCCCCTTCAGTGAAAATGCATGACTGTGAACTTCTTCATAATCCAGGAAGGGAGAAAGTACATACATTAGTCAAGGCAGTGCACTGTACTGCATTGTGTAGTCTATTAAATAATAACATATATGAAATGAATGGATCGGCTATTCAATGATATGTTCACTTACGGAGTATCAGGTCAACCTGAAAGAAACTAATATAACCCCAAAGTTAAAAGGAAGATACTATTGTAGTAAAAACTTGAAGCCTCTTAACATATCTGTTAAAAGAAAACAATAAGCATTAAGTTTAATAAGCTTAATAGACTTAACCGAAACTAGCACAAAGGCAGTTCAGTGTTAAGAGTAGGAACTGCCAAATCACTGCCATTTGCCCACTTTTCTTCTGGCTTCAAATATGAAATCAATTATGTTAATTTTTTGAATACGTTGGAACATTCCAAAATTTTATTATAATTATATAGAATATTAGATAAAACATTTCCTGTATTTCCTCCAAAATGCTAGAAAAGGAGTTGTATGGTAGATAATTCTTAACTGACTTTGCTCTTATCCATTCCTACTTAGAGATTTTTCCCGTATTTGTGATAAATGTGCAGGATTTTTGTATGTGAAGTTTCAGTAGAAAACATTTGTCTTATATGTTCTTAGTTTATACATCTTTGGGAAAGCCAGTCAAAAGAAACATGAGAGCTATTTTTAGGTGCTTTCCCTACATTTTTATTGCCTTTTAATGAAAGAGATCTTTGGGTTTTTGGGGAGGAGATGATAAATAGTAGGGAGTGTGAAGTTTAAAAGAACATATATCTTGGCTATAAATTCCATAATGTGAATACAACCTCTTTTGTTTAGATCTCTTAATTTTTTCTCCCAGCAATGTACAGTCTGTTTGGGAATCATTCACATACTTAAGCTGTATTTACATATAAGAATCATGCTTTGGTGAAGTAGGTGATAAAGGCATGGGAATCTTCCAGAATGTAAAGAGAAAAAAAAATCAAATAATTAGGAGTAAAAAAAAACACTCCAAACTTAAAAAACATTCACTCATATTTAGATTGAGAGAAAACTCAAAATGCTGAGCACATTCATCCTGATGAAATTTCGTAATTAAAAAAAGGAAAAAATTAGACAAGCCTCCAAAAAGAGAGAATGGAAAGGGAAAAGAGAGAGGGAGAGATGGAGAATGAGAAAAAGAATTGCCTACTAAGAAATAAGAATCAAGAATCAGACTGCATTAGACTTTTACCAACCAGATTTTAGAAGAGAATAGAGGAATTTATTCATAAATGTATTCAGAGTTCCAGAAAGACATTCTGAATCTAGAATTTTAAAATTATGTATACTTTGTATATACATATACACATGTATGTTATTTTTGAAGAGGTGTGCTCACATGGCTCAAAAATCAGAACAACATAAATACATACAGAGAGAAGACCTCTACATCTGTCCCCATCCACTCCCTTGTATATAAGCAGATTTACTAGTTTTTTTGTGTATTCTTTTAATACTTTATAAATATATAAGCAAATGTATATATATAATCTTCTCCTTTCTTATACAAAAGATAGCTTACTATAAATATTGTACTATTGCTTTCTTTAATTACTTAATAAAAAATGTTAGAGACCTGACTATTTTAGTACCAAAAGATCCTTTTTTTTTTTTATTGCTGCCTAAGCCTGTGTAGTGTGGATACACCAGAATCTCTGGGACCAGTGCCTATTGTTGGATACTTAAGCAGTTTCCAACTTCTTAGTGCTGTAAACAATCGTGCAATTAATAATATTTAATATACGTTACTTCTTAAATACCCATGTGCATCTGTAGGATGATGTTCCAGTGGTGGAATTACTAAGAAAAGTTAAATGCATTTAGGTAAATAGTATCAAATTTCCTTCCTTTGGAGTTGTTCCATTTTGGAATCCTAAAAACAATGCATGAGGATACTAGTTTCCCCACAGTTTTGCCAGAAGAATATGTCAACCTCTGGGTTTTTGCTAATAAAATATGTAAAATATCATACCTCTGTTTAAGTAACATTTGCATTTCTCACATTACTGTTAAGGTGTTGCTTCTTTTGCTATGTTTGTGGGTTGTTTATGTAGTTATCTGTGGATGATCTTAACTGTTTTGGGGGAGGTTGTTAGTTTATCTCAATTACTAAAAGTTATTTATATATTTGGGAATTAGCCTTTGTTGGTGACATGAATTACAATCAACCCTCTACCACCACCACCGATTTTGTGTTTATCTTTTGAGTTTGCTTGTAGTATTTTTTCCATGCAGAATTTCTTGATTTTTATGTAGTTAAAATTATCCTTTTCATCTTTAGTGACTTCTAGATTTTGTATTTTATTAAGAAAGGTCTTCCTCATTCCAAGGACATAAAAGAATTCAATGATATTTTCTTGTACTTACATGGTCTTATTTTTTAAATTCAACCTTTAATCAATTTGGGATTTATTCTGGTGTAAGATGTGCAATGCTAACTTACTCCAGATGCTAGCTAATTGTTCTAACACCAGTAATAAATTTATTTTTTTTTAATGAACATGAGACAGAAACCCTGGACTAGTTTTTTTATAACTTCAGATTGGGAAAGACTTTTCTAACTGTCATACAAAATCCGGTAGTCATGAAAAAATTAACACTGATCATTTTAACCATATAAAAATTAAAAGCTTCATTTTTCTCACTTACTTGTGATGACATCCTTATTGTATGCTAGATTCCTGTATATATTTTTCTTTATGGACTTTCTATTATGTTTTATATTTTCATGCAGAAGTACCACAGTTTTACCTTTTGAGGTTTATGAATATTGGGAATCCCTACTAGCAACTGCCTATTTGCCTATTTGTTTCATGAAGAAACAGCATGCGCTCCTGGTGTTCCATTCTGTTTATTATTGACAAAGAAATCCTGTATCTCATGGCTTGTGCTGACATTTGTATCTGGTCTCTTGCACCTAGATCCTAGAGTTAAACTCAAATGAGAGTCTTGAGTGCAATTCTGCTGGCCTAACAAGACAGAAAATAGCACAAACAAACATTGGGAAGTGGCTCTTTTGACTCAACCTAGAGCTTCCGACCCTTAGCCATCTATCTGATCTATAAAAAGAGAGCACCAGGCCGGGTGTGTTGGCTCATACCTGTAATCCCAACACTTTGGGAGGCCGAGATGGGTGGATCACCTGAGGTCAGGAGTTCGAGACCAGCCCAGCCAACACGATGAAACCCTGTCTAAAAATTCAAAAAATTAGCCTGGGGGGTGGTGGTGGGCACGTATAATCTCAGCTACTCGAGAGGCTGAGGCACGAGAACCACTTGAACCCGGGAGGTGGAGGTTTCAGTGAGCAGAGATTGCACCATTGCACTCCAGCCTGGGCGAGAGATCAAGACTCCATCTCAAAAAAAGGGAGAGAGAGAGAGAGAGAGAGAACCATGTGTCAAAGACAGCACTTTTTCCTTTTTTGTATATTTTCCCTGGGAATGAAACTTGCCCTTCAACTCTGGGCTAGGAGCCCTAAAGCCGGATCATACATACTCTATCCTATAATTAAATGCCACTACTGTTTCTCCACATAACCATCCCTAAAGTTGGCATTGACCACAGGGTGCTTGAGGAAGAGTGTCAATGTTGTAAGCTTCCCAGAAGGGAAGTCAGGTGAGAGAGAGGGCTTTGAGACAATCACTCTGGTCTTCGCTAGAGTAGGAGAAGAGAATTGCATAGGTGAGAGCCTGGCTGAAGTTGGCAGCACCAGAAAAGGATTGCACTGGGGGGTAATGGCGTTCAAACTGCAGTGGACCATGGATATTTATGGACTAGGTGTGGATCCTGTAGCAATAAACTAATGTGACATGCATTAAGAGTTATGCTACCCAATAAAATCACTTTGGAAGACCAATATGATCTAATAAGTGGATGAGTCACAGGAAACCAAGAGGCAGAATGGAGTCTCTTAAATAGCTGGCCAGAGAAGAGATGTTAAGCATAAGGAGAGCCACAGTCAGATTCCCAGAGGGAATACCAGTTCTGGATATTCTCTACCAGCACAGGGCACCCATGCCTGTTCACACCTGCACAAAGCAGCTAGCGAGTGGATGAAAAAGAAGAGAAATCAATCACGTCTTCTTTCACTGAAGTCTTCCCAGCTGAGTCAAACCTAGGTGCAGGAAAGGAGAAATTTAAATTGGGTAAGAATTTGGGATTTTGATATTTCCCTTAACTGGGCCAGTGTTTTTATTTTCAGAAAGTATCTAGAAGTTAAGGAATCAAGCCTGAGTGTCATCTCAGGTATGGGGAAAATAAGTTGTGGAACTGATTTGAATGAGCAGTGGAAGAAAAAAAATAAAATTGGTTTCTGGTTGTTTCTCACAAAACCAATATGTTCAATGAATCAGTAACAAATACACAGTCCTTTTTCAGGACGTTTGTACATCTATATCCCGGCAACATTGGATCAAGCCCCCTCAGTATTTAATGAAGATTCTATTAGCATTTCGTTCCAAATAATTCATCATTTGTGTGATTGGCCCATGTATTACAGGACTTTTAGTATCCTACATTCTTATCCTTTAAATGTCAGTCAAGCTCCTAGTAATTCTAAGGAATGTTTCCTAAGGGCGGTACCTCCACAAATTGAGAAACACTAACTCACGGTAAATGAGTTGATGCTGACAACCTGAGTATCTTCAAATGACATGATAATCCCCAGTAACATATTGCAAAAGGTGAACTTGGAATGGAAGACTCTAGATGCGCTCTCCAATTGATGTCCTATACATTTAGTAACTTTAAAAGTAGGAATAAAAGAATAATCAATTGAACCTAATCAATTTCCTTGGGATATATATAGTAGCCCTTAAAATGGCTAAACCTAAAATTCAACTAAGAACCTAGAATAAATGTTCTGTTGGAAAAATAATGGCTCTCTCTCAAGTCCTACCCAAACATAATATACTATATGACTTTATGATCCCAAAGTGTCATCTGCAATAATATGGTGAGAATGAACTCCAAGACAGTTACAAACTGAAGTATTTAGCAAGTAATGATTTATCAGAGAACATATTTGCTGAAAATATTACTACTTTTAAATCTATAAAAAAGAGATGGTGTCTAAAACATAGCTCTCTATGACATTAATAATATATAATCAGATCTTTTGCAAGTGGCACCTGGAAAGATAGCATGGCCAAAAAGTAGGATTAAAATATAAGAATTAAATAAGAAAGTAAAAATAAAATATGCTGCATTGTGTTAGGAACATAGATGTTTAAACAAACCACAAATAAAAACAAAGATACAGTTACAAAAAAAATAAGGGGCAGAGGAGGAGGAAGATGGTGAAAAAGGAAGAGAAAGGGAAAGATTAAGTTAAATTAAAGGTGGGAAGGAGGAGATGGAGTGCCAGTAATTATACATTAAAGAATTAGATTTATCTCTCTCCAAGGGACTTAAGTGATGACCTGCCATTAGTTATCATGGAATGTGAATCCGAAAATAAAGTGGTAAGATCAGCAGTGGCTTTATTAAAAATTTAAGTGGATGCACCTGAAAAAAATAAAACTGTAGGCAAAGTATCCTTTGCAAGAGGCTCTTGAACCAAATCACTCAAAGATAAATCACCAAAGGTAGACATTACAAAGGACACATTGGCTTCCAATGTTCCATCAAAATGGCTGGTGTGTGACAGTCACTGGAATCTATGAATGGATGCAATGGAAACTGTGAGGTAAATGGTCCAAGGGGCATAGTCCTGCAAACTGGAGCTTTGTCTATAATAAACACTGTATGGTTGAAAGTATGAAGATTCATCTTACAATGCAGAGAGATAGACACAATATTTAAACTACTATTACACAAATAATTTAGATAAAAGAAAATTTAATAAAATATGCCTTAGAAGTTTCCATGCTTTATTACCTGTAGAAGAACATAATGAAACATCCCTCACTATATTTAGCTTACTGCTCTCCCAACTCTGGAAAAATAGCCTCACTCTGGAAAAATAACTATCAAACCATGGTTTTATACTAAAATTTTAAATTATGAAATGAGCGTCAATTTTCATTCCAAAACAGAGTATGAGATTTAGCAGATTTGTTGACTCAAAAATAAAGAAAAGATGTAAATCTTGGCTGATCGTTAATGTTTTTTTCTTGTTCCCCATTTACTTCTTAAGTGTGGACCCTTGGATTCTTATTTGGCCTGTGAAGATGATTACAACAAAGGGCTACATCTCACCAAGATATCTTTCATCAAGCTAATCATTTTTAAGAATTGCTAAAGCTAATTAAGCCCTTGTCAAACACTCAGCAGAATTCTAATCACCTTACATGTATTCATTTACTTAATTCTCATGACAATTTTACTATTCACCACTTATGACAAATGAGAGCAAGAAAGCTGAGCTACCAAGAGATTAAATAACTTGCCCAAGGACATGCAGCTAAAAGAAATAAATATTTTTAAGTCTATAGTCCCTCTCCACTCCCAGGCAAAACGACTAACTGGTGATGCGCACACATGACTCAGAAAATGAGACAGTCGTGATCTCTCTATTAAATAAAATTAAACTGAAATGTTCGGCTTGAGAAAGTCCTCAGGGGACAAAGACCCTCAGAGGGGAAATAGGCTTGCCTAGAGATGAGAGATGTCATGTACAGAATAAGTGGAAGGCTCCTTGTTGTGTGGAGTTTGTCGTAGTGTCACTTCTAATCAGTTGGGTAAGGTCCAACACATCCTGCTTTTGGCCAGGTGCTGCAACAGAGGGAGGAGTATTGAAAGTGGAAAATAGGTTTTTAGAAGATAGATGATCCATTTTGGGACATAATATTTATGGATTAAAACAAATTAGGTTCAGCTGAGAAAATGTAAAAAATATTCTAACGTGAATTAGAAATAAAATTTTTAAACACACAAAGCCCATCCTAAAATATATACATTCATACTGCACTTTTATGCAGTAGTGGCACACACAGTTTCTTTGATCATCTCTATATTTTTTAGTGATGATGACTTTGGAATTGACTAAAGGATGTAGCAACCATTTTCTTTCTCATTTTACAAATTTGTAACTTGTTCCCTGGCTTATTGCGATAGTCTTGAGTGTTTGGGTTCCCTCAAAATTCATATATTGAAATCCCAACCCCCAACGTGATGGTATTAGAAAGTAGAGCCTTTGGGAGGTAATTAGATCACCTGAAATGATATTAGTGCCCTTATAAAAGGGACCCTAGAGAGAGCCCTCACCCTTTCCACTATGTGAGAACACAGCAAGAAGACACTCTCTATGAACCATAAAGTGGGCCCTCAGCAGACACTGAATCTGCAACCCTCTTCATTTTGGACTTCCCAGCCTCCAGAACTAAATATCTTTGTTATTTATTTGAAAAATGAATTTTTGTTGTTTGTAAACCAGCCAGTTTATGGCATTTTGTTATAGCAGCCACAACAGACTAAGACATTTATAAAATTGTAGTGATAACACAATAATAATTCTATCTTCAACTTTATTAAATTAAAAACTTTGAACTCTTTTTCTATTGACACCTCAATTTTTAAATTTGCCAAGTATAGTATTTGTTTATATTGCATACTTTAAATATAGATATGAATTTGCTTGTTAATATTTTAAAGATACACTAAAAACAGAATGTATAAGACCTGAAATTGTTTATTCCCAGAAGAAATAAACAGATAAAACAATAGGCCAATCAATCAACATTTTGTGGATCATTTGTTACATGTAATATTTTTATAAATATTTATGGAATATATTCTACATGCTAAATATAAGGTGTTATATAAGATTTTAGAAGGCATAGTGGCTCGTGCTCTCTGGGAAAGGTCTACGATAAACACGCTGTCATTATGGAAGGAGGCATGTAACATATACCTCAGGAATGTTATACATCAGGTCAGAGAATGAGGGAAGAGGTCATCTGTGTTGGTGGCAGCAATAAATGAAGGTAGTCTGGTGCAAAGGAAGTAGAACTAAGGAATCAGGAGACGGAGAATAAACCTTTCAGATCTGCTGAGCTATACGATTATTATTGGGAGTACAAAGAAACGTGTAAGCTGGGTGAAGGTGGCAAAGAGCCTTGAAGGCCAGTCTAGAGCTGTTTGTTATTACATAGATAAAACATTTGGATGGCTGATCTCTTCACCCAGGTATTTGGCGTTATCCCAGGATTTGACTTGGAATTTTAAATTTTTTAAAAAAATCAAAAAAACATAATTCTTGTGTAAAGGTCAAGGAATATCTTAATTTGATTTTGGAATTTTGTTCCAAGGGGAGTAGTCTTACCACTATCCCTTGAGACAGACAAAAAGAGACCAAAGTTAAGAAAATAAATTCTAACAAAATGTCAAAAAGATCGGAAGACCAATAGCATAAAATGTGCCTACTCTTGTATAATTTTATAAACATTAACACTTTAAATGGTATCTAAAGTGGTATAGTCTCCTCACCCACACACAGTCAAGACACAATTATCGCATTGGCTATTCCTAGATCACTATTTTAAGTACTAACTGCACATTGATTTTCCCTGAACTTACTTCGAGGTTCAAGAATCTTTATTTATTCGTGCATGCACTTAAATCTGTAAGCTGGAAAGTCGTGAGTTCAATCGTAAATTTGGGAGTCATGAAGTTGTAGGCAGTCTAGAGTTCAATCATAAATTTTGGAGTCATGAATTTGGCATTGGTTTTAGTCCTACCAAAATGTATCTTCCTAACTCTAATCCAGTGACATCACTATGGCCTTCAGACCTTAATCCCCCAGCAGGCACAACTCCAACTATAAACAGAGATTTTCACATTTAAACTATAAACTCCATATAACCAAGGGTTTTGTAGTGAGTTTAGAATTTATATAAAACTCAGATTTTAATCCCTATAAGCATAAAATAAAAATAAAAACTCTTCAGGCACAGGCTTTAACAAAAACAAACAAAACAAAATGTATTTTTCTCTTTCTTGAGTGAGGAATGAATTAAGGACCATCTGTCACCATAACTTTGAACCACTTGATCTTGGTATGCTTTTTTGGTCAGTTTTAATGTTTCTTAAACCCAATTTCTCTTGTCTTCTTTAAAATGGACTAATCTCCAATCATCATGGAAATAAGTCAAGTAAATGAAAAATCATAAATTACATGGGGACTCACTAATTCAGTTAGTTTATTTGGAAACAAAATGCCTGGGGCTTCAAAGAGAAGAAACTGCCTTCGCTTCAATTCCTTGTATGCATTGGCCAAATTAACTTGCCAAGGAAATGACAGATGATTTAACAAAGTGAGTGACCAATGCGACTTTCTGTTCCATCCAGAGACGTGTTGGGGGTAGGGGTGAGGTAGGGCTTGGGGAAGGATAGAAAAAGTCTGGAGCATGAATTCCAAACCATGGCTTTTATGAAATACTCAGATTAGTCACATTTCCCAACTAAGAAGGTATTGTAAAACATCCAAAACATTTTCAAACTTAAAGGCTTTCAATTCAATTATTTTAAATTATGTATAATACAAAGCACTTTAAGAAAGGTACAAAGCCCAAAAGGCCATGAAATACAAAATTCGATATCTGCCAATCAGAAACTAACTGAAACTCTCTTATGTGATTAAGTTACATTGGTCATCAATACAAGAATTCAGGAATTCTACAAAGTGTACATTGAAAATTAAAAATATATCAAGAACAAAACAACAACAAAATTAACTCAAGGGTAAGTGACATTTATCTTATAGCCATATTGTGGTTTCCAGGTATAAATTGCTTTCATCGTATCTATATTATGACACAATCTTGTGAGATGTGAGAGGTAAGTATTACTATTATGAGAAAAAGAAAACTGAAAACCAGAAAGAGTAAGTGATATATTCAAGGCCATACAGGTAATAAATAGCAGTGACAGAAGAAATCAGATATCCTTAATTATTCCAATTTTCCAATATAATTTGCTAATTATAAGATAGAGGTGAGTAAAGTATAGATGAGAAAAAATATTTTGCAGAATACGATGTAATATTCACTCATTTATTCATTCATTTGAAACATAATTTCATATATTTATTTGTCTCATTTTGTTATGAACTGGTAACTATGTTAAGTTGAAAAATAAAATATAGTTTTAAAAAACAGGTAGTCAATTATAGAATTTTTATAGTGGTAACTAGTGAGATAAAATTGATATTATCTCATGACTTTTGCCTCTCTGTCTTTTAGAGAGTTGTTGAATTCCTCCTTGCTTTTCCCTATTTAAAATTTTCTGAAGATTTTTGGGATGAGAACTACAAAACAGAATTACATCTTGAATTTCAAAGCTCCCTTATATAGGATTTTTCTGCCAATTCTAACCTCAATATCAAATGGCTTATTTGAAATAAAATAATATGCTATTGGGCCAAAATAGTTTTGAGAAAAGTAATAACTGCATTACGATTAATTATCTTTGCTGTGGAATCAAGTAGGAATTTTAACTCTGCTTTTTTAACCCTTGCAATTTTGGATAGAGAGAGTATGGATTGGTAAGTGTAGACCTAGCCTAAGGGGTAACTCGGAAAAAGATTCCTGAATTCTTGTATTGATGTACAGGAAGTAGAAAGCAAATGTCAAATACAAATGTAAAACAGGACAGAGTAAACTATTACAGCAGACCACGCAAGTGGCTCAGTTCAAACGGGCTTGTCTGGGAATTTTGTGCTATCCAGATGGGTCAATTTGATACATGCACTTATATACATCCTATGAGAGTCAACTAAAGTCTCTTATAACTGGAATGTTTCATGAGCTGACAGCTTATGAAATACCAAAGTATGGAAACACAAGCACAGTGTGAGGAAAATTATAATAACATACAAAAATCAACTTTAATTACTTGTGCATTAATTGGATCCAAATTAGTTGTATACTCACAAGTAGAAGCATTTGGATGGATGATATGGACATCTGCTAGATGTGTAGGCAAAGGCAGGAAGATAATTTTATTTTCAGCTGCTTTAGGAAGGAAACAAAGAAAATATAGCCAGTATGACAGGCTAATTACATAAATTATATAATTTCAATTGCTGTACAGTGAATTATCATGTTAATCAAAGAATCACCAGGTTAGTTTGGGCAAAGTCATTTGAAAAGAAAACAACAGTTTTAAAAAATGAAATAAAATAATTGTGAAAGCAGTGTGTTTTCTAAGTAAATACATATATTAGAACCTTGGGAATGAGGTTTAAAAAATAAAGTGAAAGAAAGATAAAATAATAAAAGATTAAGATATGTAAAAGGTTCTATTTAAACATTTAGAAAATAAAACCTTATCTGTTGGTAACATGTTACTTCACACAAAACCAGAAACATTGCTGAGAGGAATAACCGCTTCTAGCCATGTTGTAAAAAATTAGGTAAATTACCAGAAAACCTGCTGCTTCTCTGTCTCCAAGCTCCCTTCTTTCCTATCATGTTCAGAAAAAAATATGTTGAATTATTATATAACACGCCACAGAATTTTGTTCTATTGATACTACTTTTGTGTTCTATTTCTGGTCATTGTACATTGAATTTACACCCCGACCCGCAAAGTTGGATAAAATCCATTTTTTTAAGTCCCTTCATGTTTAAGAATCCTACATAAACTACCTTCAACAGACTATTCCAGTGCCTGTGTCGAGATTTAAAGCCATGTAACACCTGGACTTTGTAAGCTTAACCTGCTGTGACAAATAAAAATAAATAAGAAAGTTTCCCGTAGTTGACAACCCAGGTGGAAGTTTTACTACAATTTCCATCAGTCACTGGGACAGGCTTCAAGCGAAATAAACTGTATTTACACACAAGTTTGCTCAGAAAGGTGGCTGTATTACAGCTTTATACAGCCTCTGAAACTCGCAAAGAGATCTATAGATATAAAAAACTGTGAAAATAAATCCCCTTGTCCACTTGAAATTTTGCTATATCTGTTTACATGCATCTTTTCTGTATCTACACAACTTGGACCAAGTGAATTTTGTTCTAATGCGAGTTGGGGGTGGAGGGTGGGTCTGGGAACTCTATGTTGAATGTCATAAATGCTATGGGTGGGGGCAAGGGAAGGAAGATGTTATGCATATTCTCTCAGGTCTCTATCTCACATTGATTCTGATTTTAGTCTTCCTTTTACTCTGACTTACTGACCCGATGGGGCAAAGGAAGTGTGAGAATTTGAAAATACTGTATAAGGATACAAATTTTAAAAACTTCAGGCAAGTACAGTCTAAGATAGAATGACGGATAAAGAAACCAAAGTCTAGGATTTGAATCAAAATCTCAAAAGTATGTTTTTAACTAAATTTTTCTTGTGTATAATGTCAAAGTTCAAGATAAGTAGGAAAAAAAAGAGTTGTAGGAGGAGACTTTCAATAAGATCTGAAAATGTGTTCTAAAGCCACCACAGTTAATAAAGAATGGTGATATTGACACAAAAATAAAACCACCTGGAGTTCCAAGAAACAGAAAACACTACAAAAAAATAAGAATATAGCATATAAAAAGGATGGCACATAAAGGCATTTGGAAAAGAATGTAGCCATTAAATAATATATTTAACCTTTGGGGGGAAAATGAAGTTATCCCCTTACTTCTAACAAGCAACAGCATGGTTTAGCCATCTAAACAATTAAATAGTTGAACAATCTTAATATTTAAGAAAGAAAAAAGAAACCATAACAGACCAAGAAGAAAGTATAGATGAATATGACTTGATCTCAAGATGAAGAACTTAGGCATCAAAGGGAAGGCAGACCATTAAGGCAAAAGCAGAATATTTTAACAACATACAAATGAAACATTTGAAACAAAAAGAACATTAAAAGAAAATTACAAATTAGAAAAGCATTATAACACTCATTGCAGATTAGTGGACAAAATCCTAACTAACAAAAAACTCCTACAAAGATATACAAACACATCGCTAAGATTACATATAAAGACAGGAAGGGACAATGCACAAAAAATATATAAATAGTCATTCAATATATCCAATAAGGTTGAATTTCACTTTCAATCTAAGAAATTAAAACGAAATATTATTTCCCCTTTTAAAAATATTAGAAACAAATGATAGTAATATCTAGTGTTGTTTGGGTAAAGCAGATGCTCTCAAATGCTGCAGACAAGAATGTAAATTAGAGCATTTTGAAAGGATACATTGCCAGTATGAATCAAGATCCTTAAAAATGTCTACGTACCTTGGTCTAGTAGTTCCATGTCTGGAGAGTAATCATATGGAACGAATTTGGAGATACACACTAAGATTTATGTATAAGAATAGTCATCACAGCTTTATTTATAATAGAAAAAATAACAAAACTCAATAATAAAAGATGAACTGAATAAATTACAACACATACAGTAAATGCAATGCCCTGTAACCATTATAAATTACATCTTCAAAGAATATTTAGTGACCATGCAAAATATTTATAAGAAAATCAGGATATAAAATGCTATACACACTTGATTCAAATCTTCCTTCCTCTTTTTGTCTTCATTTACAAAAACACCCAATAACTCAGCTATACTTTTCAGAGCTAGATATGTAATGTGTTTAACTGTTTCAGAAAATACATAAATAAAGGTTTACCCAAATTTAAATTTGTTTTAATTGCTTTATAAAAATAAGAGGGCATATATTATTAATCTCCAATGTCTTCTTGAAAATTAGAAAAAATATATTAAAAATGGTTCAAATTTTATATTCAATAGAATTTTCTTGGAAGGTATATTTAATTGCATTTTCATACTACAGTTGCTGATGGCAAAATATTTACATCCACCATCAATTAATAGACTAAAACCAAACTGAAAAAAAATTTAAGGTGTCACTGTGAAAGCAAAAACATCTTTTTGTAATGTTCTTGATTTCTTTCTAACTATGAAATATGAGGAAAAATGTATCAGAAAAAAGTGAAAATAGATTTCTGCCCACTGCTCATATTAATGCATTATTTCTGAAACATTGGATTGTGATTGTTTCTGTTTCTCAGTCAGGAATCAGAATACACCAAAGGTGGTTGTGATAGGTTTTGATATGTGGTAGTCCCTCATTGCTGTTTGCCAATTTCCAGCCATTATGAAGGCTAAAATTGTTATGTTGGTGATAAGAAAAGAGTAAGACAGATGACTGGGTGAATTGGATAAATGTGATATATGGAAATAGAGCAAGGTACCATCACTGTGCATCAGAAGATCCACGGCTGCACTTCACCGGAAAAATAATATCAGTAACAATAACAATAAGCAACGTTATTGTACACTACTGAATTTCAGTCACCTTGACAATATGGAGTCATGCTGAAAATTATAAAAGATATCCCTTTGTTAATCTGTTTCAATGTGTTTTTTAATATCTGAAGAAAACTATTAATATCAGTAGTTATGTTTTTAATCTACCAAGAATCCTCTTACACTTGAGGTCAAAGGGTCTACTAATGGATATAAAAAAAATCAAAGACAAAGAAATTACTGATATTTACATTTTTAGGTATGGCAATATAGAAACTAAGCTTCTGGACTGTTAAAGATTCACCAAGCTTAGATGTTACAGAGGGTTCAGGAATGCTTAAAACCTACCTCTTTGTTGAACTTCTTGTCATATTCTATTTATAATAAAAATTACCTGAAATATTTTCCATGTTAGAACAAAAAATAAGCCATTTCATCTTTATAATCCTTTATGGTAGTCTGTTATCCAGCCAGAAACTTAGAACAGCAGTACTTTTTAATGGCAGTAACTTACCGTGGTAGTTATAACCTTAATTCTACTTTGGTACTTTGGTGTAAGTTGGTCATCTTTGTTTTTAGAAATATTAAGAAAGCTAGGACTTATTATTATAACATTTATCTCAAAGTATATTTCTTTGATAAAGAAATTTGCAGGAACAGGAATAAATGTCACACTCTGTGGTTCCATATAATAACCTTCTGCCCTTTAAATCAATATGTTTTTTCATGTTTCTTTGAAAACTAAGAAAAAGCTCCCCTAGGAAGTGACCGAAGTGATCAGAGTACCAACATATTTTCACAACGAAACAACAGAAGGATAATCATACAGCTCCTCCTATTCAGAAGGTCTTCTCTCAACTGCCTTCTCCCTCTCTTTTAGTAAAGGAAAACAAATTTTCCTCTCAGGGTTTACCCATAGGCTGCTAAAGATACTTATTCTGCATATCTATGCCTTTTGTTATCTGTAATGGTGGTAGAGACTTGTGTGTCCATCATTTATATCTGGAAACACCTGAAGAGATTTGGTATTGCAGGTTTAGAGCTACTTATTTGTTGAGCGCTTAATTGGCAACTTCAATGATAATGAAAGTAGCTTTTTTCACTTATTAAGAGTTTGGCAGTTGAGAGGTGATCAGTAATGTTGGAAATAGCAAGGAGCTTGGAACTAAATATCACCTTAATTTCATCTCAGCTCTAATTTACAGGCACTGTGATCCTCAGTGTCTTTATCAGTAAATAGCTACTTTTAAAAAATGGGGGCAGATATTAAATGTGATAAAGTATGATTGAGTGACACATATATAATGTATGTTCAGTAAGTAGGAGTGGTTTGTTTTATTTTGTTTTGAGACAAGGTCTCAAGCAAAACTCTGTCTCCCAGGCTGGAGTGCAGTGGCATGATCCCACCTCATTGCAGCCTCCACCTTCTGGACTCAAGCAATCCTCACATCTCTGCCTCCCTAGTAGCTGGGACTACAGTCATGCACCCCCACGCCTAGCTAATTTTTGTATGTTTTGTAGAAACAGGCTCTCACTATGTTGCCCAGGCTGGTCTCGAGCAATCCTCCCACGTTAGCCTTCCAAAGTGCTGGGATTACAGCATAAGCCACTGCACCTGGCAGGAAATAGGTTTTTAAATACACAGTTAAAATACAATAGAAATTATTTAACAGGATATACTTCTTATACATTGAAAATTTGTACCCTTCTTATCAAAAACATCCAGAACATGAGACAATTTTTAATAAAACTTGTCTGAATGTTCAAGATGGAAGTAACAATTTAAATATGTAACTAGTACTTTGTTTCCTCATTTTTCTTATTTGTAGGCTGAAATTCAATGATTTTTTTTTTACTTCTTTAACATCTCTCTTTATGCACAGACTATAAGCTTCATGAGATTAGAGACCAGTTCTGTTTTTCTCCCTGTAGCTTTCCCAGTGCCTAAAACACAAGCAGGCATTCAATAAATATTTGTTGATTCAATGAATAAAAACAAATGAACCTGCTTTTAGGGAAAGTGAGTGATGCACGTGATGAATGTACACGACCAATGCCACTGGTCTTAATGACTCACTAACAGCTCAGTGGGAGGGAATGGGAGCTATGAGGGCTATGCAGTCTTCCATGTCATTTGGTCTCCCATTAGCCCACTGAATCCTTATTATCATTATTCATATAAATAATGTATTAAATCCATTCATTTTTCATTTATAAATGGCTTTGGTACAGAGTTGAGAAAATAATAAGAAAATGTTCTTATCTATAAAAGATAAGAAAAATCATGGAAAATGCCCAGCCAGTATCTACCCTGTTATCATTTGGCTTCTCATGAGACCTCCACAATGAGTTCTGTTGGGGTATCAGTGGCGTCGTGTGGAAGGACAAGTTAGATCTCCCTTCTATACGAAGAAGTTAGGTGGCCAGCGAGTTGGAAACCTGAGAAAGGGGTAGTTTAGCTTTATATTTTACTATCTGCCACTTCTTTTGAACAGCATGGGTGGTGCTTGGGGCCTCTGGCACTGTTCCCAGAAGCACTGCCCCTGCCAAGCAGAATTTGCACCTTCACAAGTGCTGATTGACTGTGAGGGAAAGATATAGACCCCTTCTGGAAGCAGCTTTCTGGGAAAGATATTATACCTCCAGCCTGGTTGTGGGGAGGGCCCAAGAAAATAGGACTGTGTGTCTGGTACTAGTAGGTAGTGGATAATTTAATTCCTTTCTCATTACATCCATTCAATCTAACATTTATTTTGAAGAGTTAAGTTTCCTAGACACAGATCCTAAAAAAATAAAATAAAATATGAAAGCAATGAAGTTCCTCCTCTTTTATTTTCTCTCTCTCTCTCT
The DNA here is from genome assembly GCF_000001405.40 of Homo sapiens. NCBI lineage: Eukaryota > Metazoa > Chordata > Mammalia > Primates > Hominidae > Homo > Homo sapiens. Next base: position 174,037,090 of record NC_000004.12, read on the forward strand.
TTTTTTTTTTTTTAAAGAGCATCATAAAAAAGTTTGTTTTGCTGGCTAACAGCAGCGAAGGTACAAAGCTTTCTTCGTTAGGGTTTGCTATTTAAACCATCAGCTCATTCTGCAAGAACATCAAACATGTGTCTACCAGATGCTGGGCAACAGCGCGATACTAAGGACTTGACTCAAGTGAACAATAATCTGTGGACAGCGGGTGTGAACCCGAGCTGGGCCAACACCTCATCAGACCGAATGGCTAATTGATTTCAAAATTAGACTCGGTATTTCTGAACAATAATCTTGAAAGGCAGCAATAAAATACATCAGGATCCTTTGAGCTGGCCAAGCTTTCATCCAAATGGCTTATTACAAAGAGCTGGCACACCTGAACTTTGGCACAGTCAAATAAATCCAAAAACAGCAAATGGAAACCACATTTGGCACTGGAGGTTTGTCAAGAAAAATTTGTATTCATGAGGAAACATGATTTTTGATTTTGAAATTATTTGGGGGTTATCGGTGGGAAGTAATTCATTGAATATGTATTTGACTCTGACAGCTATGATTTATGCAACAAAATATGCACAATAGGTATGTGAAGGCTTTTGAGAATCACATAATCTTTGGAACACCAGGATCAGCCAGGGCACAGCAAGGGTTAGTGTAGCTCCATTGGTGATAACTTAATCGCATGTGTAGGCCTACCCCTTTGAACTCTGAATAACTGCTTTGTGGCATCAGGGTCCACAAGGGTTTAAATCTGACTGCACTGCAATGACAATAAATTATACCAACTATTTAAGAAATGCTTGGAATCTTATCTTGCCTTCAGAGTGAGCAAACTAAGATTACAATTCCTGGCTTAAAACATGGCATAAATTCTGAGAACAAACACGGAAAATTTACACAATGGCAAGAGTGTATTTCACTACTCTTCTCTCGCAGCATTTTTTTAGGACCTCTAAAGATACATGTTGAAAGGTCCGTTAAAAAAGAAAGAAAGAAAGAGAGAAAGAAAGAAAGAAAGAAAGAAAGAAAGAAAGAAAGAAAGAGGCAAACAACAGAGTATGTCTGGGTGGGTAAAATGAATTAAACCACTGACTGGTTTTCTGCACAATGCTTCTTAGTTTAATTTTCTGGCTACTTTAGGAGAAAAAATTTTGCTATTTTCTTTGCATTTCTTATCCTAATAATTGCCTATATTTTTAAATTTTAATTTTATATAAAGGAAGTCTGCTTAACTGGATGTATTTGCTAAGCCTTTTAACTGCTTTGATAGATTCTATCCAAAGATGACAAAATATCTCATAGAGCGAAGAAGAAGAAATAACATTAAGGAAAGGACACGGAATCACTAGTATTGATCTAACCCAGAACTCAAAAATTACAAAAAATACAGCAAAGAATTATCACGAGAACAAAGGTGGAAGGGAGTGACCTTGGAAAATTTATCTCCAAATGAAAACATTTCTCCCTTCATGGTTCTCTCCCTTTTCTAGGGCAATCCCTCTCCATTAAAAAAGCTGACAACCTTTTTTGCGATTCTGACTTTTTAAACTAAGAAGTGACTTGGCCCACAGCCTGTGCTGAGCCAGTTAGCGGGTGACTGCCACTTGGGAATTAGCGTTTAGATATCTGAAGGAAGGAAATCAGAAATTAGTTCTAGCCCCTGATCTGTTAATTCACTGGATGATCTTGGACACATTTTCCTTTCCGGACTGCAGTTTCCTCATTTTTAAATGATGAGAATGGTACTAAATGATCTCTAAGGACTCTTTCAGTTCTAAAATATTATAAAGCTATGCAATAGTTCCTTCAGTTGATGAAAACAAGGCTGGTGCATGCATTGCTTGAAAGAAAACAGAAGAAAAGAAGTGTTTAGGGTGTGATATTTAATAAATGGAATTAGGACACATCCAATGGTTTTAGGAAGTTGATTTATTACAGTTTTCAGCAAAATGATATAGAAAACTAATCAACAAAAATGTTAACAATAAAGTACTTCAATGAATTGGAAATAATTTTTTAGCTAAAATTAAATAGAAAAATACCCTGTTAACGCTACTGGTACAGGGTATTAGCAAAATTCTCCAAAATAAAATTAGTTTCTGGGAACGCATCCCCCAAATCACATTCTCCATTTATCTAGTTAGCCAATATATTCTGAGTGTTCCTTTTGTAAAGACAAATGAATATTCAAGTACCCCATTTTTTAGAGAATGACTAATAAGGGGGTGTTGAATTCTGGAGAGTTTTAGATATGATGATGACTACTTGGTATTCTGTTTATGTATTGTGTTAGTATAAAATAAAAAAATTAAAGCATGTAGTTAGTTTCAAACTTGTATTAACTCTCAAACATTGGAATCCAAAATCGTGCTTAAGTTACTAAAACACTTTCATGTTCTGTTTTCAAATCCACATACCTATTCAGAAGTTAGAATGTATCCATTTCAATACCTATTCAAGAAATGAAATTTCACTTTGGGAGGCCGAGGCGGGCGGATCACGAGGTCAGGAGATCGAGACCATCCCGGCTAAAACGGTGAAAACCCGTCTCTACTAAAAATACAAAAAATTAGCCGGGCGTAGTGGCGGGCGCCTGTAGTCCCAGCTACTTGGGAGGCTGAGGCAGGAGAATGGCGTGAACCCGGGAGGCGGAGCTTGCAGTGAGCCGAGATCCCGCCACTGCACTCCAGCCTGGGCGACAGAGCGAGACTCCGTCTCAAAAAAAAAAAAAAAAAAAAAAAAAAAAAAAGAAATGAAATTTATATTAACATGGCGGTCATATATATGATATGCGTATATATATATCTTTAAATAATTTTATCTGAAATCTTAGATCACAAATTTGAGAGGATATCTATTTTCATTTCTTGATTATGTCTTTTGTATCATTTAAGTAATTTTAAAATATTTTCCAAAAGGACAATAATAACAACAATAATATTTAACAAATGTATTAGATTACATTTATGCCACCTGTATGCCATGTGTCTTAAATGCACTGATTTAAATTTCACAATAAATTTACACGGAGGGTAAGCTGTACTAATGAGGAAAATGAGCCAAAAGAGAAGTAACTTCACTGGTTTACACAGTGGCTTTAAACTGACCATTATTTACCAATTCCAATTTTCCACAATACTCTGCATTATTACTGCAATGAATTTAATGAGTTCCTTTATTTATTCATTCAACAAATATTCACTGAAGGCCTGCTATATGCCAATGACTATTCTGGACATAGAGGAAACAATGAAGTTACATTCTAGGTTGGGGGGTAAGAAAATAAGTAAATATATAAATACATAAGATTATTTCAGTTAGAAGGTAAGTGGTATGAGGGTTGCCATGTCTAGCTTTGCAACCAGTGACTGTGAGTGTTATGAAGGCAATATAGCAGAATGATGCAATAGAGAGGAAATGCAGATTGATTTTAGATTAATAGTCAGAGAAGGCTCCTAGGAGGAGGTGCATTTGAGTTGAGATTTAAATGACAAAAATCATCTAGCTATGGGAAGGCCTTGGGCAGGTACACCAGATAGAGCAAATAACTAGCAGCAAAACTTTGAGGCAGAGATGAGTTGGCTGAGCATAAGAAACATAAAGAAGGCCAGTGGGGATAAAGCCAATGAAGGGGAACGGGAATGAGAGGCAAAAGGAGTGTAGACGGGAGGGGGTTGGGCTCTGTGTGGCTTCTTAGCTATGGGAAAGAGCATGCAATGTGTTACTAAAATATTAATGTCAAACGACCTTTCAGACTATTGCCATTAACCTCTGTTTTAATGACATAAAACACAAGTTTGTGAACTTTTCTGATTCTCAGAATGCTTGGACATTTGTTGGGGGAGGCCATGAACCCATCTTCCTTGGAAAAATTCACATTTATACAGAAATGTGCACACGATTTCAGGAGTTAATTGGGATCACGTTCCCCCTGGAGCCTACCCATGGGCCCATGGATTTCAGGTGAAAAAAAAATCACAGAAACTATTTTACAGTGAGCTAAATGAATTGTGGTCCTTAAATCATAATTATAATACTCACCTAAGTAAACAATTTCTACCCCCAAAATTATATAGTCCAGGCCATAAGGCAATCTGCCCTATAAGGTTAAATTTCTAGTTTCAACCACAGAGTTGTACTGTTTTTCAACAGTTTGACAATCTCCTTTCTACAATTTTGACATTCAAGAGCCAAATTCTTAATGCTAAAAATATATTTTAATACTCATTTACCAACAAAATTTGACCTGCACTAATGTGAGATTATTTACAATGTTTATTTGTGCTGCTTATGTTTTATAGCAGAAATAACGATGTGTTGGATTACAAGGTGATGCTTCAGTATCACCTTGTGAGGTTACATAATGTACTGTGTGTGTGTGTGTGTGTGTGTGTGTGTGTGTGTGTGTAGATACATATGTAGGTGTATATATACATATGCACACCTTCTACTTCCAAAAGAAACCAAAATTCTGAAAACCATGGGTCCTGAATATTTTTGAGTAAAGAGCCATCGACCTGTATAGTTTCCCATCCTTCTGAAATATTTCTTGAGTATTTTACGTCTTCTCTGTGTATTCAGGATACCAAAAATAAGTCAGCACACAGGGCTCTAAGCACTTAACATCCATCTGGTGTGTTGACAGGTTTTAGATGACATCCTAGTGTTTCCTCAGCGCAGACCACCTCAGGAGTAGGAAGGCTACAGGACATTGTGAATGTTCTCCCTCAGCATATAAAAGAAACACCTGTACCAAATTAATTTGTGCTTATCCAGTGAGAAGTTCACAGGGTCCCTCCGCCTCTTTTACCTATGAAGGGTGGTCTATTGACTTAGCTGCTGTGCAAAACAAGGCCCTGCAGGGAGCCCTGGCCTCTCGAGGGGATTTTCTGGGAATTATTCTTCACGTACTCCTAAGCTTGTTTCTTTCTTTGTTTTCTACGTTCTTACTTAACCTTAATTTATATAGTCTAGCTTTGTATTTTCGAGGCATTATGCCATCGTTAAATTGCTAATACTTACCACATTGTTTAAAGCAGGCATCATTCCTCATGTGCGACGCAGAGACCCAGAGATGGGTTAAGTAATTTGCTCAAGGAATCAGAATGGGAGTGAATGATGAGGCTTCAATTAGAACTCAGAGTTTCATATGTACTGTTCTTTTCTCAGGTCTCTGGGGCACAGTGTTATTATCTGGGAACTGATCCCAAAGACCAAACTAAGTATCCCTAGCTGTGGTGCTTCTTCCTAACATATAAACACTTCTGGGGGAAGAGGATGGAGGAGGAACTGAAAAGAAACAAGTATCCTCGTTTCCCTAATGTATCAAATTCATTGAAACATAATGAAGGTATTAGCTCTTATTCAATCTTTGTAAAATCATTTCCTCATTATTTTAATATATTTTAACACAGTCGTTTAAAACCTAACTCAATTACACCTTAAGAAATAAAATATTAGATAAAAACTTTTAATTTCAACTTTTGTTGAGGTACTTTATCTGTTTTCTCTTAGATAAATTGCTACATTGAAAAGTTTATGATTCATTTTTTCAGGTAGTATAAAATCAGAAAAAAATGTATATTTTATCAGTTTCTAGTGGATATCTGCTGAAATTAAAATATTTATTTTAATACAAACCTAAAAATTTGACATATAACCTAATAACAGAAGGAGGTAAAATTCAGAGGAATTACCCTCTTCTAATTTTCCCCAATCCCTTCTCTCACTGACAGTTCTCTTGTGGATATCTAGTAGTTAGTTTTCTTCTTCCTCTGTCCTCCCTGGATTACTGTAACTGACCTGTTTCCATTGTCATGCAGGTTGCATCTAGGTCTTTCTTAACCTGTACTTAAGACCATTAGGGTACTCTAGAATCTGCTATTGTATATGTAAAATTTCCATCTAGATGTATCCCATGACTCCAGAAGTCTACTTTGACAACTCGGTTCAGTGTTTTATTTTATGCTGCCTTACTTCTCCAACAGTGCCAGTGACAAACATTCTCTTGAGTCTCTGGACCTCCTTCTTTTTTTTTTTTTAAATATATATCATTTACAGAAAGGCAATACATTTCTATGTATAAAACGTTTCTCACATTTCCCACTCCCTTAGAGGTCCACTAAACAGCTTCATCTCTCAGTAACGTTCCCCAAAGTGCCACCAACATAATTACCCCATGTTCATCATTCATACCACATCATCTCCATTCTGAAACTCTTTTCAATGGCTTTCAGGCTTATATCTCCCCAAAATGGGCTGTATAAGCCACTTCATTCAGTCCTCATTCTAATATAACATTAAGTCTTCCCTGAAACAATTTAGGGTGTGACTTTTTCTCCGATCATGGCCCAATTTGTTGGTCTCTAAGGGCTTGGCAGAACTCCTTCTGAGCATTCCCTAGATTTCAACTTACACATGTCATAGCCTCTTCCATTCCATTCTACACATTGTAATTCTTGCCCTTTCATCTCGAACTCCTACTTCCATCAAGAAGTCTTTCCTTATTAACATGACATGCCCCAAATCTCTCTGTTTACCAATTGTTTATTACTGCAGTTTTCATACTTTGGCTTTTTAAATTTCCATTTGGTAAATTCTTCTTGTTATTCTCACATCTGTCTTGCCTTTGTCTCAAAGGACAAAGTCTTTAAAGTTTTTATACCTATTTAATCTTAAATATATAATGACAATTCTATGCTATGCCCTTAATTATCTTTTGTTTATTCAAAAAACTGTTGAAAAGCACGTCTTGAAAAATTCATGTACCTTTTTCTCCTAGGAAAACCTCAGTGTTGATATTGGAGGTCAGTGTTTCAGAAGGTAGGTGCTAGAGTCAGATGTCCTCGCACTGCATCCCTAGCCCAACCTTAATTATTAGTTTTGCATACTCAAGCAACTTCACTTTCCTGTTACCCAGTATCCTCATCAGTTACAAAGGAATAATCATAACACCTGTTCCTTAACATGGATGTGAGGTTTTAATAAGAAAATACACTTAAGGAATTAAATGGAGGCTTGCACATAGTAACTGCTCAATAAAATACAACTATTACCAATTTATTCAAAAGTGGATTTCATTTATGTATATTTCAACATGCTGACCTTTGGAAGAAGGGGTACAGACAGCAGAGTGGAAAATAATCTACTACTATCTTCAAAATAATTTGTATTATAAAATATTTGGTGTGGTTAGGTATTAGTTCAAGTTCTTACTTTAATTATAGTGAATACTACTGATAAATTTCATATTTTTAATCATTTAGATTAAATTTAGTATGCATTGGTCTAAAGAAAATTTATGCACACAGATATAGGAATTTCCCTGTGTGTTCTCAGTAATGAATATATGTAAACTTAAATGTTCTTCCTTGATTTGGTCCTCTTTACCAATCCAAATAGAAAGTCATATAATACAGCATTCTCATTCTACTAGAACATTATCCATAAAAACTGATTCAGAGAAGTTTCTATATCTCTCTCCCAGCAACTATATTTACATCTAAATTTTCCCAAGACCTATATTAAGTGGAATGATCCCACCCAGTAATAAAACTTCCTGGTACCATGCTTGCAGATAGCCTATTATCAATTTAATTTAATAATGTTTTGCTATGCATATAAAATAAAAACCGACATGTCCTAATTCCAATTTTTGAATATATTTATAGCAAATATATATACATTTACATGGGTAAGTAAAATAAGCCTTGCAAATATCTTAAAAAATAAGGAGTTATTTTCCTAGTTAAGGAGCTGAAGGTCAAATACAAGCAGTTTCCTTAAGAAGATCAAGAAAGGCTTCCAGTCAAGACCACAGGGTAAGTTGTGAATCATATCCCGCTCACTGGACACATAGAAATAATAGAAAATATAAAAACTAAGACCCTCTCCTAGAAGGTTAAAGAAGGAATCAAAAGCAAGACAATCATCCATAATTTTGGTTGCCATAAAAAAATACGTTAGACTGCGTACATTACAAATATAATTTTTTTGATCACACAGTCTGGAGGCTGAAAAATCCAAGACAAAGGTGCCAGCAGATTCAGTGTCTGGTGAGGACTCATTCCCCGTAGATGATGGCTTCTATGTGTCTTCACATGGTGAAAGGAGCAAACAGTCTTTCTCAAGCCCCTTTTACAGAACTAATCTCATTCATGAGGGCAGAGCCCTTATAACAATAACTTCCCAAAAGGTCACATTCCTTAATACCATCATATTGAGCATTAAGTTTCAATGTATGAATCTGAAGAGAACACCAACATTCAGACTATTGCAGAAATTGATTAAAATCATAGCCAAAGCACAAAGCTGTGGGTCAGGCTGAGGCCTGGGCTAGCAGCAGCCAGTAGCAGCTAGAAGGGAACAGGGTCTAAAATGTACTTAAAATTAGGTTTTGGTGTAGCTTTGCTATAAGTGAATAAAAGCCCCAGTAAGCCACTTAGGAATCAAGACTGATTGGAAGATATGAGACTAGAAGATGTAGGAGGACCTTGAGAATACAGATGTTGTCAGGACAGGACAAGAACCAAGACCATTCACCTTTGACCTTGGCGATTTGACATATATATCCCTGGTATCACTAATGACTAGGGATGCTAACCTAATGATATAAAGCAGGATGCTATACCATATGGAGGCAGCCACCTAACTCTACAAAGGGAGGAAAAGACAGGGAGAAAAAGAAAAAGAGTACACTGCAAATTTTCCTTCGTTTTTCAACTCCAAAACACACAAAGAAATCCTTTGATTGGGAAGACAGTTGACAAACAATATAAATTCATTTTACAAAAAATTAAAATAGTATCACATAAAAAGATGATTTAAGTACATTTAAGCTTTCCAAATACATACAAGAAAATAAACCACAAGATGACCATCAATGATAGACTGGATTAAGAAAATGTGGCACATATACACCGTGGAATACTATGCAGCCATAAAAAAGGATGAGTGGGGTTTTTTTAAAAATTTTTTTTTATTATACTTTAAGTTTTAGGGTACATGTAAAGGATGAGTTTATGTCCTTCTTAGCGACATGGATGAAGCTGGAAGCCATCATTCTGAGCAAACTATCACAAGGGCAGAAAACCAAACATCACATGTTCCCACTCATAGGTGGGAATTGAACAATGAGAACACTTGGAGACAGGGCGGGGAACATCACACAATGGGGCCTGTCGTGAGGTGGGGGGATGGGGGAGAGATAGCATTAGGAGAAATACCTAATGTAAATGATGACTTAATGGGTGCAGCAAAGCAACATGGCACATGTATACATATGTAACAAACATGCACGTTGTGCACATGTACCCTAAAACTTAAAGTATAATAAAAAATAAATAAAAATAAAAAATAAAATAAAATGCAATTTTCAAAAAAAAAAAAGAAACCACAGGAAAATTTGTGAAAGAAAAAATCAGAAAAAGAAGAAAAGAAATGAGGAAAAAATAAAAAGTCACATATAAAATTCAAAATAACAGAAATAAAAGATTATAATGGAAATGACTCAATAGTATAGATAAATATTAGACTGGACACAGTAAAAGAATTAGATGGTACTTCAGTGAAAGCACAGAACTTAGTTCAGAGAGATAGAAAAGGTGAAAATACATAAACATACATTTAATAGAAAAGTTAAGTGACATGGAGAGCTGCAATAGGTGCCTATTATATGTTTTTGAAAGTATAATGGAGTGAATTGTATGAAACAACATTATAATTTACAGTCTCTGAAAATTTTCCAAGTGAAGGAAATAGATAAAATAATGAATTATATGACTGCAAATGTACTCGAACTATAAGCAAGATAAATAAAAATAAGTACATTAAAACATATTATAGTAAAAATGTAGAAACAAAAAGGTAAAAAGAAAAATCCTAAAAGCCATCACATAGAAAAAAAAATACTGTTAGGAGGAAAACAAATTGCACCAGTATCAATAGATGCCAGAAGACAACACAATAATATGTTTAAGGATGTAAGAAAATAGAGTTCTTCAATTAAAAACTGTTATCCTGGTTGTCTGTCTTTGGAGATTAAAGGTACATCCATATATTTTCTGAAATAGGATAAAGGAAAGTATCTACCACAGGCTTTTTCTTAAAAGAACAAAACAGCAAAATGAAAAGTAAATCTTGAAGGAAGGAACAAATAAGAGACATTTTGCATTGTTTAACTTGTTAGAAAAGTTTATAATCTTGTGTGTGCCCATTAAATGCAATCAATAACTTCCAAACACAGAAAAAATAACTGAGTATAACACTGTCAAGCAAACATAAGTCAGGTATTATCAGATAAATTTTGATTCCCAAAATTCATATGCGGAAGACCTAAGCCACAGTACCTCAGAATGTGACTGTATTTGCAGATAAAGCCTTTGAAGAGCCGATTAAGTTAAAATAAGGTCGTGTGGGTGGGGCCCTAATTAAGTTAAAATGAGATCATGGGAGCGGGGTCCTAATGCAGTGTGACTGGTGCCCTTATAAAAAGAGAAAACTTGGACAAGCAAGAGAGATATCAGAAATGCACACACACAGAGGAAAGATCATGTGAGGACACAGGGAGAAGGTGGCCATCTGCAAACCACAGAGATATGCCTCAGAGGAAATCAAACCAGCTAACATCTTACTTTTGGGCTTCTACCCTCCATAACTGTGAGAAAATAAATTTGGGTTGTTTAAGCTCCACAGCCTGTGTTATTTTGTTATGGTAACACTAGCAAACTAATACAGCAGGAAAGGAGGGGAGAGAAGCAGCAAATGATTGATAAACAGATACAAGTTGATATATTAAATGATATAATGAAGTCAATATAATAAATTCATAATGATGTTGATATAATGAAGTTTATGTAAATTGATGCAATGAAGTCCAAATATATAAGCAATTCAAGTAAATTAATCTGGCATACCGTAAGAGATTAGCAGATGGATTTTTTTAAATCCACTGCATGATGTTTACAAAACACACACACTTGAATACATGTACATACACACACAATTGCAACTAAAACAAAACTGCAGAGAAAATTTGCAAATATAGTGATGAAAAATATATTATGCAGATATTAGATGAGTTTGATACAGCAATGTTAATATCAGACAAAATAAGCTTAAAATGAAAAAATTATTACTATGAATAGTGGCATTCCATTATTTTAAAAAGAAAAATAAATCACAATGTTATCATCCAAAATAGATTTCTACTTAAAGAAAAATTGTCAGAATTGCAAGGAGAAATTGACAAGTTCATAGTCACAGTGAGAGTTTTTATTATACCCACAAATTGACAAAATAAGACATAAATGATTTAAACAACAAAAATAACAAAAGCACCTTGAAGCCAATAAGTGGAAAAGGTATATTTATTTCAGCAATTTGAAACATTTTCAAAAGTGGGTAACATGACTTTTTTAAAAATAGATTTTAGTTTTTCAGAGCAATTCTAGGTTCAAAGCAAAATTGGATGAAAAGTACAGAGGTGTCCCATGTACAGTAGTGGATGCCTGAAAGCCTGGATATACCTAACCCTACAGGTAATATGTTTTATCTGTATGTACATACCTATGATAAAGTTTAACTTATGAATTAGGCACAGTAAGAGGTTAACAATAACTAGTAATAAAAGAACAATTATAACAATATAGTGTAATAAAAATTATATGAATGTGTGCTCTCTCTCTCCCTCAATGTATAATATTTTTGGACCGCATTTGATTACAAGTTTCTTTTTCTTGTTTTATTGACTAGGATTATTAACTAGGACTTCTAATATGATGTTGAAAAGCAGTGGTGAGACGTTCTTGCCTTGTTTCTGATCTTAGTGAAAAATCTTCAAGTTTCTCACTATTAAATATGATGTTAGTTGTAGGTATTTTGTAGATATTTTGTATTAAGTTGAGAAAGATCCCCCCCGTTCTTTGTTTACTGAGAGTTTTTATCATTAATAGGTGCTGGATTTTGCCAAATGATTTTGCTGCATCTACTAATATGGTCAAGTGATTTTCTTCTTTATCCTATTGATGTGGTAGATTATATTAATTGATTTTTGAATATTAAATCAGCCTTGCATACTTGGGATAAATCCCACTTAGTTGTGATATATAATTCTTTTTATACATTGTTGGATTCAATTTGCTAATATTTTATTAAGGATTTTTGCATTATGTTCATGAGAGAAATTGGTCTGTAGTTTTCTAATAATATTTTTGCCTACTTTGTGTATTAGTATAATGCTGGCCTATAGATTAAGTTAGGAAATATTTCCTCTACTTCTATCTCTTGAAAGAAATTATATAGAATTAGTACAATTCCTCCTAAAATCGTTAGTAGAATTCACCAGTGAGCCCATCTGGCCTGGTGCTTTCTGTTTTGGAAAATTATTCAGTATTAATTATTAATTAAGTTCAATTTATTTAACAGATATAGGCCCACTCGGATTGTCTATTTCTCCTAGGGTGAGTTTTGGCAGGTTGTGTGTTTCAACAAATTAGTCTATATTATTTATGTTATAAAATTTGTAGGCATAGAGTTATCCATAATATTACTGTATTATTTTGTTAATCACTATAGAACCTGTAATGATACCCTATCTTTCATTTCAGCTATGAATGATTTGTATTCTTTTTTCTCGGTTAGGCTGGCTAGAGGCCTATCAATTTTATTGATCTTTTAAAAAAACAACTTTTGGTTTCATTGATTTTTCTCTATTGATTTCCTATTTTCAATTTCATTTATTTCTTTGCTATTGTGAATACTGCTGCAATAAACATATGAGTGGGTGTGTCTTTATAGTAGAATGATTTATAATTTTGGGGGTATATATCCAGTAATGGGATTGCCTGGTCAAATGGTATTCCTGGTTGTAGATCCTTGAGGAATCGCCACACAGTCTTCCATAATGGTTGAACTAGTTTACACTCCCACCAACAGTCTAAAAGCATTCTTATTTCTCCACATCCTCTCCAGCATCTGTTGTTTCCTGACTTTTTAATGATCACCATTCCAACTGGTGTGAGATGGTATCTCATTGTGGTTTTGATTTGCATTTCTCTAATGACCAGAGATGATGAGTTTTTTTTCATATGTTTGTTGGCTGCATATATGTCTTCTTTTGAGAAGTGTCTCTTCATATCCTTTACCTACTTTTGGATGGGGTTTTTGTTTTTTTTCTTGTAAATTTGTTTAAGTTCTTTGTAGATTCTAGATATTAGCCCTTTGTCAGATGGATAGATTGCAAACATTTTCTCCTATTCTGTAGATTGCCTGTTCACTCTGATTATAGGATAGTTTCTTTCGCTGTGCAGAAGCCGTTTTTAGTTTAATTAGATCCCATTTGTCAATTTTGGCTTTTGTTGCCATTGCTTTTGGTGTTTTAGTCATAGTCATTGCCAATGCCTATGTCCTGAATTGTATTGCCTAGGAGTTCTTCTAGGGTTTTTATGGTTTTAGGTCTTACGTTTAAGTCTGTAATGCATCTTGAGTTAATTTTTGTATAAGGCGTAAGGAAGGGGTCCAGTTCTCTGTATTTCCTGAATTTGAATGTTGGCCTGCCTTGCTAGGTTGGGGAAGTTCTCCTGGATAATATCTTGAAGTGTGTTTTCCAACTTGATTCCATTCTCCCCATCTCTTTCAGGTACTCCAATCCGTCATAGTTTCGTTCTTTTTACATAGTCCCATGTTTCTCAGAGGTTTTTTGTCCATTCCTTTTCATTCTTTTCTCTCTAATTTTGTCCAATTGTCTTATTTCAGCAAGATAGTCTTCCATTTTTTATATTCTTTCTTCCCCTTGATCGATTTGGCTATTCATACTTGTGTATGCTTCACAAAGTTCTTGTGCTGTGTTTTCAGCTCCATCAGGTCATTTATGTTCCTCTCTAAATGGGTTATTCTAGTTAGCCACTCCTCTAAACTTTATCAAGTTTCTTAGCCTCTTTGCATTGTGTTAGAACATACTCCTTTACCTCAATGAGGTTTGTTATTATCCACCTTCTGAAGCCTACTTCTGTCGATTCATCCATCTCATCCTCCATCCAGTTTTGTGCCCTTGCTGAAAAGTTGTTGCTATCATTTGGAGGAGAAAAGGCACTCTGGCCTTTTGGGTTTTCAGCATTTTTCCATTGATTCTTTCTCACCTTCATGAGTTCATCTATGAAATCATGTGCAAAATCACAAGAATTCCTATACACCAATAGACAAGCAGAAAGCCAAATTGTGAATGATCTCCAATTCACAGTTGCTACAAAGAGAATAAAATAAATAGGAATACAGCTAACAAGGGGCATGAAGGACCTCTTCAAGGAGAACTACAAACCACTGCTCAAGGAAATAAGAGAGGACACAAACAAATGGAAAAACACTCCATGCTCATGGATAGGAAGAATCAATATTGTGTGAATGGCCATACTGCTCAAAGTGATTTATAGATTCAATGCTATCCCCATCAAGCTTCCATTGACTTTCTTCACAAAATTAGAAAAAACTACTTTAAATTTCACATGGAACCAAAAAAGAGCCCATATAGCCAAGACAATCCTAAGAAAAAAGAACAAAGCTGGAGGCATCATGCTACCTGACTTCAAACTGTACTACAAGGCTACAGTAAACAAAAGAGCATGGTACTAGTACCAAAACAGATATATAGACCAATGGAACAGAACAGAGGCCTCAGAAATAATGCCACCCATCTACAACCATCTGATCTTTGACAAACTGGACAAAAACAGGAAATGGGGAAAGGATTCCCTACGTAATAAGTGATGTTGGGAAAACTGGCTAGCCATATGCAGAAAATTGAAACTGGACCCCTTTTTATAAAACTAATATAACATTGATCCTCAAATCACATTCATTACTGACTTTTTAAAGTTCTGAGTCAAAACTACAGGAACAGTTTTCTAACCAGACAAAACAAACTTATCTAAAAACTGTAGTAAAATTCATTTCAGAAATGATGGTGTGAGAGTATGACACATAATTTCCCAAGAACAAAAAATTTACCGGCTAAAAATTATTTTAAAACAAATATTTAAAGTTTCTGTAAATTTGCCAAGGAGAAATCTTCTTCAAATAGCAAATGAAGAAACATATATTCAAAAAGATTTAATAAATCTTAATATGATCAGTGAGAATCTGTGGCATTTGAGCCATGACCCACTCATAACTCCTTCCTCCAGCTCAGTGTGTTAACAGTTTTACTCTTGGCATGTGCAGCCAAGAAGGTAGGGGTCTCTCTCCACCTTGCTTCCCACACAGAGATATGGTTTCATGCTGGGAGGGACAGACCACTAGCATTTTTCATCCCTATCTTCTGTTCCATATTTCAGAAGCAATATTCCAGACAGACATGGCTGAAAGAATCTATCTCCCTTCCTCCTCTCAACCCCCACTAACAGAGAAGCTCTACCAGAAGGAGCGTAGGCTGAGAATACAAGGCCTTAAATGCTTCCATCAAAACTCACTTGTAAATGAGAGAAAATATTCACAAATATCCACAAGCTATGCATAGACAAAGGTCCAATTTATCCAGCATCTATAAGGAAATTAAACAATTCAACAAGCGAAAAACAACCCCATTAAAACGTGAGCAAAGGACATGAACAGACACTTCTCAAAAGAAGATATAAATTCAGCCAATAAGCATATGAAAAAAATGCTCTGCATCACTAATCAATAGTGAAATGCAAATCAAAACCATAGTGAGACACCATCTCACACCAGTCACAATGGCTATTATTAAAGAGTGAAAAAATAACAGATACTGACAAGGCTATGGAGAAAAAGGAACACTTACATGTGGATGGTGGGAACGTAAATTAGTTTAGCCATTGTGGAAAGTAGTTTGAAGATTTTTCGAAGAACGTAAAACAGAACTACCATTTGACCCAGGAATCCTATTGCTGGGTATATACCCAAGGGAAAATAAATTGTTCTGCCATAAATACACAGGCACTCACATGTTAATTGCAGCACTATTCACAATAGCAAAGGTATGGAAACAACAAATGTGCCCATCAGTGATGGATTAGATTTTGTTAAAAAAGTGCTACATATACACCATGCAACACTGTGCAGCCATAAAAAAGAACTAGATTATGTCCTTTGCGGGGTCATGGATGGAGCTGGAGGCAACTATTCTAAGCAAATTAATGCAGAAACAGAAAACCAGTACTGTATGTTCTTAGGTATAAGTGGGAGCTAAACATTGGGTACTCAGGGACATAAAGATGGGAACAAACACTGGAGCTAGAGAGGGTCGAGAGAGAGAGGCAAAGGCTGAAAAACTACCTATTGGGTACTATGTTGACTACCTGGGTGACGGGATCATTTGTACCTCAAACCTCAGTGACACACAATATACTCATGTAACAAACCTGCGTATGTACTACCCAACCTAAAATAAAAGTTGAAAATTTTGAAAAGTCAATGAATGCTACAAAAGTATTTTTATAAAAATAAAATTAAAATAAAATAAACTCACGTGTAAAGATTCCATACTAGTAGGAGCAATTTAAGAAGACCAGGGTAGACAGGGCATGGTGGCTAACATCTGTAATCCCAGCACTTGGGGAGGCTGAGGAGGGTGGATCACCTGGGGTCAAGAGTTCAAGAACAGCCTGGCCAATATGGTGAAACCTCGTCTCTACTAAAAATACAAAAATTAGCTAGGCGTGGTAGCTCTCGCCTGTAGTCCCAGCTACTTGGGGGAGGTTGAGGCAGGAGAATCTCTTGAACCCAGGAGGCGGAGGTTATGGTGAGTGGAGATAGTGCCACTGCACTCCAGCCTGGGCAACAGAACAACACTCCATCTCAAAAAATAATAATAATAATAATAAAAGAAAGACCAGGGTCTACTGTTCCCACCCAAAGCTCTGTTCATAGAGCAGGGGTTTTACTCTGAGAGAAGTGGGTCTCTTCTTGGCCAGAGTTCCAGAGTCTGTGCCTAAGGGGAACAACAGATTATAAGAACAAACAATGCCACAACTGTGCTTAAGAGAACTGACTATACTTGGAACAGAGTATGAGGAAGTCCGTGCCAAAAGGTATTGTGGAAAACAATGAAGATATTGATGCTGAGCAGTTAAGAGGTGGCTGATACCAGCTGATCATTTCTAATTCAAAAACCTGAAATCCAAAATGCTCCAAAATCTGAAACTTTGAGCACCAACATAATGCCACCTATAGAAAAATTCACACCTAACCTCACGTGATAGGCCAGTCACGACTTTGTTTTATATGCAAAATTATTTAAAATGTTATATAAAACTAAATTCAGGCAAGTGTGTAAGGTTTATATGAAATGTAAATGAGTGTTGGTAAAGGTAATTATAAAATAATTGTAAAAGTATATTGCATATTTCTTTTCTTTATGAATCAATTCATTTAAAAATAAATTTTATAAGACAATATGTATACAACTATTATTGGACTTATAAAAAATGTAATGCACTTGGCAACCACAGCAAAAGAGACATGGATAAAAACAAAGCTGTGTCACAGCACAAAAATGACACCAGATGGCAACTAGAATTCACAAGGAGAAATTAAGGGAACTAGAAATTGCAAATAAAATGCAAAATAATGTAACAAATTCCATAAATATATAATTGTCTTCCTTTCTTCTCTCAAAATATATAAAATTCTAGTAAAAATTATAACTAAATTTTTGGATAGGTTACACATATAGACTTAAAATGTACAAAAATAGTAGCAGAAATGAGGGAAGGAAATAAAATTTGATAAGAGTAAATTGCATTTTCCTATGATTAAGTTAGTGTAAATCAGAAGTAGATTCCGATAAGATGTTTTTGTACTCTTGGAATGACCATTAAATTTTTTTAAAAATGTATTTTAAAATCATTAAAGAAATTAAATGGTACACTAGAAAATATTCAGTTAATACAAAAGATGGCAGTAAAGCAGGAACAAAGAAAAAATATGAGATGTAGAGGAAACAAAAAACAAAAATTCAATCATACCAATAATAACATTAAAGTGAATGTATTAACAATCCAATCAAAAGGTAGAAATTGTCAGACTGGAGGGAAAATCCAGATCCAAATATATGCTGTCTAAAGGAGACACATTCTATTTATTTATTTATCTATCTATTTTCCACTTTTATTTTGGGTTCAGGGGTACATGTGCAGGTTTGTTATATAGCTAAATTGTATGTCACAGGAATTTGGCATACAGATTACTTCATCACTCACATAATCAGCATAGTACTTAATATGTAGTTTTTCAAGCCTCATTTCCTCCCACCTTCCACCCTCACGCAAACCGTGGTATCTGTTCTTCCCTTCTTTGTGTCCACGTATGCTCAGTGTTTAGTTCCCACTTATAAGTGACAACATGTAGTATTTGGTTTTCTGTTACTGTGTTAGTTTTTTAGGATAATGGCCTCCAGTTTCATCCATGTTGCTGCAAAGAACATGATGTAATTATTTTTTATGGCTGTATAGTATTCTGTGGTGTATATGTACCACATTTTTTTAACCCAGTCTATTGTTGATGTGTATTTAGGTTGATTCCATGCATTTGCTATTGTGAATAATGCTGCAATGAACGTATGTGTGCAGGTGTCTTTATGGTAGAACATTTTCTTCCAGTAATGGGACTGCTGGGTCAAATGGTAGTTCTGTTTTAAGTTCTTTGAGAAATCACCAAACTTTTTTCCACAATGGCTGAACTAATTTACATTCCCACAGCAGTGTATAAGCATTTCCTTTTATCTACAACCTCACCAGCATCTGTTAGTTTTTGGCTTTTTAACAATAGCCTTTTTGACTTGTGTGAGATGGTATCTCATTGTGGTTTTGATTTGCATTTCTCTAATGATTAGTGATATTGAGCGTTTTTTTCATATGCTTGTTGGCTGCATGTCTTCTTTTAAAAATCGTCTGTTCATGTCCTTTGCCCACTTTTTAATGGGGTTGTTTGTTTTTTGTTTATAGATTTAAGTTCCTTATAGATGCTGGATATTAGACTTTTATCAGACGCATGGTTTGCAAATATTTTCTTGCATTCTATAGTCTGTTTACTCTGTTGACAGTTTCATTTGCTGTGCAGAAGCTGTTTAGTTTAATTAGGTTACAATTATCAACTGTGGTTTTATTGCAATTGCTTTTGGGGTCTCCATCATGAAATCCTTGACAAGTCCTATGTCCAGATGGTATTCTCTAAGTTATCTTCCAGGGTTGTTATAGTTTTAGGTTTTATGTTTAAGTCTCTAATCCATCTTGAGTTTTTTATATGGTGTAAGAAAGGGGTCTAGTTTCGATCTTCTGCATAGGGCTAGCCACTTATCTTAGCACCATTGATTGAATAGGGAGTCCTTTCCCTATTGTTTGCTTTTGTCTATTTTGTCAAATATCAGATAGTTGTAGGAGTGCAGCTCTATTTCTGGGCTCTCTATTCTGTTCCATTGGTCTACTGTTGATGTGCATTTAGGTTAATTCCATGCATTTGCTATTGTGAATAATGCTGCAAAACATCTGTTTTTGTACCAGTACTATGCTGTTTTGGTTATTGTAGCCTTGTAGTATAGTTTGAACATGGGTAACATAATGCCTCCAGCTTTGTTCTTTTTGCTTAGAATTGCCTTGGCTATTCGGGCTCTTTTTTGGTTCCATATGAATTTTTAAACAGTTTTTTCTAGTGCTGCGAAGAATGTCATTGGTAGTTTGATAGGAATAGCATTGAGTCTGTAAATTCCTTTGGCCATATGGCCATTTCAATCATACTGATTCTTCCAATACATGAATATGAAGTGTTTTTCCATTTGTTTGTGTTATCTCTCATTTCTTTAAGCAATATTTTGTGATTCACAGTCTAGAGTTCTTTTACCTCCCTTTTTAGTTGTATTACTAAATATTTTCTATGTCAATTGTGAATGGGATTGCCTTCCTGATTCGCCTCTTGGCTTGGTTGTTGTTGGACTGTTGGAATGCTAGTGATTTTTGTACAATAATTTTGTATACTGAAACTTTTCTGAAGTTGTTTATCAGATCAAGGAGCTTTGAAGTAAAGACTATGGAGTTTCCTATACATAGCATCATATCATCTGCAAACACGGTTAGTTTTACTTCCTCTATTTCAATTTGAATGCCTTTTATTTGTTTCTCTTGCCTGATTGCTCTAGCTAGAACTTCCATAACTATATTGAATAGGAGAGGTGAGAGAGGGCATCCTTGTCTTGTTCCAGTTTTCAAGGGGAATTCTTCCAGCAGGCGAGACATTTTAAATTCAAAGATACAAATAGATTTAAAGTTAAAAAAGAAAGGAAAATAATATTTATTGCAATTACTTTGCTAATATCAGACAAGATAAACTAAAATAAAGTGTCACTAGTGAAAAAGATGAACATGAACATTTTATAATGATAAAATAGTCATCTTAAAATATATATATATTTATTTATTTATAAAATTACAGAGGACCAGAATACATGAAGTAAAAGCTGACAGAATTAAAAGAAGAAATGCATGATTCAACAATTATAGCTGGAAATTTTAATATTACACTTTCAAAAATGTATAGAACAAAAAAGATTAATAAGTGTATGAAAGATTTGAAAAACATTGTAAGCCAGTTATACCTAATAGACATCTAGAATACTGTACCTATTCTTTTCAAGTACACTTTGGAACATTTGTCAGAATAGATCATATGGTAGGCCATAAAACAAGCCTCAATAAATTTAAAAAATTAAAATCATACAAAGTAAGTTATTTTACCACAATGGAAAAAAATTAGAAATCAATAACAGAAGAACAAGATAAGGGTATTACTTTTGCCATATTATCTTACACTGTAATGGAGGTTCTAGCTATGGCAATTTGGTAAGAAAAAGAAATAAATGCATCTGGAATGGAAATGAAGAAATAAAACTGCTGCTATTTGAAGATAAACCAATCTTATACATAAAAAATTTTGAGCAATCCACTAAAAGCCTATTGAAATTAATAAATAAGGTCAGAGGGGCTGCAGGATACAAGATCAATATTCCAAAATCAGTTTTATTTCTCTTCACTAGCAATGAACAATCTGGAAAATAAATTCAGAAAACAATTGTATTTGTAGTAGCATCAAAAATAATAAAATACTTGGAAAGAACTTTATAAAAGCTATGCATTGTTAAAAGAAATTAAAGAATATATAAATAAACGAAAAGACATTCATGTTCATGGATTAGAAGACAATATTGTTAACGTGCAATACTCCGCAAATTGATCTACACACTAAACATAAATGTCTATAAAAAATCCCAGCTGGCTTTTCATATAATAACCCTAAAATTAGTATAGAAATGCAAGAGACATCAAACAACCAAAACCATCTTGAAAAAAAAATGCAACATTAGAGGATTCACACTTTCTGATTTAAAAAACTTACTACAAAGCTACACAGTGCAAATATTGACATAAATAGACATCCAGATCAATAGAATAGAATTGAGGGTAAACCTTCACATTTATGATCCTTTCATTTTCAACACCAATGACAAGACAATAAAATGGGAAAAGAATAATAATCTTTTCAACTAAAGGTGCTGGAACAACTGGATATTCATATGTAAATGAATAAAGATAAACCCCTACCTCACACCATCCACAAAAATTAATTCAAAATGAATCATAGACCTAAAGAAAAAATAAAGTGTGCTTCCTCAAAATTGTAAAAGTGTGTGCATCCGAGGATAACATCAAGAAAGTGAAAAGAGAGGAGAAAATATTTCCAAATTATGTATTTGATAAAAAGCTTTTATCCAGAACATATAAAGAACTCTTACAACTCAACAATAAAGAGGCAAATAACTCAATTTAAAAATAGGCAAAGGATTTGAACAGTTATTTCTCAAAAAAAGATAACAAATGGGCAATAATCACATGAACAGATGTTCATTATTAGTCATTTGTGAAGTGCAAACCAAAACCACAATGAGATACCACTTCCAAAACACTAGATTACTAATCAAAACAACAGGATATGAAGAAATTGGGACCTTCATACATTGCTGGTGGAAACATAACAAGACATATATAGCATCTATGGAAAATAGTTCAGCAGTTCCTTAGAAGACTAGCCATAGAATTATCATATTACCCAGAAATTTCACTCCTGGGTGTATACTCAGGAGAAATAGAAACATATGTCCACAAAAAAATTGTACATGAAAAATTGTACATGTTTATAGCAGCATTATTCACAATAAGCAAAAAGTAGAAACAATCCAAATATCCATTAATTGTTGAATGGATGAATAAAGTATGGTATAATCAAAAGGAATAAAAATCTGATACATGTGCAACATAGATGAACCTTAAAAATCTTATGCTAAGTCGAAAAGTCCAAAAACCAGTCACAAAACAAACAGTTTTTGCATCAATCCTTTTTATTTAAAGTGGTCTGAGAAGGCAAATATATAGACATGTCATGATTAATTTTTTGTGTCAACTTGACTGGGTAAAGAAATGACCAGATATCTGGTAAACACATTTTTGGATATGTCTATGAGGGGGTGTGTTAGGCCATGCTTGCATTGCTTTAAAAAAAATACCTGAGACTGGGCTATTTATTTTACCTTTTTTAAAAAAGAGGTTTAATTGGCTTAAGGGTCTGCGGGCTGTGCAGTAAGCATAGCAGCATCTGCTTCTGCGGAGGCCTTGGAAAACTTAAAATCATGGAAGAATGTGAAGTGAAAGCAAGCACATCATATGGCCAGAGAAGGAGGAAGAGATAGTGGGAGGAGGTGCCACACATATTTTAATGACCAGATCTCACGTGAACTCAAAGTGAGAGCTCATTTATCACCAAGAGAATGGCCAAAGCTATCCATGACAAATCCACCCACATGACCCAAACACCTCCCACCAGGCCTCACATCCAACATTGAGAATTACATTTCAACATGAGATTTGGGTGGGGACCAATACCCAAGCTATATTATTCCACCCCGACCCCTCCCAAATATCATGTCCTTCTCACATTGCAAAACACAATTATGCCTTCCCAATAATTCCCCCAAAGTCTTAACTCAGTCCAGCACTAACTCAAAAGTCCAAAGTCAGATCTGAGATAAGGAAAATCTATGAGCCTGGAAAATCAAACCAAATTAGTCACTCTCAAGATACAATGGGAATATAGGCATTAGGTAAATACTCCTTTTTCAAATGGGAGAAATCAGCCAAAAGAAAGAGGCTACAGGTCCCATGCAAGTTTGAAACCCAGCAGGGCAGTCATTAAATTGTGAAAGTCCAAAATAATATTCTTTGACTCCATATCCTGCATCCAGGTAACACTGGTGCAAGGGGGTGGACTGTCAAGGAATTGGGCAGCTCCATCTCTGTGGCTTTTCAGGGTGCAAGCCCCGTGACTACTCTCATGGGCTGCAGTGAGTGCAGTGCTTTTTTAAGGCACAAGGTGCAAGCTGCCAGTGAATCTATCATTCTTGGGTATGGATGGCAGTGGCCCCCTTCTCACAGCTTCAATAGGGAGTGCCCCAGTAAGGACTCTGTGTGAGAGCTCCAATCTCACATTTCCCCTTGGCACTGCCCTAGTAGGGGTCGTCTGTGGGGGTTCTGCTTCTGAAGCAGGCTTCTGCCTGAACACCCAGCCTTTTCCATACATCCTCTGAAATCTAGGTGAAGGCTGCCAAGCCTCATTCAGTCTTATATTTTGGGTGCCTGCAAGCTTAACACCATGTGTAAGCCACCAAGGCTCACAGCTTGCATTCTTCAAAGTGGCAGCTTGAGCTGTACCTGGGCCCTCTTAGAGCCCCAGCTGGAGCTGGAGCTGGCGTGGCCTGGATTTGGGGAGCAGTGCCCTCAAGGCTGTTTAGGGCAGTGGGGCCCTGGGCCTGTCCCACAGGATCATTCATTCCTCATAGGTCTCAGGACCTGTGACAGGAGGGGCTGCCATGAAGGTCTCTGAAATGCCTTTGAGGCCTTTTTCTCATTGTCTTGGCTATTAGCACTTGGCTCCTTTTTAGTTACACAAATATCTCTAGCAAGTGGTGACTTTACAGCCTGCTTGAATTCCTCTCCTGAGAAAGCTTTTTCTTTCTCTGCCATATGGCCAGGCTCCAAATTTTCCAAACTTTTGTGCTCTGCTTCTTGTTTAAATGTAAATTTCAACTTTAGGTCATTCCTTTGCTACCACAGCTGAGTGTCAGAAGCAGCCAGGCCACTTCTTGAGCACTGTGCGGCTTAGAAATTTCCTCTGCCAGATACCCTAAATCATCACTGTTTCGTTTAAACTTCTACAGATCCCCAGGACAGGGACAGAATGCAGCCAAGCCCTTTACTAAGGCATAACATATGTGATCTTTGTTTCAGTTCCCAATAAGTTCCTCATTTCCATCTGAGACTTCAGCACTCTGGCCTTCACTGTCCATATCGCTATTAGCATTTTGGTCACAACTATTTAACTAGTCCTAATAAGTTCCAAACTTTCCCTCAGCTTCATGTCTTCTTTTGAGCCTTCTAAACTCTTCCCATCTCTGCCCATTATCCAGTTCCAAAGCTTCTTGCACATTTTCAGGTATCTTTATAGCAATGTTACACTCCTTTCCAAACAGAAATTGGTACCATTTTTTTTTTGTGTTAGGCCATTCTGGAATTCTTTTAAATAAATACTCAAGACTTGGTGATTTATTTGGTTTAATTGACTCAAGATTCTGCAGCCTGTAGAAAGCATAGTGACGTCTGTTTCTGGGGAGGCCTCAGGAAGCTTACAATCATGGCAGAAGGTGAAGGGGGAGAGGTACATCACATGGTCAGAGCAGGGGCAAGAGAGAGAAGTAGAGAGCAGTTAGGGGAGGTGCCACAAACTTTTAAATGACCAGATCTCAGGCCTGTGAACTCAGAGCAAGAGTTCACTTATCACCAAGGGAATGGCTCACGCCATTCATGAAGGATATACCCCCATGACCCAAACACCTCCCACCAGAGCTCACCTCCAACATTAGAGATTATATTTAAACATGAGCTTTGGGCAAAGACAAACTATACCAAACCCTATCATGTGCTTCTGAAAGAGATTAGAGTTTGAGTCAATGGACTGAGTAGAGAAGATTCACCCTCACCAATGTGGGATGATATCCTATTCACAAAGGGCCCCAGTACAACAGAAAGGTGGAGGGAAGGTGACTTTTCTTTCTCTGTTTTTGAGCTACAACATCCCTCTTCTCCTGACCTGGGACATTGGAGCTTTTGGTTCTTGGGCCTTTGGAGCCTGGGACTTGAACCAGCAGCTTCCCAGGTCCTCAGGCTTTGGGCCTCAGACTGGGAGTTATACCATCAGCTCCCCTGTTTTTTAAGACTTTGGATTTGGACTAAATTACACCACTGGCTTTTCTGGTTCTCCAGCTTATAGACAGCATATTATGGAACTTCTTGGTCTCCAGAATAAATATCCACTTACATATCTGTATATATTCTATTGGTTCTGTTTCTCTGGAGAGCCTTGACTAATACACAGCCAAAAGTAGGGTTCATGGTTGCCTAGGGCTGGGATGTAGTGAGAATTGGTAGCAACTGCCAATGGACATGGGGTTTCTTTTTGAGGTGAAAAAAATGGTTTTAAAATTAGATTGTGCTGATGGTTGCATAGAGAATATCTCCGCAATATTCTATACTTTTATTGCACACATTTACAAAAGTTTCAAGGATTTTATAAATGATATATTAGATGGATCAATTTTCCCTCAGTGTTATGTTTTGAAACTTAGCCATGTTAATACAAGAAACTTGAGTTTTATCTACTGTATGATTTTTCCTTATGTAAATGTAACAAAATTTACTTATCCATCTGCTTATACAGATGGACATTTCAGAAGGTTTTAAAAGCTGCCACCATAGATATTTCTGTAATAAACATCTTGGATATGTTCCATTATAAACATATAGATGTGTTTCTCTGGGATATATACACTAGAAATAAAACTACTGGGTCATAAAATACATACCATCTTTAACTCTGCTTGATATTACTACATACCTCTCTAAATAAAAGCAGTTTGCTTCACATTCTTGCCAATAGTTGTTTGGGTTAGACATTTCAAGGTTTTGCAAATCTGATGGAGTGGGAAATATTATGTCTTTGTGGTTGTTATTTGTATTTCCCTAATTACTACAAAAGTTTAATGTTTGTTAATATTAACTATTTGAGTTCCCCCTTCTATTATGTATTCACACCATATTTATATTTTTCCATTGGGATCTGTATCTTTAAATGTTTGGAGTTCTAAATCCTGGGAGTTCTTTAAATGTTTTAGATACAAATTCTTTTTTTGTTGTGCATTGTTATGCATATGTATTGCATTCTGGCTTGTCATTTTATTTTATAATGTCTTTTGTTAAAAAAAGAGTTTTGGTTGGGGTTTGGTGGCTCACACCTGTGATCCCAACTCTGTGGGTGGCTGAGGCAGGAGGGTGGCTTGAGGCCAGGAGGTCGAGACCAGCTGGGAAACACAGTGAGACATCATCTCTACAAAAATTTTAAAAATTAGCTGGGCATCGTGTCGCATGCCTGTAGTCCTAGCTATTCAGGAGGCTGAGATGGGAGGATCTCAGAGCAACTTCAAGACAATATTTAGAGTTGGAAATGGAAGGGAGAAAAGGAAGGGAATGTAACTAGAAAAGTTCAGAGAGGGTTTTTAATAGATCTAAGATATTTTCCTTTTCTTAAACATTTTTGATGCAAATTTAGCAAAATGCTAATCCTGTTTTTCTATTTTTTTTTTTTAGAGACAAGGTCTCGCTCTGTTGCCCAGCCTGGAGTGCAGTGACACGATCATAGCTCTCCTGGGCTCAGGCACTCTTCCCACCTCAGCCTCTCTAGTAGCTGGGACTACAGGCATGCACCACCATGCTCAGCTAATTTTTTGTATTTTTGTAGAGATGGGGTCTTGCTATGTTGTCCAGACTGGTCTCAAATTCCTGGGCTCAAGTGATTCTCCTGCCTCAGCCTCCCAAAGTGCTGGGATTACAGGCATGAGCCGCTGCGCCCAGCCTAAACATTTTTAAAGTTGGAGAGTGACCTCATGGTATTAGTTAGACTATAATCCTCTATAATTTCTTTCATTTTGAGATTTTTCACCATAAAGATCTTTAAAGTAAAATTCATTTAAGAAACACAATAACAGTGAATATATTCAATATTGTATGGTGGAAAGCAAATGGACTTTGGGATCTGGCACATGAACTGTGCATCCTTGAGAAATTTTTTAACCTATCTGAACATCAGATTCTCCATTTGTAACATGACGGATAATCACACTTGCTGGCTGGTGAAATTCTGAAGGGTAAATGAGTTGGTATAAAAAATATGTGCCTGATATCTCTAATAAGTGCACAATAATAAATATTAATTATCTTATCCTGGAAAATTTACTACTTCAATATGAACATATGCATAATTGCTTTTTATCATGTCCTGTAATGTTACTGAAAAAAATCATTGCTGAATTTTTCAGCAGTGAATATCAGCCTGGAATATATTCGGCTCCACAAAAAGAATTATATCTTGCTGTGGAATGGTGTGTTGACTCTATGATGGCTTCAGGGATCTGAATCTCTTCTCTCTTTCTATCCAGCCATCTTCAGTAGGTAGTTTTGTCTCTCACACCCTTTATTTCTAGTCACGAAACGACAGTTCCACATCTAGCATTATATTTTCAGCCTAGCTATGCAAAAGAGAAAGGGCAAAGTCAGCTCCCCCTTTTTAAATAATTTTCCAAGAAGTCTTACCCAGGGTGTTCTGGTTACTTCTCATTGGCTAGAACTGTGTCACATGGCATCTGTCATAGCAAGAGAGGCCTGGGAAGGTGATCTTGGAGCTGGGTGTGCCCCTGGAAAAAGAAAATGAGGTTCTGTTAGTAAGGAAAATGAGGAGAATGAAAAGTATTAAGTGAAGAAATTGCAAAGACAGCATCAGAGACTGCCATTTTATGCATTCCACAAGAACCTCCTTTTTTTTTTTTTTTTGAGACAGAGCCTAGCTCTGTCACCCAGGCTGGAGTGCAGTGCTGCGATCTTGGCTCACTGCAACCTTCGCCTCCCGGGTTCAAGTGAGTCTCCTGGCTCAGTCTCTCAGGTAGCTGGGATTACAGGGACCCGCCACCACACCCAGCTATTTTTTTGTATTTTTAATTGAGACAGGGTTTCACTGTGTTGGCCAGGCTGGTCTCGAACTCCCGACCTTGTGATCTGCCCGCCTTGGCCTGCCAAAGTGCTGGGATTACAAACATGAGCCACTGCACCTGGCCAGGACCTCCATATTTTGAGTCAAGATTTCTTTTTCTGGTGTGTGATGGCTTCAGAATTCCTACCTAGAAATGATTTTAGGATGACAATATTGAAGGAAATGAGTTTCTTTAAGTGGTTTTATTTAAGCCTATGTGCAATGTCAGTACAGGGCTTTTGCTGAAATGGCATGTTTATTTGGGGCACTTGGTGTGGGCGTGAGAGAAGTAGTTGATGGAGCTGACGGGTGAGGAGAATTCGAAGTCCTCTATAGTCTTCAGCTGAACCACCGCTTCTAATAAATATGCTTTTAAATCTCCAGACACAAACACTTAAAATCGAGCTTTCTTTGCTCTTGCAGTAAATCAGTAAAGTACAACGCTCACAACTATTATTAATAATGCTTCTTCATGAGGGGGACTAACTGGATTTGGCAGAATTGTGCTTTTTCCCTTTTAGCTGCTTTCTTTCTCTTCTCACGGTATTATAGGAAGAAACTATTAGAACTAATTTTTTTTAAGGAGAAAAAAACAATACTTCTCCTAAGAGGGACCTTGCCTGAAGCAACCTCTTTTATATGGTGCTTCCTAAGGCAGTAAGCCAGCCTTTTACAGACATGGCCAGCACAGGTGTGGCAGAGCCGCACTAATGAGCAGCATATGCTTTTAGTTACATTCTCATTATGGTGTCATCAGGGCCCAAGAAAGCAACCATATTACACGTTTAAGTTTTTAAAAATGGAAAGATGCTGGGGCTCCTTTAATTTTAAATATTCTGGGAATCATAATTGAAATCAAAACTTCTTTGAACTATTGTGGTGTACCCCAATTACAGGAAATCACTTACCAGTGAAAATTACACGGAGAAAGAATATTTTCAATTCTATGGAAAAGGGGGGAAAACATTTTTCTTTAATGTTGGTCTAGTCGGGAAAACTTGACCAACCTTGTCTCTAGATCCAAAGATTGGTCCAATGCATTGATCTTTATGTAAATTCTGTTAATATTGAATGGCACTTAAACAAGGTCAAAAATGAAATTCCATTAATGACTCACATCAAGTTTTAGCATCAATGGACACTGCAAACCAAGCCTTGGGCTCCTTAAAATTCTAACTGGCTCATTTAAAGTCAACCTCAGAAGTTATCTTGGTTTCATTTGGATCCCCTTACCATCAGAGGTAGTCATGAATGATTCTTCTTGGGGGACTGATGTGAATCTTTAAAATTTATTCACCACCACAAACAGTATCTGAGTTCATATGAACTGTCATGGATAAGGAAATGTGCCTGAGTTCCTTATTGTACTCACACAACATAATGAAGACACACAATTCACACTCATGCCATTTTCTGCTGCACTAAAGTTTGAAACTGTCATAGATGCTAATGCATGAAAAAAGTGCAAAGTGCTTCCACTTGGATTTTTAGCTCCAAGCCATTTGGCAGTGAGTTGAAGGGAGTAAGCATACTGACAAGCAAATGTGTTAGCCTTTTATATCCCATTTTGAGAGTTTTGGGTGTGAAAAAAGTGGGAGAAAATGGAAGATTATACATCTACTATTCTGGACTGTTGAGTTCCTTCCAATGGAGAATGATGATGTAGAAACTGCAAAGCAAATCTCTAGGGGATGGGATGAGGTCAGACACTGGATCCCAATCCTAGCATTTAGAGCAAAAGCAGAGTGGGAGCCAGGCCAGTCACAAGCTAGACAGCTGGCAGAAGATGCCAAACCAAAGCTGGGCAGGTGCAAGAACCAGAGTCCTGGAGCACATTTAAGGTTATAACGACTAGAGTTAAAGAGGAGGAAAGGAAACTAAGAAATACTCCTCCCAGGCGACGTTCTTTGTGGGAGTTTCTTTCCAATCCCTAAATGCCATGCTGCCTCTGGTATGCTTGGAGCAGCATTTGATAACATTTCATCAGCTGTCGTGTCCTGCACACACCTTTCCAGTTTTGACACATTTCACACAGTTATCACACCCACTGTCCTCAGACAAGTTTATGTGCTTCAGACAAACCAAGCTGTGCTCATACATGTTTATATACCTGCAATTGACAAGAATGAGGCATCTGGAAGACTTGTGGCAGCTAAGACCAGAAAAGAGCTCTGTTCCTTCTCCTCCTCTCTTTGGAAATTGATGCCCTTTCATCTTCCCATCTTAACACTTATTCTTCCAAATTTTTCATTCTGGCTTAAGCCAAGATAATTCTTGCAGGAGCCAAATCTCTCATCTTTGACTCAACCTCCTCCCCTTTCTTTTTTCCATGGAATCTCATCAAATCTGCCAATATCTTCTTTTGAAGAGCTTCTGAATTTATGTTTTTCTTTTCTCTCTCACTCTCACCACCTTGTCTAGACCCTGGTCACATCAAACCTGGATTGTTTTAACATTAACTCTTCTCATTAGATGTGCTGGTTCCAGCCTTTCCAGCCCTGACCTATTCACACATCAATCCCCAGCGCAGGGGTTCCTGAGAGGTCCCATTGCCTATAATGCTAAGTGTACACTCCTCCTGCCACTCTCAGTATCTGGCCCACCTTCTCTATCCAATCACATTTCTCTCCTACTCTTTCTTATCACTCATCTCTCTATCTCCAGTTTTACCATTTCCCCCACTTCTACTAATCAATTTTCTTTGCTTAAAATGTCTCCCCATTCGTCCTCAGCTATCCAAACACTAGCTATCCATCTAAGTTCATGCCAAATTATCCCCCACTAAGTCTTCTCTGAAAAATTGGGTCCCTTTCAATTCCATAGTTCTAACTGCCAATACTTCATATTTCTGTTATCTAGAAGATTATGTTCTGACTCGAGGTTACTTAATGCTTGTTTTATAAACCTGTTTGCCTCCTTAACTCTTTAACTTTTGAGAGCATTGTCTTGATGATACATTTCTCCTGCATTGAGCTTTTTCCCCTTTGGGGAACACGCTGTGGAAAAGTAGACACCCAATAGATGCTTAATGTACATATTTATAAAATTTGTCTGGGAACAAAGATTTAAAAAATTTATATTAAAAAGGACTCTGGGAAAGTCAGCTTGGGATTTGGAGAGTTTTAAACATTTTATGCACAGAATTAGTTTAAAGACACAGGACTGAAGTATCCTGCTCCCTCTGACCTTTGGGCTGGCAGCAATGCTGGCAATATTCTACTCTTTCATTTTTGGCCCTTCTTCCACAGCTTTCTGGGCTGCTTAATTGGCCTGCATTCCAACTTCATCACTGGAATGTAAGCTATCACCTACACACTTAAGTAAATAGTTAAATCGTTCTTCTGGCTTTACCAAATGGAACAGTGGTTTCCAAAAATGGGACTCCACAGCTCTGCCATGTCCTTCGTTACTTGGGAAAGGTTCTGTTATAATCTCCTTGCATCCCTACACTGAATTTACTTTCTTCTTCTCTGAAAATAACACTAAAGTAAGGCAGGGGTAACACTAAAGTAAGGCAGAGTTCATTGGAAATGGAAGGATGAAGAACATTTGATTTTAAACTGAGAAAAGTTTTCATTCTAAAGAACTTGAGGCCGGGCGCGGTGGCTCACGCCTGCAATCCCAGCACTTTGGGAGGCCAAGGCGGGCGGATCACGAGGTCAGGAGACCGAGACAATCCTGGTAACACGGTGAAACCCCGTCTTTACTAAAAATACAAAAAAATTAGCCAGGCGTGGTGGCGGGCGCCTGTAGTTCCAGCTACTCGGGAGGCTGAGGCAGGAGAATGGCGTGAACCCGGGAGGCGGAGCTTGCAGTGAGCTGGGATTGCGCCACCGCACTGCAGCCTGGGTGACAGAGCGAGACTCCGTCTCAAAAAAAAAAAAAAAAAAAAGAACTTGCATATATGGTATCTTCAGCTAAACAAAATTATATGGTTTTTATTAAGCACCAGAAAAGCAGAGAGCCTGGGTGAAGTTGTAGCCAGCTCTGGGCCTGCTTTATAATTGGATGATCTAATCAGTGAACACTACAATAAAGTAGAAAATATACCCAGAATATGAAAACTTATTAAATAATAAGAGTGTGCAAATTCTCCTTAATTCTGTCCTTCCTATTCCATCTTTAGAAACCATAGTAAAGTTGTTTAAAGTATGGAATCTGTGTAAATTTTGTAAAATCATACAGGAAAGGAAAGTTGATTTTTGCCTACATGGACAACACCAGGACTGGGATCATGGAAAACTAAATTGGCATGTACTATCTAGAGGCAGAAGTAATCAAACAATTAATTTTGAATAGGAGCATCTCATTTGTATCACTCTTTCTTAATACATGTGGTTTAGAATTTCAGTAATCAAACCATAATAGCTTAAAAATACCAAGTTAGCTACCAAATCTATGCGCAGACGAGATTAGGATTCAATAATGTGCTGACTAGTCTCATTCACTCTAAACATATTATTTTCAGATTTGACTTAAATAGCTAAGTTACTACTTTATCGCTTTGTCCAAACCAATGCCTTCCCTCTCCTTCCTTCTACAGTACCATCTTTTTTCCTGCTCAATATTATCAAACCAAGCTACAAATCTAATTAAACTGTCTTGATGCCAAAATCTCTGCTCCTGGAGAAATGCATCATGCAGCACATCTAGGTAAGTGAATTAAAAAAGCATCCAGGCAGGTATCTGGTGAATGTCTCAGTTCATCCTTGCATAATAAACTATCTTCTCCTGCTCATTCATTTGTCAGTCACAGTAACTAAGGATTATTATTTGCTGAATGTACGTGACACCAGCAATTTGCAAAGTCTGTTGGCAAGAAAATCAGGTTAGCATGACAGAGTGAGAAATTAAGCAGAAGCCTGATGTAATTAGCTACAACAATCAGTGCTCTAATTTCTGATTTATTGTTTCCTGTTTTCCTGCTGCACTCCACTCTGTGTATACTGTATGTACTTCATATAGGTCAAACAATTGCCTTATCAGTCCTGGCAAAGCGAGAGGTCAGAGTTAACAATATTTATTTAAACATGCAGGATGCTTCCCTCTGCAATTAGGAAATAACTATTACTAATAGGTCCTTGGCACTATTTCCTCATTTATACAATTTTTGGGGAAAAAAGAAACAGAAGCAAGGAAGAATTGGGATTCATTTCTTACATATGCACAAAAGTTTATTTAGTTCTCCCTCTTGGATAATTCTTTTACTCTCAAAAGATCTATGATTCTAAAAGAGCCAAATGAATCATTACTGTTACAGATGAATATTTATAAAAATACAGTAAAAATATCTTTCTTGATAAATAGTGGGGTTTTGTTTTCAAAGCCCTGTTAAAAGGTTATTGCAGAACCCCCTTGGAAACTCTAGTCCATGGAGAATTTTCTTGCTGTCCATCATTCAACCACAAACAGAAAGTGGTGTTAGCTGTTCTTTTCATATTTTTAGAAAGCATTCTTTCAAATTGCATATAGGTTCTATTTTGCAGAACTATGAGCTTTCTTACATTCAAAATAGAATTTTCTTAAAACCTCTGAAATAAAGCAATGAACTTCTATAAGATAAAAATACTTCACTCAAAATAATGTTAACATTTCTGAAAGAATGAAAATAACTTAATTCAGGGTAAATTAAATGAAATTTGCATCACTGGCATGTAAAAGAATAGGTTCTAGGTTTCTTTAAAAACAAAGGACCTGAATATAATAAGACAAATATTTCTGTTTGTATTCTTTTAATTAAAAAATTTTATATGTTAATTCTCTCAAGACACTGTATACCTTTGAGAAGATAAAATAGAACATACTTCCAAGGCTTTCAGAAAATCCTCAGAATCTAGTCAGACTGAAAAGCAAGATGGGACATAGAAGACACATTAGACTGCCAGGAAATCTGGATTTTTCTAAGGTCATCTCTTTCTTAACTAATAGCCTTGGGTAAATCATTTGACCTCTTTAAGTCTCATTTTCCTCATAGACCAACCTGTACTATGAAAGGCATGCATTCATTAGTTCTTTCATTATTCCACAAAATTTTACCGAGTACTAAACAGGCACTGTTGCACTGTGCTAAGTGTTGAGAAAACAGTGGTGAACAGCAGCAAGTAAGAGAAATCTTTGTTCTCATGAAGCCTACTCTAACAACTGCAAGATAAAAGTAGATATGCTTCAGGACCAATGATAACAGTGTGTCATTAAGTCAGTGATTATAATAATGTCTTTTTCAGTTGCTGATATCCACCAAAATGATGGAGGGGAGAATGAGCAAATAAACAAATAAATGATCATAATAGGCTGAGAGAAGAAAAATAAAACAAGTGAAAGTAACAGAGAGTTACTGGAGGACAACTTGAAAGGGGAGGTCAGGGAAGGATTCTCCAAAAAGGTAACATCTGAGTTGAGACTTAAGTGACAAGAAAGTGCCCACTGTTCAAAGATCTGAGAATAGAGCATTACCAGGAGAAATAGGAAATAGAAGACTTCAAGTGGGAATAAATAAGTTGTGACTAAGCAACAGAAAGGAATCCAGTGTAAGCTGCTGTAATTTCCAAGTGTGGTAGTGGAAAAGTATTTAAATGAGGTCAGAGAAGTAGGTACAGTTGTTATCATACATTTTTAAAACCATAAGCAATTTGAAGTATATTCTAGGTTGGATGGGCAGTAATTGAAGCTAAGTAGGCTTATACTGTAATCTAATTTAATATGTAAAACTAATTCAGCCTCTAGGTAGAGAATTGAGAGCAAGAGTGGCAGCTATGGCAACTGATTGGGAGTGGATGGCAGTAGTAATATTGGCTTGGACTAGGCAGTGAAGATGGAGAGAAGACTAACATAATGAACCTTGGAGACAGTTGGTAGGACTTGCTCTTGGGTTGGATGTAGAAAATGAGAGGAAATGAGAAATCAAAATGACTCCTAGGTTTTGGACTTGAGCATCTGGGTGGATAGTGTTTGCATTAATGAGGTAGTGACTACTGATTGGGGTAGAATAAATTTGGCTTCAGCCATGGTAAGTTTCAGTTATCTATTATATGCCCAAGTAGCATATAAAATAGGTAGCTGGATATTCAAGTCTAACTAGCCAGATCAGGACCAGAGTTATTGATACAGAGATGGTATTTAAAGCCATGAGGAATTAGATGAAATTATCCAGAAAAACATTATAAATAGAGATGCAGAGAAGTCCTAAGACTAAACTCTAAAGTACCTTAACATTAAAAGGTTCAAAAAAGAAAAAGGAATCCACAAAGGTGATTGAGAGGAAGAAACTCCACATGATTTGATATTATGGGAGCCAAGACAAGAAAGAATTTCAAGAAGGAAGGAGTGATCAGTTTTGCCAAATATTACTGACTGGTAGAGAAAACTGATGACAGATGATGGTAAAATAGAAGTTAATGACCTTGACAAAAGTAGTTTCATGAACTGTAAGGTTACACATCTATGGATTTAAAAATCAGGCTCAGGCTGGGTGTAGTGGTTCATGCCTACAATCCCAGCATTTTGAGAGGCTGAGGTTAGAAGTTCGAGACCAGCCTGGCCAACATGGTTAAACTCCATCTCTACTGAAAATACAAGAATTAACCAGGTGTGGTGGTGCATGCCTGTAGTCCCAGCTACTCAGGAGACTGAATCAGGAGAATCTCTTGAATCCAGGAGGCAGAGGTAGCAGTGAGCTGATATTGCATCACTGCACTCCAGCCTAGGAGACAGAGCAAGACTCCATCTCAAAAAATAAATAAATAAATAAATAATAATAAAAGTAAAATAAAAATCAGGCTCTACAACTTAATAGCGAAGCAGGATATTTCCCTGCCCCTTTGCAGGTGGGAACTTGAGTACAGGGATGCTGGAACTAGCTGGCTGCTTTGGCACTGGCAGGGGCAAATTCCACTCACTTGGATCCACTGCACTTCACCCTTCATGGGGGGCGGGGAGTGTGCAGGTGAGTGGATGCAGGAGCTGGGGCGAGTGCTTTTGAGCACTGGCAGAAGCAAAACTCTGTGCGGCCCCACAGCAGCATCTGGGGAGGTGCCCATGACCCCTGAAGCCCCAGAAGGAGTGTTACCGTGCCCTTTTAGCTTTACTGTCCATGGACAGCTTAAGTGGTAACAGCTCAGTGGAGGGTCATTGTGACAACATTTTGCACCTGCACTCATGGCACCCAAGTTCTTGTCCAGTATCCAGAAGGAATGAGATCGCATGAACAAATTGAAGATGGTAAACAAGGGGGATTTTATTGCCATTGAAAGTAGCTCTCAGCAGCAAGGGGAGCTGAAAAGGGGATGGAGCCGTAAGGTAATCTTCCCCTGAAGATTCCCCGTGGATGGCCAGACTCCTCTCCAAAGCTACGCTGTCAAGCTGTCCCTCTGAAGTAAAGACTCTTCTGTCTGACGTCCTACCATAGTCTCTGACATCCAGCTACTTCCCCTCCTTCTGCTGGCTGAGCCTGGGGTTTTTATGGGCACAGAATGGGGGTGGGGTAGGCCATGGGTGGTTTTGGAAAGGCAACATTCGAGCAGGAAAACAGGGATGTAAGTTCTCACTTTGGGCTGCATTGACAGGCTTTTCAGCTTAAGGGTGGGGCCCTCACCAGGGACCTGCCCTCTTCTGCCCAGAATTTCCCTGCCTCCTGTCCCTATCAATAGCTATATGACCTTGGGCAAGACATTTAAATCTTCTGTGCCTCAAATTTTTCTTCTTGGCAATGGGAGTATAGCACCTACAGTCAGACTGGTTGAATGATTCAACACAGTAATATATTGGAAAGATCTTGCCATGATTCAATAGACCTTCTTTCTGTTCCCCTTTTCCCAACTCACCAGAAAATTTAAAATATAGTTAACTAACCAATTCTGTTAAAGTCAAATAAAGTCCATACATCAAAATTTGAAAAAATAGATGCTAGAATTCTTTAAGCTACTCTTTTACTCACAATTTTATGTAGGACAGCAAAGCTTAAACTTTGTAATGGAAATGGTCATAAGTTACTACGTAGTTATATGTAGTTATGTAATAGCCAATAATTCCAATAAATTATCTAAATTTCTATCACAAAGGAAATAACTAAAACATATTTTTTACCCTTAGTACTAAAATTTATTCTGAAATAAAGGCACAATGAAAGAAGAGATCATGACAATGGGAGTATTCTAACGCATATTAATTTTTAAATTAAATAGTATTAATGTCTCAGTAGGAATGAATCTATGCTTTTTTGACTGAGAGAACAATTTCATGTATAATCTCTGACAAGATAAATACCCTCCTTGCAGTGGAATCTGTTGTTTTACAATTAATTAAATGTTTTAGCTAGGTTAAATCTCAATCTCTGCCCAAATTCTTAAAGCAATATGAATTTCTACCAAGATATTGAAACACCTAAAACATTTTGTCATCTGGCAATTTCTGTAGTATCTTCTTAATCGTATGTTTAGATTAATAACATTTTCTAATTTTAGTGGAGTCTGATTTGTCAATTTTTTTCCTGAAGGGTTAGCACATTATTTGTCTAACGAACTTTTAGAAGTTATTTTTTTCTCATCTAAGCATTTATTATTTATTTAACAATATTACTTCAGTGCCTTCTGGGTCAAAAATAGGATATAAAAGTTCTCTCTCTGCCTGACTCATTGATGAGAGACATGG
Source organism: Homo sapiens (assembly GCF_000001405.40). Classification (NCBI taxonomy): domain Eukaryota; kingdom Metazoa; phylum Chordata; class Mammalia; order Primates; family Hominidae; genus Homo; species Homo sapiens. The sequence goes on from NC_000004.12 coordinate 174,074,917, forward strand.
ATCTTCTGCCCTTGGACTGGGACTTACTTCATTGATGCTCCTGGTTCTCATGCCTTCAGACTCAGACTGGCATTTATTTAATACAACACTGGCTTTCCTGGGTCTCCAGCTTTCAAACAGGAGATCATGGGACTTCTCAGCCTCCTTAACTGTATTAACCAATTCTTATAATAAATTTATAAATATATATGTATAAACATGCATATGTGTGTATACATATATCTCCTATTAGTTCTATTTCTTTGGAGAACTCTGACTAAAGAATGTGAGATAGAGATTAAATGATAACTTTATTTCCCATGTTGATATTCAATTGATGTAGTACAGTTTACTGCAAGTACAATCATTCTTCACTGCCCTGCAGTGTCAATTTTTTATAAATTAATTATCCTTATGTGTGTGGTCTGTTTCTGAACTGTCTATTCTGTGCCTTTGGTATATTTGTGTATGTCTGCCTAAATTCTACACTGTCTCAATCGTATTAACTTTATATTAACTTACAGAAGAGAAATGACTCCTCAAACTTTATTTAGCATTTTAAGATCGTCTTAGACATTCATGGCTCTTTGACTTTCCATAGAAACTTTTGTATTTTTCACAGAGACAGGGTCTCACTTTGTTGCCCAGACAGGTCTCAAACTCCTGGCTTCAAGCGATCCTCCCACCCCTGCCTCCCAAAGTGCTGGGATTACAGGTCTGAGCCACCATACCACAGACTAGAACCTTCTTTCAGTAGAAGGCTGTTTTATCTACAATGAAAATTTGTTCTTTAGTTCAGCCACCTTCATCAATTACCTTAGTTAGATCTTCTGGATTACCTGCTACAACTTCTCCATCAGCACTTGCTGCTTCACCTTGCCCTTTTAGGTTATGGAGACGTCTTCTTTCGTTAAACCTCATAAACCAACTTCTTCTAGCTTCCAACTTTTCTTCTGCAGCCTCCTCACCTTTCTCAGCCTTCACAGAATTGAAGAGAGTTAGGGCTTTGCTCTGGTATAGGATTTGGCTTAAGAGAATATTGTGACTGGATTGATCTTCTATCCAGACCACTCAATTTCCTCCATATCAGCAATAAGGCTGTTTTGCTTTCATATCATTTGTGTGTTCACGGGAGTAGCACTTTTAATTTCCTTCAAGAACTTTTCCTTTACATTTATGATTGGCTGACTGTTTGGCCTAGCTTTCAGCCTATTTCAAGTTTGGACATGTCTTCCTCACAAGCTTAATTATTTGTAGCTTTTAATTTAAAGTGAAAGACATGTGACTCTTCCTTTCACATGAACACGCAAAAGTCATTGTAGGGTTATTAAATGGCCTAATTTCAATATCTTTGTGTCTCAGGGAAGAGAGGCCTGAGGAGAGGGAGAGAGATAGGGGAACAGCCTGTCAGTGGAGCATTCAGAGCACACACACTTATGGATTAAGTTCGCTGTATTATAGGGGTGTGGTTTGTGGTACTCCAAAACAGTTATAATAAAAACATCAAAGATCACTGACCACAGATCACCATAACAGATATAATACTACTAACAATAAAGTTTGAAATATTGCAAGAATTACCAAAATGTGACACAGAAACACAAAGGGAGCACAAGCCAGTGGAAAAATGGCACCAATAGACTTGCTCAACACAGCGTTGCCACAAACCTTCAATTTGTAAAAAACACAATATCTGCAAAGTGCAATAAATCAAAGCATCACAAAATAAAGTATGCTTGTACTTATATATCATATCTTCATTATTATTCAGTTTTAAATATCTTCTAATTGCAATTATGTTTTGCTGCCCCATATATTTCTGCAAAATTACGTTGGGGATTATATTGAAGATTTTCCAGTTAATCTTTTTAAATTTAGTATTTTTATGATGAATTTTAGCAAATGTTTAAAATACATTTGAAAAGCATAGGCATTCTTTGGTTACTGTGTACAGTGGTCTGTATCTATTGATTATATCAAGTAACTTAATTGTGTTTATAACCCTATAATTTTTTCTTGCCTGTTCTATCAGTTATTGAGGGATGTTTGCTAAAATCTTCAAATATATTGTGGATATTCTGCTGTCCTTTTAGTTACATCAATTTTTGCTTTATGAATTTTCAGGCTATGTATTAAGTACATGCAAATTCAGAATTCATAAGTCATTCTACTGAATGGAAAATTTTATCATTCCAAAATGTCCTTCTTCAGTTCTAGTAATGTCTCTTGCCCACAATCAACTTTGTCATTCATTTAAATATATCAGATTTCCTTTGGTTAGTTTGTACTGTGTGTGACTTTCCATCCTTTTTTTTCCTTTTTTAAGGCATGTATCTATTAAGTATTACATAGTTGAATTTCTTAAGGAGTCTGACAATTATTGCCTTTTAATTAGAGTCTTTATTATATTGATATTTAATATAATTCCTGCTGTATTGGGATTTAAATCAATGCCTTGCTTTTTATTTATTTTTCTGCATCCAACGTGTCTGACATTCCATTTTCCTCCTCTCTTACTTTCTCTATGGTTAATTAAATATTTTGTCTCATCTTATTTATCATTCTGTTTCTTCCTGGTAACATTAATATTTTTAGTCATTAGTCAGAGATTACAGCATGAATCCTTGACTTATTAAAATCTAATATAAATTAGCATTTACCACTTTCCAGATATTGCTAGAAGCTGAAAATAATATAACTGCAATTACCTAGCTTACTTGTTGTACAATTATTCTTATGTATTTTAAATTGACATATATTTCAAACCCCCTGTTAAAAGACAAACTTCAGCTGAATTAAATTTAAAGGAGTTTAATTGAGCAATGAATGATTTGTGAATCAGGCAGGCCCCCAGAATCACAGTAGATTCTCAGAGACTCAAGGGATGCCTCATGGTCAGAATAAATTTATAGACAAAAATAAAAATGATGTACGGAAATTAGAGGTGAGGTACAGAAACAGCTGGATTGGTTGCAGGTTGGTGTTTACCTTATTTGAACACAGTTTGAACACTCAGCAGCTTATGGTTGAAATATGGCTGATAAGACTGACCAAGACTCAGCCACTGTTACAGGCACATACTCCAAAGTTAGGGTTTCAATCTTGTCTACCTACTAAGTTAGGTTGCAGTTTGTCCACAAGAACTCAAATATAAAAGTACAGAGTCCTTCTCAGGCCATATTTAGTTTGCTTTAACACTCCTAAAGCAATTTATACAATTAATTTTCATTTCTATATACTCAAATATTTACCCTTTATTTTGCTTGTTTTTCTTAATGCAGCTACATGGTTCCATCTGGATCATTTCACTTCTGCTTAAAGAAATCCTCCTGAATATTTGCTGCTTTGGTAGATAATCAACACCTTCAGACAATTACTTTAAATTTTTGTTTAGATTTTCTAGTTATTATTGGTAGGACTTTTGGTCTGAAATAAGCTTGTCTGATATTGCTGGAAGCAAAAGTCTCACAAAATATCTCCCTCTCAAACCTTTCTCCCAGATTCATATATTCAAATACCTGCTGGACATCTCCACGTAGATGTCTAACAGCTCAAACCATATTGAAACCCTGGTCCTTCCCTCCCCCTCCACAACAAAAATCTCACTCCACCCATATCACTTCCATCTTACTTGACGAAAATGCCAACCTTTTAGTTGTTTGACCCCAAATTTTGGAGTCATCTTTTATTCCTGTCAGAAACTGTTGGCTCTATCTTCAAGACTTGTCCAGAAATCAACCATTTCCCTCCATCTGTACTGTTACAACTCTGATCCGAATCACTATAATATCTTTTCTGGATTGCTACAATAATTCCCTGATAGGTCTCCCTGAGTCTATATTTGATCCCCACAGAATGCTCAACAGTGCAGCTAGAATGACACTTTTACTGGTTAAATCACATTATGCCACTTATCAGCTTATACCACCCAATGCCTGCCCATCAGACTAGCCAAAGATCTTACTATAACTTGCAAGGTCCTCCTGGATCATCGCCTCCTTGCCTTTGATTTCATCTTCTACCATTTTCACTGTGCTCCATCACACTAGCCTCTTTCTGTTTTTAAACATAAAAGGCATTTTCATTCCCACATCTCAAAGTCCTCGCTCTAGCTGTTTCTTTTGCATGGAAGTCTCTTCCTCCTCATAATCTACTGGCAAACCTTTACCCTCTTGAGTCATTGCTGAAATCCTACCTTTTCAACAACCCCTACCACGATCAATCTATTTAGATCTGCAACTCACCCCAACTTCTGCATGGCCCTCTCAATCTCCCTTACTCTGCTCTACTTTTTTTTCTATTGAATTTTTCATCTTCTAAAGTAAAATGTGCTTATTTTTATGGTTTATTTATATTTGCCTTCAACTACTAGAATATGTGTCCCAAGAAGAAAGGGGTCTTTGTGTTTTTCATAGATGTATTCCAAACATCCACAACAATGTCGAATATATAACAGGCTCCCCATATATATATCTGTTGAATGAAGAAGTGAATGAATGAATAAATGCCTTCCTCTTTCTACACAGTCCTGCTTAGAAGGTGAATGAGACATTTGGTTTTCTTGAACATGGAGAATATATACCATTCCCTAGGGTATTACCGTTTGTATCTGCTATAAGAAATTACCACAAACTTGATGACTTAAAAAAACAAAAATTTATTATCTCACAGTTCTGGAGGCAAGAAATAATCAGATTGCTGGGCCAAAATCCGGGTATCCAGAGCCACACTACTTCCAGAGGTCCTAGAGGAGAATCCATCCATTCCTTGAACTCAGAATTCAAGACGGGAACTCCTAGGCTTGTGACCACATCACTCCAGTCTTCAAGTACAGCATCTTCAAACTTGTTCTGCCTTCAGTGTGTTTGTGTGTGTGTGTGTGTGTGTGTGTGTGTGTTTATAAAATCTCTCTCTGCCTTCATTTATAAGGATATAGGTTATGGCATTTAGGGGCCACCTGAATAATCCAACATAACCTTCCCATCTCAAGATCCTTAGTTTAATCACACCTGCAAAGACTCTTTTCCCAAATAAGGTAGCATTTACAGATTCTCAGGACCTGATATCTTTTGAGGCCTAAGATCTTTTTGAGGACAGCCCACCACACCTGGGCACAATGTACAGTGAATATAGTTCCCTTATGACTTAATGGAGCAAAGCAGTCATGCAAGCCTTGGAAATCCTTACTTTGAGATACTAGGTTGAAGAGAAATAAACATATTTTAAGCCACTGTTACTCTGGGCCTTGTTGAGTTCAATCATAATGAATCCTAACTGATAACAGTGAATAACTGTGAATATTTTTAATTGAAATATTACATTTACCGAAATGGAGTTGCACAAACTCTAATGTTATGTTTCTTTGCTTTGGACTGGAATTTTATTGCCTAATTGGGTAACCCTGGTTATTTCATGTTGAAATACTCTCTGATACACAGTGGAAATAAAATGTATAACTTTAAAATAAAGTTTGGTAGATAGTTTAAAAACTTGAAGTGCCTAGAGAATACAAAAATTAATATTTAAAAATCTGATTGTGGAACTGTTTAGAACCACTGCTCTACATGAAAGCACATTAAATGACTGAACAGTTATCCTCTTTACCTACTACATTTTCTCCTAAAGCCTGGTAAGGAGCAAATTGCAACAGCCTAGACTGAGTCACAAAGACATGGATGTTCACAAGAAAACATGTGCTAAACAAATACCATATTTGGTAAGTACAAGTGGTTAGCAACTGAAAAGCCTTGCTTTGTAAATAGAAAATTCCCTCTTTAACCTAATGGTAAAAGCTGGCATTTATTCTGACATGTTTGTCCAACAGTAAATTAACAAAAGAGTGGCACTTCTAATTCTACAAAATTAATCCCCAACAAGCTTCCCTGGATATCTTCGAGGATCAGATACTATTGGAGATAACAAACTTAAAAGGTGTTAGAAGATTGGAACTGTGAAAGACAGCCTCAGCAACCTGTGGAATTCCAATGAACATTTGTGTTTGGTCATTGCCATGTATGTTCTATTATTAAGTAACTGTTGGGTAACATGTCTCAGGCCAAAATAAACAGTATTACCTGATAGATGTATGCACTAAACATTAATATATTATAATGAACAGAGCTACATTGCTGCCCAAATGATCATATACAGATCATACAACAGTGTAATCTGTTTATCACGATACCAAATATCTTACGTTCTGGCTTTTTCTATAGAGTATCATCAGTTAACATTCAGAATTAATGCGCCCCATCCAGCCAGCTGCCCAAGCCAGAGGGTTTTTTCCCAGTCAACCCATAAACACCTAGTGGAGAAGTCTTAGCTATTTAATATCTCCATCCATGTGTCTCCATCCCCATTGTTACCACTTAGGTCAACTCTTGAATTCACATTTCTCATTCAGGTTCCATTAAGCTCCTAAGCGAGCTCCACACACCCACTGATGCCTCTTTAATACATTCTCCACTCTGCATCCAGAGGCATCTTCTAATAGTATAAATATGTCATTGTTCTGCTGAAAACCGTTTGATGATCCACTATATTCTTCAAGGCTATTCATAATCTGGCAATACAGTGGAGCCATCAAGAACTTGGGCCCTAAAGCCAGACAGTCTAGGTACAAATCTTGGCTCTAACACCAGATGTGGTTCTGGGAATTCACTTTATGTCCCTGCTTCTCAATTTTTCCTTCTGTAAAATAATTAATGTAATATTAGTGTTGCATTAATATGGTTGGGATTAAAAGAGGTAATGCTTATAAAGCCCTTAGTCCAGTGTCTGGCACACACATAGTACACATTCCATAAAAATAATCTGTTATCATGTCTTGAGTTCTGTGTTCTCTACAGTTAAAACAAACTGCTGGCACTCTCTGAAGACATTATTCTGCCTCTGGATGCTATCTTTACATGTGCTGCTTCCTCAGGCAGGAAACCAGTCTTCTCCCATGGCCCCAACACCACTTTCTCTAGTTGATTCCCACATTTAACCTTTAAAAAATCATGGAGATTGAATGTCCTCCTAAAAGCCTTTCCTCACTTTCTGCCATCTAGGTTTAATTCATATACTCATGGAGTAGTCCATACATAACACTACTCTAGGGCCTTATAGATTATATTGCAATTGTCTGCCTAATGGCCTATAACCCCACGTGGGTTATAAGCTCTTTGGAGGTCAACAATATAACTATTTGTCTCTGTATCATTAGTTCATTTTTTGTTTTTTTGAGAAACAGTCTCACTTTGTCTAGGAGGCTGGAGTGTAGTGGTGATCTCAGCTCACTGCAACCTCTACTTCCTGGGTTCAAGCAATTCTCTGCCTCAGCCTCCCAAGTAGCTGGGCCTACAGGCATGCACAACCATGCCTGGCTGATTTTTGTATCTTTTATAGAGATGGGGTTTCAATGTGTTGGCAAGGCTGGTCTCCAACTCCTGGTTTCAAGTTATCCACCGGCCTCTGCCTCCCAAAGTGCTGGGATTACGGGCATGAGCCACCACGCCCAGCCTCATTAGCTCACTTTTGCACTGCTATAAAGAAATACCTGAAACTGGGTAATTTATGAAGAAAAGAGGTTTAATTGGCTCATGGTTCTGCAGGCTGTACAGGAAGCATGGCTGGGGAAGCCTCAGGAAACTTACAATCATGGAGGAAGGTGAAGGGGAAGCAGGCATCTCTTCATATAGGCAGTGCAGGAGCAACAAAGGTGGAGGGAGGTGCTACATACTTTTAAACAACCAGATCTTGAAATAACTCATTCACTATCACCAGAACAGCACCAAAGAGGAAACCTGCTCCCATGAGCCAATCACCTCCCATCAAGCCCCATCTCCCACATTGGGGTTTACAATTTAACATGAGATTTGACAGGGACACAGACCCAAACCATATCACACAGTGACTGAAGATAAGCAAAGGAGAAGTAGCAGGAATAAAGATTCTGTAGACTTAGATGAATCTGAGAAAAAGAAGACTGTCTAAGGGTCTCAATCATCAAGTGCATGGTCATATGCGAGTACTTAGAACTGTATCTTTTTCTCACCAGATAAAATCCAAACTAATTATATTCAAATGTAGAATATGAAACCATACTAGTACAAGAAGAAAACATGGGCTAACTCCTTTATGGCCTGAGAAAGGGGACAACATTCACAATTATGATTCAAAATCTAGAATCAGTAAGGGAAAAGATGGATAAATGTTAATATAAATACATATAGATAAATACACCCATATATACATTCATACCTGAAAGTTTTGCATGACAAAAATAAAAGCACAAGCAAAGTAAAAAACAAATCATAATACAATTTTGAAAATCTTACTTATACAATAGGCAAAGATTTATTATTCCTAAGGTGCTTATTTTAAAATATGATAAGTAAAGTGAAAGAATAGTGGGTTTTTCCTGCCTGGAGTGTTTTTAGATGAAATAATATGATGTTTGAAATTTGTTTTGTGAAAAAAAAAAGCCCTCCCTTTCGACAAAAGTAAGGGGATAGGTGAAATAAGTTTGACAAAATGATAGCATTGGAATTATGCAATTGATTCATAGATACTCATTCTGCTGTTCTGTCTACTTTTGTGTGCAAACTTGCCATAATAAAAAAGCTTTGGAAGTGCATTGGAAGAAAATTATGCAATCATCTGAAGGGTTAGGCTAGTTGAATTCCAACACTTACTTATCAGTTTCATAAAATATATTTCCTAGGAAAAGCCTTTATCAATATTATAATTTTCACTTGGGATTGAAATCACTACATGCTAAGCTCTATAAAAAGCTAAGAAATTTTATCTTGCATGTTTTGTTTCAGGAAGGGTCAGCAACATTCAAGGACGTGCTATCTGAATTAGGGATTGAGCTTCCTAAATCTCAGCTTAAGCTTGAATGTGTCAGAATGGTTCCCAGCTGTCATGATTGCACTCAATTAGGCTGAACTTCTGGCCATCATCTAAACCAAGACCTTGCTAGACACCTCACAGGCCCAGGCCCACACATTTGAGCTGCCTTGAAGCCAAGGCAGGTCCAGGATATTGATATATACCATATACACATGACTGTTACACAACTGTGGCAGATGCATCCTTACCATCTCACCATCTCCTACTGCTTCCCAGTAAAGTCTACTCTGCACTTCACTGCAAAATTATTTTTCAAGAAGGTCTTTATCGCTATATTCCCTTTTTGGAAAACGATACATCTTTAGCTGTAGATTAAAATTCACAGTGTGGTATTCACTGCTCTCAATCCGGGCAAATTGAGAAGATTCTGGTCTCACCTTTGTGGCTATAAGCCTCCCTCAAATGTTTGCTCCCTAGTCTATGTTATTCTCACTGGCAACCTGTACTTAAAGCGCATCCTCTTCTGAACAGGTGCTTTTCTGCTTATTATACGATGCTCGACATTTGTAAAAGTAAATGTCTTATGTCCCCATCCAGATTTTTGAGATTTCTTCTCAGTATTTCCTGAATCCAGCATTAGGATAAGGAGTGGGCACTCAATAACAGCGATTGATTCTTAGAGTCGAAGCTGTAGAATTTTGTGGTGAGGAATATGATTCTTGCAGGACAAGTCAATGAAGGTACCATCACAAGCTACTATATGGTTCTTTAAGTGGCACAAAATGTGTGAGAGCATTTAGTGTGTCAAAGGAACAAGATTATCAATCATTGAACACATATAACAATTTCTACTTGTCCACTCATCACTATAATTTTCAAGTGTTCATTTCATCTCATATACTATTTCCAGACTTCAGAGTTATTCCTTTAGATTCCCCTTTCAACTGACTCATATCCATCCTTTATTCCAGTTTTCCCATTATTCTCACCCCATAGTTAAGTGCCTCATCACTTCCTTCCTGAACTGGAATGCTTACTATTAAAGGAAATCTCTTCTTCCTCTATGTCAGTGATTTCAACATTCAGCAAGAAGCCACCATTCCCCATGACAATCATCCTGCCATAAACCACGGTTAACTGATCAGAGTGTAACAACTCCTCAAGTTCAGGGAAAAAATCATTTTGAGAATTACTGCTCCAATCAACTTCCTACAAAATTTGTCCTAAAATTATCATCCTAAAATAGCCCTGTGATCAAACTACTCCCTACTAATACACCTTCAATGGAATATTGTTCTCATAGAATAAATTGCTAACTCCTTACAATTTCACATTACCTGACATATCTACCTGTAACCTTTGCAAATTTCAAGGTAGCTCATCCCTTATCTACACAGAACATTTCAAACTTACCTCCCTCGGGGCCTTTTCTCAGCTGACTCCTTATCCAAAAAGCTGTGCATTGCCTGCGCCACATCTTAGAGTATCATGCTTTTACTTATTTTTATAATTGTATTCTTTCTACCTCCACCTTGACACTAAACTTCTTAGACAGTAGAAACTACATCTTAAAATTATTTTTCTCCCTCAGCATTCTTAACACAGTGTTGTAATGTGTAGTCAACAAATTAGATTTATTTTTACAGTACACATTTATCAAGCTATAATTTTCACAATGTTTTAATTCTGTTCTGAGGTCTACAGATATCTCTACATAAACACTAAAGCCAGTGATTTAATAAGTGAAAGGAATGCATACATTGCTTTGCAAAAAAATTAGCCTGATACATTTATATCTATATATTTATAGAATCATTTTCCCAAGGCTCATGAAACTAAAGCGCACACATACACCATAGACACACACACACATGCACACACACACCATTATAGTCAATTCAAATGGATTTATATTGTGTCAAATTAAATGCCATATGAAATTTATAATCAGATACACAAAATATGAATGGAATCATGAATACACTGTTGATAATGGATACCATAGCTCACAAATATGATCTCCAGTTAAGAAGAGAGAAATAATTGTTTCATTGGATTTTTGGTATGCGCTAATCACCATCACAAAAAAATCAATTTAATTACACAGTATTCAGAAATTTAACAAACATGCAGATATTAAGTTGACCACAATAAAACCTTTAAATCTGCAAAAAGACATGAAAATATATGGTCAATAATACCATTGTTCACTTGAGTCAGCTTAACATTTTACTTTATTCAGATGCCAAAGATAAGGTAGTTAAACAAGATAACCTGTTAGGTTTCTTATTCTGGATTTCTACACTCCATCTCTTAGACGTCTGAGACCAGGTATTGAACTGTAGTTCAAAGGAGCTTATTGGTTTGCAAATGTGTTTTAAATAGATCCACTGTTAGATCACTAAGCACATTGCATGACTCATTTTCAGAAAACTTACATTTTCATACTTATGTAATTTTCCTGATAAACCTAAAAAGTTGTTTTTATTTATGTATTTTTTTTGATTGATTGATTTAGAGACGCAATCTCACTCTGTCATCCAGGCTGTAGTGCAGTGGCATGATCATAGCTCACTGCAGTCTCAGACTCCTGAGCTCAAGGGATCCTCCCATTTCAACTTCCCAAAGTGCTTGGATTACAGGTGTAAACTACCGCACCCAGCCTATTTATTTTATAAATAAACAACTCTAACAATTATTTGTTAGATCACAAGTTTACGGTGGCACAGAGCCTCCGGGAATTTATGGGTATGTGAAAGAAAATTTCTATGTGAAGTGGCAATTGCTTACTTCCCTTGTAACATCAGATGAGACCTTTTCTAGGAAGGTATAATAAAATTTGGGAAGCCAGGATTCGCTTCAAATTGGCAAGCCCCAAGCAATTTTTTCTTAAAACTTTGAAAAGTTTCTAATAATGATGATTATTCCTTAAAAATCAAGATTATGAAAAAAGTACGTTTAGGATGCTAATAATTCAAGCGTATATCTGAATTTATCTGTCCATCCATCCATCTAACCTCTCTTTCTCTCTCTCTCACTCTCTAAGGCTCACTATAGGAAAATATAACATTATGAATAAAAAGTGTTGCTCACTTTTGAACTGCAAAGCAAAATTTAGTAAAAGTATACGCTGATGCTTATCATCTAAGCATGATCCGTTACTTCATGGGAGTTTGGTTTTCTTAAACGTTAAAAAAAAAGATTATCCTAGTCATAGCTACAATTGCTGAGATAAATCAAAGACACCATTTCACTTCTTCGTATTATCAAAATCCACATGTTGTTGCCAAAATAGACACGTGCTCATTTTTCCAGGGGTCTTTTTAGGAGGGAAGTCCCTGCAAGACGTTATCACTAATTTGCTGCCAGTAAATGTGTGGTACAAACCAGAATTTCAGTTTGACCCTTGATTTTATAATTTAATACCAATATTACTTACATTATTAGTTTTACTGGTAAATCAGGAGTAAGTTGTTGGAGTCCAGCTGTGACCCCAGGGCAAGAACTTTTTGCCTGCTGTCACCTTCTGACAGTTTAGGCTGTTAATTACCTCCATCAACTAGAACACAAGCACCTCTCTGTCTGCCAGCTGGCAGGCTGAGCTTCAGAAATTGGCAGCTTGGGAAGATCTAAAAAGCTGTAAAGGGGGCTGCTATGTAAACAGTTTATTGTACAATATTTGATGACCACAGTAGGCCCGCATCAGTAATCAAAGGTAGGCTCCGCTATTGGGCATTGATCGGTTAGCAAAGAAGAAAGTTTAAAATAGCTTTTGTTTCTATGTTTTTTATCCGGCAGAGTGAAACTAAGGGTTTAGTTCTGGAGGCATTATGTTGGTGGCCGTGGGAGGAAGTCAGTCAATCATTTAGTTCTGCTGAGATAAGCTTGGACCCAGTCGAAAGAAAGGTAAGTCAGCGGTTGTGTGTGCGCCTTGAAAGTTTAAAGCTCACTGCTGGTTAAGGATACTCTATGCACATTCCCTATAAAAAGGAACTTGTTACCATAGGCATGTGTGTAAATTATGTATGCACTGTATGGAATAACTAATTATGTTTGCAACTATATTCTGATCAAAATGCCTTTCCTAACATATCAATGATTTTGTTTTGTTTTGTGACGGAGTCTCACTCTGTCACCCAGGCTGGAGTGCAGTGGTGCAACCTCAGCTCACTGCAGCCTCCGCCTACTGAGTTCAAGTGATTCTCCTGCCTCAGCCTCCCAAGTAGCTGATATTACAGGCGCCCACCACTGCACCCAGCTGATTTTTGTATTTTTAGTAAACACAGGGTTTCAACATGTTGGCCAGGTTGGTCAATGATGTTTAAGACACATTTTCCAAAGCCATGCTCAAATTTTGAGATTGTATCTGATATTTCACAGTCTCCTTTCCAAACTCCACAGAAACATTTATAAATGTTAATTTGATAAGACTATCAAATAAATAAAAATGTTAAAAACAATACTGACTTAATCTTTAATTCTATAATTCTATTTGAACATTAAAATTCTGTCATCTGGTCTTTGTTGATTAAATGGCTAATTTCATAAGCCACGTGGGCTTAAGTTTAAATCACAATCAAAATCCAAGTTACTTATTTGTTTTAAAGAAATAAAAACAAGCATAATACACTGTGATAAAACAACATTCAGTAATTTTCAGCAAAGAAATGAAACCAAGTTAGCATGCATTTGCCTTTGATTCATTTCTTTGAAGCATTTCTTCATCAGTCTTTCCAGAGAAAAAAGTAGCCTTCCTGACATTTTCTTTGGAGCCTCTTTTTATAGAAATTATCAGACCTGTTTAGAATTAACCATTTTTATTCAGGTGCATGCATGAGTGCGTACACACACACACACACACACACACACACACACACACACACACGCCCCATCCAAACATTCTACAGGTATAAAGATGACTCTACTGCAAAAAGACTTGAAAACTCTACATCTGCGTAAGAGGAATTCCTACAGGCCTGCAATCTTTGCCTTTGCCTCCAGAGAAGATCTCAGATCCGCATGCCCCTCATTCTTTTTAACCTTCCCAAAGGATCTGTCACTAATATTGGTAATAGTAGCTAATACAGATTGCTTACTGTATGCCATACAATATGAGAAGCACTTTAAGGGCATCATTTCTCATTTATTTTTGGCCACTGTCTTATGAGATAGATTATAAAATTGCCCTCACTCTACAGATAAAGGCCAGATAACTTGCTCAAAGCCACGCAGCCTACAAATGTGAAAGCAGAGATTCAACAGGAAGTCTTTCTAACTCCTGGCTCCAGACTCTAAATCACTCCACTACACCACCTCCCAAGTTACTTTCTTGAAAGACAATCCCATTTCTGTGCTTTCCTGGCTCTCCTTCTTTCTGCCAAAACTTCATCAACTTTCTATTATTGTCTCTACGTACATGAAAGACTTTTCCCATTCCATGCGCTTCTTCAAATTCACTGTTCTCATTTATTTCAGTAGTTTTGAATTTTACTACTATGGGTGTGGTTCTAAAATCTTCATCACTTTTCTTGAGTCTCTGAAAGCTCTGTTTGGCTGTGGTTGTGCTTAGCCAACCAGGCTATGACCGGTCTGTCCAACATGGTGAAACCCGTCTCTACTAAAAATACAAAAATTAGCCAGGCGTGGTGTTGCATGCCTGTAGTCCCAGCTACTCAGGATGCTGAGGCAGGAGAATTGCTTGAACCCAGCGAGCCACTGCACTCCAGCCTGGGTGACAGAGCGAGACTCTGTCCTCTCTGGCAAACCTGCCCTTCCACTTGTAATTGCATCTTAGTTGATGGTGCACCATCCACTCAGAATTTAGGATTATCTTTCATCTTTTCATTCACCACTCATTCAGGTGAAAAAAGTCTCATGAATTCCACTTTGAAGAAATCTTTTTTTCCTGTACTTATCGTATGGCCTATTTTGTGTCCCCATTGTTACTCACCAAAGTAATAATGCAGCAGCCTCCTAACTGCTTGCATAGCCTCTTGTCTCTGTCCTCACTAATCAGTCCCACATTGTATCACCAGAAGCATCCTTTTAAACACAGAACCAGTTCTTAAACTCTCCTCCTCAAAAACCTTCAGTGGCTTCCCAATGTAAACAGATGTCCAGTATCAGTAAACCCCTGGACTTAGTTCTGGCTTATCTTAGCGCAGATTAACTTCTACTTCAATACTCCAAGAGGCATGTGCAGCCATTCCCTAATCGCGCCCTCCCCTTGCCTCTCCTATGTTTGTGCTATCCCTTCTTTGTGGGCTTTTTCTCCTTCTCTCATCTTAATCCCTCACAATCCACCTCGAATTTCCTCCCATGAAACTCCTGATGGCCCTACTAAAAATTTATCCTTTTCTTCATTTACTTAACAACTATTTATTGAATATTTACTAAGCTTTAGAATCTCAAAAATAAAAGACAGGCTCCCTTCCCAAGAACAGTCTATAACATTCTAATGGGGAAGACAAGTAAATAAGCAATTAAAATTACATATGGTTTTCATGAAACACACAAACTACCAATGCTCTCTCAAGAAAAATAAAATTAGTATTTTATTAATATATTATATTATTTAGTTTTAAAAATTTTGTTTTGCTATAATTTTGTTTAAAAAAAAAAGATTGTTGGCTGGGCGCAGTGACTCACGCCTGTAATCCCAACACTTTGGGAGGCCAAGGCGGGTGGATCACCTGAGGTCAGGAGTTCAAGACCAGCCTGGCCAACATGGTGAAACCCCGACTCTACTAAAAATAGAAAAATTAACTAGGCATGGTGGCACATGCCTGTAATCCCAGCTACTCTGGAGGCTGAGGCAGGAGAATCACTTGAACCCAGGAGGTGGAGGTTGCAGTGAGCTGAGATTGTGCCATTGCACTCCAGCCTGGGTGACAAAAGTGAAACTCCGTTTCAAAAAAAAGAAAGAAAGAAAGAAAAAAGAAAAAAGAAAGATTTATTCACTAGTGAGCTCTTCTCAACATTTAAGGAACAAGTGATACCAATTTTATACAAACTCTTCTAAAAATTGAAGAGTTCACTAGTACACTGATATTAAAACCAGGCAAAGACCTTATGGAAAAGAAAACTGGGCCAGATGTTTTGGCACATGCCTGGGCTGCTTGAGGCCAGAAGTTTGAAACCTGCCTAGGCAACATAGCAAAACCCTGTCTTTACAAAAAATAAATAAATAAAAAATAAAGTAATTAAAAGTTAGCTGGGCATGGTGGTATATGCCTATAGTCCTAGCTACATAAGAGACTGAGGCGGGAGGATTACTTGAGCAGTCTTTAATTGCTTCAGTTTGAGGCAGCAGTGAGCTATGATCATGCTACTGCACTCCAGCCTGGGCGATAGAGCAAGAAGACTCTGTTTCAGAAAACAAAACAAAAGAAAAAAGAAAACTAAAGATCACTATCTCTCATTAGTATAGATGCAAAATCCTACACAGTATTTTAGCAAATTAATTCAAGCAATATATTTAAAAGGATAATGCTTCATAATGAAGTAGATTTCATCCCAGAAATATGAGATTTGTTTCAATATTTAAAAATCCATAAATGTAACAGTTTCTCAAATTTTGCTTGTTTCGATGACCTAGGCAGTTTTGAGAATTACCAGTTGGGTATTTTTTAGAATGTTCTTTAATTGGAATACATATGAAAATTTTTAAATAATTAGTCTGGAATTATGGGAATAGGAAGAAGAACACAGAGGTAAAGTGCCTTTTTTTAATCACATCATTTCAAGTGGACATGACATAAACGTCACTATCACTGTTGATGTTGACCTGGGTCACTTGGCCAAGGTAGCAATTGTCAGGTTTCTTTACTGTACAGTTATTCTTTTTCCCTCTTTTCATATTGTACTCTTTTGAAAGAAATGAGTATGTTCATGTCCGACTTAAAGAGCATAGAGTTATGCTCTTCCTCATTGAGGAAGTAGTATCTACATAAATTCTTTCAAATTTTTCTGCACAAAAATTTGACTCTTCTTCCTCATTTAATTATTTTTTTATTTTACTTATGCTTTAAGTTCTGGGATACATGTGTAGAACGTGCAGGTTTGTTACATAGCTATACATGTGCCATGGTGGTTTGCTGCACCCATCAACCCATAATCTACATTAGGTATTTCTCCTAATGCTATCCCTTCCCTAGCCCCCGACCCTCTGACAGGCCCTGGTGTGTGATGTTCCCTCCCGGTATTCATGTGTTCTCATTGTTCAACTCCCACTTATGAGTGAGAACATGTGGTGTTTGGCATTCTGTTCCTGTATTAGTTTGCAGAGAATGATGGTTTCCAGCTTCATCCATATCCCTGCAAAGGACATGAACTCATCCTTTTTTATGGCTACATAGTATTTCACGGTGTATATGTGCCACATTTTCTTTATCCAGCCGATCATTGATGGGCATTTGCATTGGTTCCAAGTCTTTGCTATTGTGAACAGTGCTGCAATCAACATACAGGTGGATGTGTCTCTATAGTAGAATGATTTATAATCCTTTGGGTATATAGCCAGTAATGGGATTGCTCGGTCAAATGGCATTTCTGGTTCTAGATCCTTGAGGAATCTCCACACAGTCTTCCACAATTGCTGAACTAATTTACACTCCTACCAACAGTGTAAAAGCATTCCTATCTCTCCACATCCTCTCCAGCATCTGTTGTTTCCTGACTTTTTAAAGATCGCCATTCTAACTGGCGTGAGATGGTATCTCATTGTGGTTTTGATTTGCATTTCTCTAATGCCCAGTGATGATGAGCTTTTTTTCATGTTTGTTGGCCACATAAATGTCTTCTTTTGAGAAGTGTCTTTTCATATCCTTCACCCACTTCTTGATGGGGTTGTTTGTTTTTTTTCTTGTAAATTTGTTTAAGTTATTTGTAGATTCTGGATATTAGCCCTTTGTCAGGTGGATAGATTGCAAAAATTTTCTCCCATTCTGTAGGTTGCCTGTTCACTCTGATGATAGTTTCTTTTGCTGTTCAGAAGCTCTTTAGTTTAATTAGCTCCCATTTGTCAATTTTGGCTTTTGTTGCTTTAGTCATTTGCCCATGTCTGTGTCCTCAATGGTATTGCCTAGGTATTCTTCTAGGGTTTCTATGGTTTTAGGTCTTACGTTTAAGTCTTTAATCCATCTTGAGTTAATTTTTGTATAAGGTGTAAGGAAGGAGCCCAGCTTCAGTTTTCTGCATGTGGCTAGCCAGTTTTCCCAAGATCATTTATTAAATACAGAATTTCTTCCCCATTATTTGTTTTTGTCAGATTTGTTGAAGATCAGATGGTTGTAGATGGGTGACGTTTTTCTGAGGCCTCTGTTCTATTCCATTGGTCTATATATCTGTTTTGGCACCAGTACCATGCTGTTTTGGTTACTGTAGCCTTGTAGTATAGTTTGAAGTCAGTTAGCATGATGCCTCCATCTTTGTTCTTTTTGCTTAAGATTTTCTTGGCTATATGGGCTCTTTTTTGGTTCCATATGAAATTTAAAGTAGTTTTTTCTAATTCTGTGAAGAAAGAGCTATGATGACTAAATGTAATGCCTTAGGATGGGTGGGATTCTGAAACAGAAAAAGATGTTGGATAGAAACCAAGAAAATCCAAATAAAATATGGAGTTTAGTTAATAATAATTTGTCAGCATTGTTTCCTTAATTGTAACAAATATACCATACCAATGTAAGATGCTAAAAGGGAAACCAGGTGTGGGGTACACAAGAATTATCTATAATATGTTTACAATTTTTCCGTAAATCTAAAGCTGTTCTAGAGTTTTAAGTTTATTTGTTTTTTAAATGCCTCAGTTTGGAGGCACCATATACCGATCCTTGAAAGGATGTGGTCAGGTCTCTCAGAAAGAGTGAAGAGGCCAGGCGCAGTGGCTCACGCCTGTAATCCCAGCACTTTGGGAGGGCAAGGCAGGTGGATCAGGAGGTCAGGAGATTGAGACAATGCTGGCTAACATGTTGAAACCCTGTCTGTACTAAAAATACAAAAAATTAGACGGGTGTGGTGGTGGGCGCCTGTAGTTCCAGCTACTGGGGAGGCTGAGGCGGGAGAATGGTGTGAACCCAGGAGGCAGAGCTTGCAGTGAGCTGAGATCAGGCCACTGCACTCCAGCCTGGATGACAAAGCGAGACTCCGTTTCAAAAAAAAAAAAAAGAGAGAAGAAAGTGACTGGATAATTGACCTGGTATTTACATTATTGGGAAGCACTGACCCTATCTAATGTTGGATTTCTGGGCTTCTGGTGTGCTCTTTTCCTTTTTCTCTCCTGTTCTCAATCAATATTGTAGCCCACTCTCCCCAGAAAAGAGCTTTTGGTGACTTGGAAATGAATGAGTTTCATTCCCCCTGCCTGAATTATAGATTTAACTGTAAAAGAGATACCATCTAATTTTATTACCGATACCACTAAAGCATAACCCTAGTTTGGGGAGAGATCTGATCTTTATGCGGTTTGCGGAGTAGAATGTAACCACCAATTTGTTTCTGGTATTGCTAAATGAACTAGACTTATACTTTTGTTGTTGTTATACTACTTATAATTGCTCTTTTGTTACTTTAAAAATTCAAATAGTTGTAATTTCATCTGGTTTGACCAAATAATAATGTCAAGAATAAAAGGGAATAAACATTTATTTGAGCATTGAAAAAGAATCCATAAGTGTAATTCATCATATCAATAAATTAAATTTGACTACAAAAGAAAAGCCATATGATCATCTCAATAGATGTAGAGAAACCATTTGACAAAATTCAATGTCATTAGTGCATGGTAGAAACTCCCAGGAAAGTATAAATAAAAGGGAACTTTCTCAACTTGGTAAAGGGCATCTACAGAAACTGTACAGTTAATCTTATTACTAATGGTATGTGATAGTGAAAGCTTTCTCCCTAGATATTAGAATCAAGAAAAGATGTCTGTTTCCAATACTTTTATTCAACATTATTCTGGGGATCTTAGTCAGTACAATAAGCTTTGAGAAAAAAGAAATAAAATACAAACAAATTGGAAAAAAAGAAATAAAAGAGTACTTGATTATAGATGACATGACAGTCTTGGTAGAAAATCCTAAAGGATCAAAAAAACCGTGGCCAGGCATGGTGGCTCACGCCTGTAATTCCAACACTTTGGGAGGCCGAGGCAGGCAGATCACTTGAGGTCAGGAGTTCGAGACCAGCCTGACCAACATCGTGATTCCCCTGTCTCTACTAAAAATACAAAAATTAGCCGGGCATGGTGTTGCGTGCCTGCAGTCCCAGCTACTCTGAAGGCTGTGGCAGGAGAATAGCCTGAACCCAGGAGGCAGAGGTTGCAGTGAATGAAGATTGTGCCACTGCACTCCAGCCTAAGCAAAACAGTGAGACTCTGTCAAAAACAAAAATGTCTAGAAATAATAAGCGACCATAGCAAAGTCACAGGATATAAAGTCAGCATCCAAAATATATTGTAGCTGGGCGCAGTGGCTCATGCCTGTAATCCCAAGACTTTGGGAGGCAATGATGGGAGGATCACTTGAGGCAAGGAGTTTAAAACCAGCCTGGTCAACATAGCAAGACCCCGTTTCTACAAAAGAAAAAATTTTTTAAAATGTTAGCTAGGTTTGGTGGCATATACCTGTAGTCCCAGCTGCTGGGAAGGCTGAGGAAAGAGATTAGCTTGAGTCCCGGAGTTCGAGGCTGCAGTGAGTCATGATTACGCCACCACACTTCACCTGCGTGACAGAGCAAAACCCCTAAACCCTGTCTCAAAAGAAATTTTATATATATATATATATATATATATATATATATATATGACATTAAAAAGATCAAATTGTAAACTGCCTCTGAGAAATTCACCTGACCAGTAAAATATATATGTAAAATATATATAAATAGATAACATATAAAAATATATATGGAATATATAAATATATAGATAATATATAAATAAATATACATATATACGATATATAAATATATGACATACATATAATATAAAAAGTATATTTATATATTATATATTCTATATATAATTTTTATTTGAAATTTCACGATATATACTGTTTTCATGTATTAGAATGTAACAATTAGAAATTTTCAATAAAAATAACAGCATCAAAAGCTAAATATTTAAGGATCAATTTAACTAAATCAGTGAAAAATCCTGGAAATTTCAAAACATTGTTTAAAAAAATTAAAGAACACCTAAACAAATGGAGACATATACTATGTTCATGTATTGGAAGGTCCAATATTGTAAAGAAATCAATTCTTCACAAGTTATAAATTCAGCATAATCTCAATCAAAATCCCAACAAGCTTTTGTTGTAGAAATTGACAAGCTGACTCAAAAATATATATGAACATGTAAAGTACCCAGAAAAGACAAAACAATTTTTATCTAATTTTTTAGATTGACAAATAGTTATTGTACATATTCTTAGGATATATAATGAGGTGTTGATAAATAGACAGTGATCAGATCAGCATAATTAGCATATCCATCATCTCAAATTTTTATCATTTCTTTGTATTAGGAACATTCAATATCCTCCTTCTAGCTATTTAAACTACATGATATATTATTGTTAACTATAGTCATCCTACAGTGGTAGAGAACACAAGAACTTCCTTTCATCCAGTTTAACTTTTATATTCTTTAACAAATCCCTTCCTATCCTTCCCTTCCCCCAAGTTTTCCCAGCATCAGGTATCCTCTGTTCTATTTTACTTCTATGAGTTCAACGTTTTCTTACCTTCCAAATATGAATGAGAACATGTAGTGTTTAACTTTCTGTTCATGGTTTATTTCACTTAACATAATATCCTCCAATTCTATTTATATTTTCACAAATGATAGCATTTCATTTGTGAGGAGGCAAAACGTAAGAAATTACTCAATAGGCAGCCAGCCTGGGGTCATGTCTGCCCTGGGGTCATGTCAGCCTGGGCTGTTACTCAGATGTAGGATGTGGGCTTTTGGCTGTATGGCCAGCCTGGGATCATACCTGCCAAGAGTGGCCTGTGAAACTGTTTCTCAGGTCATGATGCTTCTTAGGTCTGAAACACAATTGCAAGGATGCTTGGTTGGCTCAGGGGTGTCCTCACCAACAGCAGCCCAAAAAACTGTTTCTCAGGCCCGGAATGTGGGTACATGGCTGCTTGGCCAGCCTGGGGCATGTCCACCTGGATTGGCCCACAGGGCTGATACTCAGGTCTGGGATAGGTGTTTTTGGCTATTTGGTCAGCTTAGTATCATACCTGCCAAGAGTGGCCTGAGGAATTGTTTCTCAGGCCCTGAATGGGGATACAGGGCCACTGGGGCAGGCCAGGGCTCTCTCTGGAGGGTGCAGGTGTGCTGTGGGACTGTTTCTCAGTTCCTGGGTGCAAGCACATAGCCACTTCACTGGCCCTGGAGCATATCAGCTGCTCACAGGCTTGGGGGCCTCTCCTGCTTTGGGGAGGGTATGCAGCAGTTTGGCCAGCTCAAGGGCAGGTTCACCCTGAACAGAACAGGACCAGAGCCACAGCCCATCCTTGGCCCATGCTTTACGAATCTGGGATTGAGGTGTTCAGCTTCCCATATGGGCTTGGTGGAATGAAGATGGAGCCCAAGTGCTGGAGAGGTGAAGTGGCTACTGGCCCTCAGAGCAGGGCACACTGCAGAAGTAGCTCTGGTCTCAGTATGGTGCCATGCTATAGCACCATGGCTCACAGGGGATGAATAGAGGGTTGGGGGTCCACACCTTGTTCTCCTAATCTAGGACAATGCAGCTGTGTGAATTCCCAGCAAGACTCCAAACCTGTCTCAGGACTTGTGAGGACTGCTGGATTCACCTGCTATAAGGATTGTAGGTGTTTGTGATGGCAGTGGGCACTGGTGGAGATCTTCTGCTTACCTTTATCCTTGCAGCAGGAAGTCCTTCCTGACTCCAGCAGATCTCACCCAGATGAAGAAGACAGGCTTCAGAGGCCAGGTGCCTCCAGCTGCCCTCCTGTACTTCCAGCCACCACAGCTGCATCTCCATCCCCGCACTGCACTCCAGTGCTCTCCCTTTCATACTCTAGTAAAATCTTAGCTGTTTATTTGTTGCCTGAGTCCTTTCCTGTGGAGGAGGGGATGAACACCAGGTGTCTGTATTCAGCCATCCTGCTGACATCACTCCCAATACAATTTTTTGAAGAACAACAATGTTAGATGGCTTATAAGCCATGACTTTAAGAATTACCATAAAGCAGGTGCTGGGATAACTGCCTATCTATATGCAGAAGAATGAAACTGGACCCTTATCTATCACTATGTACAAAAATTAATTCAACATGGATT
This sequence comes from Homo sapiens, assembly GCF_000001405.40. Taxonomy (NCBI): domain Eukaryota; kingdom Metazoa; phylum Chordata; class Mammalia; order Primates; family Hominidae; genus Homo; species Homo sapiens. Next base: position 174,098,051 of record NC_000004.12, read on the forward strand.
AAAAACTTAAATGTAAGACCAAAAACTATAAAAATCCTTGAAGAAAACCTAGTAGGTACTCTTCTGGAAAGCCTCAGCAAAGAATTTATGACTAAGTCCTCAAAAGCAATTGCAACAAAAACAAAAATTGACAAGCGGGAACTAATTAAACTATATAGTTTCTGCATAGCAAAGAAACTATCAAGAGAGTAAAGAGAGAATCTATAGAATGGGAAAAAATACTCACAAACTATGCATCTGACAAAGGTCCAATATCTAGTATCTATGAGGAACTTAAACAATTCGGCCAGGTGCGGTGGCTCACGCCTGTAATCCCGGCACTTCGGGAGGCCAAGACAGGCAGGCAGATCACCTGAGGTCAGGAGTTTAAGACCAGCCTGGCCAACATGGCAAAACTCCGTCTCTACTAAATACAAAAATTAGCCAGACGTGGTGGTGGGCCCCTGTAATCCCAGCTACTTGGGAGGCTGAGGCAGGAGAATTACTTGAACCTGGGAGGTAGAGGTTGCAGTGAGCCAAGATTGCGCCACTGCACTCCAGCCTGGGTGACAGAGTGAGACTCCGTCTCAAAAAAAAAAAGAAAAAAGAAAAAAAATTCAACAAGCAAAAACAAAGAACCCATTAAAAAGTGGGCAAAGGATATGAACAGACATTTCTCAAAAGAAGACTTACATGCAGCCAACAATCATATGAAAAAACGCTCAACCTCACTAATCATTAGAGAAGTACAAATCAAAGCCACAGTGAGATACCATCTCACATCAGTCAGAATGGCTATTATTAAGAAGTAAAAAAAAATATGCTGGCAAGTCTGCAGAGAAAAGAGAATGCTTATACACTGTTGGGAATCTAAATTACTTCTGCCGCTATAGAAAGCAGTTTGGAGATTTCTCAAAGAACTAAAAATAGAACTACCTTTTTACCCAGCAATCCCATTACTGGGTATATAGCCAAAAGAAAACAAATCATTCAGCCAAAAGACACATGCACTCATATGTTCATCACAGCAGTATTCACAATAGCGAAAACATGAAATTAACCTAGGTATCCATCAATAGTGGATCAAATAGAGAAAATATGGTACATATACATCATGGAATCATTTTAAAAGAACAAAATTATGTTTTTCACAGCAACATGGATGCAGCTAGAGGCCATTATCCTAAGTGAATTAATATAGAAACAGAAAACCAAATACCCCATGTTCTCATGAATAAGTGGGAGCTAAACGTTAGGTACACATGGACATAAGGATGGGAACAATAGACACTGGAAGCTACTGAAGGGGGGAAAGTAGGATGGGGACCTATTGGGTACTATGCTCACTACATGCGTGACAGAATAATCCCACCCCAAACTTGCCTCACACAATATACCCGTATAACAAATCTGCCCATATACACCCTGAATCTAAAATAAAAGTTGAAATGTAATAAATAAAAGACGAATTACCGTAAAAGCAGGGACTTAGCAAAGGACAGAAATAAAATAAGCTTAAGGTAATTCAATGGTGAATTAATAGTATTTTCAACAAATCATAATAGAACAAGTAGATATGCATATTAAAAAATAAGCTTCAAGCTTTGCTTCACACCAGATATAAAAATGAACTCAAAATGGATTATTGACCCAAATGTCAAAGATAAATCTACTAAATTTCCAAAAGAAAACATAGGAAAAAAAATTATGACCTTAGGCTAGGTAAAAAACTTTTTAGAGGAGATAACAAAAATGCACAAACCATAAAAGAATAAGTTTATCAGATGGACATAGTCAAAATCAAAAACAGCCAATCTTTGAGAGACAGTATAAGGAAATGAAAAGACAAGCCACAGATTAAGAGAAAATATTTGCACAATACATAACTGATGATCTTCCAGTATCATAGACTCATTAACTCATGAGTTATTCATTCAAACAGCATTTCAGCCTAACTGACTTTTCTTAGGAGATAAGTGTAATCAAGTACAAAATTTACAGTGAGAACTGTTTTGTATTGAAGCAATTATATCTTTTTCTAAAACACATTCAGATGTGAAATGAAGCAATTATTTCTTAATCCAAAACTTCCAAAGCAAGTAATTCCTCTGTGGTTAAATGGTCTGTATTAAATCTGGTTATGTAAGCCAATAACCCAATATTTTAACGCAATAGAAGTTTGTTTCTTACTGTTGTCACAGTCAATTGCAGTTTGAGAGGGTCTAGGGATGATTCTGCCCTATGCTGTCATTTGAAGATTTCATCTTCTTGCTTCCTGTGGTTTTGCTACCTTTATAGGGCCTCGTGTTATTGCACTGGACCTAGCTGGAAGACTGGCAGAGATAGAGTGTGGCAATCACAAGATCGATTTGAAGTGCAAGGTCTGAAAGTGGGGTACATCACTTCTGCCTGCATTCTATTGCCAGAACTCAATGCTATGGCCACACCCATAGGCAGGGAAATGTAGTTAAGCCATGTGCACAGGAAGAAAAGGAAGCAAGTGAGCATATACAATTGCCTCTACTACAGTAACCATGAGAAGAACACATACTTAACCATTTTCCTTTAGTACCACATATATTTTAGTTGCCTAAAATTTTTTGGAGCAAAGTGGATTATAAATCAATCACTTACACTTTCCTTGTCATTAAATTATTTTTATTTATTTATTTATTTTTTGAGACAGGGTCTTGGCTCTGTTGCCCAGGCTGGAGTGCGGTGGTGTGATTTCAGCTTACTACAACCTCCGCCTCCTGGGTTCAAGTGATTCTCCTGCCTCAGCCACCCAAGTAGAGGGGGCTACCGGCACGTGACACCATGTCTGGCTAATTTTTGTATTTTTGGTAGAAATGGGGTTTTGCCATGTTGACCAGGCTGGCCTTGAATTTCTGAGCACAGGTGATACCCCCGCTTCAGCCCCTCAAAGTGCTGGGATTACAGGAGTGAGCCACCACTCCCAACCATCTTGTCATTAAATTATAACCAGTTCAATAACAGGGATGTTCTGTACATGAAAACTTTCCATAGTACTTTATTATATTTACCATTATGGAAGGAGATCATTAAATTTTTGCTATGATCATCAAAAAATGCTATAAAAATGACATCTAATGAAATTCGAAAGTTTCCACATTTGCACCCATGTGTGTAAATATGACTGACTGCACATAAATATCTGAATCCATGTTTCCAGATAAGCTCAAAAAAATAGGTATAGTTCATTATTTATTTTCTTTATTTCTTCTTCTTATCTAGGACAAAAGTGCATATTGACTACCTCATTATATCATCATGTGATAGAAAGAGAAGTAGGGATCCCAGGCTCTAGCTCTGGCTCCCAATACCTGTGGCCTTGACAAACCAGGTCATGTCTCTGGAATTCACCAGTAAAGTAAAAAGTGCGTGCCAGATGATCTCCAAGGTACTTTCTGTTTCTGGTATTCTGAGAGTCTTTATGGGGCCATCAACTCAAGCTAGCTGGCTCCCATTTGGGTCAAAGTGTCTTATCTTTCAAGAAGTGAATATTTTGGTGTCAGAAAGTCAACTGAAATGAAAAGAGAGGGAGTAAGGGAGGCAAGGCGGGAGAGAAAGAAACTAAAGTGAACCAAAATTCTTCTTTACCCTAGGAATTTGTAGAAATTTGTACAATTAACTCTACCCAGGGAAAATTAGTTATTTCTTTTCTCCCCACAAGACATTATTTGGGCCACCCTATGCAGCATAATGAGGCCCTGCCTCTACAAAAAAATTAAAATAAATAAAAAATTAGCCGGGCATAGTGGCACGTGCCTGTAGTCCCAGCAACTGGGGAGACTGCGGTGGGAGGATCACTTGAGCCTAGGAGGTCGAGTCTGCAGTGAGCCATAATCACGTCACTGCACTCCATTCTGGGGGACAGAGGCTGACTCTGTTTTTTAAAAAAGAGATATTTGGGGCTCAGAAAGTCAGTAAACATTGCCACAGATTATAACCTAATCTACCCTGCACCTATTGATTGTGGGACAAGATGTAACATTTCAATGGCTAAGATAATCAAATAAATATTAAAAATATTAAAATTTCCTAATCACCTCTAATTCATTTATAAGGACTAACCACAGATAAGATGATTTAGGTTTCAAAAGAAGCCACATGAAGTAGTGAAAAGAGCACAGAAATGTAAGCTTGAAAATCTATATTCTATTCTGTTCTCTGTTCTGACCCATTTGTAGGATACTGGCAAGTGACTTAAGATCTTTAAATCCCAGTTCATTAATTGAAGAATAAAATGTTTGGATTTGTTGGTATTTAAGATGTCTGGCAACAATGGAATTTCTTGACTCTATGAAAGATGAGACTTATTGAGAAATAGAGGTAACTTTATAACACTGAAAGCCTATCCTAGTTAGATGCAGTAGGAAGGCTCATGAGCAACGTTTTCTTAGAAACCAGAATTCTTGCTTATTTTGGATTTACCACCACTGTTATAAGGAGCAAAAGAAAAACTTTTCCATCCTGGTTAGAAGATAAAAGGATGAGTTAAGATCATATGTCACAGATCTCAAGCCAGCAAAGTTTATAGGTAGAATAATTTAAAAATAAGCAAGTATGTAATCTACATCAATGAAAACATGGGAAACTTGTTTTTTTTTATCATTAATTAGAGCAACAAAACTGGGCAGTGGGGGTGGGGGCAAAGGCTTCTTAAGAGAAATTAATCTCAGTTTCATGCCTCAACTTGAAATGTACCAAACTTTCAGGTAATAGATTTATTTCATAGAAAGCAAAAAGAGAATATGTATTGAAAAAATTATTCCAAATAAAATGAAAATAATTTCCAGCAAAGATTAATATTGCTCTTAGAACTTAAGGTACAGGAATTTTTTTAAAAAAAGAGATTTCATATTCAGAAATATTCTCATAGCAGGAACTTTTTCTAGCGTAATATTAGAAAATTTCCTGAATATTATAGTAGTGAGAAACTTCATTTTAATTTAAATCTATTTTGCTGTTAGATTTCACACACCAAACATCCTATTAGTCTAGGTGGTTCAATTGCATAATAACAGTATTTTTTATCGCTTTAGATGATCTCTTTAGATCTGCTGGATAATTTTATCAATGAGAGAAAATGAAGACTGTTATTTGATTACTCGAGTCTTGAGACAATCATAAGTATTTAGATTCATAAAGCCAAATAAACAAAAGGGGGGTTTGTTGCTGGCCATATGATGAGCACCTAGCTTCTCTGTCGTTAAAAGTTTCCTCACACCTTACGATGTAACAAAACATTTCACAAATAGCCAGAAAGAAAATCAGATTCTTGTGAGGCTTCTCAAGATAGTTATTGTGAATGTTTGTGCATAAACATTCTGAGACAGACAGGGGTGCGCACCCTCCTGCACCCCACCGCCACACACAACCTATCTCAGAAATTTGCGAAAACATAGTCTAACAGTTTCTGTGGAAAATGCCTCATTAATCTTGGGTGAATCACCATAGGAACCTGTGGAAGGTGAAATCTTGAACAGGATGGAGCCTTCTCATCAGTCATTGATTAGTGTTAGAAATAACTCCTACTGTTTCATGTTACCTACAATCTTCAAAGTAATAATGGTTTTCAGTACAGAAATAAGTTAGAAATATTTCGAAGATAATGACTCAGATGTTATTTTAGAATTCCCCATTACACTAAATATCTAAAACAATAAAATGTTTACAGTTATACTTTGTTCTCTGCCCGATTTTTTCTAACTTTCCACGAATTCTCCTGTATCTCTGGATTATCTATGCCTCTGTTCTCAATTAAAATCTCCAAAGAATGGAAAGACTGAAATACAAGAAAAAGAGACAGAAGCTACAAGAGAAGAGAGAAGAAATAAAAAAGAAAGACAGGAACTTCACGTTCTTAAAATAAAAGGTAAAACTTCCCTTCTAGACTCTATTGCTCAAGATTTTCAGCATTGACCGCGATAACAAAAACTTCTAAGGCTTTTCAAAGTAAGTCTTTCGAAAAATTTCACTTATTTTTTTAACTCACTAACTATATCCAGAGGGAAACAAAATTCAACTGAAATATGAAACTCTCTTGGATGTCATAGACAGCCCATACTACATGTTTTCCAAAAGGGAGGAAGTTTTCCAAAAATTTGTAGAATGAGGTAGGTGTTTGTTCATTCTGGGCAAATCATCCATTAACACTCAGAAGACTTTTAAGTATGCCATGAGAGATTCTACCCATAGTCTCTATAGCACTTGTATTTCTTCAGCTAATTATATGAACACATTAATTAACAGTGGCAAGGACAAGCCTCAGCCCTCTAAAGGCAGGCAGTGACTTTACAATTCACAGAGAATAAATTGGAATCAAAATAAGGCTTGGCTTCTGTCAATGGTGTGCTGGTGCGTGTGCCAGGCTTAACGCCAGGCTTTCCAAAAGGGAAATAAATAAATATGTATATATGTATATATTATATATATATATATATATATAATATACCTGTGTTTATTATTTCTTATAAATTTTACTAATATACACAATGTATAGTATACAAATTATAAGTAATAATGAAATACCTAAAACTATTTTACATTTTATATAGCCAATTTATTCTCACAGAAGGCTTTTGTTTATTTTTGCCAGATTCTTAAATCCATAATCAATCTTTTTACAATTAATGAATGCGGTATCAACGTGAATGTTGGCTAATATTCCATTTACCTTAACAAGCAAGGTGAAAGTAAACACGTCAAAGTATGTTGGAACTTTATTCATGTATCAGGGATGTGTTCCTTTGCTGAATCAGATAATAGTTTGCAAAAACAGTACTGGAAGGATATGTCATCAAATTGTGTGCTATTCACAAGGTAGCAGCTACAGCTACAACATCCACATCCTTTTAGGTTTGATCTGTGTTCTTAACATTTCTTCCATAGCTTCCTCAAGTCTAGACTACCAAAAATAAATAAATAAATATTAAAGGCTTGATTCTTAGTGTTTGCTGATTTCCATGGTTTAAGTACTCCCACAATGACAGAATTTAAGCTACCAAAATCCCTGAACACGGAGTTTGGAAGAGATATGCAATAGCACAGCATTATATAGTATTTCCACCAGACGGACACAATAATTATAAATAATCTCAAGAGCACAGATAATATTATGATGTAAGTTAATTAGAAACTAGTGAATTTTGATTATTACCTTTCCTTTTGGTATAATTTATTTAATTGTAAGTTTAACCACTCCAATTTTCATTATTGGCTGTCTTTAACAACCAGATCACAAAATACCTGACTATTTAATAATCTGTTCTTGTGAGCCAGTGTGAACCAGCTACGGCACTTCACTGCCTCTTGTTCAAAGTTTACTGGGAACTTGAGTACTGAACATTTTGTTACAGCTTCATGAATCTAAATTCCTGTCCAGGTAAAAGATTACTGGAGTTACCAGAAAAGAATTTTGTTTAACTTCATCTAAGACTAAGACTATACCACTTAATAAGTCCTAAATTTGACAAATGCTTTTGAAACTTAATTTGTTAACATTATGAACTTCTTACCTCAATGTGTATTTACACATCACTGAAGAACAATAAAGGGTAGTTTACATGGGTTGACATGCTACATAGGCTTAAGGGCTTTCTGTTTCTTTGTTTCCAAAACAGATTACAGTGATCAGAATAGAGGTAGCAGGCAAATAGTCTGCTTATTCTCGCTGAAGCCATTCAGAGCAAAATTTATTTATACTATAAAATGCCAAGGCCTATAAAATTCCCAAAGCCCCATCTTTAAGAATGTAAGCAACAGATACTTGGATGTACAGACCAGAGTTTGGCCAGAATTCCATTAAGTGATCTTGAGTCCTATCAAAAAGCTAAGCTAAAAGATACATTAAAATAAGTAATATATTTAGTTGTGAATAAAACTGTGCCTCTAAAAAGTGAAGAGACAGTGACAAAGCAGAAGGACCAAGAGGGCCAGGAAGGTGGCCTCAAAGAGGGTCTGAATCGAAATTCCAGTCAAGCGGCTACACTAACCATGTAACTTTGGGAAGTTATTCAATCAGTCTAATCTTCAATTTCCTCAAAGATAAATTAGAGATGGCAGTACTATCAGGATTATATGAGAGACTATTTGAACATCACCTGGCACATAGTAGCAGATCAGTAAGTGACAGTATCATGAAAACATACTCCCTTCTGCCTAACCAGAAAGGCGAAGACTCAGGTGGGAACCTCATTGCGAATACGTGTGAGTAATTACTCAAGATTCTTTCTCTTGGAAGATTTTATTCAAAGGTGAAGTAAGCAAATACTAGCATTAGCTCCAAGGCTACCTCAGCCCCCAAATATCTACAACACACAGTTGGAGTTTGTCCTTTGAGTTAAGGCAATGCACATGAAATATGGGACTCTGAAGCTATACAGTATTTGATCACCATCAAATACAAGATATTTGGAAGTACTGCTAAACCTCTGCAGTCTGTTACAAAACAATAATAAAGCAGAGGTGTTAAATATCTGCTATCTGCTATTGAAAGAAATACAAACCATTCAAAAGGCACAATTTAGATATGATGAGATTAGAAAATTCCATTTTAGATGCATATTTTACCTGAAATTGATTTCCTTAGCCCTCAGTAGCCACTAATTTATTAATCTGTATTAGTTTTTCCATTTCATTTTTCTGAGAGAAGGTGGAGCAAAGAACAGGTAACTGATTTAGGTGAGGATGGGAAACTCCTACCACCTGGGAGGGCAGTCTTCACGGCATGAGGCAGTGATGGGCTTGGGCTGACCGCAGCTACTGGGGAGCAATGGGGGGCAAGACAAGGGAAGAGCTGCTCCAAACAAAATGATTTCATTTTCTAGTTTTTTTGTGAAAACACTTCTGTCCACAGTCATAAAATCACTTTCTTTGAGATACACAATATTTTCTTGGCTATTCTCATTAATATAGCAATATTATAACAATTTTGTAAATTTTAAAGAAATTACTGGGACCTTTAACTGCAAAAGTCATCTTGTGAGGTAATGAACAAAAAAGAAATGCTTCAACTGAATTAATAGTACTTCTTCATGCTTGTAGGACTCTAGAAAAAGTGTATGAGCTAGAATTTTGGAAATAGCACGTAACAGAAACAACAGCCAAGTGGGAAATTAAAGTCCAAAAGCAAAAGCAGTGGCAGTTCCAGAATGTTTCCAAAGGAGAGGCATAGGGGTCATCTTTTAGGTGGAAAGAAAACTAGGGAATTTTCCTTGATACAGTATTTGCAGAGTTTTTGCTTACAGGATATATTTATTTAGAGTAACTTGGTACCAGGAGTTGGAGGGGGCCCTGACGGAGATTATGAGTGAAATAAAGTCCCTACAAGACAAAAAAAAAAAAAAGTCTCACATTTCTTTGCCCATATACCTGGAATTGCTAAAATGAGAAGGGAAAAAAATCTAAAATTATATCCTTAGCTGAAAAACTTTACCCAATATTTTTCTGCTTATAAGAAACTAAGTTTAATCAATAATCAACATTGATTGCCTACAATATGTTTGGCATAGAAATTGGTACTGGGTAGGAACAAAATATGTTCTCTGCCCTCTTGTTGCTTAAATCAGGAGAGAAGACGGACATCAGGCAAGAAAGTGGTGTGATTGGTTTCAGAGGAGGAGGAAGGATGAGTGGAGATTCAACCTGGTCTAGAGGGTCGGCGAGGTCTCCCTGAGGAAGTGGCATTCCAAAAGGGGTTGCCTAGGCAAAAGCTGTGAGTTAAGGGGTGAGAGAGCTGAAAGGAGAACAGGAACAGAAAACATTTCTAGCAGAAGGAACTGAGTGTGGGAAACTCAAGAAGCAGAACGATAAAGAGTCTGAGGAATTTAAAAATCCTATCTGTCTGGAGCCGTGAGGGTGTTATCGGCCAAAGTCTGTAAGAAACAGGAAAACCACATTGGTAAGTCTAACAAAGAGAATTGAGAATTGCTTCATAGGCATGAGACAACAAAAGACTATAACTTCAAGAAACAGGAATCCCTAAGGCTAGGAGTACAAGGAGAAGAGAATAGGGTTACTAGAACCTAGAAGCTTGGAGGAGGGACCAGAGCTGGAACCTAGACCTCGGAGCAAGGGACTCTGGCCAACAGATCCTGATGGTATCTGTGGGGACACAGTGAGGCTGTTTTGGGTTTTGCAGGGAGGCTGGAGCCCACTGCTATTAGGGTGAAGAGCTCCTGCTGGGGTGATCTGCATACTCGGGAAAAACTCAAAGGAGCCTGCAATCACCCCTACCTCGTTGTTGCCAGCAGCATCTCATCCTTATGCTGCTGTTGTAAGATCAGGAGGCTGTTGCCCTAGTCTAGGTGAGAGAAGGCAGTGACCTGGACTGGGGTGATGTGTAGCAGTTATTTAGTAATATAAAATCTGAAGAATTTGTGATGGATTACACTGGAAACGGAAGGAAAGGGAAAGAACAAGGACAACTCATAGATTTCACCGGAGCAAGTAGGTGGGTGCTAAGGCCATGAACCAATACAGGGTTCCAAGTAAGAAAGGAGGGGTTGAAGAACAGAAGTTTAATTTGGGACGCCTATAAGGCATTCAAGCAGGAAGAGGGGCTAGAGCTTGGGGGACATAAGTGATCTAGAAATATAGTTTGGAAAACTTAGGTAGGACAGATAGTAGCTGAAGCCATGGAAATGAGTAATCTAGCCTAGGAGGGTATTTAGGTCACCAAAGAGGGCTTGGACAATGCTGGAGCAAACTTTTAAAGGAAGCTGTACCATACATGAGCTAAAATGCTTCTCTTTGATCATCCACACGTACAGCCGTGAACTGGAGAATTATCACTGAAATATGAGAGACAGCAACATACCAGCAGAAGAAAAGACAATAACCTTATCAGTCGAAATTATTCTGGTTGTTGCTAAGCAATTTAAATTTGATAGAAGCATAAGTTTACTTCTGAATAAAATTACCTGTCAATTTATACCTTTTTATCAACCGCTATCTTCCACCACTGGAAAATAATGCAATTGAATCTGACACTCTCTTTAAGAAAGTCTCCACATGCATAGCCAATTGCATTTTGATATGGAATTGCCCCCCTTTTTAATATTAATACTTGATTTACAACTGTATATTCATAGTTAAAAACTACCATTTTATTAAAGTATATCAAGTTGTTTTATTCTCCATTATTTTGCTTTTCACTTAATCTTTTTAATTCCTGCCCCAAATTAGAGTAATTCACTCCAACCAAAGCCTATTGTAAATGTATGCTGCTGGCTAAGTGTTCTCTTTTCAGTTTAAAGGGGCATCAGTCAGGACTCTCCATTCTTCCCAAAACTGCAGAGTGAAAAGTACAGCTGCTTCTTTCAAGGAAAGTGAAAAAAAAATGAAAAAAACTGAAGCCAAGTGTTTTGCTTTTCTGTTATTTTAAAATTCAAACTCTCAGAAGAGCTTCAATTTCTGTCTTTGATCGCAAAAGCAATTTATAAATAGGAAGAATTACTAAAGAGGTGGGATTTATCCTTTTCTTTTAATCCAGATTTTTCTGACATTTCAACTATTTCTAAAAAAAGATGAGAAGGTAAGATCTCTGCAACAGCTCTGCAAGGGTGAAATAACAGATACAAAGCTTTATAACATTTTTATGTATTGAAGTTTTTAAACTATACTAGAATAAAGTTACAAATTTCAGGTAGTTAGCAAGAAATTTTGCCTGACTTTTGTATTTTTTTCTCCTCAAATCACCTTACAAAGTGTTTTTAAATCGTGACAACCTCCAGAATTTCTCATTTTATTTGTCTTGGGCTCATAAGTCTCTTTCATAGATATTTCAGCAAGGATTGGAAAAGGCAGGGTGAAAAAAAGAGTAAGACTTGCTTCATCATTTTAAAAACATCAGAACTAAAATATATTATGGACATAAATACAAACTTAGAGTTTCCAAAGTGGATACAATTTGTGCAGCTCAATGTTTGATATCTAGATATATTTGTAACATCTCAAAGCACTCTGCCCTGATTTTTTTAGACAGATTTACAGAACCCAGCTTAAGTTAACAGAAGTTGTAAATTATGTCTAAGTGGAATTTATAAACAAAAGTTAAAGTTGAGCATGCAAGGGAATATTGAAAAGTTTGCATAATGCTGTCAACATCTACAGTGCCAATGTTCATCCTTTCTTTTGTTATTAGCTGAACTTTTTTCTGTATACATGGATATATGTCTGAGTAAGTACGTGTGTACAGATGTATGTTTTCAAATGAAACAAAGCTGTGCAGTTATTATCGCAGGGGCCGACTGGTCTCTAGGAGCACGTGCTTCCCCTGGCCTATTAAAATACAGTACCAACATTTCCCTCCTGTAGCATTGTGAGTGTGATCTGACGTGAGCTTGCGTTTCTGGGAAAGCGCCTGGAGAATAGCAATTTAATTTAGAAACTGCTCAGCGTAAGTGTTGGGTAGGGTTTGACGGTACTGCATCAGGTGATGAGATAAATTTTCAGAGATACCACAAAGAAAGGTTGGAAATGTCATCAGAGAGTTTATATTAAGTGTAGTTTTCCTACAAAGAAATTGATTTTAAACACCATTTAAATTTATAATCTGTGTCAGATTTCAGTGTTTTATTGCATTACAGAAGTTAGATATTAGTACCTTGTTTTCAAACTGTTTTGGTACCTAGTATGGGCTTTTTCTTGAATTGCAAACATTGCTATTCTTTTGGATACTATTAAGCTAATAGCCAAAATGGAAATTCGTATGTCATGGAGATGACAAATATGTCTCCTGCTAATTGAAATGCTCTAATGTTGTTAAATAGTATTTTCGGATATGTTTACTCTTCTATAGCCTTTTTCATTCTTATTATACAGTCAGATGTTAAAATATGTGCATATATATATATATATATATATATGCACACATGCATATACACACATAATTTTATAGTTGGATTAGACCTAGAATGTCTTCAAAAAAATTATGAAAAAATTCCTCCTTCTCCACTTATCATCATTATCTAAAAAGCATGCATTCAGCTCAAATTTTATTGAGCACGCACAATGCATCTTAAGTAGTATTATATATTGTCCCTGAAATTAATAGGGGAAAAATATTTCAGTCTAGATGAAAATCGTGTTCATTAGTAACCGATACAATGTTATTTCCAAGGATACTCAACTTTATTTTCCTTTTGATGACACTCCGTGGAGAGAAAAAGTTGTTTAATTCTAAAATTGGACTGTTTCTTCTTAACTGGCCTATCAGCTTGCTTCTCTTCCTGCCTTTTTATTGAATCCATACTTTGTATTTCAGTGGCCCATTAAATTCTTCCTGCTTTTTAGAGTTTCTTTGAAAATATCTTGTGAATACTGCAGGAGAAAAATTGCACTGAGTGTTACAAATCTCCTGTATTCTCTAAACAGGGACAGAAATGTCTTTGGGTTTTGTTTGCTTTGTTTTGTTTTGTTTTTAAAGGAAGGATAGAACATTAACACATGACAACAGTGAGATTACACAGATAAATTTTTGAGTCCTTTTATCTAGTAAACATTCTAATGACCTACTTCAAAGGCAGGCTGGGAAGAAGCCTCCCTGTCCTCCTGCCAGAATGAGAGGCGAAGCTCTTTACCACTCATATGGGAGATATGAGGAGACTTTGAATGGATCATTGCTTTTTATGAGTAGTAATGAGGTGAGAAGTATTCTAGTGTGTGGCACAGGCCTTCATTAAGAAGCGTGAAACAGAATGGCTTATGGTTAAAGGGGGTAATTTGTTCTAACATACTTGCTAAATTGTGTTGTAACCATGCCAGTTAACAGCACTATATTTTCCATAGGATTCCTGAGTGCATTTGTGTGCAATTATTCTTCCCATACAAAATTCAGGGATTTTTCCAATAGCTTGTGTTAACTAGTTGACAATGCTCACTCCTTCAGTGGAAAGTACACGGAGCCCCACCGTTAAAAAGGGGTGAAAGAATCCAGAGATGTTCTCATTCTCTTTCTAAAGCCAAAGGGTTCTTGTAAAATCAAAAATTCACAGAACCCAAAATTAAATGAATACCATTTGTCCAAAAGGTAACATCAGAAGTAATAGGTAGTTTAATAACTACAAAGCTTCAATTTTCAAATATGCATTATAATTAATAGAATCCATAAGAAAGAAAATAAGATTTGGTGGTTTCAAGTCCTTCATTAAAAAAAAAAGACAAGAAAAACTGAAAAGTAAGAGCAATAATTTTGCTACATTTGTGAGGAAATTCTGCTCATAACAGAACTTGAAGTTCTACAACATACCAAGATTGCTTGTTCAGACTCTTACTGGGAACATTGAGCTAAGATTTTGTTCACTGGAAAAATCTTTCTACTTAGAGAAACATAACATGAAAACATAACATGTTTTTTTCACATGACCAACTATCAAATGAGAAAATGTTGTAGGACAGAAACATAAAGGTTTGGACAAGACCCAGAATTTGGGTATGTCATACGGGAAAACTATTTTATAAGTGGCAACTTTTTAAGACACATTATTACACGGGAAATGTTATAACATTAAAATTTGAGGGGAATATCCCTATGAATTTTCTGGAATTTTCTTGAAAGGCAATAACACGAATATGCATTGTTTTATAAAATATTTTGTAACTGATGGCACAATATTATTGTAATAAAAACATTAATTAAATATAATTGATAGACAATCACAGACTGAAAATGGAGACTTAAAATTTAAGCACCAAAAACCTTTACAGTGAAACAGGAAGTATTCATGTTTGTCCACTCTCTGGAATTTTTGAGCCTTTGCTGTGGGGGAGAAGAATTTCCGTTTTGTCACTTTCCATCCATTTCATTATTATTCAGTTTTTGCACATTCGTTATTTGATATTTTGAAAACAATGTTTGCAATCATAGGTAAGTACATGATTCTAGCTTCAAAAATAAATACTGTCAAACTTAATAGAAACCAGGCTGTGGGCCTCCAATAAATGTAATAGGCCCAGCCTCTCCTTTCTACTTCTTTTATTGGGTTTTCAGGAAAGTCTATGAAAGAAATTCTAATTGCAGCTGCTCCTAGCCAATGCTTAGGTTCTCTTCCCCTTAGAGAGGGAAATGGTAGCTCTGGGCTATACGGTGGAATGAGTGGTTTGGTGTTTGTTTTTTGTTTTCAAGCTAATTGAATATGTAGCATAGTAAATAACAAAAATTATATTTACACATTGCCTAATTTTCCTCACTGCGCCACAAGGGGTAAACCAGATACAGCTGTTATTTGAATACAAAATAACATCTTATTCAATGCTAAATTCACTGACCTAGAATGTTGCCCAGAGAGAACAAATCTTTTTATCAATGTCTGAATAGTTATTCTCAGAATGAATTTCACCTTTCCTCAATTTAACACAAATATGAACACTCTGAGTTAATAAGTGACAACTAGGATAGAAAACCTGGAGACTGACATAGGAAGAAATGTACTTTAAAGGGATATTTACCATTCTTTAAGCTTTCTTGTTATTTTTACTTCTTTTTTTTTTAAGAGACAGAGTCTCACTATATTGCCCTGCTGGTCTAGAACTCCTGGCCTCAAAGAATCTCCTCACCTCTCCCTCTTTAAGCTTTCTTTTGCATTGTGTCTTATTTATATCTGACTGGAAAAATTAAGACTTGTGAGACTGATAAAAAGAAGTAATACAAGGATTATATTAATACAGTGTGAAATGAATGTATTTCATTGAAACTGTTCTGAGCTAAGCTGGTCTAATTTTCTTATGACATCAGGGCTTCCCATAACTGGGAATTCTCATAGCTTCATGATATCAAATGCCTGCACTGGCTTGCGTGTAGTCTGGAGGTTTCTCTGAAATTAATTTTTTCAAATCAAGAATAAAACAAATATGAAGAAACAAAAGCATAATAACTATCAGAAAGAAAATATGTATCCACATATGTTGAGACTAAATGCTATGTAATAAAACATGAGTCCTGAGAGAGAAAATAGCTAAAATATTCCATGCCAAGTGTATACTCACACTTGAGAAAAGCTTTTATTGGAAGAGTACTAGTGGTTGCATTTTCATAAGAAAGGTGAAGCCATTTAAAAAAACTCTTGCATGCTCCAAGCCTCTAGCAGGTGTGAAGGTGACAATCCCATTCATCCAGTAGGAACTACCTGGGCAGTTGAAACGATGTGACAGCTCCATTCTCTCTGTTGTGGACATCTCTACTTAGGTGGGATTAAAGCAGTAGAATGCATAGGAATATCTAAAAAAAAAAGTACAGTTTTATTCTGTTTCATCAAAGTGTCTGAAAATTGAGGAGTAGAAAGGAAGAGGGATAAATATACTTGGGGCAACACTGGCAGAAGCCAACATTTTAAAGCAATCATTGTTGATCTTTTGATTCTCCTCTTTTGGTTGTATTAGACATCTTTCCAAATCCTCCTTGTGTGAGTCTCGGAAAGATGCTAAGCAAACTTAAGCATTTCCTTCATGACTTGGCACACTTAAGGTGGTACCCTAGCCTCCCCAAAATTTGTCACTGCCATATTAGTCATTACGGTACTTGAAATTTTACCTCTGTTACATCCATTCAATTACATCTGAAGATACCCACTCTTGATTTATACTATAACCCAAGGCCCAACTCAAGCGACTTCTACACATAAATTGGACTTATACGCTTCTGCCCATCGGAACCCCCTTGTCCTGGCTAGTATCTGTATCACATTTATTTTAGGTGGTTTTATTTAATTTCTCTACTTACTATTAGCTTTAGTTTGTTCCTAGATTGTTTCATGATAAACTCCTGAGGACAAATAACATATATTACAATTTACAATTTTTTTTGTTTCACCAAGAGTAATATACAAACAAAAAGTAATAGAAAAGTTGAAAGACACCCAGCACTTTGGGAGGCCGAGGCAGGTGGATCGCTTGAGCTCAGGAGTTTGAGACCAGCCTGCTCAACATGGTGAAACCCCGTCTCTATCAAAAATACAAAAAATGTAGCCAGGTGTGGTGGCGCAGGCCTATGGTCCCAGCTACTTGGGAGGCTGAGATGGGAGGATTGCTTGAGCCTGAGAGGAGGATGCTGCAGTGAGCCAAGATTGTGCCACTGCACTCCAACCTGGATGACAGAGTGAGACCCTGTCTCAAAAAAAAAAAAAAGAAGTTGAAAAACAGAAGAAACACACCAGCCTCAATACCTCCTTTCTTATTGTGTATATTAATATCTTTTAAGGAAAGACTCCAACCTTAATGCCTGATTTCTAATGAATCTCATAGTGGGAATTACTATCTCAATAAGAAGAAAAGAAATAAAATTGGCAAACAGCAGAAGTCTTGAGATGAGCATTACTTCATGGTACTTCTTGAGATTTCTCCTATATTACCCAGTCTGCTTGGCATTGTCTAGAAAAGGAGAGAGCAAAAAATGAAAGCAAAAATGAATCTGAAATGTTAGATATTTGGAAATGAATGAGAGACTGGTTTGAAGAAATATAAGAGAACAAAGACATGCTTGCATTTTGAAAGCCGTTTTCCATAAATTCTTCAAGAGCTGAATATGCTAATTTAGCACACTGAACCGGTGATTTGATTTATCCTGTTCTGGATTTCTGTAATATAAAGAAATTATACTACAGTGAATGTCTAAAAATAGCAAAGTGCAACCAATCATGTTCCTTATTTATTGAAAACCACTAAGTGAACGTGACATGAGTGGTTCTATTCATGATATTGAAAGAATTCCTTTTTATACCTCACAGAACAGAAAAGCCTTTTATCCTTTTAATCAGAACAACACCTTTCCAGATTATCTAACAAGTCAGAAAACCCATTTCTTATAGTATGATATGGCATGTTTTAGGTTGCTGGTCAAAACCTCCTTTAATTAAATTGGTCATATATATGAACCCAAAGTATTTAGAATTAAGGTCTCTGTAGTAAGACTAACCCATTTAATTTTCTTATTTATGCTATTCATAACTGAAGGAAATTTAAAGAAACTGCTAAATACTGCCCATTAATTTTCTCCTTGCTCAATTTTGATGTAGAAATAATTTCGCTTTTATTTGTTTACCAAGAAGTACCATATTTAGGAACATTTAGCTAGACGTTTCAAAGCTATAAATAAAATTCTAACTTAATTCTGCAAACTGTTTCGTACCCCAATAACTAGAACCATAGAAAATAACTGGCTGGCTGCCAAAAAGTAAGGCGTGGGATAGAAAGCCTTTCTAGTATTCAAGTTTCTGAAATGAGAAATTTAAATGAATGCTCCTTATGATGTCAAGAAATCTCCATCCTGCTTAGTCCAACTCAAATATTTCCAGTTTTCAAGTTAGTATCTCTGTTTAAAATAAGCAAATGTGGATTGGTCTTCAGTGTTTGTCTGGATACTTTCTGGCAGTGGAGAAACGGGCATGCAAGGGTTCCCAGATTCACCCCACAGCCTCGCATTAGAGCAAAGGTGTTAATTTCCCTTGTAATTTTTCCTTCTCAATAACAGCATGCTCAAACCCAAATATTTCTCAGTATATTATTACAATTTTAAAAAATTGCTGGCTTATCCAATTCTGATCTGAAAAACCTTTCTCTAATTAGTGTCTTTGCAAAACTGAACTCAGGCAAATTTTAATCCCTCATTTACTGATTTTATTTTAATACTATTACTCAGCATATGTTGGCTGCATTAAACCATTACAGTAAAAATTAAAATGAAAGTCATATGATTTATTCCCCTTTAAAAGTGCTCAATTGGTCTAGTAAAAGTCAAGTGCCAAATACCAGATGTCGGATTTAAAAGAAATTCTGAACAAGAAGGAAAAAACCCTCCCATTACTCTCTTAAGATATTTAGTTGAAATTAATGCCATCCCAGAAAAAAATAATATTAACATATGAATACATTAGTCTGAATATATTTGATTTAAGAAAGAAGAGATGCAGGGAATAAAAATAAAAATATATTAATATTTATTGATTTAAACCCCGCTTTTGAAAACTACATTTGTATTGCTGTTACACACAATTTTCAAGCCAACTTGATATTTTACAAAGAAAATTAGAGTGGTTGTTTCAATTTAGAATGCAGAAGGTCAGAATAGGAAGACAAGAAATAGTATAGATACTTATATCAAGTTTTTATTACTTTTCCTCCAAACTTTTGTTTCTCCTCACTATTTATCAGCATAATTTTTAACCAAAATCCACTTCCTGGAAAAATAAACTGATGTGCTGAAGTTAATAGAAAGATATGTTCAAAAGAAATAGCCAAATAAAGATAACTACCTTTTCAGTTCTTATCATACTTTCAAGACAGCTATTTCATATTCAACACTCCTAAAACATAGTTATTCCCCAACTCCAGATCTTTGCCTACATTACTTTTTTCTTTCAAAAATTGCTGTTCTCTTTCCAACAGTTAAGACCTACACCTCAAAGATGGTCTAACTATAGCATTTCTTCCATAATTTTTTAAAAATTATTCCTCCCCCACCCACTCTGCCATAACTACAATGCTGCTATAGTGGTCACTGGCTAGCAATTCCCAAAACACTACTGCCTTTCTCCCTGGATGCGGCAAGATTACAGTCCCCGGCTTTCTTTTTTAGTAAGGTATGGCCATGTGAAAGTAGACTGACCAATGGGCTGTCCGCAGAAGTAGTTATACCCTCTGTATGGGTATTTCCTTTCACTGTGCTGGCTGCATTTGATTGGCAGTATGATCGTGGCGGAAGTCCGTGCTGGAGGTGGTAGTTCTGGGGTTCCTGATGGCTCCATGCGGTAGATCCTGCCCTCCTGTTCACCCCAAACCCCAAACCCAGCCCTCCGTCCTATTGAACTTTACATAGCATAAAATATTATACTGTGTTTATCCACTGAGATTTCTCAGTTCCTCAGCAGCTGACAATATCTTAACTAATGTAAGTAAAATTATGATCTCTCAGTTGACAGAATATACATAATATTTTGTGTTTTTCTTGTCACTGCCTATATTCTCCTTATTTGTTAATGATACCTCTTCTGACAAGTTCCTTAAAGTCAGGAACTCCTCTTTTTTTTCAGCTTTTATTCCTTACAGCCTCTGGTAATAAGTAGATGCCTAATGAATTGCTCTTTATCTGTCAATCTGAGTTTATTATGCTACCCAAAACTAACAGTCTCTTGGTTCATTCATTTATTATTTTATTCATTTATTTATCCAAAATATCTGTTGCATCTTTGCCATTTGTCAGTGCATTAGACACCTTTGGGATATCTTCCCAGCTCACATTAACTCCCCATTCGTAAGGGGTGACCTTCGACAATAGTCTCAGTGCCTAAGCTTGTGGCTGACTTGACCAGAGTACATTATCTCACTCAAGCTGGGCCAGTTAGATCCGGTCCCCAGGCAAGTTGCTAGGAAATAGCTAGTTCATCCTAGCTCATGACTGAAATTGTACTCTACCTACTTGAAAGCATTGGCAGCTATGTAATGCCACATTGACCTAAGAAGCCCAAAAAAGTATAGAGCAAAGAGGAAAAATAAAATAAGCACCCCCAAAACGTAAAACCCTGAAGCCTCTCCATGGCCTGTCTGCAATTATTTCCTTAGACCAGCCTGAATTCTACCACTGTGCTCTATAGCTTAACTATACATTACCTGTTTTGTATAAGCTATGTCAGGATGGCTCCTGTTACTTGCAACTAATAAAATTTTAATTAATAAAACAAGACATTTTGCTTTTCCCAGGGATACAATGATGAACAAGAGATATATAGCTCTTACTCTTATAGTAAAACCAGTAGGTGGCAATTCAGTAACTTTGCAAGGGAAAAAAATGAACTTATTTTTCAACCCTCTCAGATGCTGATTTTCCTTCCTTTTGAAGAAAAAGATTTGGGGGTGATTTTCATTTGTGCTACACATGAAACAAGAGTTTTATTATTCATGATAATATCACTTTCTCCTCTCCTAATGTTTTTTCTCTTGTTATTTTGCGATTCCAAAGTGTAACAAAAATTGTAAATTTAAACATCGGAAAAAGAAGTCAAATACATCTGTGTTGAAAAGAGAAAGGTGGGAAACTTTGAATTGGGGTGATGGTAATGGCGATGTGACAAAGTGGAAAGATATAAAACATTAGTGAGATGAAAGACGCGGAACTTAGGAACTAACTACACACAAGAACAACAGAGGGGAGAACCAAGATGGCTGTGTTTCAAGCATGAGTCACTAGGAAAATGGCGCAAGACCAGGATGCTGGTTAAAGGGAAAAAAATGACACATGGCATATTGCTGCATTTCAGAAAGTCTCCATTCTCAGGGTACATCAAGATATTTTGGAGATCTTTGAAAAGATACAATTGCCCCTCCTTCAGCCCCAGAGATGATGAATCCATTGGTCAGGAGTGATTCTGTGTATTAGTGTTTTTAAAAACCCATGTTGATGGGATTGAGAACAAAATTCATTTGAAGTGTCTGGCTCTTCCACAAAAGTATTTGCTTGTTTACTTTCTAAAAGATGTTTCTTAGTAGACTCTGGGGACTTCAAAAGTGTGGAGGGAGGAAGAGGGCAAGGGTTGCAAAACTTCCTTTGGGTACTATGTTCACTATTTGGGTGATGGGTTCAATGTCAGAAACCTGCATGTGTAGCCCCTGAATCTAAAATTTTAAAAGAAAAATAAATCAATTTAAAACTAAAAATTTTTTTTTATTTAAAATAGTAAAACACTGTACAGAAAACTTGAAAACCATGCCACTTAGTAATATGGAGTTGAAAATTAAGGCAGAAGATAAGAGGAGGAATGAAAAAATGAAAACAAAGCAAAATACCTATTAAGTAATACAGAGGATGGAAAGGAAAGGGTATATTCTGTAAGTCCTGCAGTTTCTTTTCCTTACCTCAGATACTGAAGCTTCTAACAGAAAATCCAGAAGACTCTGGGAAGTAGGTGAGGTTTGACTTCAATTCCTCTTCTTGCTGAATTCCCAATCTTTCCGTGCCTCTCACACCACACTCAGTAATTGCCTGTTGCTTTTACTTACACAGACACTCCTAATCACTGACTTCAGCTTTTCTCTTCATTGCTTTCTGGGATGGAAAAGAAGGAATAGTTAGCTAGGGAATTATCCAAAGCATCGTTAATAATTACCTACAAAACAATTCGCTTCTATAGCTACTGAATGAATGAATAAGTTGCTACATAAGAATCAACTACAATTCTTTCCTTTTTCTCCTCTTCAAAAGGAAAAAAGAGAAGAGGCATTATCTACTATTTATTAAACTGAACTTAAACAAGAGATGAAACCTAACGCAGCTTCTCCTCCCTTACAGAATAGGTAAAACAGATATGAATCAGTGAAGCAGAAACCATGTAATAGAAAAAGTGGAATATAATGAATTTGGATTTGATGATGTTTTACAAGCAGATATCGCAAGTCAAATTTCACAGCAGTAAAAACAACAGAAGTCCACAAAGGATAGATGAAAACATGTCTCTCTCCTGTCTCTCTCCAATCTCTGTGTGTGTGTGAGAGAGTGTGTGCGCGGGCGTGTGCGTGTGTGTGCGCGTGTGTGTGTGCGCGTGCGTGCGTGTGTGTGCGTGCGTGCGTGTGTGTGTGTGGTGTAGGGAGAGGGATAGATTCCTTTTCAAAAAGTGTCCAGAGGGGGAAAAAAAATGCATCATGCCACCTAGTGGCGGAAATTAAGTTGATTCCTTTTAACTCGACAAAGCGACTTTGCCTTTCTTTAGAAAATCAGATGAATTCATTAACATAGTGGAATCTTGATTTGGCAAACTACACAGTAGTTAAAATGTAAATACCAGGTCTATGTTTTAATTTTTCATCCACCAATGGCATTAAGAAATATGATGAACTTTAAAGAGCCCTGAAGTCAGAAGCAGGATATCTTTCCTTCTCTTTCGACCAGGTCACTTAACCACCCTGGAGCTCAGTTTCCTCCATAAAGGGCCAGAATAGATGAACTCTTAGCTCTTCAATTCCATGTTTCAAAGTATGCAATAGACCACATAATCAGGGTACTCTTATCTAATGCAGTTCCTTGTGACAAAGTCAGGCCACCATCTTCACTGATTAAACGCCGGATGACACAACATGCCTTCTACACTTTCAGCCTCATTCCAGTCACATTTTACAGAGTCCGTGCTTCATTGCAAGCCTTTCTTTATTACTGCTTTGCATTATTGGATGTCTGCTGCTGAGAGTCCCTAGATTACAATTCTTAACTTCTGTGAACTGCAGTGGTGCATATTTGTGATGTATTTTTCTAACTTACGTGAATGTCCACAAATTCCCCTTTGAAATCAAGTAAAGTATTCCTCCAAGAGAAAAAGAAATAGTTTGGAATTATGTAGCAATATTTTTCAGACATTGTGAAGTATAATTGCCCCTTTCTCCCACTCTCACTAATAATATACATCCATAATGATATACATCTGTGAATCAGATTTAGAAAGGGCATTAAAAGCAACAATTAATCTGGGCTATCCAGAATACATAATCTCCTACTAACTAATCTGTCCTTGTAACTTAGCGACTAAAGTGTGAACATTTTGTTTTAATTCAAAAAGAAATAAAATTTTCTTAAAATATAAGATTTTCTTTTTTATTTATTTTATTTTATGTATTTATTTATTTACTTTTTGAGATGGAGTCTCACACTGTTGCCTAGGCTGGAGTGCAATGGTGCAGTCTTGGCTCACTTCCACCTCTGCCTCCTGGCTTCAAGTGATTCCCCTGCCTCAGCCTCCCGAGTGGCTGGAATTACAGGTGCCCACCACCACGCCCGGCTAATTTTTTGTATTTTTAGTGGAGACTGGGTTTCACCATGTTGGCCAGGCTGGTCTCGAACTCCTGACCTCGTGATCCACCCACCTCGGCCTCCAAAAGTGCTGGGATTACAGGTGTAAGCCACCGTGCCCAGCCATAATATTTTCATTATTCCAAATGTGATGGAAAACCCATAACACTTAGCTGATGCAAATTGTTTAAAAAGTATCAGATACATAGATGAAAAGTCTTTTTAGTCAGATATTTGACTTTCTCTGCAGCAAAGCCTTGCCCCTCACCCTCAGCCCCAGCCAGCTGAGGGAAGAGTAATTAGCTCTCCAAAGAGAATAAGTGGTTAATGCAAGAACATGTTTATTTGCTCTAAGAAGACTGTCTTAAGGTTATATTCTCTACCCAGATTGCATCTTCACTGTTGACAACACAGTGTGTCACAGATGAAATTATGCTTGGGGTAAAATTAGTATTTCCTTCTCCAAACTGGAGATTAGAAAATAAATGGGTCAAGCATAGGAATGGGATAGTACACACATTAGCATTCTATGAACACACAGAGGGACTGGCAATTAGATTCATGGTAAATATTGCTGACATTCCCCTGATGCAAACTCACAAATATAAGAGAGAGAATTTTCTAGAACATGCTTATCAATGTATTTGTTTCTTTGTTCAACTCCCTTCTTAACATTGTCCAGACATCCTTTAAGCCTCCAACCTCCCCCAAAGACATGCATACAAACATATCCAAACACTTCATTTTTTCACGCAGTACCTTATAACACCTCTATTTAAGCCTTTAAATGATATGTTTACTTGTCTTTCTATCTCACTAGACTGTTAATTACAGCAGGCAGGGACCTTTTCTTTGTTAAACTTAGGACTTACTACTATGACTAGCATATAGTAGGCACTTTAACACCCTTGATTGAACTGAATGTACTGTGTTAATTTAAACAGTGCATTATTAATACTGGGACCAGATGAGTCTATCTTCCTCCTATGTCTCATTGCTAAGGAGCTGTGGATTCTCAATAGTAGAGTGTCACAAAGGGAGCAGCCTCTACTTCATTTGGAACTATTACAAAACATTGCTTTCCTCATGCTTTTTTTAGAGTATGGACAACAAAATTCTTTTCATACTGTTATGAAACACTTCTGATAGCTGGGCAACAGCTAGGAAGTCTCTTCAGTGAGGCCAGAGGCAAGAATCAGAGGATGTTATTCCCTTCATTTCCAGCGTATTATGTGGCAGGACAAAATTTTAAATTTCCTTCAAACACTTCATTCCTTCCCTTCTTCACCCATAGTAAGGAAGAACTTTTAGCATAATGACACACTGAAGTTAAACAATTAGACATGGTAAAATTTAGAGAAAGATGTTTGTTTCATTGTCATTGATATTTTTACTGTTCGAATAGTTCACTCTGGAAAAATCTCCAAAGACAACCTGAGCTTGTTCCTAGGATGAATTTATCTATTCCTATAAATGGAGCCAAGAATAAAAGTCTCAGAGCCTTTGACCTTAGCATGTTACTAAACAGAAGCCAGGACCTTGGAGCAAGGGATGGAGTAGGCAGATGGGTAGAAAAAAACAGGAGAATGGCCCCTTGACTTCTGTTTGAAGTGAACTCTCTGAACTAAAAGGTGCTGTGATGGAAAAACACTTGGCAGCACTTTCCAGATTCTATGCATCTTTATAATAAGCAAACATTAAGATTATTTTTCAGTAAAATCATCTTTCTGATAATGGTCTATATCCACATATCCTTCCAGATGTTGGAGGAAATAATGAAGTGATTACAGTCACTGGATTTCTAGACAAAGCTGAATGAACAGCAATCTTGGGGGGTGGTGTTTATTAAGGCATCAGCAAGTTTAATATGGAAGGAAGGGAGCCATTTCACACTTTTCTATCCAACTAGTAGCTAGCTTGTCTGACATTAGGTTGCTTGTGGATGCATTGCTTTGTCAAATATTTTTAGAACTTTAAAGGAAAGAGCACTTGTTGATTCCTCAATTGGATTGTCCACAGCTTGAAGACAAGCCGAAGACATGGTGATATTTATTGTTTCCTTCTATCTCCTCTGCAATCTTAACCTTCCACTGTCATCCACAGATAGTATTTCTCCCCAAAACAAATTGTACATGTGGATAAACTCTTGAGTTTGTTGTGCACAGAATGATGCTAATACTGGAAGGAGTTTAAAGAGTGCAGCAGGGTGGTAGAAAATATAACTGTCATGATGAAATGTGGAGGTAATTAAGGCAAGTGTAAAGAATTACAATTTTGTGCCTGATGATTTTTAAATAATAATAATAGTCACTATTTACCGAGCATTGATCAGGTGCAAATTACCATGCTAGATCATTTTCATATGTCACCTAATTTCATTCTCACAAACACCCTGTAATATTGAATATTACTAGCCTGGACTGGAGGGACTGACTTGCCCAAGGTCACTCTGTATGTAAGTGGCAGAGCTGGTACTCAAACCTGGATCTGTCAGACCCCAAGTTCCTGATTTCAGCTTCTACAAAGAAAAACATTTTCTGTGCTTCACCAGGAGTGTGTTTTGGTTGTTTGTTTGTTAGTATGTGTATCTATTTATGTGAGAGGGATTGTAGTTTTACTCAAGATAACTTAAGAAATGTGACAATAGAGATAGATACGATATTCCAGACAATGTAAAGAATGTCATGGTAAGGTCCCAACAAAATATTTTTAAATCAAGGGTATATTTCGCCATATTTTTTACTATAGGACCAAGATTCATTTTATCTGGGGATCCAAATATTCATGGCTCTATTTGTATGTCTCACAAACCTGGAGCTTGATGAGTCCAAAACAAAGCACTAATTTTCTACATCCCATCCATGTCCCCTTCCTCCCCCGCTTATTCTTAATCTTGGTTGGGGGAACAAAAATGAAGCCTCCAAGACAGAAGCTTGAGAATGTTATTTAACTCCTGACTACGATGGACTCCTCACCAATCTCACTTTTCTGCCTCCTATTTCTCCATCCCCTTCTTCTCAGCTCCTTTTTAGGAGTTTCCTTCTGCATGCATCTCTTCCTTGCTAGTGTTCCTGCACTCAGCTTTCTTCTCACTTGTCTCTCTCTTCTCTCCTTATGTAAGTCCACTGATGCTTAATGCTTTGCATACCATCTTAACATGCTAATAAATCCTAAATCTGTGTCTCCATCCTAGAATTTTCTCTTTCTCTATCTTCAACAGATACCCAAAAATTAAGATCTCTAAAGCAAAATTTTGTTATTTCCCTCCTCAGAATCTGCACTTCCTCCAATATTTAAATGGCATTACCATTCATAAAATTGAACAAGCCAGAAACATAGTGGCATATTTATCTCTCCTCTTTACTCTTCCCATCCCTGCCTAAACACCAAACCCTTCACAAGTCCTGCTTACCCATCTCCTAAACATTTCCTGAGTCTTTCCACTTAATACCATCCCCTTTGCCACAGTTTCCTAGTTCAACGCCCCCATCCCCAAAATTCTTTCACACATGTTATTGCCCAGCACCTTAGATGGTCCTCTTGCCTCCAGGCTTGAAAGGAATAGATCCTTTCAATCTATTCTCTATTTGGGGTAGAGTTGCTGGAGCATGCAGAGAGTATACTAAGGAAGAGAACAGGCAGGTAACTGACTCTACTATCTCATTCTAATACACTATATCTTACAGTTAGAAGAAACATTAAAAGCCATTTAAGCCAACCATTGCATTTTAGATAATGAAATCAAGGCCGATGATATGCATAACATCTCTTTTCTAAGTCAGTACTACTCCTTTACAATTTACGCTCTTACATTCTGTTGAGTTTCACATGTTCCAGTCAAATGAATCATGCCCTTTTCTGACCAGATATTAAAATGAATCCTTCATAGTCAGAAACGTTTTGAAGGTAAATAAACTGAGTAGAAAACTGGGAGCATAAGCCCCTCTGACAATAGATCAGAGGGTACTTACTTCTCCCACTGTATTTTTTCACATACAGTCAATTCCGAAGCCAGTGGACGTAGTTGATTGCACTTAGAGGGATCCTCACTTTTTTGCCTTGTGCATTTTGCTGTGTTACATGTGACTATATGAATATAAATTTAAATTAATGAAATGAAATGAAAAATTTAGTTCCTCATTCACTCAAGCCATATTTCAAGTGCTTAGTAGCCACATGTGGCTCATGGCTACTGTACTGGGCAGCAAAGATGAAGAACATTTTCATCACCGCACACAGCTACATTGGGCAACACTCATCTAGTGCTCTGTAAAACTGACCACAATACCTCCTGGCCTAGATTCAGGTAGGAAAAAAAACAGCCTTGAATGGAGTAATTAAGAGAAGGAATAGAAACTTTGGAAACCTTAGCCATACAATACCCTTTTTAAGAAATGCTACTCCTCCAAATCATGACATCATGAAAAATTGTTTTCTGAATGAAACAAAGTATAAGCATCTATGGTTGGTATGGTTGAAGATAATCAACAATTTTCATTGAGAGAAAATCAAGATCCCAAACATGAAAAAATAGACACCTTTCCCTTTCAGTGCCTGTTAAGAATCCAATGATCAAAAGTAATTGCTCATTAATTTTACAATCAGAGGTAGTGAGAAGGGTCAAAAAGTCACCAGGGCCTGATAGAACCGTAAAAATGAGTTTTGCAGAGACATGCCAAGAAATATTTGAAATCACTGAAAAGAATGGAGCTTCACTGAGCTGCCGAGTCCTCCAAATAATGAAAAACAGCACAATAGGCCATCAATTTCAACAGCACCTAAATGAGTCACATATTATGGCTGATATATATCAGATGTATTTTTCTTTTATTTTTATATAATGTCATCTTTTAATAAAATGTTTTATTTTAAACTTTCATTTAATTAAATAAATTCAAGTAAGCTTTATTAAGAAAAAGATGGCATCAAACCATGTATTCATAACTTTTGGGCTAGTAAATAAATATGGTGTCCATATGTGAGTTGAACTATGAAATTGCCACAATTTAACTATTTTTGCCTTACAAAAACAGCAATTTCATATGATTCAACTACCTGATTTAGAAAAGCTATTTTTAATCTTTGAATAAATAAAATGGAGTGTATGTTAGACCTGAAGAACAAATATCATTTTGCCCCAGTATTTTAAATGGAAAAGAACCTTTAAATTCTCCATTTTAACCTTTAGTCTTTATGATTCTCTGAAATGATATAAAAGAATGTTACAAAGGCAGCACTATCTACCCCCTAAATCTGCTATTGCTTGTCAAATTTCAATTAGTGAAGGGAAAAGCATGCATTATAGCTGTAATATGTTGCCTTGAAGTTTAATTTTCATAGTTCTGTTTTTCCAGTTTGCAGTACTGATGGTTCACCTTCCTTAGAAAAATAGGTATAAGGCAAGTAGCCTCAAGCAGTGTGTAACAAGCTACTTTATATCATGCTCATTTAAAATCCATGCTTCCTCACCACTTTTTAAGTTGATCAGCAAGGAGACATCAGGGATGTTGGCTTTGGGTCTGTGGGGGACTGACGTAGATTAGTATATGGAGTCACTGCACCCCTGAGCCCAGTTTGTGACCTGAAATATGGTCGTGAATTTAAGCTGATCACCAGGAGTTGTAACCTTTTGGATTCATGCCTCACAGAAAGCATTAGCCCTTCACCTGAACTTGCAACTAAGGAAATAACCTTATTGGAAGACCCATGGCAATTGGGGCTGTTCTGGTTCCATCAGGAGCCGAGAGATCAGAGAGCCAGCACAGTCCACTCTCACCCCCAGCCTCTACAGTTCCATTCCCAAACCTCAGAGAACACGCTGCCCTGCTGGCAGCACCCCTTCCACTTTCCTGTAACCCACACCTCCTGCTGGAGACACTCAGCTGCTGCTGATCTCTGAGGAGCCCCACAACTGCGGAGGTGATCCTTTCTACCAAGAAAGGTGTCTCAGTGCCTAGGGCCACTGGCCTGCCCCCATCAAAATCTGTACTGTCAGCCAAGAGGAAATTGAAAAAGCTTTACACCACAGGGCCCTAGCCTCATAACCTAGCATGCCTTTCATGGAACATCAGGTTAAGAAATGAGCATCTCACCTTCTGAAGATGAGTTTCTACAGGGAGCGGCAGAATGCTGGCAATGTGGGGAGTTGGGAGCCACACCCGGCTCTCATGATTTAGACACACCTCCACTAAGCTGCCCTTTACCCTCCACTGCCATTGACAATCAGAGTTACGATGGAACTCGGCAGCTAACAGGGAAGGCTTGGAAACTGGGATGGGATTTGAGTGGATTTATGAACTTTCTGTTACTTAGAAAGTGGGGATCTTGCGTATCTGAATTAGGAGGACTGTTTGGAGTAAATGAATTATACTTTTAGAGTGCAAGGTGAGGCTCCAGTTACACAGGCCTTTGTGCTTAATTTGGTTTCACGTTCTACTTCTTATAGATTTATCAAACAATGATTATCTAAAATGAATATCTAGACTAGCAGCTTTGGTCAAAAGAAGGGATTCGTATAGAACATCTGACATGATTGTAGACATAGAAGCTCACCATTTTTTTTTAGGAAAAATTGAACATCAGATCTTGTAGGAAATTTTCTTAACAAAGCTTAGAACTGTCAAATGTAACAATATCCAAAAGTATTTTAAATTGGTTATTTTATCTGCCCGAACTATTTAATTTTAATCAAAATCTTAACAAAGTTTTGAAGCTGAAATAATGATCACAAATTGTTTGGGATCATGTGTGGATCATGGGGAACATACTGTTTCTTGTTTCTTCTTTTATTTTTTTTTTTTTTTTTGGAGATGGAGTCTCACTCTGTCGCCCAGGCTGGAGAGCCAGTGGTGCCATCTCGGCTCACCACAAACTCCGCCTCCTGGGTTCAAGTGATTTTCCTGCCTCAGCCCCTGGAGTATCTGGAACTATAGGCGTGTGCCGTCACGCCCAGCTAATTTTTATATTTTTAGTAGAGATGGGGTTTCACCATGCTGGCCAGGCTGGTTTCGAACTCCTGACCTCGTGATCCGCCTGCCTCGGCCTCCCAAAGCGCTGGGATTACAGCCGTGAGCCACTGCGCCCAGCCCACTGTTTCTTCTTTAACCAAGTTCTATGGTAGTCATATACAATGCTTTGTATTTTACATTCACACCATCTGTATTAAAGGAAAATATTCAGATAATAAGCATTAATTAAGAAAAACTGCTTCCAATGGCCAAAATTGGGACAACATGGGCATCAAAAAAGTAAATGAAATCAATTAATACACATTGAATACATATACATTTTAAAAGTTTATGTTTCTGTAATACTGCAAATAAATGAAAAACCAAACAACTCAAAACAACCTGTAGGCAGCATAGGAAATAACTAGAGCACCAAATCTTCATTGTTAAAATATGAAAATCAAGATTTAAGCTGACTTAAATGTATAAATTACCTTTGCACCGTTCTTGTATGAATTGTATTTCCAGCCATTTTTCAGACAGGTAAATTTGATTATGGACTGCATATTAAAAGATATGATATTACTCTTCTTTTTATTTGGTTAGATTGTGCTTATACCCATATGCATTAGTATGGAGGGGTAAAGTGATATAATTACTGAGTTCTTTTTAAACGTCAACTAAAAAAAATAGATAAAACAAATGTAGCAAAATCTTAACTGCATAATCTGGAAAAGGTATTAAATGTGATTCATTGTTCTACTCTCTCTACTTTTGTCTTCAGTTGAAAATATTTCAAAACAAAAATTTTGTAAAAGAAACATTTGCTTTTTAAAGTTTCAGTTAACACCAGTGTATTTGGGTCTAAAATATACCGTGCCAGGTAGATACCACTTCCTAAATGCTCTCAAATCTGCCCACTTCTCTCCATTCCCACTAATGTCCTTGGACTTTTATCTCTTGCTTCAGCAAATGAAATACCCTCCTTTTAATTGTCCTTCCTTACTCAAAGCCCATCATCCATGTGGTGTGCCTTTGGCCCTAGCCAGGCACCAACCAAAGGTGCTGAAGCAGCAATCGGGAAACAGTCCTATAAGACAGGTCACACAATTAAGAGAGGAAAGACCAGATAAATGAGAAAATATGCAGAATTCAAGAGGTTCTAATGATGTAGGGCTTTTGGGGTTCACTAGATGCCAAGTCTAGGGGAGTATGGGCCATTTTCATGTATCATGGCCTCTTTTCTGATGTATACTCTTCTCATTCACCAAATATTAGGTGCTCATAGGAGTCTACCATCAACCTCTGGTTCTCATCATGGGTTTTGAGGGATGTGAGCGAGATCTTCATTCTGTGCAGCTGGAGAGTATAGTGTCTCTGCAAGGATGGATCAACCACAGCCATCCCATCATGGGCTAGCAGTGCCATGAGCCACCACCTCGAATGGCCATTTGAATGGTTTGTCCTTGCTTTCATGTGATTCTCAGTCTAGGAATATTTTCTTAATTAATAAGTGTATTTTTCTAATTTTCCTTCAAATAAAATATAAGGTTTCAAAAAGTGTGAATTTGGGGGCAATTTCTGAAGCAGAGAGTAGGATAATGTTTAGAAGTTAAGGTGGCATGGAAAGTTGCTTTCTTCCAGGTAGGGGGAATAAAATGCACACAGGTGGGACAGCATGAGGTCCAAGAGAACTGCATATAGTTCTGAGGGTCTAACAGGTGGTTATATTGATTATCTCACATAAGCCCTTATGGGCACTAAGCTCGTTCAAGGGATACAAAGATGAAGAAATTACGTTATTCATACACTAATGAGCCAGAAACATATTGAAAATGTACCATGTGGCCGGGTGTGGTGGCTCAAGTCTGTAATCCCAGCACTTTGGGAGGCTGAGGCAGGCAGATCACGAGGTCAGGAGTTCAAGACTAGCCTGACCAACATGGTGAAACCCCATCTCTACTAAAAATACAAAAATTAGCCAGGCATGGTGGTGCGCGCCTGTAATCCCAGCTACTCAGGAGGCTGAGGCAGGAGAATCACTTGAACCCAGGAGGTGGAAGTTGCAGTGAGCTGAGATGGCGCCACTGCCCTCCAGCCTGGGAGACAGAGTGAGACTCCATCTCAAAAGAAAAGAAAATGTACCATGTGCCAGACACTGCAATAGATGCTGAATAAGACATGGTTCTACTTCTCTGACTTACTATTGGGAAATTTTGGTGCTTTGTTCATTAGGCTGCTGCTTGGGGAACAGGAGGTCCATGCTCAGGTTTATGACCTCATATCAGTGTTGACAAGAAGTTAACTTTCGTAATTTTTTTCAACATCTTTTTTGGTGCTTAAAAAATTGAATATAAGAGCTGTTCCAAAAATAATTACTGGATTAGAAAAGTTAAAAAGCATATGTGTGATGGAAGATTATGTTTTTAATATATATGAACTTTGTATGAGAGAAAACTAGTACATATTAGAAAATGAGATAATATGGTAGTTTAACAAGAAAAGACTGGCTAGGGCGCGGTGGCTCACGCCTGTAATCTCAGGACTTTGGGAGGCTGACGTGGGCGGATCACCGGAAGTCAGGAGTTCAAGACCAGCCTGACTACTTGGTGAAACCCTGTCTCTACTGAAAATACAAAAAAAAAATAGCCAGGCATGGTGTTGCGTGCCTGTAATTCCAGCTGCTCAGGAGGCTGAGGCAGGAGAATACTTAACCCAGGAGGCGGAAGCTGCAGAGAGCCGAGATTGCACCATTGCCCTCCAGTCTGGGCAAAAAGAGTGAAACTCTGTCTCAAAAAAAAAAAGGACTGGCTAAAATTAAAACCTCATAAGGTACTAAATGTAAGTCATTTCTATCATTTAAATTTGCATTTGAACCCAAGGTGTGAGTGACCTGAGGATAATTTTTTATTATAGAATTCTACCACTTCAACTACAACTGAACCCAAATTTCACTTGCAATGCATTTGTCTTTCTCCTTATTGATTCTCAAATCACAGTTAAAACTGCTAATTTAGGATCTAAGATCAGGAACTGGATGGATTGAAGGAGTATTGCAGTGAACGTGAACAATGACTACTAAATGTTCATATAGAAGGGGGTTAAAGAGTAGTAAAATAAATTCTTGTAGGTTGGGGCCAAAAAATAAAAGCTCATACACATTTGTTTGATCTTAATGTCACTAAATTTGGAGTATGTTTCCTTTAAATAAATGTAGGACACTAATCTCTTTAAATTTCAAAAGGGAAACTTTCAGATGTGCTATTAGTAAATGTGCTATTATAGTAAAACTCCAAATAAATGATGGGTGGAAATCAAGCTGTTAGTGTAAAAGCAAGACATCTTTTTGGCTTTGGGCACTGGAATATTGCCTTTGGTTGATACAGCACAAAAACTAGAGAAATGTTGCAAAAAAAAATGTTTTAAAATACTTCCAGGAATAGACAGCTAGAATGGGTGGGCCATACTTCTATCTTAATGGCCTGTACATCAAAAAGTTTTTAACTCAATTTATTGGAAATGATTTTTTCCACTGGAAATCATCTTCACTAGAATCCAAATAGAAAATGGATTCGCATTTCCAATATTTGCTTTACAGTCATTAACATGTTTGTGTTGTTTAAAGTGACGTTTGCTCCACTTCTTACAATTGTGATTGTTTCTACCAAACAACTTCAAGATAACTTTAAAACAAATTATTTACTAAAACAGAAGGAAAGTAATGCAAGTCCTCAAATTATAAGAATCACTGATGGTGAAATATCTCTATTTTAAAATTTAATAATTAGAATGCTATATTTATTTAGTGGATATAATGAAAACACAACATTTTAAGTCTGTTAAGTATCATCTTACTAAGTCAGTGTTACCTTAAGAAGTAACTACTTACCTTAGCCACAAAAACTTTTTTAAGCTTACATAGGTTGCATGAGGCATCAAATAACTGACACTTTATACTTTAAAAGTCAATCCAATCAAAGAAGAGAATCCAAACCAATTGTTTTACGGTGGGAAACCTGGCTGATTATAGACACTCTTCTGAGACATACAGCCACAGCTCCATTTCGACAGCAACAGAAAAAGCTTAGCAATAATCCAAACATACATGCAACTTATGCCAATTATTTGTTATTTTCCTGTTTTGGATACAATTTTTACATGAATATATAACATATAATTTATTCGTGTATAAAATTTTCCTACCAGTAATCAAACTAAGAAAAAAAAAACATAAAATAATTGAGGATCATTGAGAAAGTTACATTTCAGGATACCAAATAATGGAAATCATAAAAAAGATCAAGGTTATTTCAGTTATTGAGGCAATATGACAAAGTTATATTTGGTTAAATAATATACACTCTATTATGACAAGT
Source organism: Homo sapiens (assembly GCF_000001405.40). Lineage (NCBI taxonomy): Eukaryota > Metazoa > Chordata > Mammalia > Primates > Hominidae > Homo > Homo sapiens. The sequence continues at coordinate 174,133,141 of NC_000004.12, forward strand.
AAAATAATCAGTTTAAGTCTAAAAGTCAACAGTACAGACACTCTTTTGTGCTTCTACTAATGACAATTTTAAAAGAATTAATAATATAATTTACTTGGAATTTTGTGGATCTTTAATGTTTAGTAATGAATGTCTCTTTGTTACTTCAATTAGTAACTCCCCCAAATTGCAAATGATCCAAACAATTATTTGTACATTTTTCCAAAGAGATTTTTCCCAAATGTTTCAACCATGAGGAAGAAAAAAATATATATATATATATAATAAGAGGAGAGCTTTGTGTAAGTAATAAATGGTGAATATATTCTATATTAGTGTTTATTGAAAATCAGATATTACCAAACAAAATGTTGAAAATGTATTTATGTACAAATCCTCTTTGTTTGTTTTTTAACATTCAAAGATCCCACTATGACTTTAATTCTAGGATTATACTTTTGGATTTTTTTTTGTTATTTATTTTAAGAAACAGCTCGTATCTTTAAAGCTCTGGAATGGTGTAAATCATTACAGTGGTTTCACATTTTCATGGGATCAAGGAAACAACAGTAAGCTCATAAAACAGATACCACTAATTATGCAGAGAAGAAGCCATAAAGTCACTGGGAGAAGCATGTTTTATATTCATGAACACATCATTAAAAGTTTAAGACATGCTATCAAATTCTACATTTTAATACTATGCCCAACAGCATTAAACCCTCCCAACAAGAAAATCAGATTGTTTAATGATCCTTTTTGTGTCACACTGGTTTTATATGTCTGCAGTTGAAGCAGATGTGGAATTTGTATTGCTGAACTTTTTTTTTAAATCATTGGATAGTTAAAAAATCATTTATCCTTTATATCTAGTTAAAACAAAGAAGGTCTGAATCATCTTCCAATGTATATCTCTTAAATAAAATGTATTTGTTGAGGTAATAAGCCTCAATTCCATATTGCATGTATTTTTTAAATAATAATTTGGGTTTTCTTTAGAACATGTAAAAATGTAAAAGGGGTTAATAAGGATAAAATAGCTTCCATTTTAAATTAATTTTTAAAATGCTAAATAAAACAGAAATCAAATGAAATCAAATTTTATGAGGCCATATGAAAACACAAAAGTATGTGATATCATTAAGAGAAATCCAAGAATCATACAAAATGTTAATAATATTACAGACAGCAATTTTAAGAGCTGTTCATAGAACATCACATTTGCCACCAGTGCCGCACAGATTTAAACTGCAGCCTCTCTTCACTTGCCCACAAAGGGACTCCAGATGCGCTAATATTTTAATTTGCGTGTAATTCTAAAATGTTTCCATTTGTACATAATAAAATGCTCAGCATTCCACAATTTAAGCACATCTTGTAGACAGCTCAGCAATACACACTTTCTTGGATGGGATTTTACATAGTAATATGCTTCAAGCTTAATCTCAAAGTGAAAGTAAAATGGAGTTATGACAAATTTAGAGAGGAGGCCAAAAATGCTGCAAATGGGAAAAAATTAAGTAGGGGGGTTAGTTGTTGTGGACAAGAAATAAACTATATAAAAGTAAAGACATTGAAAAATACTTAAAATGTATAGGAGAGATTTATGCCCCATGGACAGAGCCTGAATAAAAGAGCCAATCACTTCAAGGAATTTAGTGGGGATTGATTATTTGAATTTGGTGAAGACGGTGTGTGTGGCATGTGTGGCGTGTGTGACGGTGGATGTCCATGGCAGAAGACAGGAAGCCTGGGGCTGCTCTCCTGCTGTCTGGCTTGGCAGTTTTACTTTGCTATGATTTCACCTACATTAAGTAATTTTTGATTGTTTTTCATGTCTTGTAGTAGACTTCCAATAATGAAGATGTGTGGATAAAATACTAGCCAAAAAATTCGCAAGCTTTGAATTTTGGACACATCAAATCAGGATAGACATTGAACAGTCTAAAAGCCACAATATTTATTATAAAATGTACACTAGCATGTTGCAGCAACACAAATCGATAAGCGTTGTGGACTACAAAGTGAATAAAACAATAATTCTATTGAACTGAAATATGGAGGGAAAGGTAGACAGATAATGAGGGATTATTATTATATGCCAATTTACTGTTTGATAAAACTACATTCAATCTATACATATGCACACACATCTACAGAATTGCAATTACTGTCAGGCATTATCCTAAGCATGTATATTAATTTATTTAACATGTACTGATTTGTTTAACGCTTTCAACAACTTAAGAGGTACCACTATTATTGTCTCCATTTTATAGTGAGGAGACTGAGGTAAAATAATTTGTTCAAGGTCCCAGAGTTTGTAAATGGAAGAATTGAAATTAAAAACTAGGCAATTTATAAAAAGTTCTCGGACTATGATGTAATATTAGTCTATTCCACAAATCGGGAAATATATAAACAAATTACTCAGGCTTTAAATTATCTGTAGGTATTTTTATAATGCATAGAGATACTTATTAACATTTCTAAGCTTGTGTGTTTTTTTCTATCTGAATCTCCACCTGTGAGCAAATCTTCAGTGTTAGGTATCTAAGGACACAATGACTTCAGGGCTAAAACCATTGAAACCTGTAAACATGAATAAATGCAAATTTGGTCCTTTGGGGTTAACTAATATGTAAATGTTTTTAGTGAAACTACTGGTATATAGACAAGCACAGAACTTTTCTAAGCTTTCAGGAATCAGCTTTTACAAATGCTGAGCTGGTTTTAATTTAAGCACTACAAGTGAAATAGAACAAACTCGGAAGAAAACATGGTTACTCATTTGCATCTCCAATTTAATAACGCCTATAATTGTCCAGTTACCAAAGTTAGATCCAAATGCTTTTTCTCTGCCAAACGCAGCTGCTCGAGAAACCGAACACTGATTTGATTTTTCTGCAGGGTACATGTTCACTCGCGGCTCTCATGATGAATAAATAATGCCATGATGCCGAGGAGCTGCGGACCTTGCCCTTCTGTGAAAAGGGCTGCATCTGCTTATTCTCAGACATTCACGATCCTAAAGGAATAAGACACCAGAGGCCTGTGAATAAGAGGGCCTTTTCAGACTTAACAAAGCCTTCGCTCCTGAATCCACCTTAACCAGTTGCGAGAAAAGAGCTTTTGGCACCAAGTCATCCTTCAGGAAAAGACTGATAATGATCACTAAAGACATACTCGGGGCTGCTGCCTCACTCACTTCAAAGGCTTTCTCTCTTAATCAACATTAAATCATCATTTCGCCAGGGATATAGGGACAGCTGTACACAATCTATTTATTTTAAAACAGATTACAACCAGGTCCCTCTGCCAAAATATAAACTTCTTAATGTTGCATGTTACTTCAATATTTTTCAACTTGGAACTTTTATTTCTAATTTAGTGTCCCAAATTAGCATTTCTGTCTCAGCTTATGGACTGCATCTTCCCACAAAAGCTGAGCTAATAATTTTATCAATTATACAGATAATTTAAGCAACAAAACAAAATAGATCAAAACAAGACTTTACATAAATTATCCAAATATTTTAGGCTAAAAAATATAAAGTCTCCATTCGCTACATCATTTTGTGGTTTGTACAAGACACAAGGCCTGTGTTATTGTCTTATTGGTTGTTATTAACCACTTGATATTTCGTCATGCCTTCTCTGTTCCTCTTTAAAATGTAGACCCCTGTGCCCTATATCTTTTACCTTTGTTTTGGTCTCATGACAGCTGTAACCCTCATCTTACTTAACCTCGAGGAAAACTACAAAGGCATTTTTCCCCCTACAAGCTAATTCTTTAAAAAAGATAATGATCCAGGACCTTTATCCAGTTTATCACTTCAGTTTTATACAAAAGAATATTAAGCTACAACATATAAAGTTAATCAATGATCATCACTTCAAAAATGTATGTAGTAAGTAGGTACAATTAGGTAGATATAGGTACAATTTCTGCTACTTTGAATTATAATCAACTAATACAATGGCTTTGCTTAGTTAAATTTGGTTCAAAATAATATCATTAATAATGCAAGTGATTGAAGAAGATGTTCATACTGTATAATATTTTTATTGATTTTGAGTAGTTCACCTTTGTTGATAGTTTATTATGAGTCATTGCCCACTTTGTGCTGATTACTGAATGCAACAACACAAAATAATTTTTAAAGTTTTAATAAATTACTTTGCTACAGTATTAGATAAGAATTTAAAAATATTTACTTTGGTCCTATAATTCCAGTATCTCTTGCTATCAACATTTTATAAAATCTCTTACATTATTTGTTAGAGATGTAGAAAGAAAAAAATTAATGTAGATTATAATTTTCTTACTTAAAATATATAACAGAAGATAGCATTTTATAAATCTATAGAATCTTAAGAAAGTCCTCTCTGCTAAATTAAACTTTTTCAGTTAGAATTTATATTATACAGACAGTGGTGAAGGCTTTTAATGTTTATTGGAGAGATTCACTTAATTTCCATTGTCTTTCATCATCCAGAGGGGTTTTATAAATGAAAACCCAAAACATGAGGAAATACAGAATAGAAGAAATTAAAGACACCAGATGGATGAGCACCTCTTTTTTTCCACTCCCATTAGAAAGAGTGCCAACTGCCAGGAAAGGCAGGTGCCATTGAGTCTCCTTCTAAGAGTAAACAGGGTCTGGAACCTCCTACCCCAACCAACCCCATGGGCTAACCATAGAAAGATGTAGGAGAGATCCGCAAATCACAGCTATGCCACTTTCACACCTTCCAGTGCAGGAGGAAACTTCTGCCTCTGTCCATATTTCAGGTGCTGACACATTTCATAAGTGCCGTAAGGAAAGTTCAAAAGGACTTCTACCTGAAGACCATGCTACCACAGCACAGCAATGGATGAATAGGAGTCTCTAACCCAGCTCAGGAGATCTGGAAACTACTTCTTGTTTTTTTTTTTTTATTCTGTTTTCTCCCCTTTCCTTTTTCTCCAAGCCTTCAGCCCTCTTGATAAAATTTTTAATTTGATGACCCACTTAATTCTTGAGTTTTCAGACAGCCATAAATGGTACAGTTATGAGGCAGTATAACCCGGCAATTGAAAGCATGGACGCTAGAATCACATGCACTGCCAGAATTCCAATCGTGGCTTAGCCACTGTCTAAGGGTGTGCCTTTGAGATGTTACTTAAGTTCTCTAATACAAGTACTTAAATACTTGCCTGTAGGATTGCTGTGAGAATTAAATGAGGAAGCATGTAAAGGGTGCTTAGCACAGTACTTAGTATATAGTAATTGCTCAATAAGCATAACATATTATTATTATCACCTCACCATAAATAGCATTCAGGTCTGTGAGAGAATAGCATTAAAGCTACAAAATAAAGATTATTAATTATAGGGTGATATTATTATTCCGTATCTCCAGTTTGCATTCACCCTAAATAGACAGCTCTTGTTGCTTTCCTGAACAAAAATGAATATGACTCCAAAATAATAAATAACTTTTAGAAACCAAAATTGGAAAAGAAGAAAAATTTACTTTTTGGTTGATTGATATGAAGTTGTAAGAGGCTGCCTTTGGAATTCCTAAAGAGATACCCATCTCCCAAGGAAAGCAATGGAAATCCTTTGATTGCCGCATTCCACAAACCATCATGAAAGTATTTATTTAGTCTAAAAGCCTAACTAGTTCATCATCTCTAGAGGTTTCATATCTAATAGTTTATCCTTAAGCTCAGGAATTCATATCACCAGTGGAATTTTTTCCATCATAGTGAAATAGCTGGGTTTCAACACTAAGGAAATACATGCAAGCATTTTATGACTGGACTTCTCAGAACCAAACTAAGAATTCTATTTTAAATGTTACATGATGCAAACATTTATTCTTCATCTTTTCTTCATATTATTAATCAAGACATTTCTCTTAGTTATTTTCCTTGAAATAATATTTTATTGGCATCTAATACATTTTATTTTTTTGAAAATAAATTTATATTATTTTGTGTATTTTTATAGCCAACGTTGCACAAACTTGAAGGCAGTATTTTGAAATATTGAAATATCAGAGGCCTGAATACTGAACGGGGGAAATTATGGACAACTGAAATATTAACAAAGCATGTATTCGAACTCCTGAAACCCAAAATAATAATATATACTACGACAAGAAAATAATTGGCAAAAACTTTATTTAAAAGACACCCAATGAAATAACCAGAAAAGGAAAAAAATCTCCCTAAAATAAGAGCATATTAGCATTGATTTGAATAAATTCTATTTCATGTCCTTTTAAAGGGGAATATTGATTGAGGTATTTCTAAAGGAGTATTGATAAAGGTTGTGTAACACTCCAAAAGTTATCCATGCAGTATAATCAATATACACATTATAACAGCATAGAAACACATAAAAGAAGCATACCAGGGCATTATCATTGGGGTAATTTTATTTTGGGTAATCGAACTACTTAAAGTAAAGCTAGATTTACATTCCTTGATGTAGAGCCAGCTAAGATGTTACCAAATCTGGTACCCACGACTTCCTCTAATCCCTCCTCTTTATTTTCGGTCATGTGTGTCCCCTGGTGTGCGGCAACCCCATTTTATCCTCTGATGCTCTGCGGCACACTACGCAGGGCAGAGTTCCCTCCACCAAAATATATTCCCTGTGAATCTTACTATTGAAAGCTGCTCACCACTGCCTGGAAAACTATCTGACAGTTCATTCATGATTAGTGTGACTAGCTGATGAGGTGGTTAAGGGAATATCTAGTTTAAATATTGTATGAGTCTATGTTTTCATGTGTTACCATTTCCAAGAGTTAAGGGGGTGATTCCTTAACAATCGACAATTCCAAATTAATAGTAAATGCTGAAATTTCTTGCTGGTGAGAGCTTTCTGAAACTTGTAAGAAATTACTTGTTTCCGCCGGGTGCGGTGGTTCACGCCTGTAATCCCAGCACTTTGGGAGGCCGAGGAGGGCGGATCACGAAATCGGGAGATCCAGACCATCCTGGCTAACATGGTGAAACCCCGTCTCTACCAAAAATACAAAAAATTAGCCAGGCGTGGTGGCAGGCGCCTGTAGTCCCAGCTACTCGGGAGGCTGAGGCAGGAGAATGGCGTGAACCCAGGAGGCGGAGCTTGCAGTGAACCGAGATCGCGCCACTGCACTCCAGCCTGGGCACAGAGCGAGACTCCGTCTCAAAAAAAAAAAAAAAAAAATTACTTGTTTCACCATTATCTGTTGCTATGCAATTGATCACCTGAGACACCGCATTTGTTACAATACATCCTTTTATTCATAGCATATAGATCACTCCTTAGAATGTTCTTACATTGTGTTAAAAAAAAAAAAAAGCTATATGAAATCATTCCACCTGAAAGAAAGAAACGAGTTAATGATAACCTTCTCCAACATTTTAATGATCTCTGAGGGAGAATACATTAAAGTAGAAGAATGGTTCATTGGAGATTTTCTAAGCTTTTTTATACATAATGACTTCAGTCCATATATGAGAAAATAAAACTATATGAAATAATTTTATCAGCAACGAAAGTTGTTTTCATACAAAGTGAAGAACTCAAGCAATCATTAAAAGAAATGTCCTCCCCAAATGCTCAATTTCATGCAATATTAAGACGAAATGACTTTCCAGCTTGAACTATGTGGATAATTGGCTCAATTCTCTAATTTATTTTGCAAATATAGTCACCATCAGAATAATAAAATTATATCTATTATAAAGATACCTCAAAAGGCTGAGCCATCCAGGTCAGAAATTGAAAACAAAGCCAAATATTTACCCAAAATCAAACCCAGAACTTCTTTCGAAATTCACTGAAAGAGCAATCATTTCCAATGTCTTTTCACCTTCTGGTATGAGATGGAAGTCAAACTGGAAATACTGAAACACTTTAAGAAAGGCAGTAAAACAAAAACAAGCCTTCTTGTAAGACTTCCAGATGAAAGAGTTTTGAATAAGCATTTAATCATGTGTATCCTGGTTCAAGCCAAGCTGAACCTCAAAGGTTTACCTGCGCTCATTATTTAGAATTCACAATGAAATGGAAACGCATTACATCTATTGGGAACATTGACGATATGATGAAATGATTTTTGTAAGGAAACTGAATGTTTACATTAAGCCCATAGCCATGGTTCATCTGGCAATAGGGAAAAAAACACAATGCTGCACTTTTGCCAGGCTGTGTGGAGGGAGTTTTGTTTTCAACTTCAGTATTCGCACAATCTGAGTCTTTTTTTATGCCTGCATGGAATTTTGAGACTAAGTCAATGCACAAACTAATTTTTCTAGCTTGTTTTAGATTTCTGTGATTGTAATGTTTCTATGTAATGAAATACCATTTTGTTAAAAATGTTTTTGGAAAGATAGTTGTTTACAATATGACAAGGAATATTAATAAAGTTAAATATTACTAACTATAAGTTGCTCCTAAAGCACATGCCTAATGAACCACAATTTAAATTTAACATTTAATTTAATTAAGAATGCCAATTTCCAAAGAAGTTTTTGAACTTGGAGTATTTTAGAACTGGTAGAGTGTCTGACTGGCTGCCACATTGGCAAACTGGCCTGGTAAAATCCATATTTTCTACTGTGTTATGAAATACATAACTAATAATCAAAGAGGGAAAATAAATCATGAGTTTTCTGCAAGTGGAATTATCTTTCAGAACACCAGGGTCAAATTTCCTGACATTTTGTCTTAAGAATCACTGGAGATTGTAAACTGAATAAATTGGCACTACCAAGAAGTGGACCTAACATAATTTGGCGTAATTCCAGAGCTGATTTTATTTCTTCTTCCTTTAGAAGGTGACAGCGCCTCTTCTCCAAGACAGGATATCCAAGCACACTGTATACATACTCTGAAAAAATGATGCTTACAACTGTCACATGAAAGAATTTACAAAATTACATTTCCACACTGTTTTGGCTTCCTTCATATCCTGACAATAACCAGACTATACGTTTCACTTGTTCTGCAGCCATATATAAATAATAGAATGATATAAAGAATAAAACAAACTGCTTTCCAAAAACAGGGCCTGTAAATCACACAGTGCAGCAGGTTTTGCTTCCAAAACATCTAAACTCTTCCTGGGTGCCAGTAATATCCACCACAGAAGCCTCACTGCATTACCTTTGATAAGGACTGGTTAATCTTACAGAAGATAATTACAGAAAGAAGAAAAAAAACAGAGACCCTGGGAGTATTAGAAATCTATTATGGATGAACATAACATCACCCAAAAAAGGTCTTTTTACAATAAGCAATAGAAAAAGTACTCTCTTATTGAGAATGTAAACAATGAAGGAAGTGAAATCAATATTGATAGTCTACTGACCACTGGTGCACTGAGTCATAATTAGTAACTCCATCTAGTATAATTTGAAGGTCATTAGCAGGATTTAGATAGTGGGATTTTTTTTAATTAAACTCTTTTCTGGAAGTATAACATACATAAACAATGCAAATTATAAATACACAGCACAATAAATTTTTACAGCATAAATACACTTAAGTAGCACATTCAAATCAAGAAATAATTACCTGTAACTTAGATGACACCCCCATGAGCCCTCCAAGTCACAACCTCATCCTCATCACAAGATAATTAGTAGCTTAACTTCAAAGAGCCTAAATTGTCTATTCTGGAAACTTTTATAAGTGCAATTATACAATATGCACTCTTTTACCTTTGTCTTCTTTTGCTCAACATTACATTTGTGACATTTGTCTAGGTTGGTGCATGTCAAAGATCTTCATTCTTTTTCATTGTTATATAATATTCAATATATTGAATATTATATAATGGATACCACAATATTATATAATGGATACCACAACATATTCTACTGCTGTCAAACACATGGGTAATTTCCAGTTTTATACTATTGCAAACAATATTGTTCTAAATACAATTATGCTTGTATTTTGGTGCACATTTTTAAGCATTTCTGTTACAGGTATACATACAAGTAGAGTTTTTAGGTCATGAAAGATACATATCTTCAACTTTAATAAACAATACTAAAAAGTTTTTAAAGTTGTCACAACAAATGATACTCCCACCAGCAGTTTGCTTCACATCTTTACTAGTACTTGAATTTGTATTTCTCATTTTAGCAGTTTTAATGGGTATATAGTGTTATACCATTGCGGGTTTTTTGCAGTGATTAAGGAGGTTGTATAGCTCTTCACAGGTAGATTGTCCATTTGAATAGCCTCCTTTGTGACATATTTGTTCTAGTCTTTTCATAGTTTAGTTTTGCTGAAATTATTTCACTTTTCTCTCCTTTAAGGTAAAAAATTTATATCTGTAGAACCAACTCAGAAGAGTCCTGTGCCAAACCACATAATTGCTCACTCAGTCCTCACACCTCTATCGGATAGGCCCCACTTACCCTTCTTCATCTGTCGGCGAGAATACTGAGTCTCAGAGAGGGTAAATCACTAATCCAAGGTAACACAGCTCATAATTTCCAGAGCTAGAATTTAAACCCAACGTTTTCTTTAAGTTGATCATCTTTCCACTTGGAATATTGAATCTAGGCAACGCTGTCATGAGCAAAGGACTAACCAATGATATATACTAAAGAATATTTAAAAGAAAAAAATGTGACAAGTATATTTGCATTTATTCTCACAGGTCCTTAGTACAATTAATAACCCTACTAAGGAAAGGAGACACATTATACATGATAGTAAGGTTTCAGCCAGGCAACTCATAAAATCAGAGTAGAATTACTACAATCAAAACCAAGGGGTCCTTAGCCATATCTACTTACACTGTTACTAATCCTTTCCACAGACGTTTGAGTAATTACTGCATTTGACATTTCTACATCACTAAGTTAAAGTTAGCAACACAAAGCTTCAACTTCACATTTTACCCGCATACTTCTTCTGATGAATTCAATTGAATAGAATTAAATTGTTCATCTAGGTTTCTTGGGTCTCTTCGTACATTTCAAACACATAAGACCTTCTTTCAGTTTAGACAATATTTAAATTGAGAAACAGAGAAAAGGCAGAAAGGAAATCTGTCATGTCATATGAGTGGGAACAGTTGACAGGCCAGATATATGATGGTCTGTTAAGAGATTGCCTAGTTATAGAATTTTATTATGCACATTATTGTAATAATTGTGCTGTCTACTTTGAACATGATTCAAACTGGTCTCCCAGCTTACTATCAAGATAGAGCAAAACAGTTCCATTTGTGGAGCCAACAGAGCATTCTGAATTCTGCTGTATGCACAGAGACATGGTCAGTACCCAAGAGACAAATTGTCAAAATTGGAGGCCAGAATTTTAAGTTGCTTAATGGCTTTTCTGGCTTTTAAAACTATACACACATTCATATGGTAAACATTCTATGAGGTTCATACTGTGTCGTTGAAACATTTTACTATTTTTTTAATATAAACTAATCCGAAGCTCACAATGAGGAATGAATTGCCCTGAACTTGGAAAGATATAATGACTTCTAGTCCTCATGAGATTTCACCTCTCTCCTGCCTGCGCCTTTAGCCATAAATGAGGAGGATAGACACTGTATCTCTAGTATCTCTTTCAATGAAAAGCCCTATCTCTTCCAATAGATAGTCCTATTGTTTCCAATTTGGGGGAAGCATGCCAGGGTAAGGACCTGGGGAGAAAAAAGTCCTGAACATGAAACGGCAAGTGTAATGAAGGGGGGTGATTTGCTAGTTTTGCTTTTTAGTCATGTGTATCTGGATATACAATCCTCAGTCTGCCTCTTTCTAGCCGGGTGATTATGGACAATTAACCATTCAAGGATCTCTTTCAATGTAAGAGTAATCTTTGGAGAGTTGCAGGAAATTGTCGGGAGAGAAATAAGATATATTCAAATGGAAGGGGAAAAGAGAAAGCCTCTTGCTTAATAAATCTTCCCAAATTTCCCCAGGTAGCAGCTATTGACAAACCAGGACACACAGATAATGAAATAATATTGGATCATATGTATAAAGTGGTTGCCATGTGTTAAGTGCATTACACATTGAAGGAGTTTACACACACAAACACACACACATGAATATGCAGTATGCCACCTGGTCTCCTAACTTCCTGCCCTGTTTAGAGATATTTAAAGTCCAAGCTTCTTTATAGTTTGATCCTCCATTACAATTTTTAGCAATATATATCTGCTTCCACATATGATGCTTGCTCTTTTAAGCTATGCTTTATGTTCCCCACAATAACATTTTTTTCTTGTGAAATCTCTGGTGCAGTCTTAAGCAAATAATATTCATCAGTTTCCTCATCTTTAAAATGCAAATGATAATAATCCCTTCTTCACAGCGTTGCTGCAAGAGTTAAATGAGCTAATTTTTCTAAAATTCTTAGAACAATGCCTAGCACATAATAAGAACAATGTAAATATTTGTGAAACAAAATAAATCTATTTTGTTTTGTAATTTAGTTTTTATATTTGGATTTCTTTTCTTAACAATGTTTTCTTAGGAGAAAATACTATGCCATAGATATTTGTGTTTCATTCAGGAAAGCAGGCTAGAAGGAAGAAAAGAAATGATCTTTTATTGAATAGTTCCAATAATCTGAGCACTGTACTGATGTTTTTAAAATAAATTTTGCCATCTAATCTTCCAAAGACTATATGAGTTGGGTATGATTATCCCTGGGTATTACTTCTCACTTCAAAAATGAGAAAATAAGATCAAATATAAGTTTCTTGACAACCAGGCATAGCAGTGGCTGAAAAAATAATTTTAAAAGATTTTGCCTTTTACATGCTTTTGGTCATTACCAAATCTGGCTTTGCGTAATTTCTACATCTGAAATGTACTAAAACTAAGTAACAGCACTGATAGCTGTGGCACCCTCAACTTAGTGCATAGCATCCATCTGTCTATCTACCTATCTACCTACCTATGTCCTTTCTTTCTAAGGACGCCTTCTTATCATAAGTGTCAGACTTTGTGTTATGCTGAGTGTGAACCCACTGGCACTTGTTAGCTATAGGGATCTAAAGTAGCATTTTTGAAACTGGGAATCCAACTGGATATATCATAGATGTTCTCCAAAACTCAGTTCTGAGGTCAAAAAATATTTGATAAATGCGAGATTAGACAATGTTAAATTGGTTGCTTGCTGCATAACTTCTCAGAAATTTGAATATTCTAATATTGTCATATATTTCCTTGAGGATTAGAGGGTATGCTACAGTGCCAAGTTTATTTTACTACAGGATTTTTTTTAATTTTACCCATTAACATCTCACAAGTTAATGGCATTCAATAGACCATGGTTTAGAAAATTCTGCCTTTTCCAAAAAAAGACCAGACACAATGAGGAAGCACATAAAAGTTGAGAACAAGTTAACACAAATATCAAACTCTCAAGAAGAATCTAGACACCAAAGAACAGCATTTTAATAGAGACACTTACAATGTAGCTTTCACAAGCCAGTAGCTAGACCCACACCGCATAGAAACTCAATGGATATATATTAAATGATGAATGAATACAAGCCAGTTATTCTGTTTAAAGAAAATGCATTGCTCTATTCTTTTTCTCATCCTATGTGGAATCAAAATTACAGAAAGGAAGGAGGAAGAAGTGACAAAAGACATCAAAATGTTAGTGTCTCTATTAATATTGTTACTTAGGCAAAAAAATTTAAAAGGTTGTTTACCCAGAGTAAGAGGAAGGAGGATTGTGTGGCTAAGGGGACACTGGTGCAAAACCAAGAGCAGTCCCTTGAGAAGAAAGATCACACATGCATGTGCACACACACACACACAATCCCTGGCATCCTTCAAACAAATTTTCTCACTCTCCCAAGGCAAACATTTGAGTATTTTCACTATCCATTTCTATGAAACAGAAATCTCTGGAAGCAAGAGAACATACATCACATGAGGAGCTTTTGATATGATTTTGAATTATCCAACCACAAATATCTCAAGTTTGTGTTGGACCACAAGGTTGGTAGAAGAGAAAGGCAAATGGGAAAAAACAATTGATAATTTGGCTCATGAATAATTGTTTTCTAATACACCTCTGTTTCTTCATTTCTCCACAAATCTTTTCTTCTCTGCCTCCTACTCTGTTTTTCTCCATGATCTGTTCTGGTTATTTCTTAACTTGGTCTGCGTTTTCTTACTAAGATGCCCTTAAAAGTAGGGTTAGAGGTTTTTAAAAGAGAAGAGAAAGAAAGAAATCAGAAAAGCAGGGAAATTAATCAGAGATATTTCCAGTAAAAGAGCTTTTCAGATGAACATTAGAAGCGAAAAATGGTATGTGGCATAAAGTTACACCAGCAATATTCTTAAGTCATGGAACATTTTAAACTAGCAGCTGTAAATGCTGTCTTCTTCCTAATTTAATAGGGCCCTACATCTAGATGTGGCCCAGAATAGACTTGGTGGAGTACACCAATTAAAACTAATTCATTTGTTCATATTCCTTATGCAGGTTTTCCCTTTTTGCTTCATATACAGCAAGAACCCACTATTCCACTAGTTTATTTTTGAAATAAACTCCTTGTGCTTTTTCAAGCAAAGTGCCGGCACTGGTTACAACCATTACAGAAAGAGAAGAGGTTATACAGAAAGAGAAGAGGTTAACAGAGAGTGAGAATCCGAGTGTAAAGCGCATGGGCAGAATATAAAGAATTTCCAAACTGCCTTGAGCCGCTCCATATGTTCCTGGTGCTCAGTGGCAGCCCTCAATAGGAGCACCATATCTTTTAGTCCCATGTATAAATTTGTTCTGTAAATTAAAATGTTGGCTTGTGCTCCCCTGGTGTTTAAGAAGGTGAGTGATGACCTTGGTGGGAGTACGTTTGTGTAGAAATGTGTCATAAAAGATGATGTCTTGGCCCAAGCAATGCAGGGTCCAGGTTTAGTCATTTGTTAAAAAAAAAAAAAAAAAGAGTTAAATATAACTAACACATCATGGGAGTGAGGCTCTTGCCAAATGTAACTTTCTTTTGAAATCTGAGATGTCAGCTTTCGCCCTGTGCTTTTTAAAAAATATTTTTAGCATTTTCTTTTACAGAGTTTCCTTGCTTTGGTCATTTTTTTAAGTTGCAAACAAAGCAATAAGTAGTATACATTTTTCACTAATTAAAATACTGTCAATTGATTCTTTCTCTCTTGCACATTTATTGGACAATGATGGACTTAGTTCAACATGGCATTTATTTTCTGAAATGACTAACAAATAGCAGGTTTTATGTATTCATTTATACTACCATTTTGATTTGAATATTAAAATATTGTTCATAGATTTGAGTGAGGAATTTTTTTAACCATTCTTCTTCCTATCTTCTGTGTCACTGTTTTTTTATTTTGCACGTTAAGTGAAATAAATAAATTTACGCCATTCATTCACAGAGCTCTTTGGCAAATCACATTTTGGAGGATGCCTCAAAGACAAATATCAATGACTGGCTTCCTCCAACTACATTGCTCCTCAGAAAATGGGTTCCATGATGTTCTGATACTCTCATGCTAGTTTATCTATTTTTTAAGACAAAAACAAAAGCTATATTTCAGATTGACAAATACTGTCACTTCAGGGTGATTCATTTAACATATGTTAGGATGTCACATAGGCTGATACTGTGCTATTTCAGAAGCAGCTGGACTACAGAAGCATGCGATAAATGTAGATTTTATAAATCTAAAATAAAAGGTACTTAAAACAATTATTGAAAGTATTATGTGTACCTGAGATCTATAATATAAGTTTTCCAAACTTTCACGGAAGGTGCTATCAATGGCTAAATATCTCCAGGGAATGCCTAAATTGATAAGGATTGCACAGGGAAGGAGATGAAATATTATTATTTTCTATAGGGAAACTGGAAAAATACTATTAAGTTGTTTGCTAAGTGCCAATCAGTCTGTGTTTGTAAAGACTAAAATTCCTCATGATTTGAGCAATGCATGCTAACGTTATAACTGTATCTCATTTTAGTCCAGTGGAAAATGAACTATAATGCAAAACTCAAACAAGTATGTTCTGCTCAGATAAAAATTTATGGTTCATGTATCCAAAGTGATATCTGGAAAGTTCACTTGTTCAAAATCCAACAAGCTTGTTTCAAACTTTAGTGACCATATAAACACTGCCTTTCTTCTCTGGGCTATTCTTTATCTAGTAAGTGGGGATGCTTTTGATTAACATTTAAATAGTATATTTTAAATTTATTTTGTTGATTGTTCCTGATAATACACTGAGGAATCATCTGCTTTATTTGACAATAAATGCAGCTGTAAACTATAGCCATCAAGAGTCATAATCTGAATGACATGTCATGCTTTCTTGGCCACAAACCTTTCTTTTAATTATTTTTTATTTAATAGCGAACTTACATCAAAATAAATCTGAGCCATCACTTCTGTTAAGGGCCTCTCTGGGGGGCCATCATTTTTTTTTCTTTTTTATAATATAAACTTTTGGTAAAATTTACTTGTTTTTAAACTCTCTTGAAACTTCATCCAATGGTCAAATGTAAGATCTTAGAGGTGGAAACAAGAGACCTATTCCTCAAGTCCTAGAGCAGGCCTAGATGTGAGTGACAGAAATCTCTCCATGCCCACTAGACAACAAACACTTAACCACTCATTGCAACTATTTTTCAAAAGCACCTCTCCAGTTGTACATTATGGAAATCAGCTCCACCAAAATCGCCTGTACTTGCTGCTTAGGGATGGTTTAGATACCACAGATCCTGCAGGCAGTCTCTGAACCCAAAATGTAAGCAACATTTGCAATGACAGAGAAAGAAAATCTCTTGGAGGGATACAAAGGCAAACAAAACAACTGCTTTTCATTACCAGACAGATGAACAAATTAGAATTCCATTAATGAATAGTTTGTTAGTTTTTTCTCTCTCTGGACGGGAAAAAAAAACTAAAATTTAAAGCCTATGAAAGTCATTTTCTTATAATAACTAATTTTAATGGAATATTATCAGTTTGTTACAGAATAAACTGGAAAGGTGGGTGTGAAGGACAGGGCCTTTATAACATTAAAAGACAATATAAAAAAGATAAAGTGAACCCAAAAAATGGTAGGATGAAAAGCAAGTGAAAAGTAAATCTGTGTTCAACCAGGACATATGTTAGATTTTACTCTTTTATTTTAATTCTATTTATACTTCAAATTACATGTCGGAATGTTTTTCTACTATAAATATTTCCAGTGTGTAACAGCAGAACATTCCTAGTAAAACAAAAGGAGAAACCATGACAAAAATCTGAGTGACAGCTTTCTCTCACTTCCAAATACTGATACAATGATGGGTAAGGTAAAGCAAAGGATCAAAAGGCATAAAAGTTGAAATATTTTCCTTTCTCGCCCATTTCCTCCCTCACCGTGCAACCTCCATCTATCCTACTTTTATTGTCTTTGAAAGTGAAGCTCATTTTTTAAACCTTCTTGAATACTTTTGGATCAGGGTTCATTACACTGGCAACAGCCCACTTACTGCTTTCAATAGAAACTTTGCAAACAAGCTCTGTGACATTTTTGCATTTTGTTTGAAGGCTAAACTGGTCCCTCAATGCACTCAATATTTCTTTCCTGAACAAGAGGTGAAAGATAGAAATTGAGCTTGGCCATCCATTGAACATGTCAGACTTTTTCCTCAGTTTTGCTAAAACACCCGTTTTTCTCCCTTTAGAAAGATACAAATGACCATTGGTTATGAGGTAGAGGAACAGGCACTTAATGTCAGATAACTGAAAGTTCTACAGTGCAATTCTTTTAACTGCACTAGCTTGTGATAACCAATAGGATTTGGGCAGGAGTGGGGTGGGCTACTGGGATGAAACTGGAAGAAGAAAAATTATACAAAAAAGTAAAATACATGCATGGAAGAATAGAGAGTGAAATTAAAAGTCATTTAAATGAATATAAAAAAATATAAATACATAGCTGAGATACATTTAGTTCCTCATTTTACCACATTTCTCATCTTTTGAAAATGTGATTTTTCATTTCTTTAATGTGGGATGCCAGGGTTGTTGTAAATAAAATACAAAACAAAATTTAAAATATTTAAAGTAATAATATAGGAAGAGGCATAATGGGAAAGGGAATTACTGATTTCTCCCACGGCAAAAAAAAAAAAAACTTGAAAACAATTAATGTGAAAAAAAATAAACAAAGATCAAGATACATTGAGAAGCAGCACAGAGCTGTCACCTCTGTGGCACTCACATCTGCTTCTTTTCCACAGTCTAACAACCAGCCAGGTGAGAGACGCTCAAGAAAGCCGCTGCAGGACACAAGCATCCCAAAGGTGACACAGGTTTCCTACTGATAAAATAGCTGCCGTCTTTTTCTATTTCTCAGGAAAGATGTATCATCCATGGATAATATGTTTTCAATTTTAAATTTTACTCATATAAATTTTTCTTTAACCTATGGAACGTGCAACTGCCTAGCTGCCAGCAACTGCTAGCAAAGGACAGAATAAATAACCAGCAGGAAGACATTAACTTAAAAACTTAGCACAAGAATATTTGTTACCATGGACTCATAAGTTCAAGGCTATAGATGTAAAACTCATATATAGTCAGACTTCTGCTGTGATAAAAATGTTCCTACTTCATATGATGTAATATTTTCTGGTGTGCTATAAAGGGCATCAGAACTTTGGGATAGATTTTCACCTCAATAAGTTGGAGAAGCACTAGCATGAGGATTAATTTAATTAATTTTATTAAAGGCACTATTTTTTTAAATGTTACCTTCCTGTCCAATTGATAACAATGATAGAAGAGGATACCTTAACCAAGGAATAATTAGGAACATGGGACAAAGACCCAGTGTTCTTTGACTGGTTAATAATTTGTACTTTCCTTGGTCAAAATCAAGAGGGGCTTGATAGAAAGTTCTCTGAGTATTTCAACAGGAAAAAAGCTGAAGTTTGACTTAGCTTAAATTAGTTATCACCCTCAATATCATAAACTTCTACCATTTGGATCATTCCTTTGGTTTACGGTACCACAGTCCTCATGAAAATGATCACGTTTATCAAAATACTTTTTTGCTTGAGGAGCAATCCATAGTAGGCATTTAATATAGAAAAACTTTGGTAGTGTAAAGGATTAAGGAAAGGTCAGACAGATTGCTGCTTGACAAAACTTGTGCCCAGAATGTCATATAAATGTGCACATAGTAACTGCACAATAAATGTTGACCCACGGAAGTGGCAAGCTTAGAAACAAGGCAAGTGCTGAAGGTGAAAATGAAATGCTAAAATGGGCATAGCCATGCCCAAACCACACTCCTCAAAACCAGCCCTCAAGCTCCAGTTTCCTCTTTTGATTTTCTTATCCATAATCAGTATTTTTCAGCCTGATGAACAATTCAGAAGAGACAGTTTGAAGAGTTCAAGATTTTAATAAGTCAGAATCTCCAAAATCTTGTTTTCTTTTCTGCTCTTAATGCAGGAAAATTTGCTTCTGCTCTGTGAGTAGGAAAAATGAGCACATGGAGAGAGAGAGTGTGGCCTGAATGGTAATCCCTAGCCTAAAGCTTCACAAAGAAAAACTGAAAAGGCTTTTATGAAGAGAATTCAGCCTTTACGTGCATGACTTGAAGCAATCTCTTGAACTAGGTTCTGAAGTTCAGAAAACAAATTCTATATAATCAAAACAGAGGGCAGAGTTATGTGTGGATGTCTTGGCTCTCCTAAAATTTTGAGCATTTCCTGTAGGAAGTCTCTAAGAATAATGTGGCTCAGCCCCAGATAGAGGAGCAACAAGAGGACACCAGGGTGCTGCCAATCCTACTTGTCCATCCTTCTGGTTTTACAGCAAACCTAGCAGGAAGCAGCAATTGGAGCCTGGGAATAATGGGTGAGGGCGTTGATCTTTGGCCACTGAAGACAGCCTGCTTAAAATTGGAGAAAACAAAAACAAAAACAAAAACAGAAGAAAAAAAAACCCCACTGCACTTCTTCCAACATGTAGTTTCAAAATGTAAAAGAATAAAAATTAAGCTTCTTTCCCTTGGAATCTTGAGTTTATCTTTTCATCAGGAAGATATAAATTGTAACCTCCTCTCTTTGCTTAACAAACAGCTAACTATAATACAGAGGGTTTCCCTCCTTAGAGGTAATATGATATTTCCCCCCCTTTCTCACTGTCATTTATACATAGTGGAAGTGTCTTAAAGAATAAGCATGATCATGTAAGATATACATTGTGGTTTGTAAAATATTCAAGTTTTTTTACTTAGTCACCTCTATGCCAGCTTTTAAATATGACTGAAATATGTTCATAAGATTATTTAAACTTTTGTCCTAAAGTTTTGTTCTCCTTATTAATTTATCACATGTGTCCTATGTAATATGATCATCTGTATATGGTATGTAAAAAATATATATATGTTTAGCTCCTACAAAGGTTTTTCTCAGATAAATCCAACTACGAATAAGTAGACACACCCCATCCACATTCAGAAAGTGATTTAAAGCCCAGGAGACCCCATGATGTGGCCATACTTTGAAACAGGGGAGCTACATTCAATTTTTAAGAAACCTAATGAAAAAATTATAAAGTCATGAAAAAAGTTATAAGCACAAATATCAGGGTTTGAGAATGGCAGTTGTATAAGGTCACTCTGGAAAAATTAATATTTTGTCTAAAATAAAGTCCTATATTATTTAAATAGTTATAAATATGTTTATAAGCCAAATTAATTTCAAAATGCTACATTTATAGATATATGATAAGCAAATGAGTAATGAAAATATATTAATATATTAATTATATTAATTAAATATATTATTTAAAATATATATTTCATACATAAATTAAATATAGTACAATATTTATATGTACTACAATTATATATCTACATATAATAATTATGTTATGCATATTACATTGCATATATTTTATATGTAAATGACATATATTTATTCTTTTTAACCATATAGCTTAAACTTTTCTATTTCAACAAAGAAAGCAAAATACGTATTTTATTTCTAGGATTCCATTCAGAAGACATGTGATACACCTCGAAACTGAATTTTTATTTGTTTATTAAAAGCCTGACACATGGATTTTGATATTTTTTATGTCCCTACCCTGTGCTAATGTGATAAATATAATTTCCTTTTTCAAACTACTCATATCTTAAATGCTCTTTTACTACATGTTTGGCCTCAAATTCCTTTTTGAATAAGGTGGAGTACTATAAACAAACAATATTTAATGGCTGTTTTGCTGAATAAAAATATAACAGTTAACAGCTTTCTTCATTAACATGCTCGCCCAGGAGCTGGTTTAACTTTCCATAGCAAGACGTGGTCATCAAAATTCCTATTCCATATTTCCAAATGCTTTTTCTGTCATATTATTTACTGGAATTTAGATTATTATAAGCATACGTTCTATGAGGAAATTTTTTAAACTGATAACACCATAAAAACTACATCACCTGGGAGACTGAAGCTCTGGTTTAGATGAGAAAATTCTTTTCAGATCCACAGTTTCGATTTGCAGCAGGGATGACTCAGCCTCCGATAGCACACTGTGTATCCAATGCCTAGTGATTCAGCTTGGGACAGTTGGGATTATAGAAGAAGGAACAGATTTTCTTATAAAAACAAGTGGTTTTTTTCCTTCTTCATGCCTTACAATCTGTTCAAGAAACAAATATCATTCTTATCTTACCCTTAAGACAAAATTTTTGTCAGCCACAAAAAATCAAGTAAATATTAACCTTAGAATATCTGGAGTACAGTTCATCTAGAGAAAATGATAGATTCATTCTGGACAAGTAGGAAATAAAAGAATAGTAATACATATTTTCTATTGTGTACTTCCAGAGATAAAGTTGATTGATTTTTTTCCCAATTTTTTATTTTGAAAGATGTGAAGAATTATATAATGAACACCAACATATCTTAGGGTCATCCTTTTTTTAACAACTTGCTTCATTTGCTTTTTTCTTTCTTCATCTCTATGTATATTTTTTGTGCTTATTCACTTGAAAGTTAGTTGCAGTCAACATAACATTTTAGCCCCAAATACTTTAGCATATATCACCTTAAGAACAAGAATATTCTCCTATAAAACCATAATATAACATACCCAAGAAACATATTATCTAGTAGACAGTTGTTCCTCAATGCTTTATTGTTTCTGATCCAGGATCCAATAAAAAATTACACAGTGAATTTGGTTGTCTCTTTCGACTCCTTTAATCTGGAATGAGTTTTTAATTTGATACAGTGAAAATGCTTATTTTCAAAATTACTCAGTCTCTAGAGTATCATCAATTAATACTGTCAGCAAATAATCAGGAAGACAATCTTAGAAACCTGGCCAGATACCAAACTTAAAAAAAAAATCTATAATCATTTCACTGGAAAAAAAATTCCTTCCCAATTCAACCCATGTAAACCTCGGCCAGGTAAAGAACAAGAGAAGCAAACTTGAAAGTAACCAGGGGCTTAAACCATACAAACCCCATACATCAAGTTCAGCAGTTTGAATTGAATTGGTGGTCAGCCTACTTTGTGTAGTACAACAAGGTAAATGTGCTGGCAATACAGTAGAGCCAGCCGACAAAATAAATGTTCATTTTGACTGATACTTCACTATTCAAATACTCTGCCCTTCTTTCCCCCTGAAACCCTCAATGCCATTTTATATAAAAATTTAAACATATTCTGACAGTGGTTTTATGGATAATACTAATGAATACTATCATATTAAATTTCTGTTCGTTCTCTGAATACTTCTCTTCCTCCCAGTTTACATTATTTTGGGAAAAGCACATCTTTAATCTTTATTGGCAATAAGCTCGCCTCTTGTTATTCACTTTAGGAGAAAATCCTTATTAGAAATGCAGTGCTAAAAAGGTACCTAAGTCATCAATATTATGGTATTTCATGAATTGAATTTGATGTATCATACACAGATGCTTGCATTAAAGCATACAACTTATTTTGGTTCAATAAAATGTTAATACATTGTTTAGCATTTATAAACAAACGTACCATCTTCAGTGCTAAATACGCAAATGACAAATGTAACAAACATGATGAACTTATTTTCCAAATCCTGCATCATAGGCACATGAAATACTTTGGTTCACCTGAAACATAATCTTTCATCATAAGAAAGGGAATATTATGATGAGAGAGGAGTGATAGAAATGTGGCTGTTTTCCTGTTTTTGATTTTTATGTGAAACTTAAAAGTCAATAAGAGAGAGTGGATTTCAAATGCAAGGTAATGGACAAAGGCAGCAAAGGGGGGTTTCTATTGCCACCTAGTGTCTAACTTTATAAGGGACTTATTTTTGAACATGACAGCAGTCACACAATGTGAAACAGACTCTGAAACGGGAAAGGTAATTACGGCACTTTCCAGCCAAAGAATTTCAGTCTTTTTTTCTTATGGTCAACCTCCTGTCACTGTATAACTGGTCTATATATATAAAAATACCAAAAATTTCACATATTAAAGAGTGATATTTATGAAGATGGTGATTTGTGTATATATCATGATATATACATGTACATTTGAAATTAATTCCATTATTATTTTGGATCAGTATAACTATTTAGAAAGTATAATTCCTGATGAAACAAGAAATAGTTATCTGTCACACTTACTCCATTGATATTTACTTAAAATATTACTACGAAATTTTTTCACTTTTTTTTTTACTTTATGTAAAGCAATCTATTTAGTTTGGCTAACACATTTTATGTCCTCAAGGCTTTTGCCACCTTATAATTAGACTCTAATTTTAGAAATTGAATTGGTTATTGTGTCACTGTATAAACTACTTAATCTCCCTCCCCGCAAAAATGTCCAGCAGTTCACTGAAATAAGAAATCAATGGAGCAGATTTAACTAGCTTCAACTGTGCAATGAAAATATGCTAGTGAAAAGTTACTGGAGATATGCCCCAACATAACTGTAATCTAATGATCCAAATCAATACATATTTGAATAGTCAGTTATTTTTCATCCTTTTCATGTTGTGAGCATAATGCAGTCATGTAGATTATGCTGTCTGAGGAGTGGTTTAGATTGTTTTATTGGTCTGCAACATGATTGCCAAAGTACAACTCCTTTCTTTTATAAATAGATATCTGCGGTTGGCGTAGAGATGTCATCTTCTCCTATAACAGCCTGATAAAGATCAGGTTTTAGTATTTAAGGTTTTGTTTTAAAGTCAAGTTGAAGTTTTTAGGCATTAATTTTATCTGGCATGAGGCGAGCTGGAGTGGTGTATGCAAGTGATAACCACTCTTTCTTTGAAAATAAACTGCACAGTTTGACTTTGGCAGGGTTTCAACGGTGGAAGACTTATCTGCTTGTAAAGTTCTCCCTCACGTACGTGCTTACTCCATTTATTTTTTTACTTAGTGTAATGAGGTCTGTGGAATGGAAAAAAATAGCAACAGGAGAGTTGGAGACTATTTTATAGAGCGAAATACATATGTGTATGAATAATGTTAACTCTGTGAATGAGTAAATTCTCTTTAGTTTTTTCAATCAATCATGCAAAGCGAGAATCAGAGCCTTTAAAAATACAAAAGATGGTATTTATTTTCTTGAGACTAACTTGCAATCATATAAGCCACATATTTTATCATTTTGTATCTTTACATGGAGTGCCTATTCTTGAGGGTGTATTCACAAACTCATATTTGAGTCATTGCTTCTTTGGCCATGTACGTCCATATTGCAAAGGCACTGATTAAAATATGACAATAAAATGGACTAGGTGACTTTTTAATAAGTGCATGTAAATAGTAGCAGAAAAATGAAAAAAAAAGTGTTACTGAAAGATGAAACTGAAGAAAATTTGACCCATGCTAATTCTTCACTCAAAAAGGGGAAAAGAAAATATCTACAAATATGTTCTTAAAGGCAGGAATAAAACATTGCAGCTAGGATTTCCTGGTAATAATTAAGCTTCATAATTATACCTAAAAATTGTATCATCTCAGTTCTATTTAGTAACAAAGCAATTCTTTTCCAAGTTTTTTTCATCAAGCACCCCACCACACACAGATCCCTGCAGTCACTAACTCACCAACATCACCCATATGTCCCCAGTCTCCCAAACCATATAGAAAGCTATTTTCCTTTCATCACCTCTCTCAAAGTCAGCAGTTTTAGGCTTGAAAATCCATACAAGGGACAAGCTCTGTCTTAGTTAGAGTTCTTAAATTACCCTAGACTTGGGAGGCTTAAACAAGAGAAATTCATTTTCTCACAGTTCTGGAGGCTGGAAGTCTGAGACCAGGTTACCAGCATGACTGGGTTGTGGTGAGGGCCCTCATGCAGGTTGTGGATGGTCATATTTCTTGCTGTATCTTCACAGGGTAGAAAGAGAGTGAGAGAGCTCTCGGGTCTCTTTTATAAAGGCACTACCATTCATGACGGATCCACTCTCATGACCTAATGACCTCCCAAAGTCCCCACCTCCTAATACCAGCACATTGGGAGTTAGGATTTCAACACTCGAATTGGGGGCAGGGGGCACTAATGTTAAGTTCATTGCAGGCTGCTGGACAGAGACTTTCCAGGCAAAATAGACCACGATTAGGGACACAAGTGACCATGGAAGGCTGCACGCTTCTTTATGACTGTGGCTATTCTAGTCAGAGAAGGGGACAGAGACTTAAAGAGTATTTGGAACCAGGTGAAAAGGTTCATGCCCAAATTTTATGGTGTCCAGCCATGTGTCATGATAGCAACAAAATTCTCGATATTTCTATGAGCAATATCAGTCGGTCTCTTTTCCACATTGTTAGGAGATCCCAACGGGCCACAGCTATGGAAAAGCAGGGAGAAGGGAGGTCCAGCAATGGTAATTCATGTTTGTTTCCCTTAATTAGGTGGTGGCTTTATATCCCAGTGTCCTGTATTTTAAGGGACATATGTTGGGACTTAATTAATACTGAGGAGGAAAACAATTTTTCAAATCCTTTGTGTACAAAGAGAAATCAAGCAACTTTGGCAAGCTTCAGTAACTATTTCTGGAGACCAGAGTATTAGCAAGTTTATAAAATATTGTGTGCCAGTAGGTTCAAAAGTATTATTAAAATTCTCTGAATTATTGAATTTTGACAAATTCCATGTGTGAAAATATATCAAAAGGTACATATAAGGAAGGTCTCATGTCCTAAAGTTGGAGAAACCGGACAAATGAAAACTTTATAAAAGCAGAAATAATGCAGGATTAAATGCCAATTCACTAAAACAGACCATCTACACTGACAGAGTTCAGAAGGAGGAGAAACGGTGGCGGGAATAGCAGTATGGATGGAAAGGAGTCAGCATCCAGGCTGACCTTGAAGAGACATTGGGACATACACCAGTGGGTGTCAGTAGGAAAGTCAGGACAGGCAGGGGAGCAGCAGGCACAGAGGATGGGGTTCAGAGATGGCCTTGATTCCAGAACTGACCAACTACACCCACCTGTTCCAAAAATAAACACCTAGTGTGTTCTTTCTGTCTGAGAGACACTGTGGGAAGAGGTGTGAGGGAAGAAAATGTTTGAGAAGGAGAATTCATGCTTATGGCTCTCTTCAAAGCACCAGACCCCATGCTAATCACTTTACCCTTGAGTTCCTACTCCAGAAGTCTGTAGTGAAACAAACACAAAGCATACCAATAACTACAGCACTGGGTAAAGGAGGAGAGTTGCTGTATGAGAGTCATAATGTTAGAAAACTCCAAGCACAGAGATGCTCCTCAAGCTAGGAGAAATAAGGAAAACTCAACAGAGGAGGAGGCACGATTGTCAGGACTGAAACTCGTGTGGGATTGAAGACGGAGTGATGTCCCCAAAGAGAGAGATGTCCCAAAAGAGAGAGATAGAGCCAGACTCAATGGGCTTTAAATATAATAGAATGGGCTTAAATGATTTTCTGTGTTCAGTGAGGGGCATTAGAGATGTAAAGCAGTAGAGCAGAGGTATGGAAGTTACGTTTTCTGGATGGTAATTGGGTGCTGAGGAGCAGAATAAATCTGTTGGAGAGCCTTCCTTCAGGCAAACGAGGTGTATTATTCTGTTCTCATGCTGCTAATAAAGACATACTTGAGACTGGGTAATTTTAAAGGAAAGAGGTTTAATGGACTCACAGTTCCACATGGCTGGGGAGGCCTCATAATCATGGCAGAAGGCAAAGGAGAAGCAAAGTCACACCTTACATGGTGGCAGACGAGAGAGCTTGTGCAGGGGAACTCACATCTATAAAACCATTAGGTTTCGTGAGACTTATTCACTACCATGAGAACAGTATGGAGGAAACCACCCCCACGATTCAATTATCTCCACCTGGCCCTGCCTTTGACATGTGGGGATTATTATAATTCAAGGTGGGATTTGGGTGGGCACACAGCCAAACCATATCACCAGGAAAGAAATCTACTGGAGTGAAAGGAAAGATCTGGCCCTGGGTAGTGGCCTAGGAAAGAGCTCCTGCAATGTGATATTAAAAAAGCAGAATTTTGGGCTTGAGTTTCATATAAGGGTCACTAACTAGATTGTAAATTTGGGCAACTCTTTCTTCCTCTTCAACATTTAATCTTTTCATTTGTAAAGAGAGAAATGAAGGACACTTAAGTAGTGAATTCTTCGGGAGATTGATAAATTACATGTGAGTAGTCTCTCTGCCTTTTATTTGTCTCTAGTGTTTTTGATATGAGAAGGTCCACTAATATAAATAGTTCTCTTTTTAATTAGGTTGATGAAAAATATGTGTACAGATATAATCTACTAATCAATCTTTAAATTATTGAACTTTATTAATAGTTGGATAATCTGAGTGCAGCTATCACAAAAGCCTAAAGCTCAAAAGACCTGGAAGATCATCTGGTTTAATTCCAGTTGTAGATTCAGATACTAAAGCCGTTGGAGGGTCAGTTACTAATCAAAGTCACATAAATGCAAATAGCCAATGAAAAAACTTAATTCAAAGTCCTCTGATTGGTGAGCCAAATATATTTTTCCCTGGGCAGGCTGTCTCTGCATAATATGTTTTATTTTTTTTTCCATGTTTCAGAAGGTAGGTGATATGCATAGTATTTTTCAATGAAATGGATGCATTACATACCACCAGGCAAGGAGTTCTGACTTGACTCTGCCATGTTAGCAAATCTGCTTGTATGCTACCCTAGGAAGACAGCAGAGTATCCGAGGATTTGGAAATGCAGTTGATTGGATTAATACCCTGGCTCTGCTACTTACGACCTTAAGCAGGTTATTAAAACTCCGTTAAACTAAATTTACTCATTGATAAATGGTGAAAATAATGTTGAGCTTCCAAAGTTGTTGTAGAATCAAAAGAGAAAATGTAGGTAGGTTACCTAGGGCCTCATCTGATAGCTTATTGCTGTTTATCAGGTTTTCTTCCTTTCTGTGTCATTTCCTGAGGAAGGCTGGTATTCATTTAGTTCTCTTCCAAAACTATGACATTTGAGGGTATGACTCTAGTAAATGCTTACTATTGAATGAATGGCTCTTCCTGAACATGCTATGCTTTACTACAGCACTTTTCACAGCAGTGTCATTCATCAACTTGCAGAAAAAATAAATGACTAAGTGAATAGATAAATAAATGAATAAAATAGATGAGTGACTAGAACTTAGCCCAAGACTGTAAAATTTCTTGTGTTTGTGAAAGTCTCACAGACCTTCTCCAGAATATGGAGGTAAAACCTAGAGGGGCTCAAGTCTTGTCAGATCCTAGGGACTCCTCAGGTTACATAAATAGCTTCATGTGGTCTCAAAATTCTAAGCAAGTATTTGTAAAGCTGTGTGCATGCGAATATTTTAAAGGTAAAGATTCATAGCTCTCATTAGATTTTCAAAAGAGTTTGTAATACCCAAAATATTAAGAACTACTACCATAGGCCTGGCCCAAGACTCTATTCTACATACATTTCAATCTATGTAGTTCTGCCAGGCAATATATGGCCCTCCCAGCAAATAGCACCACAGTATTACACTTCAATGGAAGCCATGTTTTATTCGTCAATACCATCTCACAACAATTCACAATTATCCACATAAATAGCTTACAGATCAGGAACTGTTTGGGAAAACCATTCTGATGTTTTTAAAGAGCTGTAGTTACATACTAAACATATGTAATACAGAAAGTGGTCTCAGGGAAAGAGTGAGAAAGCTGTAAATTCAAAGTATATGTTAAAACTCAATGTGAATATGTAGTTAAAATTCAATTAAACTTAAAATGCATATATAATTTGAAAGAAAGCTAAATAATGAGTGTAATTTATAAATACATGATAATTATCCTATGAGTTGTGAAATAATGGTACTTGGTAAATATGAGTAACAACGAATGTCAACAAATATTTATAAAATTTCTATGGTGATTGAAGCTCCCTATATAAAATAATTTGCATTTAACAAATTTTCTGACCCAGCAAGTTGTAGCATATATTATATTCCATTGAAGGAAGAAGTTTCCATTTTAGC
This sequence comes from Homo sapiens, assembly GCF_000001405.40. Taxonomy (NCBI): domain Eukaryota; kingdom Metazoa; phylum Chordata; class Mammalia; order Primates; family Hominidae; genus Homo; species Homo sapiens. The sequence goes on from NC_000004.12 coordinate 174,162,629, forward strand.
AATAAGATTTTTTTCATCAATTAGAAGTTGCATCTTTCCATATAAATGTGAAATATAATCCTAATTTTCTTCATTAGCAACTCCTAACATGCTAATTTTCTTAATGTATGTATTCAGTATCTGAACAGTGATTTTTAAACCTGAAAATGTTTTATTATTGTGAGTTTTTAAATAAATAAAATGCGATTGATATTGCAAGCAGGCTTGTCATGCCTGAACGCAGCACCATACTGTTTTACAGAATAAAGAAGATCTTGAACCATAGAAATGTTTTGCTGTTGAAGGATACTACTGTTGATTCTAAGGACCCTCTATGAAATGGAAGGATCTTTAGAGGGTCTTCCATTCCTCCTTTTTTCAGTAAGGGCACCCCAATCTTCCTTGGGAAAGCATGGCTATTCTACTGTCAATCTATGTAGTTCTGCTTAGCATGGTTGCACATGCTTGTAGCCCCAGCGACTTGAGAGGCCAAGGTAGGAGGATCACTAGACCCCAGGAGTTTGAAGCCAGCCTGGGAAACAGGGGGAGAACCCCATCTAGAAAAAAACACAAAACCTATGTAGTTCTGGTGAAGCTGATTCTACCCCTTACTTCAGGAGTGAATATTTGACCCAGTCCTGGTGAATCAGAGCATCACAAAGTCCCTGTGAGTTAGATTTCTGCCATTTGCAAGCAAAAGAGCAAACCTGCTACACTGGCCTATGTTCATTTTTCTTCTGGGATCATTTTGCCACTTCCATTCTGACATTACTAGTCCTCCTATTACTGTAGGAGGTGCTGGGTTGGTGCCGCATGTCATGTACATTTCAAGATGGGCCACTGCCTTTATTATTTGGTAAGAAAACATACATTCTAATTTTTATAATATTTATATAGTGCTTTATGGTTTACAAGGCCTTTCACATTAGAAACCCCTGTCTTGTACCCTTTTGCTTTCTCCTACCAAACTTTTCTTATAACCAACTCACAATTATTGGAAACAGTTTAAGAAACGTGAATCTCAGAGGAACATGGTCATCATGGATTAAAAACAGAAGAATGGTCAATATATTTAATATTTATTGACTGCCCACTAACACCAAATTCTTTAAGTTTGTGGTTCTCATTTATACTGCTAGCATTTGTTCAAAGTCAATGTTATCGATCTATCTGGAGACACAGTTTAAAGATATTACATAACTCAACCAAGATCACAAAGTAACTCAACCAAGATTGTTAAGTGGTAGAGTTGTGATAAAAACTCAGTTCTACCTGAGTCCAGAAACAGATTGTTTAACCAATATGTTCAACTGCTGGCTCAGTCACAAAAGCAAAAACAAACAAATAAGAAACACATCATGCTCATGGAACTCCTTAAAGAAACACCAATGGTAGTAATGTACTTTTCAAACTGGATGAATACATATGTTATCACAACAGATATGTTTAATTAATACTGACTTTATCCCTTCCAGTTTCTGATCCAACAACTCAGATTTGGGGAACCAAGAACTGAAAATAAGAAAAGCCTTGCTCCATGATTTCAGTCTTAAAAAAAACTCAGCTGTAGAAAAGGTCCACTTTGAGAAACGTAATCTATAATCAAATGGATAAAGGCATAAGAGTGAAAAATGAAGTTGTTAAGCTGAAGTGATGAGAACTGAAAAGGGTCAGAGATGCATGGAAATTGAAATGAACTAGATCTGTCTGTTAGGATGCTGTTTTTGTATACTACAGGCAGCAGATTTTGAGTCAAAGGTGAACCATGGATTCCGTACAGACTACTCAGGCTCACATGTGGAAATGAAATCTCAAGGAACAAGACACACACACACACAAAAACCTGCTTTAATAGATTTGTGGGGATGTTGGCCAGTCACTCTAACCATAGAGAAAAAAAGACTTTAGGAACTGCGTCTCTGGCACATGCTTCAGGATTCCTTCTAGAGATCAGGAGGTTACTCTGTTGGTAGGAAGAACACCAGAAAGGCATCATCTTGCCAGGAAGACCTTGCTACTCTTTTGCTGTAAGCAGTTTATTCCTTGATCCACAAGAGACCACAATTATTCTTAACTTTTAAAACATAAACTTTGAGTTAAAGGAAAACTGGTTGAAAATATCCAATTTGAATTTTATAGCTTCAGAAAGTTGGATCATAATTGCTCTCTGAAAAGAGAGCTCATCAATTCACCCTCCCTGTAGGAGATAGTCAGTGTCTGATCCATTAAGTTATCATCCTAAAGCAGGACATTTATCATAATTTATTCTAGGATATTCTAAATTTGCTCTGTTGATTACCATTGTGTAAACAATGTCTTCTGCGAGCTTGGGTTGCATGATTGAGCGTTGGAACTGGCACTGATTTGAAGTTACCATTTGCTAAAGAGCTTCTGGTTGTTCTATCAGTACAAACTCCAGGGATGTCTAACAAGGGACATAGTGGTTATGAAAAAAAAATGAGGCTCTTCCTCTATGTAATGTTAATGGGCCACTTACTGAACTATATCTCTTTGGAGAGGCAAGTCTAAATGGTATGAGGTTAAAGAACATTAGAAAGTGGTTTGTGCATGTTCAACAACATGACTTTTCTCATTAAAAAAAGAAAAAAAAATCCTGCACCTAAGATATTTGTAGAAGTCAGCATTAAAAAGGTTTTTTTAAATAAATATCTTAAATGACAATGTACAGAGCAAAGTAATGGCAAGTTTTCTCATAACTATAGTAGAAGCTGTCCAAACTGGAAGGAAGGACTTATTTTTTAATTTGCTATATTTTTCTTAAGGAAAAATATATATTCAAAAATGTATTTGACATTGGCTGAAGACACTGAGTATTTATTAAAATTAGTGACATCTGGCTCTTTCTTTCCTTCAGACATTGCTCATAACTCTTCTACCCTTTTTCTCCCCAATATTTCTCTTGCTTCATTTCCAACCGTATGATAATTATTCAAGTTATTCCCAATCCTTCAGCCTTTGGCATTGAAAGGGACTTGACTTTCTCCATCCAATGTTACCTTTATGTTTTTGTCCTTCTCTATCTTTCAGAATGGAGAAAACTGATGTAAAATCTTATCTGAGGGCCGGGCGCGGTGGCTCACGCCTGTAATCCCAGTACTTCGGGAGGCCAAGGCGGGCAGATCACAGTCAGGAGTTCAAGACCACCCTGACCAACATGGTGAAACCCCGTCTCTACTGAAAATACAAAAATTAGCTGGGCATGCACCTGTAATCCCAGCTACCCAGGAGGCTGAGGCAGGAGAATCTCTTGAACCTGGGAGATGGAGGCTGCAGTGAGCAGAGATCGTGCCACTGCACTCCATCCTGGGCGACACAGCGAGACTCCATCTCAAAAAAAAAAAAAATCTTATTTGAATATTTTTGTCTCTGCTGCAAAAGATTCTTTCTTCCCTTTGTTCCTTGACTTTCTCCTAAGAAATATTTTATTATTTTTTTCATACAGATATTTGTGTCAGACTAATGCCTAATATACTGAGCTTCTTTCCAGATGATACCAATAGAAAGTTGGAAGAAATTATCACAAAAGAAAGGAAGTTTATCTAATATTTTTTCGGCACAGCTTTCTGTCTCTTTGGCTTAGCTCGAATCAAATTCAGCCTTTAGTCTGATGTCTCTTTTAATGCTATCTTATTTCTTTTTTTCAGCAGCATGGTTGCCTCATTGAATGTATTTTCAACTCAATTGATTGCAGTTATCTCTGAGTGATACTATAGCTGTTCTGGATAATCCATGAAATTCTAAGTGTCTTATTTACAACCTCATTCTTTGGATAATGCTCACATAAAGATGTCATTCCTCGTGCTGTATTAACTGTTACCATGTTAATCTGACAAAGGACTGGCTGATCTAAAACATAGCCCTGAAGAGGCTGAACATAGAAAGTTTACCGATCAAAATGGTGTCCTCATGAAGTGCTCTGCCCACTTTGATAGAACAAGCTAACCCCATCATATTACTTTATGGCATCTAGATATTTCATTTCCATCAGACCTTGCCCATAATTCTTCCACACTTTTCTCCTCAATTTTTCTTTTGCTACCTCATCAACCACATATTCATGGTAACCTAGTTATTTTCAGTATCTTCAAGCTTTGGTTTGATGAGGACTTGATTTTCACCACATGATTTTACCTTTCAATGTGTTCTTTTCCATTAAAGTTTTTTCTCCACCTTTGCCTTTTCAAAGTGAAGTATAATGTAAAATCATATTTGAATATTTTTTCTGTGCTTTGAAAGTTACTTGCTTCCCTTTTTCTCTTTTCTTTCCCTTTGAAAGTCCTTTGTCATGGTGGAGTATAAACATAAGATTCACACAGGAGCCTAAAAGGACAGTAATAGAAAGCTACAGAAAGACAAAATGTCTGGGTCACTAGAGCTTCTAGTGAATGCAAAATTAGGATTATTCCAATTTTCCACAAGGCCTAGGGCTTAGACTCACTCTACAGCTTCTGAGATGTTGCCATCGTTCCATGCTCTCCAAGTATCTTCACTAAAAATTTACATTTCTTTGAAATTTTAAAAAACCTCATGCTCACCTTTTCATCTCAATGAAAAATTTGTCCTTGAGTAAGTTTATCTTCTTCCCTCCTTCTGACCTCAATCCAGTTCCACCCTATTACAAGATGATACTCGAGTTCTGTTTCAGAGGAGAAGGTTGAATCCATGTGGCCTAAAGTATACTTCTGGAAAGAGCTTCATACTTGCCTTCTATAAAATCAGCAAGCACAAAATGCTCAAATTGAGTGAGGGTTAATTGTAAATTTACCTCCTTAACCGTATATAAGAATAATTACTAGCTAAATACCTTATAGAAATTAAGAAAATAATATATTTTTGTGAGATATCATTAGACACAATTTATCAAAAGAGCTGGAGTCAGAAAGGGGTAAACAGAAAACAGAACACTACTTTATTCTTTCTTCAAACTTTCCCATTCAACCCACCCTATTCTAACCTATTGTATGAAATTCTTTAGTCATTTTCAGTGATTGAAAAGTCAAGCCATTCTACAAGGCAATTTGCCTGTTCTCTTCAAAAACTCAATATCATGATTAGTAACTTGAATAATGTACTTAGTAGAAGAAACACGACTAACAGAGATTTTGAACTCCTAATGTTTAATAATTTAAAATATTGAAATGTGTATATGGCATTTATAAATATTTCTCATTAAATAAACGTCTAATGGAAATATATAGGAATATAATACACAAATGTTTCAAACCCTACTATTTGCAACAAAGTGGGAAACTATAATACTAATAATACTTTCAATTTTTAGCCAGTTGGCAGAATTGGCAATTCTGGTACTGTTAACTCTTTATATAGTAAAACATTGGATCTATTGGAACCCTGCAAAGTCATTATTGTCACTATTTTAGAGACAGAGAAACTAATACCCAGAGAAGATAAGTAACTATCCCCAAAACAATACAAGATATGTAATGACCTCAAGCTCTTAAACAGGTGAGCAAATAGACCAAAGCTAGCAAAAGTTGTGAAGGAGAATGACTATATTTACTATTTTCTGATGTTTTTCCATATGCTATGGCATATATGTGGAAACTGACAAATGTCATCAACAGTGGGCCACTCAGCCCCTTCCAACTGCAGAACAAAAAAAAAAGTTATTATTGTACAATCTTTAAAATCATCCAGGATTTGCACACTTTGATAGAAGTACGCAAATATAAAATTAATAAAATTTGAATAAGCAAAATGACCACAAATATTAGAATACTTATCTGTCTGAAGAATTTTTGTAATGGTAGAAATCAATCTCACTTGTGTCTTTTTTGGGGGTATTCTGTTTGTTTTTCGGTTTTGGCTTGTTGGTAGGATACAGAGTTCTATTTTAATGACAGTATACTCATTTTCACCGGTGTAAATACAAACACGGTTCAATTTAGAGATGGCAACCTTGAAATGAGAGATGTTGTCTTAAATGTGAACTCTGACAGGTAAGAATAGAGCAAATTCATTTTGACCTCCAAAATCATGGGAGACTGTTCTATATTTTAAAAGACAGAGACATACAATGTATAATTAAAATATAAAAATAAAAACAACTATACAAAATATTTTGGGGGGGGATGGGGAAATTTAAACATAAATTTGGGGAAGAAGATGCCAGGAATATGCAGTATCTTTGTAATTGAAGTAGTAGAGACTAGATCTCAGCAGCCTGGGAGATAGTCCTTCCAGAGCTGAAGTCCCTCACGAGGTCTCTGTGGGTTAACATCAGCAAGGGTCCCAACTGATACTCACTGATACTCAAAGGGCGCGCCTGCTCTCTCTCTCTTTTTTTTTTTCTGATGGAGCCTAACACTGTTGCCCAGGCTGGAGTGCAGTGGTGCAATCTTGGCTCACTGCAACCTCTGCCTCCCAGGTTCAAGTGATTCTCCTGCCTCAGCCTCCCCAGTAGCTGGGACTGCAAGTGTGCACCATCACACTCAGCTGATTTTTGTATTTTTAGTAGAGACGGGGTTTTGCCACGTTGGCCAGGCTGGTCTCGAACTCCTGACCTCAAGTGACCCACCTGCCTCAGCGTCCCAAAGGGCTGGGATTACAGGTGTGAGCTACTGTGCCCCGGCCAGGGTGCACCTGTTCTTGAGAGGACAGAAGGCATCAAATCAGACCCCAGTCAGTTTCACCAGCCTCACTCAGCCTGTAAACGCAATACAGAAGAATCTACTTGTGATCCTCTCTACTATAGGACACTGAAAATTGCCACAATCTAACAATCCAGCAGATTACACCACTAGTGAGTGGCAGTGGCAAAATGTGAATCCTGGTTGCCTGACTGCAGGTTTATAACTAGATACATAATAGCTCAGAAATAGAACCACATATCCATGGAGGCATTGCTTACGACATGTGGCTTTGGCATAACAAATCATTAAAGCAAAGATGCAGATTACATCATTTTTGATAGTAAAAATATACATTACTTTATTGAAAAAATAAAAATAACACTATCTCACTCCATACACAAAAATAAATTCTAGATTTTGACTATATAAATATAAAAAATTAAAGCTCAAAATTCTAGAAGATATTATAAGATTTATGACACATCTAGACAGGAGATAATTTCTTAAGGCACAAAAAAGAGAAAGATTGATTTGTTTAAACTTTCATGTTAAAAAGCCTTGAAATCCACAGACTTCATAACGTATTTTCCTAACCAACTGCCTACAATCAAGATTTTTAATTTTTCCAAAGTCATTCCAATAGTATACATATCATTCCAAGATAATGCCTACTAAAATTACAGTGTTTTAGTTTCTGATAAAGTTTTTCATTTAATAAAGCCAAATACCTGGACGAGCGCAGTGGCTCACACCTGTAATCCCAGCACTTTGAGAGGCCAAGGCGGGCAGATCATCTGAGGTCAGGAGTTCAAGACCAGCCTGACCAACATGGTGAAACCCTGTCTCTACTAAAAAGACAAAAAAGTAGCCAGGCGTGGTGGCGCATGCCTGTAATCCCAGCTACTCAGGAGGCTGAGACAGGAGAATCACTTGAACCAAGGTGATGGAGGTTGCAGTGAGCCGAATTCACACCATCGCACTCCAGCCTAGGCATCGCGCCACTGCACTCCAGCCTAGGCAACAAGAGTGGAACTCTGTCTCAAAAAAAAAAAAAAGAGGAAAGCAATCAAACGCCTATACAGGGAGTATGCAATAATGTTCTTTCACAGAGTGTCCATTTGTTGTGAAACACTGAAGATCAACACAGAGGAGCATGGAAGGAAGAAGGAAGATAGTTGGAAGAAAAAACATTAATTACTATTTTTGCCTCTTTTTTTTCCATGTCTATCTTGTCTCCTTAAGAATCCCAGGATGAGATCTCTCTTCACATACATTCCTATTTATTGGTTGGCCTTGAGTGGGTAGGTTTCTATGTAATTAGCTGGAATACTATGGTAATATTGAGGATGTCAGACCTGTCAGTTGGAGCAGCCAAGTGGGAGGTCCTTAAAAGGGCCACTACAATGTGGAGGTACTTTTTGTCTTTTTATAAGACAGGATTTTTGATCCTCTTTAAAAATCAACCAGTCAAACTGCAGTCTGGCTCTACAATTTCTCTGGATCTGTCTGAAACTGCCACACAGGGAGAGGGATTTCACCCTGGGAAACGAGCTGATGCTTCCAAGGTCTTAAAATAAGGCATACACCTAGGACAAATATTGCGTTTGAACCAGACGAGTTTGGGCAACACACACACACACACACACACACACTCCCAGATGTACACCTCTATCTCTATTTATCATTTTATACCTTTCTGTTTTAAAATTTCTTTATTGTGTTTTCCTAAGCTACACAAGTAGAAACTGCATGACTGTTGCTGTCCATTAAAAGACTTTCAGTGAATTACTTTCATCTAATTGATCTAGATTTGTATTTCAGCTGCAGATTTGTATCTCATCATCTTCAATAACTTTTACTGTTGTGTGTTCCACATCCAGTGGCAAAACTAGGAATCCCAGCATCTGATAAGGACCACAAATGTCAGGACAATTCATTGGCATATGCAGAGAGTAAAGTTTCACTTGCCGTAATTCTTTGACCAAACAATACATGTGTGCCTTGGATCTTTTTACTTTTAGGCTTAAACAAGGGGATAAAATGAAAAGACAGAAGCTCAAGAGAATTTACAGAATCAGCTAACATTCTCTTTACTCCTTAACTTCAGTTCAAATATGAATAAAAGAAAACTAACATTTGTCCTAAAGACCTGAGTCTTGAAGAGCAACAGACACAGAATTATGATTTGTGAATAAGTAGTTGAGAAATGGGAGAAAGTATTGGAGTAAGCTTGGCAAATGGACTGGGGCAAGGTGGGGAAAGTGAGATCCCACTTACATTTCAGGCCCATGAGACACCAAACAAGCAGAAATGAATAAATTATGGAGAGTTAAGCTGAGGAGAACAAAAGCTAAAGGCATCACATGGACCCACAGTTATAATTTAGTGCACCTCACATGCAGTGTCTCCTGGAGTTTAACGCATTTGCAGCACGGCACACACAGATGGATCATCCCTCAGTAGATACTTTAGTTTCTTTTCTCTTGTTCCTTCCATCCCTTCAAGAGTACAGGATGAAAAGAGTTTGGGAACAATCACCCCAAAACAGAAAGGCATATACTGTAGTTCTAAAGGTATCTAATGAAAAAAATTGAAGTTTCTTCATTGAATACTAAGATTTAAAATTATCTTAAAGACTTAAGGTAATTTAAGCAATTTGCATGTCAAAGAGCATTTACTGCCTTACACTTTATAAGATTGTACATTAGTGGAATAAAAGTTCTAATTAAAAAAAGAAAATTCTTCCTTCTATATATATGTGAAAAACATAATTTCAAGGGTTTCTTTCTATAAAGATGAACAAATGTGATCAAGTTGCTATATCTAATGGATATCCAGCATTTATGTGAATGAAAATTCAGCAAACCAAACCATGTATAAAGAATCAAAGAGTGATTAATGGCCAGACAAAGCAATAAATATTATCAAATCATGTGTACTATCTTCTCTACATCCTGAGCACAATAAGATATATGCCAAAAAGATTATGCTTACCATTTTTTTGAGTCACTATGTATTTTTTACCCAAATATTTTGATTCATTTCCTAAAAATATACTTACTCTTTATCATCCTTATAAGTTCATTGATAAAGAAATAAAAATCTATATAAAATAAGTTGAGCTTTGAGAAAAACAGCATATATGAGAAATCACAATACTATGCCAACCACTCAAGTATGTGAATTTAATTACATATAAAAACTTTAAGAGCAAATTAATGCTGACAGTCTCATGCATCATTTTGTCAAGAAGATAAGTCATAGATATTGCTCATATAAACAAAATAATCAGTGTCAACATTATTAAAATTCTAGAATTACGGTATTTGGTACGTTATCAAAACCTGACTTGCTGCTTTATCACTACATTTTCAGTAACTACTATGTTAATAAGAAATTAGCATCCAACGGACATTTTATAGTTGTAAATAAATTTGTCCATTTAAAATATACCCATATGTTATCAAACTAAAGGATACTGACATCTCTTAAGGAAAAAAGACATCTTATAAAATGCTGCTAGTTGTGTTTTCTGGTTGTGTATAAAATAATGCCAGCTCCAGTAAAATGTTTACATACCTTTTAATAAATATTTTCTTTAATCACGAGCAACCAAAAAATTGTGTTTGCTTTCAAACACAGTTTATATATAACATTTTAGAAGCCCTGAACTTTGTATTAGTCACATCGATATAATAGCATGTTTTTAGTATCAAAATAAGAATAATAAGTTAATTACCCATTGACTACCCAACAATGGTTTTTATTTTTTTAATTCTGTTCAGTTTTTTGACCAAGACTCTACTAGATAGTAAAATGAGCGTTAAATAAAGTACACAAGATTTAGCAAAAATATTCTCAGTGAACACGGGATGGGGCAACATAAAAATTAGATAGTCACTTAGTAATTCAGTCAAAAGAACCCAATAGAAATCTCTAAATACTGATGAAAACCTATAATTTGTGTGTCTTTTATGTCTGTTTGAAAGAAAGCCAGAGTGGGGTGATGAAAGTAATGTTCAAAGTCCCCAATTTATATTTAGTGGTAAAACAATTTGTACATTAATAAAAATTTTAAAAGAAAACAATAGTTTGAACTGAAAGCATCATTTTCCTCCTTAAATTTTCACTTAAATGTTAAGATTTTCCTCTTCTAAGAAGTCAAATGAGGAGCAAGTACAGCTGTTTTTTCTTTGAACATGGGAATGGCTTTTACAGTAGTTATAAGTTTGATTATATCCAGAGACAGACTCTCCCAGGGGAAGATTTATCAACCAAGTCAGCATCAACCACAAATATTCACAAACAGTTGTTGAAACAGTTGTTTATCAATTATATCAAATAACATTTGCTCAGTCTCTTATGTTGGGGGGAGGGAGGGCAGAAGTCTTAAGTCTCATTTCTCTCCCTACATACTTAGCATATTTGGTTCTTGAGCTTATTTATTATGCTGATCAAGAGACAACCGGAGAAGGTTTAGAGAGCACATTGATTACATTGAAAATGGCCAAGAGTTACTACAGGAAGAAAATAGGCCAACAGCCTCAGTGAGAGACCTGAGGAAAAAGAAACAGACCTGAGACTGGTATTAGTATATATACTATTATATTATAATAATATTACATGCTATGGTATTATAATATCACTAATATATAATATTTACATTTTATTAAAAATCTAGAGTTATGATATTCAGTATATTACAATATTCAGCACATTATCAAAACCTGACATGCTGCCTTATCCCTACATTTTCAGTTACTACTATGTTAAGAAATTAGCATCCAATGGACACTTTATAGTTGTAATTCAATTTGTCCATTAAAAATATACCCATCCTATTATCAAACTCAAGGATACTAACATCTATTAAGGTAGAGAGAAATCTATATATTCACTAATATATAGTATTAGTGATATTATATAGTAATAGTGTTGGTCATATTAAGGTAGAGTTTGAGGGAATTTGGAGTGGAAGAGGAGAGAATATGGAAGGAAACTACCTTGCAGGAGGAAGATTGGGAGGTGGAAAAGGAGAGTTTAAAATATCTTTCATGCCGGGCGCGGTGGCTCATGCCTGTAATCCCAGCACTTTAGGAGGCTAAGGGGGGTGGATCACCTGAGGTCAGGAGTTTGAGACCAGCCTGACCAAGATGGCGAAACCCCGTCTCTACTAAAAATACAAAAATTAGCCAGGCATGGTGGTGGGCACCTGAAATCCCAACTACTAGGGAGGCTGAGGCAGGAGAATAGCTTGAATTGGGAGGCAGAGTTTGCAGTGAGCCAAGACTGCGCCATTGCCCTCCAGCCTGGGTGACAGAGTGAGACTCTGTCTCAAAAAAAAAAAAAAAATTACCTTTTATACATGTAACTCACTTTGGCAATTTCTTGAAGGCTTTAACTTTTCACTTATTTTGCCTGCTGAACTGTGATTTCCCTCGCTGGGATAATCTGCAGAGATTGCCTTCTATCTTCAGGTTAAGTTTGTTTGACCAGCCTTTCACTTGAGGCTTTTACCTTTTCTAAAGTGACACTCAGTCCTCTCCTTTCCTCTATGTTTTGTCCAGAGTGATGAGCTGAATTCTGTCCCTCCAAAATTCATATGTTGGAGTCCTAAAACCTAGTACCTCAGAATGTCACTGTAGAGATAGAATCGTTAAAGAGTTAAGTTTAGATGAAGTGGGCCCTAACCCAGTATGACTGGTATCCTTTTAAGAAGAGATTAGACACAGACACACCCAGAGGGAAGACCCTGTGAAGATCCCAGAAGACGGCCATTTACAAGTCACAGAGGCTCTCAGAAGAAAACAACCAGTGGACACTGTTACCAGAAAGCGGTCCCCATCCAGACCCCGAGAGAGGGTTCTAGGACCTCACTCAAGAAAGAATTCAGGGTGAATCCATGGAGTAAATAAAGTGAAAGTAAGTTTATTAAAAAAGTTAAGGGGCCGGGCCCAGTGGCTCTCTCCTGGGAGGCCGAGGCAGGTGGATCATCTGAGATCAGAAGTTCGAGACCAGCCTGGCCAACAGGTGAAACCCCATCTCTACTAAAAATACAAAAAATTAGCAGGGCATGGTGGCAGGCGCCTGTAATTCCAGCTACTTGGGAGGCTGAAACAGGAGACTCACTTGAACCTGGGAGGTGGAAGTTGCAGTGAGCTGACGTCACACCATTGCACTCCAGCCTGGGCAACAAAAGCCAGGGGGAAAAAAAGAAAGTCAAGGAATAAAAAATGGTTACTCCATAGACAGAGCAGTGGCATGGGCTGCTCAACTGAGCATACTTATAGTTACTTCTTAATTATATGCAAAACAAGGGGTGGATTATTCATGAATTTTCTGTGAAAGAGGTGGGCAATTCCAGGGACTGAGGGTTCCTCCCCTTTTTAGACCATATAGGGTAACTTTCAGATATTGCCATGGCATTTGTAAACTGTCATGGTGTGAGTGGGAGTGTCTTTTAGCATGCTAATCATTATAATTAGCATATAATGAGCAGGGAGGATGACCAGAGGTCACTTTCATCAGCATCTTGGGTTTGGCTGGCTTCTTTACCACATCCTGTCCTTTTTTTTTTTTTTTTTTTTAATACTTAAAGTTCTGGGTTACATGTGCGGAACGTGCAGTTTTGTTACATAGGTATACATGGGCCATGGTGGTTTGCTGCACCAATCAACCCGTCACTTACATTAGGTATTTCTCCTAATGTTATCCCTCCCCAAGCCCTCAACCCCATGCAGGGCCCGGTGTGTGATGTTCCCCTCCCTGAGTCCATGTGTTCTCATTGTTCAACTCCCACTTAGGAGTGAGAACATACCACATCCTGTTCTATCAGCAGGGTCTTTGTGACCTTTATCTTGTGCCAACCTCCTATCTCATTCTGTGACTAAGAACACCTAGCCTCCTGGGAATGCAGCCCAGTAGGTCTCAGCCTTATTTTACCCTACCCCTATTCAAGATGGAGTTGCTGTGGTTCAAATGTCTCTGACAACACCTTGACCTTGGACTGCTAGCTTCCAGAACTGTGAGAAATTAATTTCTGCTGTTGAAGCTGCCCAGCCTGTAGTATCTGTTATAGCAGCCCTAGCAGATTAATCCATCACCCCTTAAAATCTACTTTTCTTTGCTCCTGTCTTTTCAGTTCCACTCTCTCTTTCTCTCCTCAACTTCCCAAAATAGCCAAGGTTCTCTATACCAATGCTTCTTACCATAGTTCCTTGCAGACTACCCAGTTATCTAAATTCAAATCAGGGTCGGTTACCTAAATAAGGTACAAAGTAATCTAGGACTGTGAAGTTATCAGGCAAGGGGTGGACTGTGAAAAGGACAGGAGGGAAGTGCTGGGAAGAAAAATCATTCAGGAAAATCACCCCTGGACCAGAGAAGGAAGACAGAATAAAAGGTGCTTGAGAGATGGAAGAACATAGTTCACCTTGGGGATGAAAAAGAAGAAGGAAGCAGTATCATTAATTGACCAATCTTCTTGTGCCAGACACCCTACAGAATTAAATGTTCCACATGTTTTATGATATTTAACCTCTTTAGTGGCATAGGGGATAGGTATTAGTATTATCCCCAACTTACTGTTGAGGAATTGAGGTTCAGAGAGGTTAGATAACTTGGCCAAGTTCTCACAGAAAAGGAGTAATTAAACCATACATCTATTCTGATCCACCTTCTTCTAGATTATGGGTCCATTATCATTACACTCTACCCCCAGATAGATAAATCAAGGAAGTGAAATTTCTAATTAATAAAGTTGAGTAAACAAGGCTCTATGCTAGTGTGGCTACTCAAACAAGATAGAGAACAAAGCAACAAGATGCAAAGGGAGAAAGAGGCATAGGAAATGACCCCAAAGACCAAACTAACCATCTGGAAATTGGTAGAGTTAACTCCCATCAAACCACTCTATCTCCTATTCTCCATCCTAATATAGGACTTAGGTCAGATTCCACACATGTATGAACATTCTTACTTGATTCCCAGCCACTAAATGATTCCCTTTCTTGCCATCCTAGCTTCCCCATCCCCATCCAACTGTATTTAAAAGGTCCTAGGAGTATTCTAACTAAGCAGCCACCAGCTGACCTCATCCACAGAATAACTTCCAACTGGCATAAATGTGTTTGTTCACCTGCTGACTCAGACACCTGCCAACACTTAGACACATCTGGGGCACCTGATGGCAAAAGCACTTTTCACCAAGCAAAACACACCTTCAAAAAACACAAAAATCATGGTGAGTTAAGCTTCAGAATTTGCTGGACAGTCATTAGGACCATAGGATTTCATTTCCCAAGAAACTCTTTGGCAAACTTAAACTTTTGCCTTTGTAGCTAAAATAGGGAAATTCAATCAAAAGAAAGTTCAGATAGGAAAATACTGGAAATAGACCACAAGCTCACAACATTCCCCAGTCCTGAGTATTTGAGCCCTAACTATTCAGTAGCTGCTTTTGCTGTGCTCTGGTTCCTGCACAATGTTGATGAAATACATTTTCTGTGTATGTGAATAGGATTTTGCAAGATGTTTATGAATTCAGAGACTTTACTGGGGACTAAAAGCCCCTGCCCTAGACACTCCACTTGTAGAGTTCATAAATCAAATGGCTAAACCTTTCCTACATCTTCCAGACACAGCTAGAAATGTTTTCAGTTGGCATAACAGCAAAAACGAGGAAGGGATTATAAGATACTCACAACCAGATTTTAAGTGGCATCACTAAAACTCTTGTGCACATGAGTCTGAAATATGTTTAAAAAACTTGAATTTCAGCCTCTCTCATTCTAATTCCTCTCTTGCTTAATATAATTTGAAGCTGTTATGGTCTTATATTAAACAATCAAGGACAAAGTAGCTTCATTATAAGTTTTTTGCACATTTTAGCATTAAGGTAAGAGTGTTATTTTTCATCACTTTCTAAATCTGTTGATCTTTATGTACATTGGTGAGATGTCACATAAGTGAATTTTAATCACTCTATTGCTTGTTTTAATTTTTTAAAGAATATTTTTGAACACTTATCAGTAAGGTTTTTAGTATACTATTATCTGCAAAGTGTTGCTGAAATTATATTTTTCTACTCTGATGATTGAAATTTGATGCCATAAAGAAATTTGTATTTGTTGTACTGATTAGAGTTGTGAATGAATCTCATAACCTTAACATCCAGTTTTAACATTATTGAAAATCTATCTCCCACATACTAAATTACTTCCATGACAATTATCAATATAATATGACTCCTTTAGCTCTTGAATAACTTATTTCTGTTTTTGTTATTCTTAGTCAAAGGTTTCAAAACAGACTTCAAACCCCAAATGGATTTTATGCCTTGATGCTCTCATGTCCAGCCATTAATCAGGTTAACTACAGCAATTTATAGATTAATCATAGTAATTAGAAATGCATCTTTATGTAGAAAAGTAAGGCCAACTAATTTTATCTCAACTTTCTGGTCCTAATATTACCCATTTGAAACATTCTGCAGACCAGCCTGGCCAACATGATAAAACCCCATCTCCACTAAAAATACAAAAATTAGCCAGGCGTGGTGATGCGCACCTGTAATCCCAGCTACTCAGGAGGCTGAGGCAAGAGAATCGCTGGAACCTGGGAGGGGGAGGTTGCCGTGAGCCGGGACTGAGCCACTGCACTCCAGCTTGGGCGACAAGACTGAAATTCCGTCTCAAAAAAAAATAAAAACATTTTGCATACCATCATTTTAGTACATCTCTATTGAAAACAAAGCATCATCTTTTCCTTATTCTTTATAAAACTTTCCAATGTTTGGAGGAATTTCCAAATTGATCATAAAAATAAGTTGAAAGAAGGAAAAGTATTTTCAGTCCAACAATTTAAACTGGCTTTGTGCCTCAAGCTAAAGTAAATTATGTCAAGGAAAGTTTATTTTGGTCGATAGATATGCCTATAAATATTCTTCCTCTTCTTTGAAAGAGGGTGACAGAGAGGGTCTAGGATTCCAGAAAGGTATATTCCAAACTGCTGATAACTCACAAGCCAAAGAAACAGCTGACATTACTACCCTTCATAGTAAAACATAGAAAGATTTAGCCCAAATGGAATTGTTTACTGGCAGCATACGTTAAATGTCTCAGTGCTAAAAAATCTTTCAAAGAATATACAACTTTCTATGCCAATCAGGAAACTTTCATGGAAAATCTGCCTTAATTCTCATTTATACTTTTAAAAAGTAGGTAACTATTGATCCTATATTTAAACACTTCCAAAAATGTTTTTAAATTCCCAAAACAATTTAGCTATTATTGTTATGGATTATTAATCCCCTTATAATTTTTTACAGTAATAGCAAAGAGAAGGCTAATTCTTTAAAGGACATTAGCAATAATCTCTCTCCTATATCTAGGCAACAAATATGTGTTAATCACTTACTAAAGTCGCAATAAACTCTGTAGGAGGATATAAAAACATACAGTAATTTAAAATATGTAAAGAAAATAAAATATGTAAAGAAAATAAAATATGAAGGAACATTTTAAGAGATAGATTGGATAAAGGATAGTAAAGACAAAGGATAGTAATGACAAAGTATCACGTGAGCTCAAAAAAAAATAACGTGGTTTTTGCCTAAAGGGTAAACGGATGATTTTATAATGCAGGTGCCCATTCAGCCGGGCCTCCAAGGATGGTCAGGATGTGTGATCCCGTGAAGCAAAGTGGGACACCTTCCAGCAAAGAGAACTGAAAAGGAGACAGAATGAATGAGAAAGTATTCAGCTAGAAAATGCAAAATACCCTGAATCTTAAAATCCTCAAATACTGACAAATCCTGCAAATATTGAGGCAAAAGAGGTCCTGTCCAAAATGCAAATTAAATATGTGAGCACCTGACATTAGTCATTTTAAAATAAAAGTTTATAAAATCCAGCCTTTCTTTATAGCAATGTGAGAATAGATTAATATAGTAATGTCTGCATTCCTCATTTTTCATACACACAGACACGCAAACGCACAAACATGCAGGTGTTCTATCTTTTTCTTTCTCTCCTCTTTCTTTCTTATTTTTTAGGAACAGTTTTTCCCATGACTACAAGAAGTCTCCCACAACTTGATCTTCCATCAAAATGGAGCTTTGGCTGCCTTCTATCAAACATCTGAAGGCCCATTTTAATCAAAGTTTTGATGTCCTCTAAAACAGATGCCACCAGGTTCCCAAGCCACTCAGTGAGACTTCTCATCTAGATATCAAAAGATTTGTGTTTCCTACTTCTTCTTTTTAGCCTTGAAAAAGTAAAAGATTTCGCCTCAGTCATCAGTGAATTATGAATGAGAGTGCAGGATTAATGTGTGCTACGGGACATGAGAGGTGCATATGGAACTCTTCCTTACTGTGTGTCACATGTTAAAAAATATTTTTTAAAGCATTTTGTAATCCTGTAGGCGTGATATTATTTTAATAATGTAAAGTACTATCTAAGTGTACATCATTACTACTCTAACTTGTAGAATTATTTAAAGAATAAAAAGTTCTCCTCAAAAAATTTCTCAAATCATGTATAAAAATGTTATATAGGCTGGGTGCAGTGGCTCATGCCTGTAATCCCAGCACTTTGGGAGGCCGAGACAGGCGGATCACGAGGTCAAGAGATCGAGACCATCCTGGCCAACATGGTGAAACTCCGTCGCCACTAAAAATACAAAAATTAGCTGGGCGTAGTGGCACACGCCTGTAGTCCCAGCTACTTGGGAGGCTGAGGCAGGAGAATCGCTTGAACCCAGGAGGCGGAGGTTGCAGTGAGCCGAGATCGCGCCACCGCACTCCAGCCTGGCAACAGAGCAAGACTCTGTCTCAAAAAATAAACTAATCAATTAATTTTTTAAAAAGACCAGGCGCAGTGGCTCACGCCTGTAATCCCAGCACTTTGGGAGGCCGAGGTGGGCAGATCACCTGAGGTCAGAAGAGGTCAGGAGTTCAAGACCAGCCTGGCCAACATGGCAAAACCTCATCTCTACTAAAAATACAAAAATTAGCTGGGCGTGGTGGCGGGCACCTGTAATCCCAGCTACTCGGGAGGCTGAGTAAGAAGAATTGCTTGAACCCGGGAGGCTGAGGTTGCAGTGAGCCAGGCCTGCGCCATTACACTCCAGCCTGGGCCACAAGAGTGAAACTGACTCAAAAAAAAAAAAAAGTTATACAATAGGCCCAATAATAAAAATAAGATGAGATGTAGTTGTGGACAGTGTTGATACATACTACTCTTTATTTTAAAAATGAATCCATATGCTTTGGACGCAGTATCCTAGATTTTATGGCTAGATCATGTAATAACAGTGATGCTAATTTTCTTCGCTAAACAGCCATCATTCCTAACATCTCTAAATGACACCATCCTAGGCAAGTTCTTCATCAGCTACACAGCTGTGACACAAGACGATGTGCAGCGTAAAATGTTCTGCCACATCTGCTTGGTCTTTCACATATTTAACTCAGCTTTCATCTCTGAAGTACAAAGATAATTATTTCCAGAAGTCTCTGAAGGAAGCTTGACCATTGGAGGACATGGGGTGTTAGAGATTTGCTTGTCTTTCAGACAGTAAGAAAAAGTGAAAATCTTCAAGAAGGATTTGTGAGGTCCTATAGGGAATACCTGTTTTACAGTTAAATTTCCATCTTAGAGGATGAGAAATCTACTATACATCAGAAAATCTCACAGGGATGTGGGGAAGTATGTTGTTCAGTAGTCATTCCAATGATTTGGAGAGCTCCATGAATATATAAAAAGGGAAGATCAAAACCTATCCTGAAATACTCAAAAGCCCCTAGTGGTAACTGGTTTCTAGCTTTGGCATGGAGTTGCACACAAGCCCCATCTGAATAAGAAAAGATGGGTTATAACAAATAAACATTAATTCAAATATTTCTGCCAACACAGCTCAGATTTCACTATCATTGTGCTAAAACATATTATGTGACTATTAAGTTTCCTTTTATTAATGAAACAAATTAAAACAGTTCCTATTGGCTTAAAATTTTGCAGGTGCTTTTGATTTTGTTACTATTAAGTCACAATGTTCAGAAATAGCCTAATTTTTTTCTTTTCCTCCATTCTACGTGATTTGGTTATGATGAGATGAAAAAATTAATTATGATTAGGTTCTTTATCTGTTGGTAAAATTAAAGAATTTTATATCCTGTCAGCTAAAACAGAAAAACAATTGATAAATAGCAGGGATATACTTGGTTATTATCCTGATAAAACCATAAAAGTTAGAACCGTGGATTTTAAAAATGACATATGTACATCAATATATATCTCACCACTCCCATGTAGGTAACCATTACTTTGTAAAGGTTACCATTACAATAACGAATCTGTTGAATTCAAACTGTGTGGCAAACACAGTGCTAAGAGCTTTCCTTCTTTTATCTTTTATATGTTTTAACTTTTAATTATCAAAATATTCAAAAACACACAAAAGTTGAAAAGTATAACTCATTCTCATCATTCATCCTCTACAATTACAAGCTCATAGCCAATCTAGTTATTTCTATACCCTCACCCATTTCCTCTTATCTGCACTATTTTGAAGTATATCTTCACCTTCATATATTTCATCCATAAACGTTTCACTGTATAATGTCTAGAAGATAAGGATTCTTTTTAAGAAAACAATATTATCTTATGTAATACTCAAAGCAACCTCATGGAGTTGGTAGTATTAATACTCCCATTTCCCAGGTGAGAAAACTAAAGCTTAGAAGTAAAGCATCTTGTCCAACGTACCTAGCTAGCATGTAATCTATTATACCAGGGATTCAAATGCAGCTCTATCTAAATTCAAAGACAAAGCTCCTGAACATTACATTGACTCATTAGTACATGATAACTTCACTTGCTAGAAATGTTTCTGATTTTTGAACACCTCAATAATGATTGGTACTTCATGTTAGCAAACACCAGGGAAGTAAAAATAGTCCTAATCGCTTCAAGATAAAAAAAAATTACTGAAGGTGCTAGATGACATGAATTTCTAAAAACTAAGGTGATCACAGAAATCATTATATGCTTCTTTCCCTGCTCTCTTAAGTTCATCAAAACTTACAACTTAAACATACAGAGTCCTGAGTTTCCAGCTCTAAAGTAAGAAAAACCCCTGCTCTTTGCTACTCTGAAGCCACAGCCAGCCCTAAGCCATAACCCTGCAGCCCAAGATATGGGTAAGTCTCAGGAGTGAATTCTTTACAACTTATGACTTCTCCACAACACTGTTACATGCCCTAGTTATGTGGAGGCAATACATAAGTGCTGCTGGCTGGTGACAGTTTTAGTTGTTTGTTTTTAATGTTGCCATTCTACACAGATCCTTAGACAAATAAAATATACATTCTAAAGTAATTTTTTCATGCATAAGGATTTTTCTCTGAGTCACATGTGTCACTGTAATTGTTGTAAAGTCAGCATGGAATTACTTCCATGTTCTGCAAGTATGAATAATGACAAACTATTACATAACAAAATTTCTAGTTGAAGCAGTGCTATGTAATCACAGCCATTTCCATGCGAATTACCCTAGACATCATTCTGGCCTAGAGAAACCTAACCTGCAATTTACTATTGTCAGGTCACATAGAAGTAGTTGTCATAGAGGCGGGCCCTTGGAATAGTCAAGGGTCCATCAAAAAGAGTGATTTCCTTGGGTATATGATGATTGAATGTCTGAGGAGGCTGAACTGATAGAAGGGAAAACTGCAAAATATTTTCTTGGCATTCCTAACATTGAACTTACATACTTGTCTATATTTAAATAAGATTCATTCCCTTCTAGCACATCTTATCTTTATAAAAACAAATAAAACATACTCAGTAATTTTTCATTTGCCATTTGGTTCGTTGGCCTTTTCCTTTATAATATTCAACTCTGTGACTATGTACAAGCACTGTGGACACAAATACAGGTAAGTCACAGGTTTGCCCTCACAATTGGGAGAAGTAAGTACACTGATAACTATAATACATTGCAGTATAAGATGTCTCATGAGAAGAAAATATGAATGAAGTGCTATTGGGTTGGAGATGAGGGTCAAAGGAAGGATTGACATGATCCAAATGAGATGGAATTTTAAAATTGTGGCATTTTGGATACGCTTTTAGGACACCTCTTCTTAGCCTTCTTTACTCGTGTCACCTCTCCAGGAGTATTTCCACAACTCCTCTCTAAGCCTGCATTATGTGACCATTTGTAGTATTCCCATATGTCTGTCAATGCCCTTCCTGGAGGTCCTAAAATGACGCTGCTAAAATAATGCTGCTACAACATGTGTTGGTTGAATTTGAGGGCTTTGATTTATTTATCTTTGTATCACCTTTGCAGTCCTAGCACAGAATAGGTGCTCAAAATTTTGTTAAATCAATGAACAATGTTAAAATTTACATAAGACTATACCTCAGAGGACAGATAGTATTAGAGGTACAGATTTGAAAATCACCAGCATAGAAGCACTGGTTGCAGAATTTAAAGTTGATGAGTTCCCCCAAGGAACATGGTACACAGGAAAAAAAGATAAGCCCTTGGTGAACTATCTTCTCAATGAGATCTACTCTTATTCATGCTTCCTGCTGCCTGCTTCCAATCACCCACATTTCACCCTCACTCAGAATGCCCCTTATCCTGCTTGCATTTTCCTTTTTTCAACTGAATTTTAATATACCATGTAATTTTAACTTATTTATTTTATTTACTATTTTCTAACTCTTGTTGCTAACATATAAGTTCATGAGGGTTGGGATCTTAGAATATTCTGTCCATGAAATGTAGTCCAAGCACCTAGAATATTATAAGCACTCAATAAATATTTGTTGAGTTAATGAATAGCTGCCTATATTTAGAGTACTAAATAAGAAGAGAAAGAGCAAAAAGGGTAGTCATAATTTAGGAAGATAAACACAAGATCACCCTGTATAATAGAAAGGGAGATATGAATTTTAATAAGTAAGGGGTAGATAGTAATTGAGATAGCTATGAACAATTTTAGGAAGAAGGAATCAGAGAAGAAACTTTTGGATTTAGCAAATCAATGATGATTGACAATTCCAGAAAAATTTCTATGGTAATGATCAAGGAAATCAGATAGCAAAAGATTGAAAATTGAGAGAGAATGGCATCTAGCAAACACCACTCTTTTGAGTAATTTAGTGGCAAATAGCACAAGCAGTAAAAAAGAAGTTTGTGGTAATAATAGGGATGATAAAATTGTAGATGATTTTAAAACAAGGGGCAAATGGCCATTTGGTAGAATGCAGGAAAAATACTAAAAAGGAGTTGTAAGGTAATATTGGGGGAAAAAAATGAAGCAGGCAGTGATGATAACATGAACACAGGTAAGTTTAACCTTTTCAAATAGTCAGCAAACTCTTTCTTCCAAAACACTAATAAAAAGGAGACGACAAGTGCTATAGAGACAGATTATTTAGAAGAGAATACAAAGGGGCTCCTGTATCATAGACATTTCTGTGCATAATTGTAGCTATATCAGTTTATAGGTATATGTTCCACTCTGTTCACACATGAATATTATCAACAATATTTATCAGGAGGCTGGATCATAATCCATTTGCTTACTTTCCACCTGCATGGATATCAGTGATGCAATACAGCAAGTTAATTTATTCAAAAATATGCATGAGCTGCCCATTATGGGCCCATCCTTGCTCTAGGCAGTAGAGCTACAGCAGTGAACAAAAGAGATGAAACGCTCTTCCAGAGAAGAGAAAGAATAAAGAGAATAAATAAGTCAAACATATGATATATTAGATGATGATATACGCTAAGAAAAAAGAGTGAACAGGTGGGAGGGAAGGTAATGTCAAAAACTGTGGAGGGTCTGAGAATTTACCCTAATTGCAAGCTAACAAATTAACCTGAAATGGTTTTATGGATGCCAGCAGAAGACATAAGACTTTACTGCTCACAGCAAGCAGTAACCAGAGTATCAGATTGTACTATTTTTCCAAGGCCGAATTCCCACAGGGTGATGAGAAGATGGCCAGGTGTGAGCTGCATTATAGGAGAGAAGATCTGAGCCCAGGGAACCCAAATACTTTCTGATAGACAGCCTGCCTGGCTTTTCCACCACAGGAAGCCATTATCATTTATATATTGAAAGCAATCATGTCTTTTCTTTGTTCTGCAGATCAATGCTATTTCTATCTTCCAAGGGTGTTAGTGATACCAACATCATTAAAAGGATAATCCAGAATAAAAAGCGCTCAGTGTTTTGCTTACATGATATGCAGAAACATGAAAGACACATGGAGAATTGCTTCTCAATAATATCAACTTCTTCTTTAAAAGGAGGGGTCCAAAACTATAAAAACGTTGGAAGAAAACCGAGGCAATGCCATTCTGAACATAGGAGCAGGCAAAGATTTAATGATGAAGACATAAAAGCAACTGCAACAAAAGCAAAAATTGACAAATGGGATCTACTTGAACCAAAGACCTTCTGCACAGCAAAAGGAACTATCAACAAAGTGAAAGAGACATCCTACAATGGGAGAAAATGGGAGAAAATTTTTGCAAACCATGCATCTGACAAAGGTCTAATCTTCAGAATCTATAAGGAACTTAAACACTTTACAAGAAAAAAAAACCCATTTAAAAGTGGGCAAAAGACTTGGACACTTTTCAAAAGAAAACATATATGTGGCCAACAAAAATGTGAAAAAAGCTCAACATCACTGATTATTAGAGAAATGCAAATCAAAACCATAATGAGATACTATCTCACAGACAAAATGGTTGTTATTAAAAAGTCAGTGTTGGTAGGAATGTAAACCAGTACAACCACTATGGAAAACAGTGTGGAGATTCCTTAAAGAACTAAAAGTAGATCTACTGTTTGATCCAGCAACCCCACTACTAGGTATTTATTCAGAGAAAAAGAAGTCATTATACAAAAAAGATACTTGCACACTCGTGTTGATAGCAGCACAATTTGCCACTGCAAAAATATGGAACCAGCTCAAATGCCCACCAATCAACGAGTAGATAAAGAAAATGCGTATATGGTACATGGTATATATATGTATACACCATGGAATGCTACTCAGCCATAAAAAGGAATGAAATAATGGAATTCACAGCAACCTGGATGGAATTGGAGACTGATTATTATTCTAAGTGAAGTAATTCAGGAATGGAAAACCAAACATCATATGTTCTCAATCATATGTGGGAGCTAAGCTATGAGGATGCAAAGGCATGAGAATAATACATTGGACTTTGGGAATTCAGGGGAAGAGGTGGGGGTTGGTGAGGGATAAAAGACTACACATTGGGTACAGTGTACACTGCTTTGATGCATGCACCAAAATCTCAGAAATCACCACTAAAAAATTTATTCATATAATCAAACACCACCTGTTCCCCCAAAAAGCCTATTGATATAAAGGTATTAATTTTTTTAAATAAGGTAATGTAAATTTTAAAAAAGAATCATTGTTATTAAAAAGTCAAAAAAAAAGATGCTGGTGAGGTTGCAGAGAAAAGGAACACTTCTACACTGTTAATGGAAGTGTAAATTAGTTCACCCATTGTGGAAAACAGTGTGGCAATTCTTCAAAGAGCTAAGAACAGAAATACCATTCGACCCAGCAATACCATTACTGGGTACATACCCAAAGGGATAAAAATCTTTCTATCATAAAGACAAATGTACATGTATGTTCACTGCAGCACTATTCACAATAGCAAAGACATGGAATCAACCTAAATGCCCATCAATGGTAAACTGGATAAAGAAAATATGGTACATATACACTATGGATTACCGTGCAGCCACAAAAAAAGAATGAGATCACGTCCTTTGCAGAAGGGTAGATGGAGCTGGAGGCTATTATCCTTTGCAAATGTATGCAGAAACAGAAAACCAAATACTGCATGTTCTCACTTATAAGTGGGAGCTAAATGATTAGAACACTTGGACACATAGAGGGGAATAACATACACTGGGACCTCTTGGAGAGTGGAGGGTGGGAGGAGGGAAAGGTCAGGAAAAATAACTATTCGGTACTAGGCTTAATACCTGGGTGATGAAATAATCTGTATAACAAACCTCCATGACACAAGTTTAGCTATATAACAAACCTGCACATGTGCCACTGAACATAAAATAAAAGTTAAATTTTTAAAAAAGGATGGAGTCAGGCTTAGCTTGAATTTCTTCATGAGAATGCCACTCTATTCATCTCTCTGATGAATCGTACTGACACAGGCTAAGACCAAATCTGTTCAATTTGTCTCATACGGCCATTAATAAGGCTACTACCAACAGAACACCAAGAAGCAGGATGAGGCCAACCTGCGGTCTTAACCTCAACCATGCTACCCAGAGTCCAGGACTCAACCAAATAAACAAAGCCCCTAAACCATCATGGCCTTCCCTAGAAAGTCAGGTGAAAGCTGACATGCCTAAAGGCTCTTTGTTGACTTCTCCACTTCACCCAAGGCATCAACCCAGTTGACTGACTGAGCAAAGGCACCTGACAATGAGGATGGGAAAAGCAGCCATCTAGAGGTGTTAACAGGTGTTTCGCATGGAAAGCCCGGAAGCTGAGGCCATTCTCTGCAGTTTTCAATAGATTTCTCAGTAAAGTTAAAGTGGAATGGTGATAAAATCATAGTCAGAGGGGTCTGGGAGAGGATGGTAGATCCATCCATTATATTTAAGTAACTTGAAGCTCTTTGGGAGAGCTGTACCAGGGCATTTTCATTTCTAAGAAAGAAGCCAGGAGTATTCTGAAAGTAAAGATTTCTAATGTTTCTCTCTCCCTCATATGATGCGGGGCATGAATGTTCCCTCCCTGAGAGCCAGGGCTCTTGCTCTTCCTCTAATGTCATAAAAATCAGTGTGTCTCATTTCAGCAGATGTAACTTCATCTTTTTTGCAATTATCTCCAACTTACACCCAGACCTATGTAGTACAGTACATATAGAGAGAACATAGAGTGTAGGTAGAAAGACAAAGACAGTTTTGTAAAACAGAGACCCATTATGTCTTCAAATTTAGCCCACAAGGGACACTATCATCCATTTCGTAAGATGTTATTCTAACAGTCAACAATATCAGATGCCTTTGAAGCTCAGGAGGTTCTATGACTCCTTGACTATTAGTGCACTACTCATGGCTCTGCAATAAAAGCTCATCATGGTGAGATTGCAAGTGGTCTAGAAAACTGAAAACCTGGCACAGACTGGTTTCAAGACTCCCATTAATGTCACCCAGGGTTGCCTGATCAGACCGCAGCAGCAAGCAACTCTGTAAACTGAAAGAGTCAGCAGCAGTGAGGCAACCCTGAGAGCCCCACTCAACAGGCTGTAGGTTCCACGAGCCAATGTGCAACACAAGTTCCTTTTGTCAGGAGTCACAAATCTATGTGAACTGTGTTATGGGGTAAATCGTGCCCTGCCCCCCGAAATTCCTATGTTGAAAGTTTTAACCGCCAGTACATCAGAATGTGACTATATTTGGAGAGGATATCTTTAAAGAGAGCAGTAAGTCAAAATGAGGTCATTAGGCTCATGATGAGGCTATCTCTAATCAGCAAAACTATCAATCACCAAGACATATATAGCTTTATTGAGCCTTAACCCAATATGACTGTGTCTTTATAGGAAGAGGAAACTTTGACTCAGACACAACACAGAGGAACACCATGTGAAGACATGGAGAGAAGACAGCCATCACCATGCCAAGGTGAGAGGCATCAAAGGAGCCAACCCTGCCAACATCTTGATCTTAGACCTCCAGCCTTTGGAACTGTAAGAAAATAAATTTCTATTATTTAAGCCACCTGGTCTGTGATACTTTGTTATGGTGAGTTTAGCAGACTAATACACAGTGGTAGCTTCTGCATCAGAAACATCGTCCTTTACTTTGTGCCCAGTCTCTGGTGGTGGATGTGTTGCCATGTCTGGGTTGTTGATGGGTCCAGTGAGCTCTGGCGGTCAACTGGGTGGTGGAGGCTCTATCATCAGTTTGAATCCAGTCAGTATCATCAGAGAACAGTCTCTAACTGTAGCCATCTATACCAGTGACCCAATAGTGTGATCAGGATTTGTTTCCACATTTTGGGACCCCAAAAAGGGGTATTTAATCAGCCAACCTGTAGTTTTCCAAGTGGCAAACCAACCAAATAGGCCACTAGCAATAGCCCAAGTGTTAGTGAAAATACAAATTCATCAAGGGGAGTGTTGATCAGAGCTGGGAGAATGACCTTGAATTCTGCTCACTGAGTAAACTCGCTGTGTCCACTGTAGGTACTGCTTAGCTGTGCTGAGATTGAAAACACAGCAGCCCAGGGGTACTATCAAGTTTTATCTCAGCCAAACCAACAGTGAACCCAGTCCTAGACATTCAAGAAAACTCTGTGTACCCAGTGTCCCATTGGGGCAGCAGCTTTGTTTCAGGTGGTATAATAGGAGATAAAGATACTGGGAAAAAAAAAAAAGCTGCCACTTTTTTATAGAAAGTCAAGATACCACTGGAGCCAGGCCAGCTGAATTCTTAAATATATCCTTTTCATTTGGTAAGTAAGGCTTACTTCCCAGCGTGCTAGTCACTGGATCCAAATTGACCCACCACAAAACAGGAATATCAGGCTGGAGGGGCACAAGGCTTCCATGGGACAGACAGGCATTCAATGTCAACAAACACCCAATAAAAGCTAAGAGCTGCTTTTTAAAAGGAGAGTATCAGGCAGCCATGTCTAGGAGGCCACAAGTCTGAAGCAGCAAGAGCTTCCTGACAGAGGCTACCTCTAATCAGCAATGCCATCAGTCACCACAATGTGTATAGCTTTAAGGGGACATTTGAGTTGTTGGACTACAAAGAGAGCATGCTTCAGTTTGCTGCACAGCTTTCAAAGTAGCCTATTGGTTGGGTCCCATTCAAAGACTGCAATCTGTGGGTCAGCCAATGCGAAAGCTTAAGTAGAATGCTCAAGAGAGGCACGTGCTCTCTCCAATGCCCAGAGTCTAATAAGATCCTGAGTCTTTTTTTTTTCTTTTATTTCCTGCAGGACTGATGAGACAGCAGTTTTTTCTTGACTTTCAGAGAAACTGAACAGTGTGAATCCACTCCCAAAATAAGAAGAACCTTTATTTGGTGAGCAGGCCACCGAATTTTGTTGGCATTTATCAACCACGTCCCTGCTAGTGAAGGTGTCACAGCATCACAATCTGGGCTATTGAGACTGAAACATCTGCCACGTCAACCAACAGGACAGCACCTGTGTAGTGAGAGCTGAGGACATCAGAAAGCAAGGGCACTCATGTTAAATCCTGACCCAACCCAGTGGCAAATGGCAGAGAAGTCCCTCTATCACTGGGCTACATTCTGCTATGGGTTGTGTCACTGGGGAGGAACATGGAGCTTTGGGACTTCAGTGCCGGCCCATTACTCCAGAAGATGACATTCTTTCTAGTTTACAAGACTTCAAGCAAACCTGCCCTTATCTTGATTGAGTACTTATAAGAATGTTTGCTTCATGAAGGCAGGAATTTTATGCCTTTTTCACTTCCATATTTCTAGCCCCTAAATAGTAAAATAGTAGGCTCAAGATAGATACTTGTTGAATGCGGTTTAATTATGAAAATGCCTGATTTTCCTACTGAGATGAGTGACAACCACTTTCAGGTCAAATGGATTCTGAGACTATTTCCTACTAGGGATTTAAATATCAATTTGGAAACAATTTATAATATCATTTTAAATCATGTTTCTAAGTAATAAAAAAAGGATAAAATCAAGCCAAAATGACTATACTGCCTTCATTGTTTCTAACAAATTAATTGTTTTAATTTGCAAATACTTTTTAAAGCATTAACGTATTTATCTGTTTCAATGAGTTGACTTGAGGTAAAAGCCAGGTGGGACATGCTAGGTAAACTAATGAAATAATACATTATTTTTTGAGAATAATGAAAATATCAAAAAAGGAATTGCTTTTAACCATACACTTGCATTCACGTTTTTCTTCCCTTGGGAGAACATCAGTTTATTGATTTTTATAATTAATCTGGACTAACAGATGTCTGACTGATTAGTTCTGGTAACAATATTTGTCATTTTTGATATCTTCTCAGCTGTTCCATATGGGATTTTTTTTTAATTTCTATAGTTTCTTAAATCAGAGCCAATGTGTAGTCATTTCTTGACATTTATGACTCAAATTTTGGTACTGCTAAACTTTTAAGAATTTCTCACACTTAGTTCTCATATTTCTGCATTCTTCACAGAAACAACTGCAATCTCCTCTTTCTTCAACTTTAAGGATGAGGCTGACACTGTCAACACTGTGAGAAAAGTAATGCTAGATGGGGGCATGAATATCCTAGAAGTGTTCTAAAAAGGAGCTTTGTTAGAGGACAGGTAGGTAGAAGATGCTGAAAAGCATGGCTTTCCCAGATGCCCTTTCTAGTATCATCACAGTAAGAAACAGCGGTATGACCAATAAAACTAAATAAAACAAAAACCAAGCTTTGTTCGGGTAGTACAGTTTGTGGTCAAGAACATAAGTTCTGGAATTGTACAATTTGGATCCCAGTTCTGACTCTAGCTCATGATCCTGGATGAGTTATTTAACCACTCGGTTTCAGCTTCCCCATATAGAAAAATGGGATTAATAGTATCCCAACCAACCGCACTACTGGGAAGACTAAAAAGAGAACACTTGCAAGGCACTTATCACAATGTCTGGCAGACAGTGAATTCTCACTAAATCTTTGCTATTAACTATCGTTTTGAACTTCAATTGGCTAATCATACTTATCAAAATACCTTCTGGGAAGTGCAAGTCTTTAGTCAATATTGCACGTGTGTTTACCAAGGGCCTACTCAGCAATATCGCAGTCATAAATACTCATTATGTTGCTGATAAAGTCTATCTTAGCCATGTTCTCTAGAAACAGAGCCCAAGGCAAAGCAGATGTGCTAACACTTTATTGGGGGAGTACAATCCAGGAATGCAGTCATGAAAGCAAATGTGAGGGAGATAGAAGGGAGTGTGTTGTTCTGGATACAGCTTCATGATAAGTTGACTGCCCTTTTGCACAAGATCTCTCTGGTGGACGTTTATGAAAGTATGGTCCTTTTAGGGTAAAGGAGAGAATAAAACTTATCTACCAGCACTCACACTATTCAAAATTTGCCCCACAACCATTAACACTTATAGGTTCTATATACACGGGTGACCATCAGATTCCCTAGTATCCTGCTAACTTCTCAGCAGCAGGGAAGCCACAGGACCAGAAAAAGAGGTGTTCATTGAGGAGAGTAAGTTAATGATTTAGGAACATTTCTATGAAAAACACAAGGAAGTATGGAGAAATTGCCACAGCAGGCCCACTCATCTATAGGAACAGGGACACCTCCGGCCAGAGAGCAAGGCAAGTGCATGGGGCTGGGGTAATGACTCAGCTCACTGATGCACACACTAGCTTAGGGAGCTCTGAGCTGAGGGAAACAGGATTG
The DNA here is from genome assembly GCF_000001405.40 of Homo sapiens. NCBI lineage: Eukaryota > Metazoa > Chordata > Mammalia > Primates > Hominidae > Homo > Homo sapiens. The sequence goes on from NC_000004.12 coordinate 174,193,739, forward strand.
AGAATTACTAGACTAATCAAATCATACCTCTTTCTTTTCTAAATTTTCTGGGCCTGGGGTATATCAAGTTTATCTGAATGTCTCAAGCTCTCATGGATGGACTTTTCTATCTCCATTAGGCCCCAAGAAATCTACTATCGTAACTGATTTTCAGTCTTTTCAAATCCCATTTTATTATCTGTCATATGAATGAATGAAATAATAAAAAATCAAATACAGACAAAAAACAACTGAAGCAACCTATAACAGTACAGTTAGAAAACATGACACACATAAAGAAAAGAACTTCCTCAATTATTGTTTTCAAAAGTGATGTTAAAAACTGCTCATATTGAATAATATTTAGACAAAAGTATCTTTAGGGTGTCTGTGCAAGTTAGTGTTTCACATGCATTTTACTGAGATGCCATGATCCCTGGAGGCAAACCAGAGCTACTTTGGGTATATCACATAACTGAAAAATAGCTACTTTATCTCAAAGAAAATATGAGATAATTGGAAAACTTTAAAGAAATATTCTAGTTAAATCTGAATGGAAAGAGGTGTGAAACAGATGAAAAATATGAAGATTTTTTAGATGATGCCTGGCTCACAGAGATCCTACTTTAGTCTGTTAGACCGGCTTCACCAAACAGCAAATAAATTGCCACTGCACTGAAGTGAATTTGATCATAACATGAACAAAAATAACAGCAGTTTTAGAAATTAAAAAGAATTAAAGGGAGAATGGTACACTAGATCATCTGAAGCAGGTCTCTAATACATTAGAAAAGCTGGACAAAATGTATAAAATATTTACTTTAAGGCATGGTAAAGCTTACGTGTTAATGAAGTTACTAGTTCAGGATCCTGAAGTATAAAAGATAATCAGAAAAGTAAGTCCAGCTCTGTGGCCACTTTTCCCCTGTTTTGTGGGGTTCTGTCCTCTTAATCTGAAAGAGAAAAGGTGAGAGAGGGAATGGTGCTTTTGACTGAGAGAACAGAAACAGTCCAGAGCCTGCCAAAGGGAGTTCCCAGTTGAATTCTCCTTATTTTGAGTTGAAACTCTGGAGGAATGAACCTTCAGATGAAAAGGGTGAAAGAAAAGATAAGAGTGGGGTGGTGGTGTACAGCACTCATAGGAACTGTAATTGAGCTTAAAATCATCTCAATACTGAAATTGAGTTAAGATAATCCCACTTGGCTCGTGCTTCCAGTTACTTGGTAGGGGGAAAAGCAAATCCTCTCTGGAAATTACAACAGTACCCTGTTTTCCAGAATATTATTAAAAACAATTGTGTAAACACAATGTTCAGAGAATATTTTTTAAAAGCAGGTACAAAAAAGCAACACTAGTGAAAAACAGCAAAAACAAACAATACAAACACACTCACAGGAACACCTAATTTGGAGTTAACATTTACTATGTTCAAGGTCAGGGACAATATTTCAAATTTAAGTAGAGCACTAAAATCTATTTTTAAAAATGAAAATTTCAGAACAGAAAATGAAATAACCAGAATTAAAAAGCTCAATGGATGAGTTTTATAGTAAATCAAATACGGTTGAAGAGAGATTTGTGAACTGAGATGTAAATCCGAAGAAAATTTTCAAAATGAAGCATAAAGGGACTAAAAAACAGAAAATACAGAAGAGAAAATAAGAATGATTCGGAGATATAGTATAGTATAAAAGTTTAACAACAATGGATAGAAGCTCCAGAAGAAAAAAGGAAGAGAATGAACAGGAGTTATATTTAAAGGCAAAATCACTGGGAATGTTCATAAACTGATGAAATAAATGAAGCCAAAATTGAAAAAACTATAAATGCACAAAAAGGAAAAACTAAAAAATAATCAGCAACTACTCACATCATTATAATACTAATGTTGAAACCCATGCTGAAAACTAATCCAAAGAGAAAATCATAAAAGCAATTAAAAGAAAAAGAACAGGATGGGCACGGTCGCTCACGCCTGTAATCCCAATGCTTTGGGAGGCTGAGGCAGGTAGATCACCTGAGATCAGGAGTTTGAGACCAGCTTGGCCAACATGATGAAATCCCATCTCCACAAAAAAAAAAAAAAAAAAAAAAAAAAGGAAAAAGTAGCCAGGCATGGTGGCGCATGCCTGTAATCCCAGCTACCCAGGAGGCTGAGGCAGGAGAATTGCTCGAACCCAGGAGGCGGAGGTTTCAGTGAGCAGAGATCGCAGCACTGCTCTCCAGCCCGGGCAACAGAGCGAGACTCCATCTCAAAAACAAAACAAAACAAAACAAAAAAAAATACCTTCCATGGAGCAGCAATTAGAAGGACAGCTGACTTCTCAACAGAAACAACATGAGCAAACAACAACAACAATTTAAAAATGCAAACAAAAAAACAAAGCAAAAGACAAAAAACCAAAAACCCAGAAAGCTATATTTAAAGCATTTAAAAAATAATAATCTAAATTAGAATTACAGTATATGCCTAACAAGAATACCCTCCAAAAATGAAAATACATTTTCAGACAAACAAAAACTGGGCAAATTCATCTCCAGCAGACTTGAACTTAAAGTATGTTTTACGCTGAAGAAAATGTTTCCCTGAGGAAAACTCAGAAATCCAAGAAGAAATAGAGAGCAAGAAACCTGATGCATATTTGGGTAAATCTAAATGAATTCGGTATCTGATAAAAGACTCCTATAGGGAATGTCTTTGTAATGTTGCTAACCAAGGACTAAAACATCAAGGTATATGCAGCTTCAAGTGTGCCTCCAAGTTAGCACGACCATAACCTTGAGTTCAGCTGCTTTTGCTTCAGAACTCTGCTGTCTAACCTGGTAGCCACTAGCCACACGTGACTACTGAGCACTTGAAATAAGGTTAGTATAAATTGAGAAATGCTGTAAAGATCAAATACACACTGAAATGAAAGAACTTTGTTGTTTTGTTTTGTTTTTTAAGTCAGGGTCTCGCTGTGTTACCTGTGCTGGAGTGCAGTGGCCGATCATGGCTCACTGCAGCCTCCAACTCCTGCGCTCAAGTGCTTCCCCCGCCTCAGCCCCCAAAGATACTGTGATTATAAGCATAAGCCAATGTACCCAGCTCTAGAGAACTTAATTTTTTAAGATATAAATATCTTATTAATATTTTACATTGCTTAAATATTGAAATAGTATTAGCATACTGGATTAAATAAGATATATTATTAAAATTAACTTCTAATTTATCTGTTGCATTTTGTTTGTTCTAATGCGGCTATTAAACCACTAATTACATGAAGTATGTGGTTTCCATTCTATTATTACTGGACAGTGCTGCCTTACAGCGTGGGTTCCATTAACTCAAAATGAAAAGTCCTGTATTTGATGCCTATTCCCTGAAATCACAGTGCAGTTTATTAATAGCAGAGATGATGATAATTCACAAACACTCTGTCTTCTTCCCTTTAAGATAAAGTAGCTTTTAAATTTATCACTTTAAGAGTTATATCCATCTTTCAAACAAATTTCTCTTTCAAACCCAATCAATTTGTAAGGCTATAGGTGAATATAAGAATGCAAATTTACAGCAACAGCAGCAGCCTCAGCACACCACACATTCACTCCATAGAAACACTTTGCATTTTAGGAGCTAACCATATTGACTTTAGTGGAAGCTCAAGTTGCTTTTGAAATTATGAAATATAAAATCACTAAAACAAGAAAACAATTATGTCTTAGAGATGGCGTATGTGTTATTTATTACAGTATCTTGGTAAGTGCTTCAAGGTTTTTGACATGCAAACAATGTTGTCACTAGGAAATGAAGTGAGACATCAAGATCAGTCCAGAAACCATAAATGTGAATGTCCACACACAAGCATGCTTGATGGCACAGTAGAGAGAGAAAGTATGTGGAAAACATTATGTGTGTGTATGTAGGTATATGGATATGCAGAATTCTCCCCTTTTGAGCTCAAAAGGACATTTACTGTGGTCCTCCTTGCAAGTGTTCAATAACCAGCTATTTGGAAGACAAATTTGTTCTGTGACATTGTCTTTTATCTTCATTCCAGGTCCTGTTCCCTTGCAGGTTGGTGTGTGCCTGAGATAAAGAAGTGATGCTATACAAACATTACCAACTGTTTGTGGGAATGAAGTACTTCTACACTTCTCTTCATACCAAACATGAAGCCAGAAATATGATCCAAGGGGCACATGGACAACTAAACCTGATACAAGATGAAGTAAAGTTAAGAGGAAATAACAATAGAGAAAAGATTTTTATGTGTCCATAAGTTAACTCCCTGAAGCACCCTCATACCATTTCTTTAAATTATCAGGCCTAATAACCATGTTTCTATTCTGCATATTAAGGGGATTCACAACCTGACCCATGCCACCACTGCAACCTCAACTTGCATTACTCTCACATGGGCCATTTACACTCCAGAAAGATCAACTTTCTTATACTTTCCTAAGCATGTCATTTTCTTTCACACTTACGCTTCTCACATGCTTTTCTTTCTATATGGAGTGTTCTTCCTCATTTCCTCTGGTGGCTTAAATCTATTTATTCTTTATAACTAAGCTCAAATTTCATATACTCAGTGAACTTTCACTTCATAAAAATGATTTTTGAAATTCATTTCAAAACATTTTTAGTTGAGTTTGTGAAAAACATATGAAAATCTTGTGATTTAATCTAGAATCTTTTCAAGGATCTTATTAACAATTATTCAAATGTAATGAGCTTGTAAAAGCCTAGACTATAAAACAAACACACATACATATATACATAAGTATATACACTTTCCTAATTCCCCTCAGAAAGTAATATAAGGAATTCTATATACATCCATGTATGTAAATATACGCACATACAGCATATTTATGTTAAACAAAACTATGTTTTGCCACTATATTTGTTAATGTTTTTGAAACAAATAGTAACTGGAGATATATCCAGTATTATTTTGTTCTTAGAATATTTTCTCACTAAAATGACTGAAAACATTAGCTTATGATGCAAAAACAAACTACATTATATGAAAAAGGATACAAATTAAAATCTCAACTTCAGTCATGACAACAAAAACATATTTCTCTTTCAATTTAATTTCCATGAGAAACTATTCTAAATTAAAACCTTCCAGTGTAGTGTCTTTCATTTTTTGCATTTTTACTACCTAGGGATCAAACAGTTTGACACAGCAAAAATTCTGGTGAGTTAGGAAGAAATGCTGATTGGTTTGTTGGCTGGTGGCCGGGGGAATGTTATGACCGAGTAATTACGTGTTCTGGACAGATGCATTAACCAGGCTTGGGGCTGGAGCCACTGGATATTATTTTAGTCATAAGGCTAGAGGAACTGAATCATTTTCAAAGCATTGGCTGGCTGACATTGCCTTACTGATGCCTGTTCCAATGACTCTTTGGCAGTAACTTCCAACGCTGCACTTATGACATGGTAAACAAAAACTACATTAAAGGTTTGCTTTTTAATCATGAAGGAGTTCAACATTTCCACTAAGCTCTCTTGCTATTTATCAAGTCACATTGAAGGCTATTGCAGATTTTCACAGTCCTGTCTTCTGATAGAAGAACTGTAGCAATGTAGCAAGCAGAAAGCTTTAGGTTTTTCACAGCATTAAAAAAGCATATGATCAAAATTCAAACGGATAATACATTTTTGCAACTGTTCTCACTATGAGACTGAAAATTGACAATGTCTTCTGCCTTTATCAATGATTTATTTCAATTCATAAAATGTCATTCTTTATAAAGCATCTGTTTAATGATTAGAGAAATATATAATAACACACTCAATATGATAGCATTTGGCTTCTAGGAAAAGACAATACGTTCCATAATAATCAATCAATTGGTTAGGTTCGGGTAGCTTTTCCTTTTGTGCCATTTAAACCTGAAATTTTATTTTGACAGCAGGTACTAATTACAAACTTCACAATAATTTAATTTTAACCATGCTTAGGTATCTCAAATATCTTTGTACTGATTACTAAAAAGCTTAAATAACATAATTTTAATATGATATAAAATATTCATTTTTGCTTTTTTTAAGTGGTTTTTGAATTATGAGGGCATAGTGATGTTTCTCTTAAATATAGCTCTACTAAAGTAAAATGCAAATAACAGTCAGCTTTTCAGGACATTTGGAAGTCTTAAATTTTTTTTTCATATTAGCAAATGATTGATGGTATTCAATTGCTAATATGAAGGCAAAGTAGGTGATGGATGGATGGATAGATAGACGTTGATAGATGAGAGATAAAGGTAGATAAAGATGAGAATGTTTCCTTTCTTCTTATTTATTTTAAAATATAATAACTACGAGCTTTAAAACTATTAAATAGGAGTATTAGAAGATATTCTTCAGAATCAAAGAGATTTTAAAACATTTTTGAAGAGGCATCATTTTGGTTCAGTTTTGTAATATTATTTTATAATTTTTTTTCTTCTGGTTATTCACAAAGCATCCATTAACATAAAATGAAAATCACTTTGCTAATGTAATTTTTTAAAGTTAATTAACACTCAGGAATAAGTCTATCTGAGTTATTGTAGTATCAGTGCATATGTCATAGCTAAGTTATATGTCTCTTAAATAACTGCAATTGAAATTTCTTTAAAAATACCCCAACAGAAGATTATAAACTAGTAATGAAATATATTAATGTGATCATTAAAATCACTGTAATCACCCTATTATTTTTATTTACAAAATTTACTATTTAAAAGGAAGTGTTATTCTCTTGTACTAAAGAGTTTTATCAAAAGGCTGGAGGGGTAAGTTAGTTGGAAGACACTTACTGAACTTGTGAGGGAAAATTTAGAAAAACTCCCCTCTAAACTGCAAAGCAGTTCCAGAAACAGAATATAAATCGACACTTTATGTAATATCTGAAAAGGACTTACTGAGAGAACATTTTTAAATGTCTCTAAAAAGCAAATGCTTATAAATGAAGCCACAATGATAAAACTGATACAAAAATTTTTCCTAGAAAAAACGGAGAAAACAAAAAGAAAGGAGGAAACTGGGTTGGCAAAGAAAAGGGCAGATCTAAAAGCACCAACTGAATTGTCCGAAATCAAATTGCATCATGTTTTAAGAAATGATCATTTGCTTATGCTTCTGAAATATAGGTTATGTTAAATTTTACTGTGTGAAGAATAATCTAGTTGGATCAAAATATTGAAATATAAATAACATATTATAATTATACTATAATGAAATATTATAGTTCATATCAGAACTTAACACATAACCAATAAAACTAACAGAAAAGCTTTTCCAGGCAAAGACTATGTTGTCTATTACAACAGTAAAAACACAGTGTAGAAACCTCTCATTTTTTATTCCTGTTCCTTTCGTTGCTCTAGGGACTCAAACATTCTTACAAAATAAATTTTCTTAAACTATTTTAATCATTTTAATAAACTCATTTTGCTCTGAATTGTTACTAATTCCACTAATAGTGTTAACTGGTGCAAATAGTTACTAATTGCCACTTAAATCAATCATTGGATAAATAAGTGGAATATTAATTAGCACAATTTTATTATATGTGGTATATTCTATTCTTTTCTCAAAAACAAAAAATCAAAATAGTTGATAGTGTTGTTTAGGTTGTACAATTAAATTATTTAATGCAATGTTTGTCACATAATGGATCTTTAAGAAATATCATGATTAATAAATTAATTTTCTCAATAGATGGACATTTTTTGTTTACAAAGTATAATATTTAGCATATTTTTAGTACTTACTCCATACTCCTAGATTGTTTACATTCAATACATGTGCTAGGTACTTAAATAAATTATAATTATTTTATTTTTAAATATAAAAAATTCTGGAACTCATTTTTTCAAGTTTGTATAAGAAGATTTTTTATTTTTAAAACCTCTATTCAATAAGATGTCCATCTTGTTAAAATACAAAAAAGTGGGTGGGGGGGTGGATCAAGGCAAAGAAACTTTGGGAAAAAAAAGGTCTTTGAAACAGCAAAGTATAAAATATGGTGAAAATGATGTTTAAAGGTATTTTATTACCATAAGCTGCAGTAAATGTGAACTTAGCATGGAGTGACCTAAATTAAATACAGAAACTTACATAATATTTCCTCTGATGGACCTAATGAAAATACAGTATTTAAGGCAAGCTTAAAAAAAAATACTATGAACAAAAGAACGTATGTTAATGTGAAACAATCCTCCACTAATGATTTTCTTTAAAAAGAAAAAACTTTTTATAAAGCCTAAACAAGGCAGAAAAGACACACAGACACACATCTGTCATATGTTTGCTGCTTTATGGTCACTGCTTTAAGAAAGGATGTGAGTTATGAAGTGAGTCCTTTCGTAAACATTGTAATAAAGCCTGGGTAAGATATACAAGGCATCAGAACCCTTCAAGCTGCTGTTCTCTAAATAACACTAAGAATTATATGAGCCTCCAAGTTCCTTGTATAAATTGCTACACCAGCTCAAAACACTAGGCTGCTTTATCATTTTTGAATCCTTTTCAGAAAACCTGAGTTCTTCCTTCACTTTACAGAGAGGTGAGAATGCAGCAGTAAAGAATCTGTATTTTATCAAATGTCCATACTTTTTGGAGACAGAGATCAGTACATTTAATTTATGAGCACTAATTATTTTTCTTCCCCTTCTAAAATCTCAATTCATTAACACTGTTGAGGATACCAAAGATGACATGAGCAAGAACACATTCTAAGCATTTATTCTTCCGAAAGAGATTGTAAAGGGGACACAGTAGATCAAATTAACCTCTGATTACTTTGCTAGCTGTGGTCTTTAAGAGCCAAAAGAGAGAATAACTTTTGAAATCTATTTTGAAATAGAATTGAGTGTAGAAACAGCAGTAGATTCTCTCCTCTTGGTCTCACCTACCTTTTCTACTATTTTTGAATTAAATAATTTAAATCCTTTGGGATTGATTTCTGCAGACTATTTAAAGAATTTAAAATTCCTTCCTGTCTTCAGACTGTAGTATAGTTGTTCAACTCTATTTCTAATAACTTTAATAACTCTTTTTAATAGCTTATTTTTATCATTCAATTCTAAACTAAAACCAACTCCTGAAAAAGGAAACGTTATACATTATAAAATAATTCCAATAATTACAAAAATTGAAGAAAAATATTTTCTTTGGTTTCTAAAAATACTTAAAGAGGAGGCAATGTTAATACAGTGAGAAAATCTCTAGTTGAAGAAAGAAAATAAACTGAACTCAAATTAACAAATTTTTATCAAAGCATTGATTGACTAGTTTTAATTATTTTATGACTATTTACAGTGCTACCAATTGAAAACAACAAAAAGTATATAATGACAGAAAAAAAATAAGCTAAAACACAAAACTAACCATACAGTTTAAGCATATGGCTCATACAGGATATGGAACTATACTCAGCTTCCTAAGACATTCTAATTAGTGTTTCCTATTATCTCATAAGGATTTATGTCCTTTAAATTTACTGCTAAATTTAGTCTGTAAGTCTAATATCATTAATTTCTTTTTATTTTCTACAATAGAAATTACATATGGAAAAGAAGGACTACTACAAAATTAGATGTTAAAAGAAGAACGCTAAGTGAAGCAAAGTTTAAGATTACAGAAGTTTTAGGGATCTTTAAATTCTTATTTTTCTGTTAAAAACACCCAGAAACTCTTGCACACTCACTCTTTTTGACTGATACTATATAATATTTATGCATGCATGACAACAAAATATGTTTCAATAAAAATATATTTGAACTAGCAAAGCAAAATTGCTTTAAGCTTTTGATCTATCTCATAGCTCACATCTCTGAAAGTCTTTTCCTTTCAGCAGTTACATTCAAAAAGTCAAAGATATACAGCTGACGATTCAAGCTGAATGACACCACGATAAACTATGGTTTCTCCTACAGATAAAATACATCATAAATCGGTGCAACACTTACCTCATTTTAAATATTACTGTCTCCTTTTATCAGGTAACACTATATGACCTCCTTTTGCCTCCCTTCTTCCCATATTTTACATGAGATTTTAATTCTATACAATGATCACAACCAGAATTTATTTAATTAAAATAGGATATATGGCTTTAAAGGGTTAGGTTATCTGACAAACAGATTTAATTTTAAAAAATAATAATGAGGACAGACTGACTTCTAATGCCCCGCAAAATGTGGCAATAACAGAATTATATTTATTTTTAAATTGCAATAACTCTTTATATTTAACTGCAATTTATCACATGATCTAAAATGATAGGCAATGCTGTTTAAGAAAATAGAAATGCATATCCAACTAAACGACAAAGATATGTCTGCAGGGAGTGTATGCAACATAATATGCAGCTTTTCTCATTAAAATATCTATTCCTGAATTACAACGGCCCTATCAACACTGTGTTTCTAGCTAACGGCTTGATTTAATCCTGTTCAGTCTCCAGCCAGAAGTTATTCTTTTTCTGAATACTCAACTTCAGATTACACTCCCCAAGCTATTAAATGCATTAAATGTACCAGGATAAATCCTGATTATCATCTACACAACTTTGGATTCTTATCCTTCATCCTCCCAGGCCTGCTGAGAGGTAGGCTTTCTCATTTAGCTGAAGTAAAGAGGAAGGCGGGCTCCCCCTGGTCAGGAGAGAGTAGCTGTGAATGAGGCCCCACGGTCATCAGACACCCCAGAGTTGGCAACTTGTGCTTCCTTTTCCCTCTGTGGCCACCCCAGAGCAGACATCAGTGCTGGCCTTCCAGATGCATCAATCTTGTCTACCACGGAGGAATATCAGTCACAAAGAGGCTTGTTCCCATTTCCAGTTGCTTTTCATCTGAAAGCAGCATTGGGAAAAGAAACCTGTGGACTCAATCCCGTCAGTTCTTATCTTTCCAAAACATCTCGGACCAAAGCCACGGAATGAACTCTCAACCGTATCTTTTCATCAGAAGGTCCATGGCCACCCCGATCTGATGATTATTTCACACAGTTTCAGGGAGACTCCCAAACTAGCTGAAAATCTCTACTGTTTCAATTGATCCTTCTTAAAATTATTATCTTTTACCACATAGGGGCTACTTACTATGCGAGATCATTATATATACAAGTAAAGAATATATCTTATTTTCATATAGTATGCAAAAATAATAAAATGCTTTTTACATAATCCTACTGGTTTTAAAGATTTCTGTTTAGGCCTTGCATTATGAGAGTTTTCAAATTAGCAGTGATGGATTTTTGTTGATATGTAGCAAGTTCTATTTCAGCACTTCAGGCTCTATGTAACCATACCCCATGTGTTTGCCACACCACTGCCTTGAGTTGACCTGGCATTGAAGGTGCAGTCTATAACCCTGAAACAGAAAGAAGCCAATCAGTTTCAGCATACACCCCCACTGGCTATGCCAAACCCATATTCCTCAAGCCTCAACTTTACATTCAAGGTAAAGCACCCCGACTTGAATATTCTCAGCTTTCCTTCTTTCAAACTCTGAACAGCATTACCTTTATACTGTCGTTTTCTTTTCTTCCTTTCTGACTCAAAAAAAAATCAGTGTCTTCTTTTCCACATGTAAGCCTCTGCACCTGTGCTTAATTTCATCTCCTCCCACCTCCCCAAGGAGTTTGCATCATTAATTATTTGTTCTTGTCTTTGCCATAAACTCCTTCCAATATGCCTTCAAAGACTTGTCTCTAATTGGGAAAAAAATTATTTCATGTGTCCCCATCGCATTCCTACAACTATTTTTCCATTTCTATCCTTCTTTTCATTGCTATAAACTTCACGAGCACCTATTTTTCTTCTCATATGATGGAACGTAATCCACTCATTATTAATTACTTATTTAATGTCTGTCTTCTCATAACATCAACTCCATAAAAACAAGGATTAAGTCTGTCTTCTTCCAGTTTATACAAGTGCCTAATGCAGTTTGTAGAACATGTTAGACATTCAAAAAGTATTGATTATACTGGATTATTTAATCTTTTTTTTTTTTGAAATGGAGTCTCGCTCTGTCGCCCAGGCTGGAGCGCAGCGGCACGATCTCTGGGCTCACTGCAACCTCTGCCTTCTGGGTTCAAGCGATTCTCCTGCCTCAGCCTCCTGAGTAGCTGGAATTACAGGCGCCCGCCAGCACACCCAGCTAATCTTTGTATTTTTTTTTTTTTTTTTTTTCATAGAAATGGGGTTTCATCATGTTGGCCAGGCTGGTCTCGAACTCCTGACCTAAACTGATCCGCCCACCTTAGCCTCCCAAAGTGCTGGGATTACAGGCATGAGCCACCGCGCCTGGCCTGGATTATATAATCTTAACAATGTTACTTTTTTGTTGTCGTTTCTCATCACCTCCACTATAACTCCTGAAAATCTGGTTTCTACCCCCTCCACTCTCAAGGAAATGTACATTCACCAAAAACATATGCTATATTATTTTTCTCAACACAGTTACTTACAAATCGATAAATAAAATAACGTATTCTCAGTTTCTACTCCTTTTGACCCTTAAAAATCTGACGCTGATGTTGACCCTATCTTTACGGACCCTCCGGCATACTGGTTCTCCTCACCCCTCCTATCACTTTGTCTCAGTTCATCCCTCCAACCTTTACAAACTAACCCCACCACCTAACGCCCAGCCTGCTTGCTTACACTATTGTATTAGACTCCAACCTCTCCCACTCCAATTCACACTGAGTATTAATAGGAGACTAATTCCCTCCTATTCAAAAATCTCAAAAGTTTCTCACTGCCTGTATTATTTAAAGTCTAAGCTCCTTATCCTGACATTCGAGACCCCCTTCATAATCTGTACCCTAATCTCTCCAGCCATACCCCCAAAATTACTTACACCCAGTCCCTTCTACTTATTGAAACCACACATGTCTTATTTTCCTACTTGATACTTTTGCTTCATGTCAGTTGCCCTGACTAGAATGCTTCCGGCTACTATCAGTGTATACAAATATTCTTCATCTTTTCTTTCTTTTATTATTATTATTATTTTGAGACAAGGTATCTCCCTGGCTGGAGTGCAGTGGCATGATCTGTTGCCCAGGCTGTTCTCAAACTCCTGGGCTTGAGGAATCTTCCCGCCTCAGCCTCCCAAAGTGCTGGAATTACAGGTGTGAGGCATCGCACCCAGCCTTATCCATCTTTTAATATTCAGTCCAGACTACTGTTTCTTCATTAAGGCCAGCACAAATTTCCAAGGTATCTTGGTGTCCATTTGAACGATTATTTTGGAAGCCAACCATGTGCTTAATTATTTTATTTTGTTAGTTTTATAATAGTTGTATAATACATTCTCAGTGTTTAGATTTCAAGGTGTACAAAAGTGTTTAACTGTCTTCCCCACAACCTTGTCCTTCAGCCAGCAAGGTTCCCTCCTGGAAGCAACCAATATTATCAGGGATCTTTCCAGGGATCTTTCCAGGGATAATTCATTAGAAGCAAATGGAAATTACTGTCTTTTCATATGTTTAGCACTTTGTACCAAGCAAATATGTATCTATTTATTTTTTCTACAAATATTTAACATTTTATGTACATACAAGTTATCCTCCTATTTATGGAGTCTATGTGCCTTGGCTTCTTTATATTAATGTCTGTCAAATAAATATTCATTGATTGATTGTGCAATTCTTTTTTTCAAGTCTGGGATAGACTATTTCATGGTAAGATTGACTCTCTACCCCCTTCTCCTCAATTAAGAAAGATAATAAAGTAAGCAGTCGGTTTTTTTCAAACACTTCCTCCCCATACACAGTCCTTAAGAGGAAACTGAAACATGACTAATCACATATGCAGATGTGCATTGTTTTACTGTGATAGTTTAATATGTTCCAGATACAAGCACACATTGCCATGTTTCCTTTGGTTCTGATACATACGCTGATACAAAGATTAGCAAAATTGCTGATTTGTAATGGATGATTCTGTTTCATTTTAGAACTCTCCCATCCCTGCAGCATTCCAAGTTCACTAAAGGTGTGTTTGCATTGAAACTTTTTTTCATAATTACGTCTATCTCCATTTCATATTGCACCTATTAGAAATGACATGACAGCCCACCCACCTTGTTGCTGCTTCCTAAATACCCTACAGTTTCTTCTTATCTTAAACATATGTATCAATTTGTGAAATGATAAACCCCAAAATGCTGTTTTATATAAAGAAATAAAATAATGCCTAAGTCAAGCGTTGGAAGCAAAGTCAGCTTCATTCATAGTTAAACATTGTACCTGGCATTACTAATTTAAAGTATCATACAGAATATAATAGATATTTGGAATCAAATGGTTTATTTGACCAACAGAGAGCCAAACCACATAAGCTAGAATGCCTCAAAACCCATTAGTTAAAAGAGCCTTTAACTATCAAATTGGCTGCTTTTAATGCATCAGACTCTGGGCATGTGCCAGATACTCCCTTGATTTCACAAAATAGAACCTCAATGTATATCCCACACACGTACCTTGAATTGGAATTATTTCCTTTTTATTAATCTTGTATTTAAATCAATGCCCAAGGTTTAAATATCATCTACAAAGACACAATTTTTCTTAGAAAAATGTATCTTGAACCAATAAATACAATTTTAGTATGTATGTAGGTATGTATTTACATACACAGTGAGATGGGACCTCACTATGTTGCCCTTGCTGGTCTTGAATGCCTGGCCTCAATCAATACTCCTACCTGGACCTCTCACAGTGCTGGGATTACAGGTATAAGCCACCACACTTGGCCTAGTTTTTCAAAATTAATGTAGGCTATCTTTATCTATACCAGCACAGATGCTTTTAAAAACTTGAAAATATTTTTTATCAGAACTACATGGAAAATATCAGTATTTTAGGCTTACAGTTTTAGTAGCTATTAAATCACCAAAATAGTAAAAAATGTTCCATTTTACTTGATTCTTCTTGATGACTATTTCCTTCCCAGCTAAACACACACACACATTTTCACAAGCTCACGCACAAGCTTACTCACCTAAAAGTCTCATAAATATAAAATTTATGTTACAAAATATTCAGGTGTGAGTGAGATTAAGTAGGAATCAATAATTCTGATTTGTCATAAAGATTGAGTTTATTTTTATCCTCAATTTTAATAAATTCTGTTCTGGGTTTTAGTTCAGATTATGAGTATATATTATCATAAATGGTTTGAATATTTACCAACACAGAATTTAGTAACAAGTGAGATAGTTGCTAAGACACTGTTAAGGTAGGTTGGAAGCACTTAGTTTTGATAGGCATGATATATAGCTAGGGAAGCAAGTGTATGCAAATAATTATGCTGTCTTTGAAAGAGTGGCTTATTTAGATGTAGCATAGCCAATGAGACTGTGGTAGTACTTGTGAAACTTACAGGAAGTAATTAAAGACGCACAGATTCTCTTCTTTTACTGGCTGTTTCTGCATTACATAGAGATTATGAAGAGAGACAAGAAGAATGACAGAGAAGCCTGAACAGCCCGTCACATTTTCAACTAAGAAAATTGTTTTTTTCCATAGGCAAACTTTCTAGTTAACAAACACTTGTTGTTTTTATTTTATTCTCTATTACTTGCAAGTTTGGGAAAAATTCTGATTTCTACATTTTAACAAAGATACAGACATGTTTATTCTCCAAAGGGTTTGTTCTCTATGTCACCAGCATTTTGCAATCCTCTTCATCCTCAGGTCCTCTGGTTGGTTGCCATCTGGCAGTTTACCTTTGATTTTATGAATAAGGTCCCCAATTGTTTTTGCAGCTGTTATCAGTGCAGCCTGATCTATTTCGAATGGGGATAACAGAAAATATATCTCCACAATGTTCTCTGCATTTCATTCCTGTGGCTCTCTTCCCAGACTTTGAATTGTGATTTTTCTAGTGTACATTCCTCAACACAGATGGTGACAACACAGATGGTGACAACACAGATGGTGACTAGACACTTGGTTTAAAGAAGATATAAAAGTGAATGCTTCCCAGTAATCATTGTTTATAAACATATTTATGAATCTGTGACTATGGGATCTATTAATTGTACACATATTTTATACATATATAGTTATTCTCATCATGGCCGCTGAAAATGCTTCTAATTATACGATTTCTTTCTGCCTCCGATTGTTTCTTATTTTTATAAATGATGTTTATATCTTCCATGCTGACCCCATGAAAGATAATAATGTTAAAACTGTATTCCCAGGAGCCCCGGGGAAGAAGTGAAAAAGATGCGAGTGATTGGCTGCTATTAATATTATCCTAGTTTACAAAGTAATAGGTCCATCAGTCTCCTTTCAACCAAGGTAGTCATTTTGAATTGATTTCATATATTAGACTTCCAGGTAACATTCCATTTGAAGAAAAGATTTCACTACTAATTTAGAGGATAAGTGAATTCACTCATTACTAGAGATGGCCTGGCCAGTTCACCATAGGTAAACAAGATATTATTGCAGTGAAAAGGTCCCTTACAAGCAACCTCCCCCTGAGTATTTCCCCTTGTAAACAATGCTGCCTACAATTTCTACTTCTAGTCCCATCTTTTTAAAGGCATTGAAAACATTAGTTTTAGGGCAGCTATAACAGAGTGGACCAGAGAACACATTAAACCATCCATTAGCACCTCCATACGAATAAGTTTATCTATTAGCTCTTGGGACCTCGAGAGGCCTGGAGAAAATCTAGTAAGTTTTGGTGGATCAGGGGATTTAAAAAAAAAAATGCTCCCTGGGTTGTCACTTTAGGGAACTGTAAAGTACTCTGAAGCTCAGGGCAGTGGAGGGGTGAAGAAAAGGAATGCAACCCTGAGCAGTAGAGGGCAGTGATAGGAAACCCAGGCTCTGACAGTTGAGGCTTGCCACCAAGAGAGTGGAGGGCTGATCCCTAGTAAAGGGGAAGGCTCTCCTCCACCCCTTCCCTTGGTCAGCCAAGCTTCTACTTCCAGATCAACATAGATTTTTCTTCTCTGTTATAAGTATTTTATTTTTCTGATCCTTTCAACTATCTTTTCATTTTAACTGAATCTTACTCTAAAAGCCTTCTGTTGTCACCAACACCAATAATAATTTCTAAAATATTCAACCCGAGTTCTGTTTTATAAAATATTATAATCTGCCCCAAATCCATGCAAGAAAGTTTTCAAAGGTCTGCACAAAATTTGTTATACACATTGATGTTTAGTGCCTCTATTTTTGCATAGAAAATTATTGATAAATGATCATCTAAGGTGCTAAAGTGAAATGTGCCATAATTTCTCAAATTATATTCTCCCTGCAGCAAGATGTGGGCAGAGCATTTATTTAACTTTTGCAATTTTTTAAATGAAATGAGAAAAAATCCTACTGTGGCTAGTTTTTACATTATATTAACGTGAGAAGTAAACTGGAGTCATAGCTGTGACTCGCTATGTGTGAATTATTAGTCCACATTTCCAGGCCTACACTAGAGGAAGTTTCCTTTAAACATACCTCTGTACAAATGGTAATTTTGTGCTTCTGAATGGAGAGTGATTCCTGGTTAATTCTGAAGCCAAGTTTATGAGCAGCTTAACTTTACAAAAGAAAAAGGAAGCAGAAACACTGGATTTTACAAGTAAAGTTTCAGTAAACGTCAGCTTCGGATGACAGTGGGAACTAAAGGACATGGGACAGAGACAATGAAACGAAACCAGAACTCTACCTACTGTTTTCTTACCAATTGTCCCTGCATTTATATATGAAATTTTCAGAAGCGCATGGTAATCTTGCCATCTAATCCTCTACAGTTGACAAAGTGCTTTCATACGCATTTTCTCCCTTTTCTGCAGGCTATGATCCCTGAACACTCTCAGCCTTGTCAGAGAGACCTCCAGGATGCTACTTGAGGCTGAAGAGTAGCGTTCTGGGTCCCCAGCTCAGTAGGCACCACCTCTCAGGGAAGTGACCACCACTACGCTCTCAGCTCCGCAAGTCGCTGGACAGTCAATAGCGCTCACACGGTGTCTACCGGATCTGGCACGGTCAAGACACAGGAACAGCCGTACTTTCCTGCGGGTAAGAGGCTTTTCTTTTGTGCATCACGTGCAGAAGAAGCCACTCCGAAGTGCAAACACCTTTCTAAAGTTTTCAGTGCTTCCTAAAATGCAGACATCGACGCCTTGCTGAGTTATCCGATCCTTTGATGATCAAATAAAATTAAGGCCAGCTCCCTGCTGTTTGATCTGTGGCTCAGTTTCTCTAAGGGCTGCCGCGGGTTCCGCAAAGACTCACTCCAGAATCCCCAGCTCCCTCGCGTCAGCGAATGTCCCGCTGGTCCAGGCAGCCTTTTCCTGCGCGGTTCTTCAGTTCCTTTTTCTAAAGCTCTATTTATACAAATTACTTTTTTCTTCTTTTCATTAAGCAATCAGGATTTATTTTCTTTTCTCTCTGTATCAGCCATGGACACATTCACTGATGAAGAACCAATCAACGTTTTGTGTTCTTATTTATTTTTATTTCTGATGAGGCAGGTTCCAATCAAAGAGCAAAGTCAGAGAAAATAATCAAACAGCTCGCGGTGGCCGCTTTGCCTTTGTTTTTATTCTAGTTTTCTTTGGTGGGTCATTTTTAATTCTCTTCTTTGTTAAGGGGTAGTTAAATCTGTATCTTTGTGCTCAGCAAGAGTGGCCCGTGTAGTTAAGAAGGCCCAGAGAGCTTCCTTGCCCCAGTGTTCAATGGGCAGCTTCCCTTCTCACTGAGGAGGAGACTTTCAGTGGAGAAAGAGAAATGGAAAAACTTTCCAGCAAAATCAGTCAATGCATGGAGAAACCTGCCTTTCAGGAGCTGCTAATTCTTTCCCAGGCAACTCCTACTCCCCTAGAGAGGAGGAGGAGAATGAGACCTCAGGTAAGTAAAAGATCCAAGCTCAGTGCTGATGGAGTGAGAAAAATCCCTCTCTCAGTGAGGGACAGAACCTGCTTTTTGTCTTGAAGTCGGCATTGTGTTACTGAAGATGTGGGGGCCAAGATTATTTTCAGGACACTAAAAATCTGAAATTGTTGACTTCATAAGTTGAACAATGACCAACACCAGTTGAGAATGGCCTGGAGTACCCTTCATCTTACCCCCCACCCCAGCAATGAAAATAGCCTCTGTGAGCACAAAGGTGTGGAGAGTGCTATCTGCTATTAAGCACATCAATTACATTGTGGAAAGGCTATGACTTAAACTACACATAATGAAGATACTTCTTAGGTGACACAGAGAAAAGTTTTGACCAGATGATTGGCGTTGTTCCTTACGTTTCTGTTAAAAATCACATCCTCTCAGCTCCCAGCCCAAAGTGAGTCCTAATGTTAACCTGAGACTCCTTCTAGAGTGGAAGCTCTAGGAAAGGGTCTGTGTGTGTGTGTGTGTGTGTGTGTGTATGCGCACATGTGTGTCTTTAAACTGTTGTGTGCATGTGTGTCTTTAAACTGTGTCCCCAGTGTCTAAAACAGTAGGCATCAAGTAAATATTTGTGAATTGAATGACAGAACATTAGAAGCAACACTACCATCCCCACTGCACCCCACCCACCCACCCCGGTGAAAAATGGAATTTCCCAGCCAAGATTAGTGAAAGAAGGAAAAGACAGGGGTTAAAGTGCTCTTTGCCAGAGTTTTGGGAAGAATTGGCCACCTGGTAAAATAAGTACTGACCCAACGACATCTTCGCCTACTCTTTATAATAAAGGGAAGTAAAATCACAGGTAAATAAGATGGGGGCGTTGCCGCAGAGAGTGCTTCTGAGGGTCCTTCTCTGGGATCTTGGAAAGAAGATATCCTGGAACAGGGGGCTCAGTTGGAAGGTGGCATACACATTAGCTTTCTAAAATTAAATCTATAAACACAAAACTGCAGAACTTTCAAACTACTGTGTAAGTAAAGGAAGTCTCTCCACTGAAAGCTCAGCTGGCTGTTAAGTGGGTTTTAGAAACAGCTCTAGTAAGCGAACCTATCTGCGATTTTCGGGTTTCCATTCCTATTCGACTTCCCTCCTCTGGGTCCTTACCGAAAGGGAAGGTCCCAAAGGACCACCAGCGCGCTCTCGGAGGCTCCAGGACTAGACATTGGACTCCCACAGCGCAACACCATAGGGACTCCGGTGTTCGGTTCCCGTGGCCCTCTCCTTGGCTCCCGGTCACCGTCCTCACACCCCCTGGCCCCAGTTACTGACGGAAGCCATGTGCAGCTGCCATAATGTGTATAAAAGAATCTCTCCCTGGCGTTGGTTTCTTCTCTTCTTGGAATGCTTTTGGCAGATCCTCCGCGTTTTCCGGGTCTCTTGGGAGTCTGAACATGCATTTTCCTTTATTTCAGACAGGATTCCGAGTGTTAACTAGATTGTGCCCTCCCCACTACCTATCCTGCCCATCTTCCTTCTCAGCCGTCGGGTGCGGGAGGAACGCCCTTGCCAACCTCAGCCTTTTTGATCTTCCGCGGGCAGAGACTCATCAGAGCCAGGAGGACTGTAACTACCCCCGGGGCGTGTACCGCCGAAGCCTGAAGAGGCTGGTTGGGCCAAAATAGCAGTCGCTGCAGGCACCAGTTTCAGCCCGTCACCTGAGTGCCGGTTCCTGTGGGCGCGCCAGTCTCGCAGGCAGCGCGCCCAAGCTCGCGGATCGCCCTCTCACATTTTTAGAAGCCAAGAAAAGCACTTTTGAAATTCACTCCTTCGACCGTGGGCAGAGGAGCAGGTGGGCGCCGAGCCCTAGCTGAGGGTGGGGGGTCGCGGAGGAGAGGAACTGGAAAATGGGAAATAGGTGTCTGCTGACCTAGAGTTCTTCGGCTTTGATTTTAAGCGGCAGTGAGGCTGGGTGGTTTCGCCCCCCTCATCCCCTCGGTCGCTGGCGCAGATTGATCCTGGAGCTAGTTACGGGTGTTAAACTGGTACGCGGGTGGGGCAATTCATTAGGCAAGAAATGGATTAGTTGTTTATTATCTATAAACATTCCAACCACAGCAACCAATCATAAAACCGCGGAAGGGCCTGTAAAGTAAAGCAGCAGCGAAGCCTCCATGTGGGCAGCTCAGGCTTAGCGATTGTTCCCGGGTGATAAAGGGTCGATTAGGGAAGTAGAGCTAGGAAGGTGGGGGCGGGGGAGCGGGCGATAATTAAGCGAGTCGTCAGGAAATTGCTTTCTAGATGGGGATCATGATGCCTCTAACTTGAACGGGGCAGGAGAAATATTGGGGTGATTTGGAAGACGGTGATAAGGGAAAGCACAAAATAAGGATTGGAGGGCCGCAGTGAGGTCATTAGTGAAGCTGATGCCGGAGATAAAAGCTGTTGATTAATTGAGGGGAGCAATTTAGTCTTTGGTTTCTTGGTAAAATGCTTAGTCACTAACCATGAAAGCGGCCTAATAATATTTTATGGGGGTGGGGAGGAGTTTAAAACTGGCATCTTTCTAGTAGCAGAAATTCACCTTTGAGTATGGCTTTTTAAAATTCCTCTTTGGAATAAAACGTTTTCTAATAAGAGTTAGTCTCAAAAAAAAGTTAATATTAGGTTGGTGCAAAAGTAATTGCGGTTTCTGCCATTACTTTCAAATGACACAAACCGCATTTACTTTTGCACCAACTTAATACTTTTTCTTTTTTAAGTATAAAGCTTTTGTTTTTAACAAAATAACTATTTGGTTTCTTTGGGGTTTCGTAAAACAAACTTTAAACTCATTGCATATTTGACATTTTACTATATTAGAAAGTGATGAAATAATTATGCTGGTTTTCGAATAACTAATTCAAGTATACTGTTTTCACTTTGATTCAGAACCTATTACTCAGAAAACAAGTTAGTGGCAAAGTTCTTAATCGTTTAATAAATATATTGGTTTGGAAATTTATTAGAACTAAGATGTAGAATATAGTAATATACACACGTTAGAGGTTTCCTTTCTCAAATTAAAAAAAAAATGGTAATTTAAGTGTAACCGTCCAAAAACGGGCATGAGGCATAAATGAAAAGTTTGATAAATTATTTTTTAAAACCTTCTTATGGAATTTCTTAGATCAAGATAAAGAGCGTTACCTGCATCCCAGAAATTCCTCTCCTGCAAGATGTTTTTTAAAATCAATTTATTAGATTTTTGTTTTGGGGATGTTTATGTTTAAATAATTGCTCATCAAGTGCTTGGATTTCTTTTCAGGACGAGTATTGTAGATTTTCCTCCCTTGGGGACTACTTGCCTAAAAATAAAATGATTCGAGCATTTTGAAGAAGGAACAAAAACAGCCTCCACATCCTTTTTTTTTTTTTTTTTTTTCCTGCCTCTGGCAGCCCACACTCCTTCCCCCAGCTTTCTTTATTCCATATGAGAGACATAACAAACAAACGATTACATGTTGAAAAACACATCTGAAAACAGAAAGGTCACGTTACTACCGAGTCCTGGGGAACATTAATCTGATGTTTGGAAAACAGTTGACAGTTGAAGGTTGGAGTTTCTCTTTTCAACTCCTGGACAGAGAGAGAGAAAGAGAGACAGAGAGAGAGAGAGAGTTGAATGAAAAAAAGAAGGGAAGAGACCACTTTGTGGCCTTTTCACTTCAGGAATAATTGAGGGACTGCCAAATTTCTAACCCAGATTTAAAAATGCAAACACATTCACAAAGAGGACTAACGATTTGAAATGGCTCAAGTTGGCATTGACTCTAAGTGAGAAGGTGTGTGTGTGTGTGTGTGTGTGTGTGTTGTCTTAAAATAATTAATGTGAATAGCGAAAAGTAATCACGATAACATCAAGCCCTGCATGCCTGAGGGGAGAGTTTGCTGGACAAAAAACAGTCCCTTTACTAATAGCTTGTGAGAAGGTGAAAGTTGATTGCCTGACCACTCGTCTCTCTCCAGCGTTTCTCTAAGTCCGAGCCCCCATCTCTCCCAGTCCTCCCGGCTCAGCGAGGAATTCCTTTTCTTGACTTGTTTAAGTGCTGGTAACCCAGGGCTCAGTGGCTGAAGCAGCTGGGTGTCTAAAACCCCGATATCTGGCTGCCACTGGGGTTCCTCCTATGTGAATTGTGAGGTAGAATGAGGAAGAAGATCTGAAGTACATTCCTGGGACTTTGGAAATTATCATATTGAAAATTGTACTAGTAAATTGCAAAGACAACAAATAATGAGTCCTTCTCTACAGGCATTCTCAGATCCTGGTATCTCTACAACACAGTGGATATTTGAGGCAGGACGATGGATGGGGCCAGGTGTGAGAGCGAGAATCAAGAAACCTAGGATCAAGGAGTTTTACCAGAGCTTTGTGTGACCTCGTGCAATGTCACTTTAACCTGGATAGCGTCAGGTTTCCTCACGCATAAAATAAGATCAGATGATGCCCTCTTGGATTCTTTGACTGCAGGACAATCATTAGGCCATAGTGAACAGATGCGCTTGGTTGCCAGACCGCGCCCTTTGCGGGTCTATCAAAAGGGCAAGCGCATATTCTGGAGCTGTCTCGGAGACTTGGACAGAAAGATTCGAGGCAAATATTCTAGGCTGGGAAATTTCGCGCCGAGCCCCCCCCTCAGTTAGCCTGTCTAAAGGCTGGTGTGGCCAGAGCGAGGCAGAGAGCTCTGCACCTACTGTCGGGGCTGACAATGATTTATGCGCTTGTGACCCACGTAGACCATAAACCTAGTTTGCTAGACGTACAGGGAACTGCGCCGCAGTTAATGCAGAGGACTTATCCTCTGACCTGCAATGTCTCCCCACCTGGTGCTCTACAGCTCCAGAGAGCAGGGATTTCAGCTTTTCCTCCCTCATTGGATCCAATTTCAATCCCCTCGGTTAACTGAAAGTGTGTTGACTTCCACCCAGCCGGCAGGACCCTAAGGGCGCCTGGAGCAGTCTGGTGCGGGTCCTGGCTGCAGCATGCCCAGCAGAGCTCCGGGTGCAGGAGGCTGCAAAGCCACCGCCGCGTCCAGGCCCCTTGAGCGGAGGTGGGAACGATCCGCCTTAGAGTTCAAGGTGAATTGCTGTGACAGTGGCGGGTGGAGGAGGGGAGTTCGAGCCGTTCGCCTCGGGGAAGAATTATCCCCGATCATTTATTTTTAGATCTGAATTCCTCCAGAACCCAGCAGAGGCTGTGGCCAGAGCCCCAGGGCCAGGCAAGCGGCCAAGCTGCGCTCTCGATAAAGGAGCCAGAATGGTTCCATCTGGTTACAAACATATCTTTTTATTAAAAAGCAATCAGATCCTGAAGCGCTTCCCTTGCGGTTTACCGCTCTCCGCAGGCTGCTTCTCCGAAGCCAGCGGTGGTAGCGCCCACTCGGTTGAGCCCACGCCTCCGCCAGGCAGCGCCTCCGCCAGGCAGACCTCCTGCGGGACATTTTGTGGCCAGGGGGGTTCCTGCCCAGGGACCTCTAATAGGGTCGGTGGAAGCTAATTTGAATCTTCCCAGTTCCTTCCCTGTTTATTTCTCAACCCAGCAGTTCAAAAATTCACTTTATAACGGTCCCCTAACAAAAACACGAGTAAGAAAGATAGCAAAGAATTAAGCTGGACAGGCACCCATGTTGCGAAAAAGGTTTTGCTTGGAGACTGCAGGAGAGGGCTATCCCTCTTTACAATTCACGACGTTACTACCAACTTTGCCATTGAGTGGTTCCTCTCCCTGCCCGAATTCCTGGCCATCTTCGTTCCAGAGAGCGATGCAATCATGGCCTTGAAACCGAACGGGGCGTAACGTGCCATTCCTCTCCAGCTCCCGAGCCCCACTCCCACCCTTGCCGTTGAAACTGTGAAAAAGCCGCCAAAGTTTGGGCACCCAGCCTGGCAGTCGGAAGACAGTGAGATAAAGAATGCGATAGTAAGTCCTTAAGTGCTTCCTAGAGATAAGGTCCCGGAATCCTGGAAAAATTCAGTCTGGCCTCCCTACTTCAGCAAGTCGCCTCCTGCTTCTGTCAGCCCCCTCCCCACACACACCTGGAGGGAGAGGCGGTGGCCACAGGGGTAGCTGGGGCAGACCCTCCGCTCCTCCACTCCCGGTGGCCAGGGGTCCTAAGGCCACGCGGCTGGCTTTCTTCTCTGGGAATCAGGAGATGATAATGAGAAAATCCCTCAACCATTGGCGCGACGAAACTCAAAAATGGACAGCCCTCCCTTATTCATAAATATTACTTCAAATATGTTAAAGACGTTAAGTAATTTTTAGTCTCTTTAGAATTTCCAACGCTATAGTTTATTATGACAGATAAGGTTTGATTTGTGCTAGTCGCGTGCCAGGACACTGAAGGTGAAAAGAAGGAAAACAAGAAAGAGTTTCTAAAAGAATACACGTAACATTTAAGATAACTACATACAAAGTGCTCACTTAATTTCTCTTAAAACAGTTACAATGAATAAATTACATTTCCAACTTAATAAAATTTAATTCTCTTAGTCGTTTGTACAATTGATGGCCTTTGGTTATAAAATTTTACTTTTTGGAGAAATATTGCCCCTCTGTCAAATTATAGCACATGACAAATAATATAGCAAATAATAGGTTTGACTTTTAAACATACACAGTTATTTGAAACAAAATGTTTTTAACTTTCTGGCAGCATAGGCAAAACAGTAAAAGCACAGTTATATTTTAGGAATTATCTTAATACATTCCCCTCTATGATATCAGAACTTACTCCTGATTGAACCAAGGAAGAACAGCTAACTCTTCGGATAAAACAATTTTTTCTCCTTCATTCCCAGGCATGGTTTGGAAAGCAATAAATGCATATTTGCAAGAAGTCATGAAAAATCAAGATTAAAAATACTGTATAATCTTCCTGGTAAAACATATATACATTTTATATCTGACCATATGAAACTGTCATCTATAAGTATTACATTTTAATGAAGCATAACTCCTCATGATATATTTATTTCATAACAAATGGCAAAGGTAATATTACTTATCTTCAAGTATTTTTTCTTTTAAAAGCTCCTCCCACCAAATGAGAGACCTCTATTTAAACAGCAACTTCTATTGAAATATATGATCTGAAGGAATTCGCTATTTGAAAGTCTTTTGACAGCTTTACAGATTATATCTGTTGAGTTTTTTCTCTCTCTCTTATTTCCACAATTTACATGTGTGAATATATGGGTAACCCTCACTAACTTTTCAACATCAGTCACGCACATTAGGTAGAAAAAATTAATTTTGAAACTATTCTTTGTTTTTAAAATGATATATGTCATTACTGTTAGGTGAGTAAGCTAAGTGTGTTTTTTTGGAAGGGGAAGGTAGGTTAATCACAATGATAGAGCAAATATAAATAGTATTATGTTGTTGGTGTTAAAAG
Source organism: Homo sapiens (assembly GCF_000001405.40). Lineage (NCBI taxonomy): Eukaryota > Metazoa > Chordata > Mammalia > Primates > Hominidae > Homo > Homo sapiens. Next base: position 174,220,002 of record NC_000004.12, read on the forward strand.
GCAAAACCTCTTAGTCTGTGAAGATCACCTACTTACCTTCTCTCCATTAAAAAAAGAGTTGAACTTTTTGGCTCCCTGTATAATGTGTGTTCTCCATAGATTTTATACTAAATATTAATATTAAGATTATAGAGCTAACCTTTTTCTAATGTCAAAGAGCTTTTGAACAATACAGGCACAAGAGAGAAAAGACACCTACCTCATACATTCACATCCCAAATTTCCTATCTCCAATGCAACAGGAATAATCTTTTTATTCCATTAAAATGGTCACTAACCTTATAATAATAAAGGCATGTTTTAATCTCTTACCTGAAGGAGTCTTATCAATGTAACAAGAACTGAAATTGTGACTGGTCCTTGTTGTCGTTTACAGTACAGAGATCTGTACTGTATTGCCTTTGTGGAGGGCTGAAGTAACAACATATGACTACTGCCTCCTGAGACCCTTATGAAAATAAGATATATAGCTGGTTCAAATAAATGTTTTAGGCCTTGACCCAGGAATATAATTGAGAAAAACAAATTATTTCACATACACTAAAACATAATTAAAATGTTATTCTAAGCTTTGCTTTTGTGTGTTATGTTGTATGTGCATACTAATGTTATCCTCAATCATAAAGCTATGTAAGAAATGATTGTACTTTTAAAAATGTTACGTAAACATCTTTTTTCCTAAAAGTGGCAAAAATTACCTTAGAAAGCAGTTACAGTGCAACTTTCACTTTTAAAGGTTTTCAAGATTGAATATTTTAATTCATAACATATTTCTCATTGTTAAAATTCTTTGGCTTCCTCATATCTGGCATTTAAAATTTTTCAGTTGTTTTGTAGACTATGTATGTAAGGTTGCATTTTTCACTGTCAACATAAAGTTATTGTTTGCTTTGGATTTAATATGTATTTGGATATGTATGCATATTTGTTTAAAACTATGAACTCTGGGGAGGGTTTTAATTCTATGCAACATAAGTCAGTTTTATATAATGAATATATACAACTTCAGCTAATAAAAAGTAAGATTTTAATCTTGACAATATATTCCTAAAATGCATTAAGATATTGTCAATCTAAAATGAGCTTGATTTGAGAACAAAAAGAATAAGTTCTTTTAATGAACTAGTGGTATATTGTTATATGTATATATGTTTTGCTGATTTTAGCAAGAAAATGGAAAATAATCCATAAGAAAATGGAAAATAATCCTCCTGCAAAAGAAACCTGAAGTGGATTACCTAATAAATTGTTTTCAGCCTGAATTTTAAGGTATCACGACATAGTCATGTTTGTTTTTTAAAATATCATTTTCAAAAATCAAAGACATTAATGGTATTCTCTATTTCAAAACTATGATCATTATTCTGCTTTTTGCCACCAATATTTATGCTAGGAGAAACATGTTTAAGAGTCATCAACACCTTGGGCTCATTGACCATACGAATGAGTCACATGGTCAAAATGAATAAAATGTTATTTAGAAAAAGGAAAAATATATATATATATTTATACATATGCATAGGTATTCTTTTTAAATGAATAAAAGGGCTTCATAATTTGGGACAGCAGAAAAAGGGAGTAGCAAGCATCACAGCCCAAAGCAAGAATGAAAGTAGCAATGGTGTCTAGACAAAGGAGCAAGGATATTTGCTTTTACAGTTAGTTTTATTTGGGATATCTTGGAAGAAAGAAGGGTAGGCTCTCAATGGCTAAATTAAATTATCTGGATGATTTGTCTACACAGAGCAATAATGACATCTCTTTTTGTTGTTGTTTGCTTTTGTTTTGTTTTTTGTTTGTTTGTTTGGAGACAGAGTCTCACTCTGTTGACCAGACTGGAGTTGCCCGGGCTGGAGTGCAGTGGCATGATCTCGGCTCACTGCAGCCTCCACTTCACGGATTCAAGAGATTCTCCTGCCTCAGCCTTCTGAGTAGCTGGGATTAAAGGTGCCCACCACCACACCAGCTAATTTTGGTGTTTCTAGTAGAGACAGGGGTTTCACCATTTTGGCCAGGCTGGTCTTGAACTCCTGACTTCAAGTGATCCGCCTGCCTTGGCCTCCCAAAATGCAGAGATTAGAGGCCTGAGCCACCGCGCCCGGCTCCTCTTCCTGATGTGCTATGTAGATACATCTCTAACAGGAAACTATAGATCCCCCAGCATTTGCTTTTGAAATAATTCAAAACTTTCATTTCAGTTAGGAAACACATTTTGCCAACATCATATTGTCTATCTTTTCCATTACATTCCCCATAACAATAGTTTTTAAATGAAGTATGCCTCAACTTAATGTTTATTATTAATGTAACAACTATTTGTTGACTGTTTACTACAATTCTCGGAGCACCAATGACTAAAACAAACAAAATAACCTTCCCTTGGTAGAGTTGGGGAACTTTTCCGCAGAGCATGGAAATTAAGGGGAAAAATCCTGTAGGTTTCAGGTTATCCACTAGGTGGCAAGGTGTGCAAAAGTGACTGCCTATTGCAGAGCAAAATTTGGTACAAAGAATGTGGCTTTCTATGAAAATTTCCACCATATTTTGTTTGTAATGATATTTGTAAAGTCTCTTTTTGAGCTCTACAGTTAATAGCTAACGGTCAGGATTCACTCTGTGTTCAGTTTTACAAAGCATTCTTTGCTTGGGGCTCATCTCTTCAAGAAGAGAGCCAGCTGTGTTCCCTAGTGGCCCATCTACAAGATCCCCCAGCTTACCTTAAGAGATTTTTCTCTTTTCCTCCCTATATTTCTCTGTGCCCCCAGATGTGTGGATTATGAAATCTGCCTAAGGGTCTGAACATCTGGCTTTGCAGAAGGACCACAAAGCGTTGGTTCAATTTTATTCAAATTTACCTAGATCAATTTAGATATCACACTTTGATTTGCTGATGTGGGGGGTTAGTGTCCAAAACACTAACATCTTACAATAACATCCATGCTGATAAGTAGTCAAACACATATGCCCATATGTACATACATGCAATTATGAATATATTTTATTTTCAGAGACTACTTAAGTGAGATCTCACATTTATAGCAAAGAAATAAAATTATTTCATTTAATCAGACCTCTTCTTTGGAAAAGAATTGTGATATTTTTCTCAGTGAAATTGGGCCTTTATGCATGTATTTTGTTTTCAGAGACCATTTAAGTGAGATCTCACATTTATAGCAAAGAAACACAATTACTTCATTTAATCACACCTTTTCTTTGGTAAAGAATTGTGTTCTTTCTCTCAATGAAATTGGATCTTTATGCATCTTTAGATCTCCCAAAGAGATTAAAGAAAAAAAATCTTTCCGTCTTTGAAAAATGGTTTATACAGGATGTAGAACACTTGTAGGGTTGTTTAAATATAGAGTTTGAGATTTTTCTGTGCTTGTCTAACATATGAAATCTGTATCTTTGTTTTCAGATGAGTAGCCTCTAATCCAAAAGTGAGATATTAGCTAGGCATGGTGGCACTCACCAGTAGTCCCAGCTACTTGAGAGGCCAAGGTAGGAGGACTGCTTGAGCCCTGGAGGTCAAGAGCAGCCTGGGAAGCATAGCAAGACCCCACTCTCTAAAAATACATAAATAAAGTGAGATTTTAGAGATAAATATTTTTCTTTGTGAAAATGTTCTCCCCAACAAGACTGTGTGTCTAAGGACATAATTATTAGTAAAACATTAACATTTTAATGTTTATAGCTGAAATTTTTCTCCTTAGATATTCACTTTGGCTGTGATAATTCTCAACACATTCAAAATGTGTGCCTCATAGCAGAGTTTATACATTTGGCCATGAGTTTTGATAACAGCTGTGAATAAGCAAAGGATATATTATTTTATACATAAATTGGAAATATGGGTTGTTTCTGATAGATGTGGTTGTTTTCCATTTATCAGAGTTGTAGGGAAGCTATTTTTCGAAGTTAGGGAAAAACTTTTAAGTCAGGCTCAATTCCTCTCAATACACAATCAAGCACCAATTTATATCTGTTCTGCTTAGCTCAGGGCCTTCCACATAGTTCAATTAACAAATTTACTGATTGATAACTACAATTTGTTTCATGGAGAAGTCATTCATACAAAATGTATTTATAGATCATAATGTAATCAAGCCAAGGTATTACTAGTAAAAAAAAAATCCATTCTTAATACAATTTTAAATGTAAAGGGATTTTACCTTCAGTTAGTTTAAACAAAGGAATAAATCTCACCCACCCTCCCCCCAACCCTCACTGCAATAATTCTGCTTTGGGTTTCAGGACCTAGAAATAGAGCTTTTAGTGTTTTTATTTTTAATTCCCATTACAAAATATGTCAACTTTTTAATGACTTTATTATGATGAAATTCTATTCTGGATTACTATCATTTTAGGCTTTTCTCATAGACTTACTGTCTTTTACGAGAATTTTACTTTTTAGTTCACAATAGTATGACAAGCAGAGCAGAACTCAATAAAATTTTTTAAAACCACAAATTTCTCAATAACTCCTCAATACATCAAAGTTTTCATGTAACCATATTTTCTACTCAAAATTTTCAATATACATTTTCTTCATAATTATAATTATTGTAAACATTTTATTTAGGGTTTTTACTTCATATGTTATTATAAACAGTTATCTTATCCTTAACTAGTTTTTATATTTATCTAGATTAATGGCTAAACTCCCTTGCATTTCTTTCTAAGCATTATCCTTCCCAGTGTTCCTCATTTCAGTAAAGGGCACTAGCAGCTGTCCGGTTTTTAAAGCCAAAAATCCAGGAGTTCTCAGGCCCTCCCTTCTCCTCCCCTCCCCTCCCCTCCCCTCCCCTCCCCTCCCCTCCCCTCCCCTCCCTTCCCCTCTCCTCCCCTCCCCTCTCCTCCCCTCTCCTCCCCTCTCCTCCCCTCTCCTCCCCTCCCCTCCCCTCTCCTCTTTTCTCCCCTCCCCTCCTCTCCCCTCCTCTCTCCTCTTTTCTCCCCTCCCCTCCCCTCTTCTCCCCTCCCCTCCCCTCCCGTCTCCTCCCCTCTTTTCTCTCTCTCTCTCTCTCTCTCTCTCGCGATATATATATATATATTTATTTTTGAGACACAGTCTTCCTTTGTCGCCCAGGCTGGGGTGCAGTAGTGTGATCTCAGCTCACTGCACCCTCAATCTCCCGGGCTCAAGCAATCCTCCCGCCTCAACCTCCCGACTAGCTGGGACCACAGGTGTGCACTACCACAACCAGCTCATTTTTATATTTTTATTTTTTGTAGAGATGGGGGTCTCACTATGTTGCCCAGCCTGGTCTTGAACTCCTGGGCTCAAGCAATTCTCCCACCTCGGCCTCCCAAAGGCCTGGGATTACAGGCATGAGCCATGGCACCATCTCAGTTCTCTGTATCTCCACTGCCGCCACCCAGTTCTAAGCCTTCATGACCTTCCATCTGAACAGCCTCAGATGCCTGCTAACTGGACTCCGGGCTTTCACTCTTGCTCCAGCCTATTACCCGCTCTTCACGCAGCAGTCAGGAATGATTGTTTTAAAAACATACATCACATCACATGACTCCTCTTTTAAAATCTTTCTGTAATGTTTTATTGCCCTTGAAATAGAATTCAGATTCTTTGCTACTACCTACCAGGCCCTGCCAGATACGGCTTCTGCCTTTTTTTTTTTTTTTCCAAACCCATCTCCCTCTGTGAGTTCCTTCCTTCCTCACATATTTCCTGACCTTTATCATGTTTTAGTGGCTTTTTTAGGTGCTGGGAATGGAGAAGTGAATATAACAGTGTCTTCTTTCATGGCGCTTACATTTTATGGTGCATGGACCAATGTTGTTTCTGCCTCCCGGGCTCAGCCTTTACTGCTCCTCTGCTTTGGAAAGCACTTATCCTCTCAGGGCTGCAAAGACAGAGCGAGATTAATCAGTAGATCCAGGACTCGCTAGCCTGTGACCTCTATAAATGGTCATGTTTATCTCCTCAGAGCATACTTCTGCAGGCTAAATAAATTAAATAATACAAAGCCCTTAGCACAATAAATGTAAGATAAATATGATCTATAATTTGGATTTTTATTATCAGTTTTGCAAAGAAATATTTCTACAACTTTTTCAGAGATTTCTGAGACTTGCTTCCTTATGGCATTGACCAAACTGCAAAATGAGCTCCCCTGCAGGAATTTTGAGCTACAAAATACATTCCCAAGAAGCTGGAAAAGTATTTCCTCCCAGAGCCAGGGCTCTGCTGTGCAGCATAATACAAATATCCCAAGCTTAACGCCATGGTTTTTATCATGGATGCTGATTAGAACATAATTTAGTGATGTTTTTGATTGGAAACAAATTTTGACCCCATGGTGCGTTACATTCAAAATGTCTCCATTGCAAAGTGTTTAAACTTTTATTATTGCATTTATCACATTGTATTATAGTCGTGGGTAGGGTAACCACACATCCTAAGTTTATGCCTTTTGTCCTGAAGTACCATCTGGTTTAGCATTTTAGCACTCTCAAAAGTGTCCTGGTTTAGACAATAAACTCTATAGTCCCCCAATTATGAGGCAGGTGCCTGGCTGCAGAGGCTGAGGAGCACTGGGGTGGTCCTAAGCTAAGTGTGGGTCTGTTTGAGAAATTGGTGATGCTGGTGACCCAGAGATGTCTGCTTGTTTTGCATGCAGAGAAGGGCATAGAGGAGAAACTTAGGCACCGAGGGCCAAGGGCAGAATCAGTGGAGGAGAGTAAGGAGGGTCTCCAAGACTACACCTAAACTCTAGAAGAAGAGGGCTCCTCTTCTCATTTCTGCTAAGAACACAACACATTCTAAGGCAGTGAGGATGGAAGAGAACAGCTTCGTTTTGGTTCTTTTGAGGCTTGTAGTTGTATTATAAGACAGCAAGGAATCAAGGGCAATGAGACAAAACTTAGAAGATGCCTTGCAATCCTAAACCTCAGTGAAGTGTGAAAACAACTAAACCTGGGTTTCTGAGGACTAGAAGAAACATTTGGGGTTGGCTGAGGATTGGGTTTGCATGCATCTTAATCACCAGAGTAAGATATAATTTGGTTTGGTTTCATGCTAAAGTTTTAGTTTTCGGTACTTCGAATTAAAGGGTCAGATACAGTCTGTCAGCTAAAAAAGAATATTTGTTAAGTAGAATACTTCATGTCCTGGCAGGAGGAAACCTTTCTGAACAGAGTGCACCTTGGTTATTTAGTTTAAAATTTTTATTCTGGAAGATTGTTTAAATTGAGACAGGATGGTAACTTTTTATATACAAGGAATGTTATTAAAGTACTTTGAGATTTTTGGATGCTTGATTTGAGAGCACTTGTCAAAATCAATTTGTTCATACAACACGTATTTAGATCCTACAGCTTGCCATGCACTGTGCTAAGTGCTCATGACAATATCACAATGCATATCAACTCCTCTAGTTTCTTCTGCTATGTCTATGCTGAGGACTCTCCCAGAACAGTATCTTAGCCTTTATCTCCCATCTTAACACTATACAACTAACAGCTGAATACCTTCACATAATTGTCTTATGAATACTTCAAATTGACCACAGTGAACTCATTCTCACCTGCTTACATCCTCCCCATCATCACTACCTTCCTCCCAACCCAAGAAGACGTGTCCTTCACTGACATTCCCTCCATCTAGAATAGAACTCCTTCTTCAGAGTATTTGGAGTAGTTTTTAACTTCTTCATCTTCACGTCCAACAGCCAGTAGTACACCAAAATGGTTTACTTCAAAAGTTTATCTCAAATCTTGCTTCTATCACTTCTACTCCCAATGACAGTACTAAAGTTCAGATTTCCATTGTATTTCACTTGCGTAATTATAGTAGCCTCTTCACTAATTTCCTTAGACTACAGTCTATTGCATTTCTACTTCATGTATTAGAGAGATCTTTCTGAAACACAGATCAGAAATGATACTTTTCTTCTTGAAAAATATCCAATTGCCTACACAATAAAGTACTGACTCTCTATTTTAGCTTACTGTCTGTTCAAACTATATTTTCCAGGCTTTTCTTCCACATCACTCCCACTTTACCCTCCAACTCTAGCAGATTATTCACTATTTCATGACCCTTATATGCTTTTGGTTCCATGCCTTTGATCATGTTATTAACTCAGTCGGTAATATACCTACTGAAATAGCATTCATTCTTTCACACTAAGCCAGTTGGTATTAATTGCTTACTCTACTCTTTCTAAAATACTAGTACTTTTTTAAAAAGATCTTTTAACATCGTTTCTTCTGCTATTCATTAAGGTTAGTAATAAACAAAAGGCACATGGGAGTCAGTGTTTGTCTTGGTCCCTATAAATGGTCATGTGATCCTCCAAAAGTCACGTAACTCCTCCAGACCTCTGAAAAATTGTGGTGATACTATATATGAAGTATTACAGAACTGTATGTGATGTATTATGGTTGCCTTCCTCCCACTGAAGTCCTTAATAATGAGGGGTAGTTTTCTTCATTTTTGTCTCTTTCACAACACCTAGTAAGTTCCTTTCTTGCACAACATAAGCCATCTTTAAATGCTTATTTAAATATTAAAAATTAAAATGTCACTGTAATATAAAATAATGCTCTAAATTTATCGTTGTATCATAGGTACTTAGGGGTTATGGTAAATTTGAACTTGAATATGTGAGAAATGATATTTCCCTTAAACAGTGAGAAAAGCACAAAGTACATCAGAATGATGTTGGAACAGCAGGTCTTGCCTGTAACGTGATTGGCTACATTAAGACTTTAATAAATTGATGTAATAATAAGTGGAAGTATTAGAAACATTCTGAGTCAAAGAAAGGGGAAACTGATGAAAGAAAGGGCAAAACACCATGCTACTTAGTATAAAATTAAAAGCAATATGGGAGCAATTCTTGGCAGTTTCTAGTAGAAAGTGATTTCAGCTATCAAATTTTAAATGTGCAAAATGATCTCTATTGAGGAGTGCATTTGGCTATTTAAGTCTGATGCAAAACACAAAGCATTTGATTCAGGTAACTCCCCTTGATCGGACTCCATGCCCATCAATCAATTTACTGTAGGCTGGTAAACAGAGAGAGAGAAGGTGCTGATCACATTTAGTAGGTTATCACTGTAACATTTCCTTTAGTTCTGGATTTAAAATCATGTCATGAAAAATACACGTGCTTGAGGGGTGCTGACAAAACCAGATTTCTGAGGCTAAGAACCAGACCCAGAACCAATACAAATCCATCATGGTAATAAATGCCACTCTGGGAGAGCTGTTACAAGGCATTGAATTTCACCTAATCCAATATAAGCTTGGTTTCATTCAAGTTTTTCATTTCTCTGGCTTATTATTGACAATGGTCATAATCTTTTTTGGATGGCATCCAGGAAAATACTATATATTATAGTACCAAGATTAATTAAAGGAAGGAGAGAAATACATATTTTTAGAATTTATGCTGTAAGAACAAAAAACTCCAAAGGGAAAGAAAATGAATAACTATGAACTCCTTTGCAAACACAATTGCCTAAATTAGACTTTGCAATCAGTTTTTAGGGAAAAATATGTATTTCTCTCCTTCCCTTAATTTCACAAACATTGAGAAAATAAAATATATAATTGTTGAGAATTATAGAGATACAATAAACTATTCAATGGCTGCAAGACTGAAAATGACATGGGCTTTGGAAGAAACTCACTGGAGGGCAATGTGATGGGTGTCACTGTGCTAGTATATACACGGAGCTACTTTACTTAGCTCCTTTTATTGTCCTCTCTAAAAGGGCAGCAGCTTTGATAAACTTTTCTGGGCCACCCCACTTTTCTCAGACTGCCTACCACAGGAGCACAGGCAGATATTCACTGGAACTCTGGCCCTGGCAAAAGGTAATTTCCCTTTGGGAACATATATTCATGCAGCTCAGAGGAGACAACTACCCTCAACTTGTTCAAGATGAGGGCACTCTTTGTTCATTTTTTGTTTAGATAAAAATTGGCAAATACACATTAAGTTTCTGTAAAAGGAGCTACTGGATGTCTTGTTATATCAAGACATTTTCTATGAGGATTTTTTTGGAAGAATTTTCTCTGGCTTGAATTCTTTTGGACAGGTTTTGAAATAAAATGATAAACACTGGTATTGGTAATTGCTACAAATACAAATAACAATTTGTACAATTGTTATTGTAATTTGGTATTGGTATTGTTTTTGGAATTAGCAATTGACATTTGGTGTTTAATTGGTATTAACATTTACTTAACTTTCAGTTAAACACAAATGTCAAATACAACAATTTGTACAATACTAAATACAATATCAGTATTGAAGCAAAAATATATATTCCATTTGCCACCTAGTAACTAGGTATATTCAGCAATTTGAGTTTAGCTAATGTCATCATTTTTAAACAATACATACATAAATAAGGGTGTATTAAGTCATATTGCAACCTTATACCTTAATTTAAAAACTTGATTATAAAATTAGTCATGCTTGTTTTTTAAAAGTATTTTGAACAATGAAAAATGATTTTACTTTTAAAAAAATGCTTCACTTTAATTCTTTAAGTTAAAAAATAGAATGTAACCTGAGATCCTAAAATTCCTTGTTTATTTTAATTTTTAAAACAAATTGAGAGGGGACATTAGTACAGATTTTGTCTTCAAAGTTTCCTTTAGAAAATGTCAACAACTTAAATATTTAAAAAGTGATTAACTACTTGCAAAGAGACTAAAAACAATATCTTAAGTATGTGAGTCCCCAAACATACATATTTCTGATTTAGACTTTTAAACTGTCAATACCAGAGAGACAACGCCACTGATGGGGACCTGGCACTAGTCCTTCCAGTTAATTTTTTCCTTGGAGAATGGTTTTGGGCGACAGAGTGGCGTCCGGCTTCCCAGGTTGTTGCACTGACAAACTGCAGTGGTGGCAAAGTCAAGGAGTCTGACAAAATCTCATTAATCATTTTAAATTAAATCCAACCTTCCTGTCCAACCATGCCAGGAAGAAAGCCTTTATTTTTTTTTTAACAAATAAAAATTTCCTCAGTAAAGATTTGATATCTTTCTCTTGTTGGTCTTTAATTTGATGAGACAAAAATAAAATAAAACAATGTACATTTTTAAGCTTGAAAACAAAACATTTGTCCAGATAATGATTTAACAGGTCAACTAAGTGTCTTTTTAAAATAAATTTTGAATAAAAATACATGGAAACATTCTGAAGGGAAAGCCTACTAGGTAAATTAGGGACATTGTTCATATTCTGAATAGTTTGATTAATTTATTTTGTTCTATCTAAAATATATGATCCTTAAGAAGATTTTAAAGAGGAAATACACAAAAAATCCACTATCTATAATATTTTGGTATATTTTATGCCAGTCTCTTCTTTGTATTCACAGGTTTTTGCTTTGTTTTATATAATAATTGTAATTTGTGTATATATATGTACAATACACACATGTACAATTTTATATACTTTATAATATCTGTAAGAATTTTCCCATATTATTGATAAATATCATTGCATCATAGTAATACATCATGAGGATGTATTTTGGTCTTCTCAACCAGTGCTTAGCATAGTGTCTGGTACATAGAATGTACTCGAATATTTGTTGGGTATTTGTTAGAATTTCAGTGTTTCCATCTCTTTTTTCTTTTAAAAACTGATGTAATTAAAGTTGTGCATATTGCCTTTTCCCAATTTGGAATTATTTCCTTAAGATGACTTTCTAGAAGAAGACACATTCACTTATGAATGCTTGACAAGAAACTGTAGGCAATAGTGTTATTAATAATGATATTTAGGAAAAAGTTCACTTTTGACACAGGAAAACAGGTTTTAATTTGAATAAACAAGTTGTTATTTTAAATATTAAAGCTTATGAATAAGCTTACTCTCATTGAGCACAATATTCATAATATTGTCAAAAACTTAGACCAATTAAAAGAAGTAACAAGATCAATGACAAACTCTTGATGTTTTTCTTATTTTTAAAAAAGGTCACCGAGTCTGCACGAAAAAAAGTAGGTAGGCAATCTCCAAGTAGCAATAACTCATTCAGATAGTTCAAATTATTTCTGGAGAGGTGAATTTATGTCTAGAATAATACACAGTTGAATCTTAATATTTTTTAAAAGTTAGCTAATATACTCTGGTTTGTAAATTGTGAAAGGTCTGGATGTATTTTTTAAAAATGGAAATAGTAAAGCCATATTTCTATGTGATTATATAGAATCTAAACCAGAGCAAAAATGATTCAACTGGATTTATTGAGAAACTACTCTGGGCTAACATCTGTGTTAGGCACTGAGTGAGATACAAGAACAAAATTTCCACCTGCAAGAATTAAGAAAGTTGTCCTGGAGGGGAAAGAATCTAACAGGACTTGGAAGGACAAATAACATTCAACAGGTAAATATGAAGAAAGGTTAACAGCTTTCCCGAAGAGAAACACAGTGCAAATGAATGGAAATATGAAAATACAGATTTTTATGAAAATACAAATTCATCAAGATTAGAGAGTGCTAATTTTAAAAGAATGTATTCAGTAAAAACCCTATTGATGACAAATTTGGAGGGAATTCTAAAAGTTGTTAAGCATTTTTGTTCTTTCCTCTCTTCTTCTTTTCATTTTCTTTTTCCTTCCTAGTAGGACACCAACTAGGAAACACTGAATTGCTAATTTGGTAAACATTTACTAAATGTTTATAATTAAGGTTTTTCATAGATAGAACATGTTAAAAATTTCTACTCACCTAGTTTTAAAAATAATCAGGAACAAATCCCTACTCAGTAATCATAGGAAGTAGAAAAAGAATACTACCCAATTGGAGAGGGTTCCACTTCAAGTGATGGTCAAGAAGTTCTTTCAGACCAACCTGCCAACATATGAAATTACAAACTCTGGACAAAATATTTAAAAATTAACTAACTGAAAGTAATAGAAAACAACCAAAAGCAGGTTGATCCTACAGAGGAGTGAATACTTAGAAGAAATAGCACTGGGTGAGTTTCCTATTTTTATAGTTCATAGCCTGAGGAACTCCTCACTCTGCATCATGTGGAGACTACAGTTGTATTGACTTGAAGAACACTAGGACACGTTTGGGGTAATGGCAACTGCTGGAAAACGCAGAGGGAAATCCTGATACGAAAAGAACCACAGAGAGAGCCCTAAATTCTGTGTATGACTCTGCTAAAGCTGGCTGGTCTCCCACGCATGCATGTACAGAAGAGATTTCAAGTACAATAGCCAGGTTAAAAAGCTGAACTAAAATCTGAGCTGCCACGAACTCTAGGGGAACCAGAGCTTGCAGCTGGCAGTTTGGCCAAGTTAACTAGCTGCTTTAAAAAAAAAAAAAAAAAAAAAAAAAAAGAAGCCTTTAGAGAAACAAATAAAAATCCAGGGTTTCTGCAACATTTTACTTACCATGTTCCAGACACAATCTAAATTACTCTACATATGAAGAAACAGGAAAATGTAACCCATTCTCGAAAGAAAAGAAAATTAGAGAAGACTGACAATGAAATGATCCAGAATATTGAAATGAATATTGAATATATTCATACATTAAAATAAGAATTTTGAAAATTGAATATTGAAATATCCAATACTGAAATATTGAATATTAAAATACTAAATATTAAAATAGACAAGTATTTAATATTGAAATAGAATACTGAAATGAGCCATCAAGTATCTTAGCTATTATAACTATGCTAAAAGGTGTAAGGAAAAATACACCAGTCATGAATGAAAAGATAATCTCAGCACAGAAATATAAATTATAAAAACTAAATAGAATTTCTAGAACTAAAACATACAATAATTAGAATAAAAGTTCACTGAATGGGCTTAAAAGAAAATGAGTACAGAAGAGTCAGTGAGTTGGACTATACAAATCAAGTGAAAAAAATCCAATTGAAGAAAAAAGAGAAAAAAAGGGATGAAAAACCAAGAGCTTCAAAAACCTGTGAGACAATATCGAAAGGTCTAGCATATTCATAAATGCAGTCCCAGGAGGAGAAGAGAAAATGAGATTGAAAAACAATATTTGATGAAATAAAGCACTCAGAGGAAAATTACATTTGTTCACAAGGGAAAAACTATTTGAACACTACTCTTCTCATTGGAAACAATGGAGGTCAGGAAACTGGAACAATATCCTTAAAATGCCAAACGTGGGGTGGGGGGAAGTTAATCTAGAATTATGTATTCAGCAAAAATATTCCTCAGGAAGGAAAACAAAATAAAGACATTTTCAGATTTTAAAATTTGTCATACTTAATTTCCAGCAGATCTGAACTATAGATGTTAAAGTTTTTCAGTTTGAAAGGAAAGATGCTACAAGGAAACTTGGATTTTTCAGGAAGAAATAGAGCATCAGAAATGATAATTTGGGTAAATATAAAAGAGCATTTTTTTAAATTTAAAATATATATGTCTGTTCAAAGAAAATTATAACATTATATTGTGGAGTTTATAACATATACGTAATACATTTAATAAGATAATGGATGGGGTGATAGGGTAAAGAGGCTTACATGGTTGTAAGTTTTCGATGTTTCATGTTATATAGTACAATATTATCTGTAAATAGGCTGTAAAGTTGTATATTTTGAACTGGGTTTGCTTTGCCCAGGTATACATGCATTTGCGGAGACTCATTGATTAGTACACATAAATTTTACCTCAAACAAAAAAGCTGGCCTGGCACGGTGGCTCATGCCTGTAATTCCAACACTTTGGGAGGCCGAGATGGGTGGCCCATAAGGTCAGGAGATTGAGACCATCCTGGTTAAGCAAGAAATGTGGTCTTACTATGTTGCCCAGGCTGGTCTGAAACTCCTGGGCTCAAGCAGTTCTCCCACCTTGGCCTCCCAAAGTGCTGGAATTACAGGCTTGAGCCACTGTGCCTGGCCTGGTTAACACGGTGAAACCCCATCTCTATTAATAATACAAAAAATTAGCTGGGCGTGGTGGCACGTGCCTGCAGTCCCAGCTGCTTGGGAGGCTGAGGCAGGAGAATCGCTTGAACCTGGGAGGCGGAAGTTGCAGTGAGCCAAGATCGCACCACTGGACTCCAGCCTGGGCAGCAGAGGGAGACTCTGTCTCAAAAAAAAAAAAAAAAAAAAAAGCTAAAAAAATGATCTCTAGCTAATGATTTGCAAGTTTAATTAAGTCTTTAGGAAGGAAGTTACGTCTCAAACTTATTTTTAGCTGTATCAAAATAATTGATGGATAGAGGAATAGATAAACATGATTTAGTGAATACAGTAAAATTTTAATTGTAGAATCTAGGTGGTGAGTAGGCATTCTCTGCAAAATAATTCCACTTTTCTATTTTAAAATTTATTTTATTTTTAAATTTTATTGACACAGGGTCTCACTGTTGCCTAGGCTGGAGTGCAGTGGCAATCACAGCTCACTGCAATCTCGAACTCCTGGGCTCAGGCCATCCTCCTGCCTCAGCCTCCTGAGTAGCTAGGACTACGGACAGGTATGTACCACCACGCCTGGCTAATTTTTTAGTTTTAAGTAGAAACGTGGTCTTGCCATGTTGCCCAGGCTGGTCTGAAACTCCTGGGTTCAAGCAAACCTCCCACCTTGGCCTCCCAAAGTGCTGGGATTACAGGCATGAGCCACTGTGCCTGGCCCCACTTTTCTATGTGTTTGAAATATTCCTAAGAAAATGTTGGAAAAGGAAATATTGCCAATCCACATTTATAATCAAGTCAGGGTAGAAAAATAAAATAGGAAAAAGAAAAAAAGTTAGGAAATTGAGGATACAAAAAAAGGAAAAGATATAAGCTAAAACAGAAGCAGAGAGAACTGGATGGTAAGAGACAGGTATGAAGAAAAACAAAGAAGGAAAGACAGAAGGAGGTAGACAGAGGGAGAGGGCAAAGTGTTAATCACTGAAAACTAGGCATGATAGTAAATAATAGTTATCACCACCCTTTGTCTTTTGAAATGTAATAAAGCAGTTTTGAAGTTAAAAATTAGAATTGTCATGGAATTCAAAATTGTGCACATGCAAAAATGATTTGGATATTTGCTTCAGAATCTTAGAAATTATTTACTATCAGTCTAAAAGTCCCTTAGACATTCAAAATTTGATTATCGTATGTCTTGTCCTTGAAAAATCTGTAGTACAACATTCCAGTTGTAATATTGACAACCACTTTTGACTAAGGGTCAGATCTGGAAGGAAGCCAGGATTCAATACCTCTAGTAAGGAGTTTTTACCTCCCTCAACTCCCTCCTCTAAACTAGTAGCTCAACCCATCACATACTATTTCATTCCTAAGGTTATGCTTTTTACTTGGAGGTCACTTTTAACTTACCATATAACTACACTGTTCTCTATCATTCTAATGCTGCATATTTTAACTATTAAATAATTGTTAATTAAGATATACTTCATATAGTTGCTCTCCATTCAGCAGATTTTTTCTTCTCAGTACCCAGTTATGTATTATCTGTGAGAGCAGGGCCCATGTCTAGTACCTCGCACAATGTTAACACATGTAAAGCCCTGGATAGACATTCACTGAACCAATGAGTAAAGAGTGTTTACTGTTCTTCACAATATGTCTTTCTCAATGGACTCTGAACGGGGATCATCAAGATTACAAAAATAGTAAAGTTTGCATAATCACACCACATATAAGCAAGCAAACATTTACCAGAGTTCTAATAATATTTTATTTTATTCCTATGAATGTAAATCATAAATTTTGATGTTTTAAAAATCCTAAATGGTTTAAAGGACTTACCGAGACTTGATTAACCCAGTTTTTAAAATAAAAAATCAAATTATAAATTTATATTATAAAAATAACTGCCAGTTTTGCATAGTAATATAGTAACAAATCAACACTCTTCAAAGTTTAAAGGAAAAGGAAGCTGGTATTGGTTTCTGTCTGAAGTCAGATCTAACTTTTACGAAGACAATAGTTTCAGATCAGAATCAAATAAATTTCAGAACTCAGTTTGAGAGAAAAGGAAAAACTTTAGTTAAAATCTTTACAATAAAATAATTATGACTATAAATCTCTTTAGTTAAATATGTACACATTACATGGTATTTGTATAAAGAATGGAAATGGATAAAGTTTTTCAGGCAAATCTAATGCACAAATACACCATCTTTTAGAGTATAATGTCAGTTTATCATTCGTTAACAGCTGTGTTAGACAGTGGCTCTGCTTTGTGCAAAACGTGATAAACAAAATTAGGAAAAATTCTGCAAAATTATTTAGTTCCCCAAGGAAATTACTAAAATAGAAAATGGCAAAAGAAAAAAAGGTTGCACACTGAAGCTTGATTGTATACTCAGGCTACAATGACCAGCACTGATGTAACCCCCATATCTGCTAAGTCCTTGGGTAGCTTTAGTCTGAAGTAAAAACTGAAGTCCTAGCAATTGTGCTTTTTATGCAGCCACATGGCCAATAAGGTAGATATTGTCATAAAGATGCCCTACAAAATCTTCACTAATATTTTGAGCAGCGCGACGGGTATTTCGAATAAATTCCCTTTTTGACATTTTATTCTTCACATGAGGGCTAGTGAGGTCAATGGAAAGTAGAATCAAAGAGTAGCACAGTACATAGACAGCATCTGGAAAGAAAAAGAAACAGTTCAAATTATTAGTTGGTTTACAAAATATGATTCCAATGGCATTATATAAGGCAAAAATGTTCATAATTTCAAGATATCAAGATTAGCTCATAAATACAGAGTGACCAATCCATCCCAGTTTGTCTAGACTCTTCCCAGTTTTGCACTGAAAGTCCTGTCATCCTGGGAAACTCAATCCTGAGCAAACCAGGATGGTTATCATCCTATCTTAATACTAACTAAGCATGCATTTCCTTCATTTCAAAAGAACTTTAGAACAGTTTAGGAGTGTATAGTAAAAATTCATTCTAGATTTAAAAAATTTAGAATTGGCTTTATTTTCGTCTTTGCTTTCAAATGTGATATTTCTATTCAAACATCCATAAAATACATTTGTATTTATCTCCTCTTTCTAAAAAAAAATTTATATAGAATGCTTTCATAAAAACCTATTTTAATTTGAGAGCATCTTTAATGACAAGAAAACATGAATCTGGTACTAGAAAATAAAATGTAAATAACTCAAAAGATTATTAATATTCTCATTTAAGATGTTATAAAGGCCTGTGGAACTTACATATTAATTTTGAAAGCAAATCTTTAGGGAAAAGACTGCTACACCTGAGCACCATGCAACAAGATTTTATATATGCCTAGGGTAATATTTGATGTTTAATATTAAAATAGTAACAATCGTCATAATAGTTCTACTACTATAGTGCTGATATTTCGGAATCCTGCAGTCTTAAGAAAGCCAAGTTGAACATTATGTCTTGTAAAGCATGCTCAACAAATTTCACACGACAGGAACAGTTTTGTAATTTCTGTTTAATCAGATAAGCACAATAAAATTTTTGATATGAAAAGATAAGCTATATGAATTGAAACAATATGTAGAAGATTCAGGCTATATCATAAGCATACAAACATACACATATAGATAGAAGTACACACAAACAGACATATATAACAACTTTATATATATACAAATGTCTATATGTCTATATGTGTATATAGACATAGACACAGTCTATGTGTATGTCTATATGTGTATATAGACATAGACATTTGTATACATATAAATTTGTAATATATATATTTATATATAAATTTGTAGGTAATATATAAAAAATATAAATGGCTATATATACATAGCCATGTATATATATATATACACACACACACACACACACACGCACACCATAGCTATGACAAACTGTTTTTTCCAAGCTCCCATAAATGATGAAGTAGTCAGTCACTGCTACAAACAGTAAAACAAGTATTTGTAATTACTGAGAATATTTTTCCCCACAGTGAGACAAATGTCTCATATATCTCTGTTTTTACCTAAAGATGGGCAGGGGGTGATGTACTATTAATATATATATTCTTACCAGGACTAAGGCCAAGTTCTCGCATTAAATCAGGGTTGCAAGCACAGAATCTATGTGAGAACTTTGTTATAAGAGTTTCAAGATACTCTCCACGCTCTTCAGGGGCATGGATATGACGAAAAAATTCTCTCAGTGCATTTGGCAAGAACTGATTTCTAAAATTATGCAATGTTACAAGGTCATCCAAGACATCTCTCCTACAGAAAGAAAAAAAGGCACAGCTTTGGTTAACTTTTCTTCATTAAAAAAATGGTAAGAAAAATAACAAATTTCCATTTTTTGGATAAAATACCTTATTACTGATTACTAGATCAGCTAATCCTATAAAAGTATATATAATTCCCAACATTAAAAAATCTAAGTATGATTATTTAAGAAGTTAACTTTGAAATCTCTCATGAGTAGTTTATGACAAAATGAAACAAGGTAAAACCTAGTAATTTTACTTCTAAAATGAAGAAAAAAGGAATTCTGCAGTATTAAAATGAACAATTTCTTTTTAAGTGCCTTCTTGGCCAAATCCAAATAGCAATAGAATTGTTTATTTTTCAAATTATGAAAGTAATGACAGTCTCCACCTATACCAATTCACATCTTCAGAGGTAAAAACTATTTACATAGACTTTTAAGAATGCCTACATATGCTATATATTGTTTTATAATTTGTTTTTGCTTTTTTCACATAGTATATTGTGGACAGCTTTGTATATCTTTATACCTAGATCCACCTAATTTATTTTTAATGGCACAGTATCCTGTCTAATGGATGCAACAATCCTATTGATATACATTTAGCTTATTTGCTATAATATAAATATATGTGTGTGTATATCTAATTTTTTAAAAAAATCACTAGCATTTCAATATAGAGTCACACTTTGTTACAATGTCCTTCAATTCTTATTGAACTCAATCATGATTTTATGATCAAATCTTCAACTTCTACCAATTGCATATAACAGGAACAGGCGAACTACAGCTACTGGGCCAGATCTGGCCTGCTGCCTGCTTTTGTAAATACAGCTTATTAGAACACATCCACACTACTTTATGTATTGTCTATATCTGCTTTCACCACAGAATGGCAGAGTTTTAAGTAGCTGTGACAAAGATCATATGACCCACAAAACCTAAAATATTTACAAAAAAAAAAAAAAAGAAGAAAGAAAGAAAAAGAAAAGAAAGAAAAAAACCCCTGCCTATCCCTAGGTACTTGGCACTTAAAGACAAAAAAACTTAATGATGCGATCTTTACATCTTTCAATGACCAGGATGCTGGACTCTGAACTTCTCAAAGACAGGGACTGTATCTTAATCATCCGTGTGCTACTACTCTAGCAAAGTTTCTGGAATATAATGAATATTTACAGATTGCTGTTGAAAAATACTGATATATACAAAAGTTTGAGAATTACAATGAAGGTAAACTATTTTTAAGCCATACATTACATTAGCACGAGAGCTATAATTTTAAAAATGGTAGTTCAGTTATGTGGCATCAAAATGTTGTCCCCAAATTTATGTTCTTTAATAATCAAAAGTAAAGTGTACAAATGAATAACTATCAAATCAGAACAGCATACTAACCATCATCTCTGTGTAAAACTGCTAAATGTTACATTTTCATAATTTTCACACTTGAACATAACATTTCTATATAGTGTCTACATGCAAATATATATACCTTATATCCCTAGGATTTGGGGTTTATGACTATAATCTGTCTTTGTACTAGGTTTTTTATATGGATAATTTCATAATTCAGAATTTTTACCACTATAAACACTTAGATTATGGCTACTTGTCTTAAAAAATCAGGGTTGCAGATTCCTGAAAAATATTTTGTTTTGGTTTGCTATTACAAAGACGTTGGGCTTCCATTTTGTGTACATGTGGACTTTTACTTACTTTTAAAATGGTAACTTCCTCATCAACAAGTCAAAGCTCACGAAAGAAATGATGTGTGAGATATAGGAATCTTTTCCCTGTCTTTATTCAATTTTGCAACCAGATGATTACTATGCAGTATTAGTTTTAAAGTAAAACTTAACTCATCAAAAACATTACTTAACTCATTTTGGATGAAAAGTTAATTTTCGTTTTTACCTTTCATCAAGATAGATTCTCAGTTTTTTCCAATTTAGTGTTCTTGTACAGAAGATAAACTTTGCTATTTCCTTTGGCGAATCATCCAGGATACCCTTGGACATAAAGTAGTTCACTCCCTAAGGCAGAAAGACAAGTCTACATAAATAAAATTGCTCTTTATTTATGCATTTTAACAATTAAGCAATAGCACAACAGTAGCTATAAATTCTTTCCAGCATTAATAGACTTTTTGTAGCTTTATCATGCAAAATACAAGCTAGAACTTGAACTGAAACTATTGTTTGTGGTTGATAGTTTACATGCAATGAAAAGCAGGAAATTCAAAGTTAAGACTGTTAAAGAAATCTTATTTAATTTTCTGGCTCATGTCAGGTAAAACTAACTATACAGAAATACGGCCTAATTTGGGGAAGGGGGCTGCAGATGAAACCACAATACAGACGTTAAAACAAGCCTTTTAACAAACACTTCTGCTGTCTAATACAAAACATGATTTCTTAAAGCTCACATATATATTGCAGTATGCCTTTCAAGGAAAGAGCTTCTTGATAAAAAAATGCTCCAAATGAAAGACTAGCAATTTTATTCTGGGAGAAAAATATTAAATTATTTAACTTAAAGTAAAGGAAGCCCAACTCCAAACCAATGTATAGGTTGTACTACTTTGGCTTTAAACATTGCTATGTTCTACAAAAACCTAGCTACAATACACACTGAGGGAAAACATAGTAAGACAAAACAATTCAATGTTTTTCATAGAATTTATCTTTGAATTTCCTTTTCTCTGCATGCAAAGTTTTCCAGAGAAGCATTACCCATAAGTTTTTACCTACTTTAGATTTAAACCACCACCAACAAAACACCACCAACAAAAAAATCAAATGCTGAAAACAGTATTCTCTCACATATACAGAGGTTACATTCAAATAAATGTCTTCGCTGGATTTGAATGTGCAGTTATTGAAATAAAAGGCAGGTGGGTTTATTTCAACTTGCGGTTATCCAGATACATGCATTCCCATGAATACTTATGTCTGGATACTAGCACACTATGTGCCGTTAATTGGCAGAGAAAATGACGTATTATATACACACAACATAATGTTTTCACACATAAATTCCTTTGGCATTTCTTCACTTTACAAACACTTACATAGTACTCAGAAATATTACACACATTAAGAATTTTAAAAGTTGGAAGAATATCTATAAAAACCTTTTCAAGATAAAAACTTTCTCATAAAACTTTTATGGTAAAAATTTTTTTTAAGTAATTAGGTACCACGAGGTAATGCTTTTGAAAGGTTATAATTATCTATAAGTTGTAATTCAAAGATCAGACTTTTTATATAAAACTAACTTTATGAGCCATCAACATAATAGCCTACTAGCAATTCGATCAAATTTTCATGTGAATTTTAATAATACAAAAGCAATGCTAAGGCACTGATTTTAAAAATGTACATGAAGAAAAGAACGTGATAACGTGAAACTTTCTTGTCAACTCTGTTGTAACCTGTATTTCAGACTAAATCCTGAATACAAGGGCTAGAAAATGTAATATGATAAGATGGAAAGCCAAAATACTTCTTTGGAATGAGGCTTTCATCAACTGTCCGAGGGGGCAGCAACTAGAAAACTGTTAATGCTTGTTCTATCCTTTCCTCCATTAGTTTGAATAATCGAGAGTTGACTGTATACTCAATCTGCTTAGCAAAAGTCAGGTTTGTTTCCAAAATTCCTCAGTGTAAAAGGATAACAATATTTTAGAATTATTTCCAGTATTTAATTTTAATTGAAATGATTTAAAAACAATGTCAATTAAGCATTATTTAATAGATTCTTTATTCATACCTAAATCAGTATCTGAGATGTAGAACTAATGCTAAGCTACTTTTTAAAAATTGTGCAAAATAAACAAACCTACTAATAGTATACATTAATGATATCTAATTCTCTAGTTACATAATCTATGCCACTTTAATATCATTTGGTGATAGTTATAAATTAACACTGGTATTTGCCTCATGTAAACATCATAAAAATACACTGTTAGCCATATTCTGTTTTATAAAAAACACATTTTGAGAATTTTATATCTAATCTAACCTCAGTTCTCCCAAATCAATCAAATACATAGAAGCAGTCATGAGCACAAAGAATTTTAAATTCAATCCTGAAAATTGGGAACATAGATTGAAATAAGCCAACTCTATTGGTTTTATGAGGAAAAGAGGCATCAGGTTCAAGCTTGGGATTCCTTTGGAGAGGAAGGTTACTTTAGAAGGGCTACCAAAGTGAATGGTAAAGGAATAACAAATACAAAAAGACATGAGAACAGATTATAACTGTCTCTAATAAGCAAGCTGTAAGTCACCCAAATTCTTATCTTCTTATGTATTAGGTTGGTGCGAAAGTGATTGCGGTTTTTGCCATTAAAAGTAATGTCAAAAAACCGCAATCACTTTCGCACCAACGTACAATTAAATACAAAAAAATACCACAGCATGAGGTCTGTTGAATAACTACATATTTGTTTAGTAAGTGGTATAAACATTTTTAAAAATAAAATTTTAGAAGAATGGTACAGAGAAACTCCTAGACCACATAGCATATCAGTGACTAGTCAGGACTAGAACTCTGAGCAGTGTGTATGTGCATGGACATCTGTGCAGTGTCTCACATGCAAAGGAAATCATTAGTCTAGATATATATATATATAGTATTCTAAAGAAGGAAGGTTGTAGCTCAGTATAGTCTACAAAATTGACTATAAAAGTTTCCAATTTTGGGTGTCACATTTTATAAGGCATACTGACAAATTAGGACTTATCTGGATAAAGGAAATCAAGACCTGGTGAGATCGTTGAAGGCTGTAGAATTCATGTTATGTAAGAAAGAGCGGAGGGACATAGGAGTATTAGGCCAGAGAAGAAGATATACTTAGGAAAGAAGAAAAGATTAAGACTTTAGGATATCTAAAAGACTGTGTCACAAGGAAAAAGGAAAAGATGTGTGTGGTTGTAGTGAAGATATTAAGCTCTTTTGGGGGGCTATGGACCCTTTTGAGTACTAGGAAAGTCACAGAACTTCTTCCCAGAATAATGCACATACACATTTTTTAAAACAGAAATAGAGTTCCATCTAAGGACTGCAGGTTACAAATCCTTATCCTAGATGAGTATAGATGTAAAGTCAGGAAATCTCAATTATAGGCAGACAGATTAGTACCACATAAGGAAGGGAATGCTTGTAACTTTAGTTGAGCTGTTCAAAGACCAATCATTTGTCTTTGCTTGATTCAATTTTGTTGTTGTTGTTGTTGTTCTTACATTTTCAAAATAAGATTAAGCTTCAAACTCAGAACTACTTAAATTTGACCGTTTAATCTATACACATTTTAACTCCCATTTGCAACTCTGTTCAACTTTTAGAATTATCTAAATTGTTGCAGTCATAATGTAGTTCCTTTTTATTTGCATGTGGGGAGAATTCTAAGATAGTTTTGTCAGATAACTCTGAGATGAATCATGATGGTGTTAGTACTATCATGGGCTGAAACCATCATGATTAATCTCAGATACCTCCAAGCATAGAGATCAGCTCCTGTCAGGTGAAAGGAAACTACTGGCCAAAATATATTTTTAAAAAATAGTTTTAAAGGATAGTTACAGTGGGGTAAATAAAATTCCTCTTATTAAAATAGATATTAGGCCTCATATTTCTTGGGAAAATAAACTGGTAAATAATGTCCATGCTACTAATTAAAAATTTCCTAGTCATTTGATTTTTTTAAAAAAGTATCCAATTCACTTTACATTTAGATAGAAAGATGAATGCCTATAAGACTAGCTTGTAAAATAGATATATGTATATCTGTGCATATTTACATATATGCATCTGCTTTAAAATATTTTTTAAAACATGAAGCAATACATTAAAATTGTCCACATTTTATTTTTGAAACATATTAAACACAAGGTGTGATATGCAAGGTATTCAGTGATAGACACTGAGTAGTGTAACACAGAGTTTTGCCCTAAGAAAATTTAAAGTTTATCTGTGGCAATGAGACACATACATAAACATCTAGAATACACACGTGCCAAGGTACATCAATAATACATGGCAGTAGAAGAAAACCTAAATGAATGCTTATGAAAAGTAAGTGTTTCAGAGTTCAATGAAAGGAAAAGTCACTATGGGATAGGACGTTTGGATAAGGTTTCCTGCTAGAGATTAGACTGAAGTATTGTAAGGGGTTTAGACAAGGAATTTAAGGGGTTTAGACAGCTCTGAATGAGGGGAACACTGGAGAAGAATGTTCCAGTTAATACTGTATTATATGAGCAAAAGTAATATATAATTTTTAAAGACTATTTTTAGGAAGGCAGGGGAAATATTTTGGGTTGGAGAGTAAATGTACAACCAGACTATGACAGTGACAGAAATAGTGCTGAATTTTAGGGTAAGAAGTTTATTCTCTATCCTAAATCTAACTGGAAGCCTCTGAAGGCTTTTAAACCTGATGAAGCAATGGGCTATAATGTGAATTTGGCAGCAATATAAAGATAAATAATGAAAGAAAAATTAGATAGTGGGCTATTCAGCGGAGCACTCACTTAAAAAATAAAAATAAATAGATAGCGGGCTATACAACTGTATATGTTACATATATGTTACATATATGAAAATAACTTGATAAATATGCTGACTATCAAGCCATGTGACAGTGAAAAGTGAAAGACAGCTGATGGTTCTGGCTTAGATGAAGAGGGAAATGACTGACAGAAAAATGATGGACAGGTCAAAAAAAGTCAAAGAGGGTGTTGATTTGAAGAAAACAGTGATGAGTTAGCTTTTAGACATGTTGAATTTTAGGTGATGACAGATATAACTAGAAAGGCATAGTAGGCAGTTGGTAATGTAATAGGATATATTTTAAAAGTGAGGGTTGAAGATATAGATTCAGGATCTTGGATAAGAAGGATTAGTAAGGGAGTAATGAAGAGAATGATAGAATAATGTTCCAGAAGCCAAGAGCCTTCGAGTTAAAGAACAGGGTGTCTAGTGCAATTATGCAGTATGATGGAAAGAGCACCATTTTTAGGACAGGGACCAAGCCATGGTTCTGCAACTTAATGATGATATGAACATAAACAATCTACACAATCTTCCTGAGCCTCAGTTTCCTAATCAGTAAAAATCTCAGTGGGCTAAGTGCATAGCAAAAGGAACACAGCTAGTTTTCTTTTTCTTTCAAATAGCTGAAGGATACTAGAATAGGAAGAGGGCACTGAGTTTGGTGACTGGGAGGAAAGAAGTGACTTTCAAGAGGTCTCTTTCCACACTGTAGCAGAGGCTGAAATCCAAGAAGAAAACAAAAGAATGAGCTCAAGGTAAGGAAACTGAGTATTGTCCACTCACTTGAAAAATATATTAGTACAAAGGAGGAAAAAATGGCAAAATTAAAGGGAAAAAAGAGAAAGTATTTTTTTTTCAAGATAATTATGACCTACTCATGTTAGAAGACAAAAAGAGAGGTCAATGCAGACAGGAAAAGACTGATGTGCGGGAGATTTTGCTGCAGGGGCAGCAAAGCCGATAAAAAGAGAGCAGGGGAAAGGTCTGAAAATACTGCTGGAGTTTATAATGATTAGCCTGGGGGACAGCACAGTAGCACCGGCTCAGAGACAGCTACAGTAAGAAAGTGAAAAGCAGAAAACAAAGAACATGTTGGTTTCTTTCTTAGGTCTATCTGGGGAGCATTGGAAAAGAGAGGGCTGATTTGGATTCTTGGGCAAAGTGGTGAAGATTTCTATCAACAACGATGCAGGATATGACTGGATATGACTGGGAATTCACTAGGAATAAACTAAAGGAGTGCCAAGCAGCAGTGAGAATCTAGGTGAAGTTAATGTGAATTCAGCCCATCTCTTGTTAAGGTTAAGCAAAATCTACCATACATATGTTCAGAATCAGTAAATATATATTTGGGAACAGAGTGAATTCTAGAAAATTAGACATGCAAAGCCAAATGAAAAAGTACTGATAATTGGTACTGAAAGTACTGTCTACTGCCACAGACACCTGGCACACACATTGTGTAACAGTTGGTATCAATAAAAGTTACATGATGTTTTGTTTTGTTTTATTGGTGTCACTAATAAAACAAAACTGTCACATACTAGGGAGTACCTTTAATTTTTTTCCTAAAGAACAACATAGTAAAGAAATTTAGAAAAAAATTTGATTTAGCAAGTTTTGTTCAATTTCGTCCTTGTATAAAATGTAAAATCTAGTACAATGGCCACTACTTTTCAGGTCATCAAACTGCCCTTAGACCATTATATAATAGAAAGCCAATTGGATACTGCATTTAATTTTCTTTTAAAAAAACATTTTGAAGACTTTAAAAATAGTAATACTTAAACAATATAGCTCAATCTAGATTTCTAACTTTTCTTTCAACATGATAACCAATATATTATTTTTCAAGTATACATTTTAACCACAGTGAAACTAACTGAATATATTATTTTTCAAGTATACATTTGAGCACAATGAAACTTAAACTGAAATGTAACATTTTCAAACTGAAGATAATGTAAAAATTAAGTGACACAATATACGTTATTAATAGTAAAAATAATTGACACATCTGCAGGTCAAATGGGAACATCCCCATTGTTTTGTTTGCAAATAGCAGCAGCAATGGTTAAGATGACTGCTCTGATACTATTTCTTCTTTTCTACAGTGTTTGAAGAATTGCTAAGGTAAATGTAAAATCTATTAATTTTTATCAGTCCAGAAGTTCTCATTCTCCCTATTTAAGCAGAGAACATGTGCTCTATAGTTAAGGGAGGGTGGGCCTCACAGAATGTGAATAATTGACAATATTTATCTGAGGATATTTATTATGCAAATAAAAAATCAACACCTTGCTTTTTGGCTGCGGTGAAATAAGCGCAGAAGATTTCTTAATTAGTATGTTTAAGACTAGGTGTCTATGTTTTTATCCTGTCATTTCATTTCTTTCTACCCACTAAATTTTGTAATGTTTTCTGCTTTCTGTAATTTTCCATGACCTTCTATGTTTAACACTGACCTTGAGCACATACATAACAGAAATGTCACACATTGCTTTTATTAAGCTGCCTATAAATATAACAATAGTTATTCCTAATACAGTCACTAGATTCAAAGACTAAAGTAAAATCTATGCCCAGATTTTAAAAGTTGTCCTAGATAAAAAGATTATAAGAGTACTAAGTTTTCCTCTCACTGAGGAACCCATAACTAGGCTATTCACCAGAAGGCTCTGTGTTACACAGAACTAAGAGGAAAGGGGGCAGTGAAAATTGGGAAAGAAATGTAAAGATAGTTTTGATGTCAGTTTTAAGTCTAAATAGCAGATTTCAGTCTCCTTTCTTCCAGAGCAAGAACAGAGAGCACACACTGTCCACACTGAAGTGGGAGAATTAACAGCTGTGAAGAGAGAGTGCCAGTATCCTGTAGCCAGTTTTCTCAGTTAGCTATGAAACATAATACCATATTTTGTCTGGAGGATAATGAAGAGTTTTGATTTTACATTTACCTTTCGTATAATATTAAACCAGTTTATGTATAAACATTGTTTGAATTGGCAAGGATTTCAGCTAGAATGATTTATGGAAGACTTTTCAACATATTAAAGAGCAGAATGCTGAGGAACTGCTAAGGACAGAGATATATACACCTGAAATTATCTGCAGTTAAAAGATGTCAACAGAAAATCCCACATAAAAGAGTGATGGTTTAAGGAAAATCTAAATAAAAATAACAATTCCCTCCAATGGAGTCCAGGGAAAACACAGAGGAGGTATAGGACAGGTCTTCCTGCTTATTTTTCAAGAGAGAAAAAGCAATGGCAAACAAAATAACATGAACCTAATTTTCTAAAGTTTTAAATAATTAAAAGCCCCTATTAATTCGTTCTAATAGCCTCAAACAGAAAAAGAACATCTGTGAATTCTAATATCCCCCAAAAGAACCACATTAGTGACTGGGATGGATCAATATGATAGCTAAGAAAGTATTTCCTAAATAATAAATTACTACTATCAATTAAATGTAACAATCATTATTGTAATTATTATCAAAAAAGTTGCTGCTAGTTGAGTCACGCTTCTTGGAAAAGCCCCCTCTATCTCTAACCTGTCTCTATATTAGAAAAAGAAAGCATTCTAATCAAAATATGGAGATAAATCTCTATTAGGTTATGATTAATAATTGAAACTAATGAGAAAGTGACACATTTAACAATGATGCTAGCTAATTTAGAATTCTTGCTTTATAAGAATCACATACAAATACTGGATTTGCAATGTGCATATATACAACTGTTTAAATGACTAACCCATAAATACTAGTTTTATCATATTACCTAGATCTTAATATGTACATTTATAAATATATTTTAACAGCTCTGAAACAGTTTTAAAGTAAACAACATTTTTAAAAAAAGTCTACTAGTAGACAAGCAAGTTGGGATTTACATGGTAGTTTCACTGCTAGCACATGTATATACTTAATCATGTAACGTAAGTATCTGTTCATCCTGCCAACATTGTAGCCAAGACACATATTTTAATTTTAACATAACTCTGGACCCCTAATTATTGCTTAAATGTCAAAAAGATTAAACTCAGCAGCACTACTGAAACAAAATGTTACTGTATATGCAAAAGATTGCATATACATGTCAGAAAATACAATTAAAGACAAAGGGTATCATTTAAAGCTAGGAGATATTGATGTGACCAATACATACTTCATGAAGGACCATTCGTCAGGTGTCATATAGTTATCTACTAGAATCCAAAAGTTCAAGAAGAGGAAGAACGTCAAGGCCTAGAACAGTGCCTGGTTCTTGGTATTTTAAGTTGTTGTAGTTGTACCTTTAGTATAAACATAGAGTTACAGTTTGGTGAACACTTAGAGGCATGTTTAACATGTCTTATTTCATTTAATCTTCACAAGAACACTGTTATAAGTATTATTACTGTCCCCATTTTACAGATGGGGAAACTGAAGCACAGAGGTTAAATAACTTGCTCAGAGCCAACATTACATAAATTGTAAGTGGTAGAGATACTTAATAAATATTTGTTGAATGAATGTTTGAATCTACGTGTACAAAGCTTCCAGCTGACTTTCAAGACATGCTGTAAACTTCCAAGGATTATATAATTCAACCAAGGGAAAAATACAAAAACAACCCCCTTCCATAAAATGTATAAGCTGGATCAAATATTAGCGGCAGATAAAACCCCAGCACACTTTGAAATACCTCAAGTTATAGATTCTCAAAGGTCAGAGTCACCAATCCAAATAATCCAAAGTAGCATATCACTTTGATGCTATATTTAACTGCTAACAACCAAAAGAGATTTACAGAAATCTTAGGAATTTTGTTATAAAGAAGGCATCTCTCTAAAAACTTTATGATATAAAAGAAGAAAACGTTATATAGTTTTATGGATAAATGTACACTACAGTTAGCTGGTTTTAAAAAATGCACTTAAGGTAGTGTTTCCTTCATACTCCCATATTTGAAAAGCTGAAAGTAAGTTGATGGATGTCTTACAATTGATGACATCCAAGAATTGAGGAAATATTATCCTTTGGGTTTCTGACACAATACTCATATTTTGAAGTGACATCTACTGTGACACTGGTAACAATTGCTAAATTCATGAAAGACATGTAGAGGCAGACACCTTGGACATTAAAGCTGAGAACTTAAATCTAGAAGTAATATCAAGTTTCACTGAAACTGTGATCACAATAGATAAGGAAAAATATTTGGGAGGTATCAAGAGGGTCAGGTAGTGTATGATGAGAAAATAAAAAGCAAACAGATTTTTCATTAAAATGCACTTAAAAAGCTCAATGTACCACTGTAAAGTCTCTAGTTACAATTACTTAAATTGCTAACAAAAGTAAAATTCAAATAAAAAATTGTTCATTGTAGCATATCATATTTTAATATTAAAAATTTAAAAATGTATCCTAGGATGAAGACATTTTCCACTAATTTCAGTTTTTACCCTAGACAATTCACACTCAATGATACAGCAAATTAGTAGTTCCCATAGCACACTGAATAAAACAAGAGCAAAATACATCAGGTGGTTTGATTGATGAATAAACTATGGAATATTCTAGGGCCTGAATCTCTTTTTCAACCAGATAAAGATTAGAAGAGGGCCTCGGAAATTTGTCTTTCTTTCAAGTTTCTAAAAGGTTTATTCCGAGTCCACAAACCTCCTCTGGGAACTGATTCTACACCACATGTTGGAGTGACTCTGGGAGAAAAGGGAAAAGGAGGGTGGCTGGGATAGAGTATGGTTAGGGTAAGGTGTAAACTAAAGTTGTCCTAAAAGGCAAAGGGTAAAGCTGCCTTCTTAACCATAAAATCACCTGATGGATTAGATTAAAAAGAGATGGATACATACACACATACACACATGCATATCCACACATACCATATTACTCTCAAAAAAAAGAAAATCACCTCCAGTTTAGCACCATTTGACTAATTGTAGCTAGTCGCTTGAAGGTATTAAGTTGTCTAGGCAGAGGAAGAGGCTATTTAGTGTCTGAGAGGCATAATTTTTCACTTTGACTCTAATGCTGATCAAGGAGAAGGAGCCTGCCATAAACTCCAGCATTTTAGCTCCTATGGGTAAACAGTTCTTACAGAGGGGGGAGCTACTTAAGCCATATTTGGTGAGGGACTCCTCTCACTGTCATCTAGCTTCTTTTGCCCTGATTAAATTCCCTTCAGCAAATTTGGAGATAAATTGATCTGCTACTGAGAATTAGCAATGTTTATTTATGAAACAGGGTCTTGCTTTGTCACTCAGGCTGGAGTGCAGTGGCATGATCATGGCTCACTGAAGCCTCAACTTCCTGGACTCAAGTGATCCTCCCACCTCAGCCCCCTAAGTAGCTGCGACTCCAGACACATGCTATCATACCCGGTTAATTTCTGTATTTTTTGTAGAGACAGGGTTTTACCATGTTGCCTGGGCTGGTCTCAAACTCCTGAGCTCAAGTTATCCACCCACCTTGGTCTCCCAAATTGCTAGGATGACAGGTGTGAGCCACTGACTGTACCCAGTTAGCAATGTTTATTTTTAAAAATTTGCATTGAGGATTACATCTCAAACTCCTAAGAGTCTGGATAATAATAATAGCAATAATACATCAAGATGTTTTTGGTTATAAACAACAGGAGACCTAGTTCAAAATAAAGGGATACATTTACTTCAAAAATAAAATTACCTTGTATAACAAGAAGTTCCAAACTAATATGGCTCCAGGTTGTTGGGCTCACAGATAGCATCACAGACCCAATTCTTTCTTTCCAGTCTGCTATTCTTGGTAGGGTTACTAATACCCCTCATGGCTACCAGATGGCTGCACATGGTCATGCCATTATATTCTCACATACCAATGCCTAGAGGTGTACATGACACATGTACTTGTGCATGTGAGTGCATGCACACACACACACACACACACACGCACAGACAATACTACCTCTTTGTGTCTCTTTTTTAAACCTAAAAAATAGGCTAGGTATGATGACTCATTCCTGTAATTCCAGCACTTTGGGAGGCCGAGGCAGGTGGGTCACTTGAGGCAAACCTGTCTCTACTAAAAAAAATATTAGCCAGGTGTGGTGGCATGCACCTGTAATCCCAGCTACTCCAGAGGCTGAGGCACAAGAATTACCTGAGCCCGGGAGGTGGTGATTGCAGTGAGCCAAGACTGCACCACTGCACTCCAGCCTGGGCAACAGAGTGAGCCTCTGTCTCAAGAAAAATAAAAAATCTAAAAAATCTTTCTCTATACACATATTTTCCAACCTCATGAGTCAAGAGATAGATTACACGGATGCCATAAAAGCATCCTTCAAGGTGAATGGAGCTTGGAATAAAGAATCCATATTCAACTCTGGACCCTAGGAATGAGCCAGCCACACAACTGGTTGAGGTGCTTTCCCTAGTGAGGAGTCTAAATGGTGAGTTATAAGCCTTGGCCATGTAGGCCCAGTGTGATTTTTAAAAAATTACTTTTATCATAGGATATAGTGCCACTAGAAGGAACCCCAAGACATCTCTTGAGTTCCACCTATATCCTTTTCTTTTGCCACACTGTGTAGTAGTATTTCCCTCTGGTTATCAGGCTTAACCACTTCAATCACAGCATAACCACCTCCCCTCCTATCCCGTCTTCCTCCCTTTTAAAATTTTGATATGTTTGCTTAGTAGCAGGAAGACCTAAACTGGCAAGAAGGTAGGGTCAGCTACCAACCAAATTGTTGTGCCACAGGTGCCAATGTTCCTCCTTTGGATACTAAGGCCTCTAACCCAGCAGAGACCAGAAACAAGGAAGGCTGAATCACATGTTTTAAGTGTATCACTAGTTAAAATGGCGTTACAGATGCTTGGATGCCTTAACAAAGGCCATTTCCCTGTTTTTCATTTCTTCTAGCATCCTAGCTGCAGTTGTTGAATTATAAGTCTAAGCCAATCATGTAATCTTTCTATTCTATTCGCTAGTGCTCTAGGGGTGCTCGTGTGATTCAATTATGTTCTATAAGAAATGAGTAGAAGTACGCCAAAGGCTTCTCAAAAAGATTTTTCTCCCTAATAAGTATAAGGAATATGAGGAGAAAGCTTCTTTTTCTGCCTCTCTTTCTTTGTACTGGGGACACTATTATGGGGGAAGTGATATTTTGAGTTGTGGTAGCATCTTGCTATCAAGAGAGGGTGAAAGTCAACACACTCAGGTCCATCAAGAGATCATCATCTCACTAAAGTAACTGGGATACCTGCATCCAGGACTCTTTTGAAGTAAACAAATGTAAAGGGTTTAAGTCACAGTTTAGGTTCTCTGTTCCTTGCAGCCAAAAACATCTTAGCTGATACATACAGGGAGAAGTGGGTACTGCAAGAAGCCAGTCATAAAATGTGGAACATGCTGAGTCGAGCAGCATAATGAAGGGTGCTGAGAACTCAATTCTTCCTAGCTAGATCTTAGTTTATATCACAGCCAAGAATTAGAATTTCGAGTTTATCTTTCTCTTTCTTTATGCTATCTGGCATTGTTTGAAGTATGTGTGTCTTACTGTCAACTTGGTTCACATTCTACTACCTGTAAGTTTATTCCTGAGAGATTCACTTTCAGTAGAAAGATAAAGCCAAATTTCTAGATGTATAGAACTAAGGATAAAACCTCAAAAGGTAGTATATTTTCTAAAGTAAAAAGTATCTTAGTGGCCTGTCAGCTTTCATTAGGAATACTTCTGTGTTGCAGGAGGTACTAAGATTTAAAAGAGTTAGTACAGAGAATGCGATACCAAGTAAATAATGATGAATGGTCTATTAGTTACAAATTATTTGACACAGATATATTTATCAATATGTACAGGCAGTTATTTGAATTCAATATTGCTTTCAGGTTTATTGCCTTACCCTTACTGTCCAAAGTAATACTTCCCTTTCCAAATCAGATGGTAATCAAAATATAAAATGGAAAAATCTCTCAGTCTGTCAAGACTCAATTCAACTCTCAGGGTTTGTTTGTTTGTTTGTTTTGTAGTAAGTACTATCAGACCAAAGGAAAGAAAACAATTACAGACCCACAGACTTTGATAAGAGAGAAGATTACATCAGATAACTGCAAGTGAACAACAGGGTATTTCAACCATTCTAAAATATTTATTTATACACAGTAGGATTACAGATAATCTATACTAGGTTATTTCAAAATGTATTCCCTGGAATGTTTTTACCTTCCTCCTCCCAAAAAAGAACACCACGTCAAACAAAATTAGATATATATTGCATATAACATCCCCCTTGTTAGATAGTCACGATGTACATCAAAGTATTAACGGCTTTGAAAAGTTAGGCTGTAAATAAGCCAACTAATCATAATCTATCATGTTCAAATTAGACTTAAGAATTCCTTTTTAACTGTGTATTCCCAAGGAATGCACTTGGGAAATGTTTATTGGTACATTCTAATAATGCCCATGAGGGTTTTCATTCCCTAGGAATAGAAGTTAAAGTTATTTTTCACCACTGTTGCTACGCTATGAAGTAATGGTAATGACGATTTTGTTGTTGAATACTGGAGCAAAAAGTCATTAACATATATCTGAGATACTATTTTTAAGAACTGAATGTAAATTCCTGAAATGCTTTCTATAATGGAGAACTACAAATTTCCTGTTTATACTTTAGCTGGTCCAATAACAAAAATAACATGTTATCTTGAAAATAAGTTGCATATTCATTTCTACCTCAAACATGTGGATAGGTCAAATTTAAAATATTTTTATAATAGATTATTTAGTAAAATGTATAAAATTATACACATGTGGATATTTCTGCATAAATACCAGAAAAATGTGCTTACATAGTCATTAAAAAAAAAAACTTGTTATCTGACCCCAATGAGGATATTTAAAACAAAAACTGTTTAAAAACACAATTACACAAACAAAAATAAGCCTATATTAAAGTTAAACCATGTTCACTACCAATTTTTCAGATCCTAAATTTAAAAATAACTACGTCAAGAAAGTGTTTTAATATACATTGGAGCACAAGTAATATAGTTTACTGGTTGTTAAATAAAATTACTTCATTATACTACTGCTAGTGGAATAAAATTGACACACACAACTTGTACATGCAGGGAAAATACAACTTAATGTAAACAGATGGTTTTCAGCACATTCCTTTACTAGAATGTGGCCACCTGCCACAAAGTACACAAGCTCATGCACAAGATCAAGACGTTACATACAGCTGAGATCACAATGTCATGCATAGTACAACAGCGTGCCAGATTATCGTACCACAAACTGTGCAGATGTTCTCCCCCACCCCATGAGCCACTGCCAGCAGCTGCTGTGGAGCTTGGTTACCCATATCCGTGACATGAACGGTGTCCTTTGGAGAATCTTGTTCCCTGTGGCTGTAAGTATTCTTATTTTTATAATATTTTAATGATGTTTGCTATCAAAATGTTAAGTACAATACTGGAAATTATGAAAAAGTAGACTTTTTACAATACTAAGCAATTATATACATCTTATCTCAGGTACTTGCAAAAAGCATCACATATTTAAACGTATCATCAAAACTAATTTACTGCTCAGAGTTAAATGAACCTAAAATAATATATCTGATGACAGTGCTCCAGTGAGTGGGGAAAAAGAAAACAAAATACAGTCTCCAAAAAGTACTGCCTAATTTTGAGCACTCAAAAAACTTGGCAAGAGTCATTCTAAAGTCTGGCTAAAGTATGACTCATACAGATAAGTGCTATATAAGAACATTTATTAGGATGGATCTTTCACTTACATGATTTCAATTTTGAATACTTGACTTGGTAAACAATTAGCCAAGTTAACATTATTTATGTTAGTCAATGAAAGAAAGTACAGAATATAGTCACTGAACTACTTCCCCTCATTTCTCTGACCTTATTAAGTGTATTGCAATGTCCTTTTTTTCCTATATATTTCCTAAGTGCATTCTGGTAAAGATAGCATTTTCTTTTGCTATTAGGTAACATCTGCTAAATTACATGTTCATAAAAGCATAGAATCAGAATTTTGGAACCTCAAGACACATTGAGTGGCTCAGCTCTATGCCTCCTGGGAGTACTACATGGCCCTTTTAGAATGATAAATTCAGTGCCTCTGGAATGTTCCAGAGTATCTTTAAATCAGGCCAGGGAGTAAAAAAAAAAGAAAATACAGCCAACTCTCAATAACAATGGAAGGTAGGATAGATAAGTAAAATCTGAAGATCTAAAAATCTTATTTTAATTAATAACTTAAATCCCCTCCCTTAACAAACATTTGACTTATAATTTTAAAAAATTATGTCAGATATAAAAACAACTTGAATTTGAGCTCTTTTCTCTGCCCCCTCTCCAAACACCCTAGAGGAGGTACTAACAAGAACTGTATAGTTTGATATTGGTAGCTGCAAGGATGAAAACCTATTTATATGTCTAGCTTTTCCAAATTAGATATTTAAACCTATACATATAACATTTTAGCATATGAGGACCCATGTGTATTTTCATCTTTGTGTAAAAATGATTGCTTTATAATTTGTTTAAAAATTGGCATTCCTTTAGCAAGGAAAGACTACTTACCATAATCAATATCAGCAATTACATCCAACTTTTCTGACTCTGTAACAATCTACAACTTAGTACTTACCAGGTTACATTTCTCTTATAATGTAACATTTGAAAGTGATATGAATTGAAGATGACAGTTTTACTCAACATCAGAATAATTCATGACAGGAGCCAGCATGCCTTGATTAAATGGGCATAATAAGACTGGGGCTTAAAACAGCTGCCTCTCCTGATTCTTATGTACTGTACAGTACAGCACTGTACCATTCTGCCTCAGTTTTACTCCAGCAATCATCATTCAATTACCTCAACAGACTGATGCAAAATATATATCTTTATTGTGACTATTATTAAGATCATTGAGACAGGGTCTCACTCTCACAGCTTATTGCACTCTTGACCTCTGGGGCTACATATCTTTATTATGATTATGATTATTATCATTGAGACAGAGTCTCACTCTCACAACTTACTGCGCCCTTGACCTCTGGGGCTCAAGTGGTCCTCCTACCTCAGCCTCCGGAGTAGCTGGGACCACAAGAATGCACCACAATGCCTAGCTAATTTTTTAAAAATTTTTTGTGGAGACAGGACCTCCCTATGTTGTCCAGGCTGGTCTCAAACTCTTGGGCTCAAGTGGTCCGCCTGCCTCAGACTCCTGGAGTGCTGGGATTACAGACATGAGCCACTATGCCTGGCCTGAAAAATATATATTTTATTATAAAGTTCATCATATGAACTGTTTTAATTAGCAACAAATAATGTTTAAGTCTAAATAAAGAATTAAGAATAATAAAGTCTCTATAACTGTGCCATCATTTGAATATGTAAGTGCAGCAGAATCTCTTGTAAGAGCAGGTATGCCACAGTGCAGGATAAAAAAAGTGACGTTCTTATGTTGCCATATGTTTACATGGACAGTAACTGGGATTTGACCAAAAACAAGGTGAAAACAAGTATATTTTATAATAAAAGGCATGAGAAAAAATGTGCAATAAAGGCACAATAACAACATTTAAATTTATGATAAATAGTTTATCCATTTATTTGCCTTTCTGAAGAATGATCATTTGATTCTAAAAAGCAATATTATATTGGTAAATGTGTAATTTGAACTTCGTATAAATCATTCTAATTTCATTAAGGTATCAGTTTGCTATTCATTGACAGTAATACCTCTTTAAATAGTGATGAAAGAAAAGAAATATCTGAATTTAAATATTATACCTGGCTTTACAATATATATACTTTGTTATATTTCTGGAGATATGACTTAACTGGTAAGAAGTGTATCAGTAAACCTTTGCAATGGCATTTTATTTTATTTTAAATTTATGTACCATAAAAATTTAACAAAAAATAAACCATACATAAGTAAAAATCAATTGATTAGAAAAAGATATTATTGGTATTTTTATATGCATACGTATAAAATTGGTATTTTTGTTTAAGACTCAAATATTTTACATAGGAGAAACATTTCCCTAATTATAACAAAGTTAAGATAACTTTAGAAAATACTTGGCTGTATGATTTGAACTGTCATTAATACCTCGACAACAAATGAAAAAAAGTTGTTTTTGAAAATTAGGTAAATTAAAATAATGCTGCAGATTAAATTTTTCCACAAAAAATAATGCACCCAAAAGTAGTAGTTCTGAGTGCTGTATAATTTTCACTTAGATTTCTAAGAATAAATCTGTAAGTATTTAAACATTTCTGAAAATCTGAACTTTTCCATGACATAGTAAAATAAGAATAGAGAAAAAAAAAATCAGTGAAAAAGTTGTTTTCACATTTTGATCATGCTTACATGTTATGTTAAGAAAGAATTAAATAATTAATACAAAATTATTCAATTTTATAACAATCTATAAATAGTTCCTATGTCAACATGGAATTATATTGTTAAAGGCATTATTTGAAGACAACGTTTTGATTTGTCAGAAAATAGAACAATGTCCTCAATGATTATCTTTGATAAAAGTAACATCACTACTAAGGAAAAACAATAAACAGAAAAAAACTGCTGCAGATAAAATCTGATGAACACACTCTGTGTTCTTATTATCAAATTTTTGTGCTCTCTACTTATAATGTACTAATATTGTAATCAGGTCAGTAGAGGACTGAATATATATCATGGATGCTGCTACATAAAGTGAACAGGTAGAAAGGTTAGAACGTGACATGGTAAGGCGAAGAAAAATGACTATGTCACATAGCAATAGTTTAAAATATTGGTTTTCTCAGTGATCAAAAAAGCATGTTCAATGACTTTTTGTTTTCCCTGCTAGTTTATGATATTGGAAAGCTGCAGCAAGATAGTAATAAAGGTCACTGGATACAAATATTCAAGTTCTTCACTAACCTCATCTGGGTTGGCATTAAAGGTGAGGCTGCCTTCATCCAGCTGCATATACAATTTTCTAAAAGAAAATCCTAAAGGTGGGTTCTTATTGTATATGGAACAGTGACCCCAAGTGGATTTGCACAACCTATAAAATCAGAGAAAATGAGACAAGAAAACATTACTACATTTAATTTCCTAAGTTAAATATGCATATACATGCAAAAATAGTAACATGAAATAAGATTGAATTTTATAGTTCTAAAGTTTAAAATTTTTAAGTTTGTACTTGTTTTCTATTTGTTTACTAGAGTATGACAGATGCTTTAAATTTAGCAATTTTGACAGCATCTAATAAATGTGAGTTATAGAGATTAATAATATTCATGAGTACTATCTGAAGTTAAACATAAACTATTCCTAATAATAGTAATAATAGCTAACATTTACTGAATACTTACTAGATGTCAGACCCTATTTCAAGTATTTTAATTGGATTAGCCTGCCTAATCTTCACAACAATCCTATGACGTTGGTGATACAGATAAGAAACACAGACAAAACAGTTGCCCAAGATCATACGGCTAATATGTACAGATGCAGGATTTCAACCCAATGAGTAATCCACAGCTTGCAATTATTAACCAAGAATCTAAATAGGGTTTATTAACTAACCTATGTGCTCTATTGTGAAATAAAACTAAATGGGAGGAAAAGAATGCTGGGCAGGGAAACAGCTTTTGTTTTTCAAATAATACACGTTACAACAGACAAATTAAATACAGAAATTGTTTGTAATGCCACAACTTGAATACATTCATCAAGCTGTGATGTTCAACATAGCTGTTTTTAAGATACTGCTTCAAAAACACTAGTTCTTTATTATCAGAGTGATACATGATTGTTTAGAAATTCTATAAAACCGAAAATACTAACAGTTCATATCTCAAAACACACTGCAGATTGGGATACTTTCTAACTCTTCACAGAGGCAATAGCTACTGGTTATTTGAAAGTTAATGTTTTATCTTATTATAATGCCTGGAAATTCTGGATATCCACCAAAAAGCCTTAAATATAAATGCATTATTCTAGAGAAACAGAGAATACTGAAATTATATTCTGATACAATTGTGATGAGTCTTTGTCTCAAAATTATCTGATTTGTTGTGTATTCAAAAACACCTGCTACTTGTTGAGACAAATGAAACTGTTTACTTTCTTATATTCATTATTAATTTCTGCCTCAGATTTCCTTCTTTTAATAAACACACAAAGTGCAGAGCAACAAGAAAAAGTTACTGTCTGAGCATATAACATCAAAAATTGTGAGGACAAGGGGGTAAAATATCTAATTTAACATGAGACTACCCTCTTAGTAGTTGATTTATACTGCTGCATTATTTTTACCCACCAAATGAAATCACTGACTCAAAACTGTAAGTATAAAAAATTGTTTAGAATATTATCAATATTTTTTCAGTCTTATTAATCTAGTCCCAATAAAACCCAAAACTAGAGTTTTATTACTAAGCTTTGTGAAAACCAGAGAACTTCCCAACATCAATGAGTATTCAATACATCCAAAGTTGAAATTAAAACTAAGCCAGCCTTTAATTTCAAATAGAAGCAATTTATTATTAAGGAAAAAATCCAAGTATTATAAAAATAGGCATAATTATGGCAAATATTTCTTTCACAAATGAAAAATTCAGATTTAAACCCCAAATGAAGAATACATTCTGGTTGACTTCAGGTAAGGCTAGAAATTAAACTTTTAAAAAAAGTTCAAACAAACAGAAATTAAGTTAGTAAGGAATACTAAAATGTAGAAAAGAGATTAGAAAGAATGAGCCAGTTTAAAAGTACTTTCATTTCCTCTTCTATTCATGAGTAAAAAATTAATAACATTTATTTTAAAGACTCCTCATTAACAGAATTTCCTCTCACGTAGTACTTTCACTATGTCAAACAAATGAGTAAAAGAATAACAAGATATGATATTGATGATTTTTATCTATTTAGAGGTTGAGAAATGACCTATATAACTTGTACTAGAACTGTGTGACATCAGAAAGCCTAATTTAGGAATGTCATTACTGAAAATATATTTTGACTAAAGTTTGTAATTTATTAAGTCTCTCAATTAGATTTCTAGTTTGAAATTATAGGAAGTCTTAAAAAGATATTTGTTTTTAGTTATAGTCTATATTTTTATAAAGACCTATTTCAAGATAATAAGACAAATAAACTTTGGTAAAGGATGCTAGAAGGTCTGAGATCCAATGATTCCATGTTTGGTAATATTTTTAGGCCAAAAAATCATGTACCTATACTTTTTGTTAAAGTATATGATGCTATTTAAGGAGTAACTTAGGTTCAATAAAACAGATTCTATTCCAGCAAATGTTCTTAGATTTGTGGTTTTAATTCAGACTAGTACAATGTGGAAATTTATGTAATCTAAGTTCAGCAAGTAAATAAAAACAACTATTTGTCCCCTTGCTTTCTAATATTTGCCTACTTCATTGAAATGCTGGTTAGAAAAAAAAAGTAGATAAAATTTTCACCAGTTAAATTTTATTCTAACAAGCACCTTTGAAGAAATATAGAATTGAGTAAAAATGTAAGGCTCTATATGAAGAAAATTAAAAACAGTAACATTTGAGGACTATTCATTGATTTCGAAGTCTGCCTATTATTCAGATGGCAGGTATCCTATGGGAAGCACAAACTACACAGCATGTGAACACTCCAACTTTTAAATTAGAAATTCTCACTCCACAACTTTGCGGTATTTTCAGAATAAAGTGAGAGTTTCTGACTTATAATCAACTGACAGAGCCTGATTGGTAACCTCTCTTCTAACTGTAAAGTTATTATTCTATTTTCTATTGTCCTCCTTTTCACAAGATCAAATTTGACTGTGATGCTAACTGTATATTTTTCCAGGTTTTAATAAAGAGCATCTCAAAGTACAAGCCCAAGTTTAAAGAAAATATTTTGTAATATACATTATAAAAAGAACATTGAAGCATGATTATGTTTAGAGATACCTGAATTCAACTTTGGTGGGTTTAACTTACCCTTGCCAGAGAAGTTCATCATTCGCAAGGTCCTGCCAAACACATGAAGCCAAGCAAAGGTCAGTTGCATTCAGGTAGGACAAGATGGTAAAGCTTAGCTCAGGAGGCAACATTTCCAAATTAATGAATCCTTCCTGTTCTTTCGATTTCCTTGCCTTCAAAAGATGATATATGTCAATGCCTCCTTGGACTTGTTTACGATGATTGGTGTTAGAAATGTTGCTCGCAGCCATTCTCCTGCTCTGCTCTCTGGTGAGGTAGCCTTGCTCACTGTAGCCTTCTTGTTGCAGCTGCTGGTTTCTGACCACTCTCCACAACCCTTGACCCATCTGCAAGCCTGGGAAAAAGCCAGAATGTAATAAGGGTGACATTTAAAAAGTAACCCATTTTTCCCAGTGGTATAACAAATCTGACATGAAGCATTCATTTATCAGAATTAAAACTTCTCATTAAAACCTACTAAAACCAGAAGTATATTACTAAGAATAGCTGGAAAATTATAAGTGCAAATTTTGATAGACAAAGTTTCAGAATTACTTGGTTCGATCATCACCTTTATCCCAGTTTGCTAACTACTTCTAAAGTCCATATGTGACATAATCATTTTTCACGTGGTAAGATTTAAAAGTTACTGATGTCCTTAATACTCTTACAAATTATAATTATGTGGACTTATGGGCCAGTATTAAATACAGCTCTGATCAGAGCACGGACTTTAGTTAAAAGGCCTCCAGACCCTGCTTTTTATCACAATTCAGTCTAAGCTAAGCTAGCTCCTTTTAACCAAACTCCCAGATGCGTAACAGCTGGGAAACAGGCTTTTAGTTTAATTCTTGCCAGTCTACACTTACATTGTAGACTGTAATAAAATGTAACATAGGCCCTGAAGTCTAATTCAGAAACCTTGTAAATTAGACACCTAGAACTCCATGATAAATAGCTCGGTAACAGTAGACTATTTAGTTTTGTTGTTGCCTTAAATTAAAAATTGTAATTTAGAGAAATTTTCTAATTCTTCTCCACAAATCCCTATGGATTCTTCAGAAGTACCTGGGAAAAGACACCAGAAGAAAGGTGTGCTCTAGTCTCCCCACTACCATCTGACCTCCCACCAGAGCATTCTACATTTGTCTGTCACATATATTGACTTCCTCATGTACAAATGTATTAGAAAATTCCTAGAGCTAGATTTGGCATTGCCTTTAAATAGCTTTTCTGGAGCAAATAAAGTCATTCAGAACAACTAAATCGGAGTTCCTAATGAATACAAATAATTACTTTCATGATCTCTTTTTCAAACAAAATACTTTTATCAACTCGAGTTGACTACTAATACCTGTGTGTTTCAAAAACTTGGAAAAAATACTAACTTTCCCATAAAATCATTAAAATAGTCAAATAATTTTTATAGCATGACCCGAACTTAAAATATAATGTGGCTTCAATTAACTGTTTACAATAAGTACTAACAAAAACAAAAGCAAAAACCCCAAAAGACAAAAAACAAACCAACAACAGTGACTAGATATCTTTTAATCAGAAATAATTTGAAAATTGAGTGGAACTTCAAAGAATGTCAAAGATTGTTGTTGATTAAAACAGAAAAAATAGTGGGCAGACTAGAGCATGCCTTCTTCTGGTGTCTTTTCCCAGGTACTTCTGAAGAATCCATAGGGATTTTATTTTAGTATTTAAAAAGGTATAATCCACGCATTTATTTACTAAACCATTGGCTATTATTTGGGTAATGGCCACTAAATTCGGTCATTTGTTGATTAAAACAGAAAAAATAGTCCAGGATAATTTTTAACTC
This sequence comes from Homo sapiens, assembly GCF_000001405.40. Classification (NCBI taxonomy): domain Eukaryota; kingdom Metazoa; phylum Chordata; class Mammalia; order Primates; family Hominidae; genus Homo; species Homo sapiens. The sequence goes on from NC_000004.12 coordinate 174,264,577, forward strand.
TTCCCCCACCTTATATTGCACTGCTTGGAATCCCAGCAGCTTAAGCTATACAGGTATGGTGGGGAGGTACAAAGAGAAGAAACATATTAATAATTTTAAAATGTAGGCACATTTGTTTTTGAAAAGAAGGCACAAAAGATAACCCTTCTCTCCCTACTACACACGACACCATGGTATTTTTTCCTAAATCAGTGGTTAAGCTATACAAATAAAATTCTTAAAAAAAAAAAAACAGAATATCGGGAAAATAAAAAGACAAGCCACGGACCAGGAGAAAATCTTTGCAAAACACATATATGATAAAAAGACTGTGCATCCAAAATATGTGAAGAACTCTTAAACCTCAGCAGTAAGAAAATAATCCACTTTAAAAATGAGCAAAAGATCTGAATAGACGCCTCACCAAAGAAAATACACAAATGGCAAATAAGCACATGAAAAGATGCTCAACATCATATGTCGTGAGGGAACTGAAAATAACATAACTATGAGATACTACTACACACCCATTAAAAGAGTATATCCGAAACAGTGACAATACCAAATGCTGGCAAGAATGTAGGAATGCAAAATGATACAACCACTTTGGAAGACAGGTAGTTTCTTTAAAAATTAAACATACTTTGTATGATTCAGCATTAGCTGAATCATTTACCTAAATAAAAGCTTTTTATTTAGGTATTTACCTAATTAAAAGCTTTTTATTTAGGTATTTACCTAATTAAAAGCTTTTTATTTAGGTATTTACCTAATTAAAAGCTTTTTATTTAGGTATTTACCTAATTAAAAGCTTATGTCCACACAAAAACCTACACGTGAATGTTTAAAGCAGTTTTGGTAATTAATTTTCAAATCCTGTAAGCAACTACGATGTACTTCATTATGCGAATGTATAAATAAGCTGTGGTACAGTATATCTATACAATGGGAAATTATTTAGCACTAAAAAGAAATGAGCTATCAAGCAATGAAAAGACATGGAGGAACTTTAAGTGCCTATTATTAATGTTAAGTAAAAGAAGCAAATCTAAAAAAGTTCTTTACTGTATGATTCTAATTATAAGACATTCTGGAAAAGGCAAAACTATGGAGACAGTAGAAATGATCAACGTACAAAAAATAGAGAATGTCAACAAAAAATTATAAGTACAAGTTTTATATTTGTTTAAATGTACCATGTCACATTACAACATTAAGTACAACTTAATTTTGACACAAATTGAACATTTTAAGTCTACTAATCATAAAGAAAAGTATTTTATTTTCACCATTGCTATTCCTCTATTTAACTTAGCAAGAAAATATCTAGAAATCACATTAATTGCTGAGCTCACCTAGCACAGCTGTTATTTTAAATAATTAAATTTATTCTCTTTTGTTTTTGTACCACTAAAGGTAAATTATCAAACATGGTAACTGCAGTATCTGAAGTCTCAATATTTAAAACATTTATAACAATTTCAGTCTATTTTCCTACAGAATCTTTCTAGTGGCATATGGTTAAGCAGCTGTTGCTACTCTTAGGCCTGTTGCTAGGGAACAAAGAATCAGGGTGATTTCCCTAGGCTCCGGACTTTAATGGGGATCACTTAAATTGAACACACTGGATAATATGATTCAGAAAGCATCCGGCAGGTAGAAAGAGGTAAAGCCAGCAGCTGGTTCTTTAAAAAATAATAATAATAATAATGGGGAGGTTGGAGGGTTGAGGCTCATGTATACATAGTTCAGACAAAGAAAACTGCAAAATTATACCTTATTTTCTGTATTCCTACTGCTAAACAATACTGAAAATTGTCCCCTTGGGACTTTCGTTTCCCTTTAAAGCAGTTCTTGATCCTGGGTAAAAACACAGTAATGATAAAGCACTCTGAGAAAGAGTAACATCATGAGTTTAGCATTTGGAGAAAGAAAAGGGAGTCTGTAGCGTTCTGCCCCCATTCCCTATCTTCCTTAGCATAATAGGGATGTGAAACATGGGTGTAACTGTCAGAAAAGCTTTAAAACTCTCAAAATGACGTGACATCCATTGTATAAGTTGTAAAGCAAGTCATGGAGGGAGTATAGTGGTATGGGTTTTGAAGTCAGACAGACCTGGGTTTAAATCCTGACTTTATTAGTTCTTACTTACAGGACCCTGGGAAAGTTACTTGACTACTCTGAGCTTTAGTTTCTTCATGTACAATGCAAAAAATAATAATGATAAAAATGTCTATAGCTCAAAAAGCTATTGTGTTAAGTAAGATAATGTACATAAAGTTAATTTCATGGCTAACAGTTAACTAACAGTCAATACGTTAGATATTACTTTGACAAGCATATTTTTATCAAGTGAAAATAAGCACTTTCATAAAGCTTATTTAATGATACTTAAACTGTTCTGATGTCCTGCCTGTTGAATAAGCTTATTTGTTCATGTTGCTACTTGCACAGCTTTGTAGGGCCTCTACACACAATTCACCTCCTTTAGTTATTTCATATTGTGACCATGTTTTTATGTTGTTTCTTCTTGTAAATCCAATTCTTTTATATCAATGACCCAGCAACAACAACAAAAAACTCTAGAAAACAAAAAAAGGCTGTGTTGTCTTTCACAGAAAATTTTAAAACTCAGCATGCCTGAGGATGGTGCCAATAGCAGTTCCATGAAATAGGTCTTTGTGTTATTGTTAATAATCTGTCAAGATGTGGCTAGGTATGGTGACTCATGTCTGTAATCCCAGCACTTTTCGAGAAGCTGAGGCAGGAGGACTGCTTGAGACCAAGAGTTCAAGACCAGACTGGGCAACATAGACCCCGTTTCAACAAAATACAAAAAAAGTTAGCTAGGTGCGATGGTGCATACCTGTAGTCCTATCCACTCAGGAGTCTGAGGCAGGAAGATCACTTGAGCTCAGGAGTTTGAGGTTATAGTGAGCTATGATCACACCACTGCACTCCAGCCTGAGTGACAGAGTGAGACCTTGCCTCTAAAAAAAATTAAAATTAAAAATTAAAAGAAAATAAACTGTCAACACTAGCTCTAAAAGAGATGTAGAATATGATGCAGTTTCATGCGGGGTTCGTCCATGATTTCAAACTCTTGAAAATAGTGTTTAGACTGAACCAATTAAAACTTAATTTCAAAGTATAAAGTTTTCAGATTTGTGTTAAAAGTTTTAATAATATCTTGGTATAAAGATTTTAAAACTGAAACATAATATTATAAAAGATATATTACTGTCCTGTCACTTGCAGCAATTGTTAGGTAAAATAAAATTCAGCTGCAATGTGGAATCACTGAATATGCAAAAAGTTTCAAATTCAAAAAAAATTCAACACAAAATAAGTTTTTGTATTTGAAATCACTAGTTTTGGTGTAAATATGGATTTTGTGATGAAACTACAGCTTTATTTGTTCACTCAAAATAGGTGGAGAAAATAGATATTTATTTCTTTGAAAAAATATTTACTCTTCTAAGAGCATAGTCTATGTTAGTCTATCTCATACAGAAATAAAAGAAACACGGTTGCTTCTTGTTATTCATGGCAATTATGTTCTTTAAAGTTTCTGCAAACACTGAATTAGCAATACTGAACCATTGTTCCTAGGGAATTACAGGGTTAGGTTACTGTAAGCCTCTATTCACAATATTTTCATTAACTGATCAATACATAACCTTACTGTATGTGTGTTTCTGCTGAAAGACATTTAATACATATTGCTAATTCATTAACTGTGAACTCATGGCCAACCGCACTATAACTCAGGCTTGAATGAGGCTTATCTAACATGTATTTTATCCATAAGGCACAACACTTAGGAAAACTAGATAACGCTTCTGCACTAGGCTTGGGGGCCATTTTTTGTTTTGTTTTGTTTTGTTTTGTTTTTGAGATGGAGTCTCGCTGTGTCGCCCAAGCTGGAGTGCAGTGGCGCGATCTCGGCTCACTGCAAGTTCCGCCTCCCTCCCAGTTTCTCGCCATTCTCCTGACTCAGCCTCCAGAGTGCTGGGACTACAGGCGCCTGCTACCACGCCCGGCTAATTTTTTGTATTTTTTAGTAGAGACGGGGTTTCACCGTGTTAGCCAGGATGGTCTCCATCTCCTGACCTCGTGATCCGCCCGCCTTGGCCTCCCAAAGTGCTGGGATTACAGGCGTGAGCCACCGCGCCCGGCCGGGGGCCGTTTTAAACACTAAAATCACCAAGAAAAAGCATGTGGGAAATGTGGCATTAAATAAGCCACAAAAAGGACACTTGTTTATAATGACAGCTAAGATAAGAAGGCAGAGCCTTGCCTTCAACTTCAGCTGCGAATGTGCACCTTGAACAACAGTTTTTTCAGCTCTTGCGCATGTTTGCTAAAGGCGGCAGAAGCACCAGGCGTACTCCTTTGGGAGATACAAATAAATGTTAGTGAGTAGGTAAATTCACAAATACAAAATTATAAATAATGAAGATCAACTGTAATTAATACAATTCAAGGTGTCCCATGCCTTTTCTTCCAAATTTGAATTTATTTTGTTCAAAGCTTCTTTATCATGTTGAGAGGATCTATAGAATTCTTTCTAAGGAGCTTCGAAATGAAACCAAACATGTTTTTTCTTGGTCTACAAACACAGAAACATAACTTCATTATTTATCATCTGACAGAAGTAAACAAAAATTTCATAATTACTTAGGTCACAGAGAGAAATTATGCTACAAAAAAATTCTCCATAAGATTTCAAAGTTGAAACTCTTCCTTTCCAAGGAAATAAAAACAAAAAAAAAAATGGGGGAAAAAACCCCAAAGCAATCGCAACTGTACATTTTCTCCTTATTTTTCAGAATGGTAATAAAATGCGGCCAGGAGTGGTGGCTCATGCCTGTAATCTCAGCACTTTGGGAGGCCGAGGCGGGCAGATCACTTGAGGTCAGGAGTTCCAGACTGGCCTGTCCAACATGGCGAACCTCGTCTCCACTAAAAATACACAAATTAGCCTGGCATTGTGGTGCACGCCCGTAATCCCAGCTACTGGGAAGGCTGAGGCAGGAGAATCACTTGAACCCGGGAGGCAGAGGTTGCACCGAGCCGAGAATGTGGCACTCCAGCCTGGGCAACAGAGTGAGACTCGTCTCAAAAAAAAAAAAAAAGAATGGTAATAAAATGAATACTTACAACTGAAGATTTAGATACTATTTAGTAAACTTAAATTGATAATTTCCAGAGAATGATTAGCACAAAATAGAATAAATCAGAACTCCTTTATAAATTGGATGAAGCATCAAATGAAGCAACAGCCAAATAGGCAAACGAATATGATCCCAGAATTTCTACTCCCTGAAATTATGCAAATATAACTATCAATTAATTATAACCATTTTAATACAGCAGTCAACTAATGCTCCTTGTGTCTCAGAGCTATTATATACTGTTTTGGTTTAAGGATAAAATATTCATGTTCAATTCTGTACTACCTGCAAATACACTCAGGGAGCATGGTAGTAAACAGGAAACTTAGAAGCCTGACATGAATGGCTACTGAATGGCTACTGAATGTGGACTGGCAACCAAACTGTGCGACCTTGAACACTCAGTGGTATTGTGTATAAACATGCCACATTAGCCGAGACAGAGCTATTTTATTAAATTAATCTCATGTATAAGAATTTCATATTTTGGTTTATTATCATAGCTTACATTTCAAACTTAACTTTCTGTTCCTAAAGTCCTATGCTGCTGTGGCACAGTAGCTGGGAAGACGTAAATGGAAAGTAACATGATTTTAGGAAGAGTCCAGCATTATTAAAAAATAATGCCTTTGAGAGGTATTTATCTAGAAGACTGCATAAAGTTTCCTACTTAGCTAAAGGTCCTTTTATAGAGCAAACAGCCACTATCACCCCTATATGATCTGTTGTCCTCCCACCTGCTAACATTTCAGTAAAGTTATATCTAGGATTACTAAACATATATGGTGTTTTTCTTTCTACAAAAGCTCTTTTGGTATTACATAGCTTAAATTTAATATGCTAAACTTCAAGATCATTTTTATTCATGCTCATGTCTTAGGAATAGTATTTTTTTTTTTTTTTGAGATTTAGTCTTGTCTTGTTCCCCAGCTGCAGTGCAATGGCGCGATCTCGGCTCACTGCAACCTCCACCTCCCAGGTTCAAGTGATTCTCCTGTCTCAGCCTCCCGAGTGCTGGGATTACAGGCACCTGCCACCACGCCTGGCTAATTTTTGTATTTTTAGTAGAGACGGAGTTTCACCATGTTGGCCAGGATGGTCTACGAACTCCTCACCTCAGGTGATCCGCCCGCCTCGGCTTCTCAGGAATAGGTTTTAAACTAATATTGGGATAAGTATAAATGGCAGGGTATCATCTCATGACCATGATTTGCAATTTGTAAGATATCAATTGGACAGGAAACAGAAGAAACAATTTTTGGACTCACTTTTGAAACAATCTTTTATGGAACTTTTTTGGAAAAAAATCTCAACCTTGGTTGTATTCTTGTAAGATGGAGCACATATATTTATCACCTCTCTCTCCCATAAAATGACAGAGAAAAAAAAGGTAGAAACTACAACTAAAAGAAAATGAAAACAGGACATTCATGAACATGAGATTTCAACATATTTCTGCAACATGAAAAGTAGAAGGAGGAGTGGCTACTAATGAAGCCATGTAGAGAAAGACAGAGGATAGTCTGCAATCGTATGGAGAGGGAAGCAGAAGCTTATGTACCTTGCAGAAACCTCAAGAGGCTTGGGAGTCCAAAACATAGGACAAGGAAGAGAGAAATTCAGAGTCAAATGAGCAAAACAATGAGGATATTAACATCTCTGGGTCACTGTTTCCTTCCCTACACAATAAGAATAAAAATGTCCCCCTTGTATGATTTTTATGAGAATTAAATGAAATAATGTGCATATGTATATGTAACAATGGACCACAACCTCTCCCCTCAACACACATACATCACATATCTAGAATGCTTAGGTATGTACCCCAACCCCTTTCCCTCACTCAGGCAAAATGAAGAAGCATTTTTGCTAAAGAAATTGAATGACATTAGAGAAAAACTCCCTGCCACCACCCTCCTTATATTTACAATTGGCCCAGCATAATGGCTGTCAAACCAATCACCTCAATGGAAGGAATATGGTGCACAAATCTGTAAGTCACTTCTTATTGCCTCAAAGATCCAATGTTCAAGCATTAAAATGTGGCTGAAACACTTGCATAGCAATTACTTGATTTATTTTTCCTGATTTCATCTGGTAACTGGTCAATAAATTTTAATCTTAATTTAAATAGATATAAAATCTTATATATATTATGTATTTGGGGGATTTACCTATAGGAGGTACTCATCAAAGTTCTGCTATACACTAATATGGTGAAAAGGTGCATCTTCTTCTCAACTTGTACCTTTCCAGTTTACTTGGGACCCCCTTAGGGGCTACAAAGAAACTCCTAAGGCAATGTTTCCTAAACTTGGATTATGAGTGTTCAGTGAACTAATAGCAAATCAAAACAAAACAAAAGCAATGGGATAACGTCAAAAGGACATTAGGAGCTAATTTGAAGGAGGCTTCTATTGGCCAAACCTGGAACATCAAAATAAAAATGACAGTAATGAATTAATTGCTCCTTAGTATTTGCAGTAGACTGGTTCCAGGATCACCCCCTCATGTCACCTCCCCCAGATACCAAAATCCATGAATGCTCAAGTCCCTTGTATAAAATGGCATAGTATACATCCTCCTGTATACTTTAAATCATCTCTAGATTACTTATAACATCCAATAAGATGTAAATGCTATGTAAATAGTTGTTATACTGTATTCTAAAATTTGTATTATTATTTATTGTTGTACTGTTACTTTCTATTTTTTTCCAAATAGTTTCAATTGTGGTTGGATGACACTGGATGCAGATCCACAAATACTGAGGACCAACTGTATAATCCATTACATAAAAAAAGAATCTGTGAGTCTACACTGATGATGATCAATAAAAACATAAAGGAGAAGGAAAGCTCTTTTTTAGAGTAGAATTCTAATTAAAGAAGATAGAAAGAATAATGTAGTTAGAAAAATTATCATTTTACCATCAGAGAAAAAATAATTTAGGCAAGAATTATCAATGGATGTTGTTGAATCTGGAGTTTGACAAAGAATGGAATACTTACAGAATCCCAAAGTATCTTCCCACATATCAGTCATTAATTACAAGAAAAAATTAAGAAATAAGACAAAACCTTAACCAAATGATGAAAATTAACATTTACAAATAAGAGGCAAATGCACATCATATGCCTCTAGATGTGATGCCCTGAGGACACAACATCATTATATAGTATTCCAGCCAAAAATCCATAATCTGAATTTAATAGGGAATATCAGAGAAACTCAAAAGGCAGTCTGTAAAATAACAGAATATTTTCCTTCAAAAACACCAATGCCAGGCTGGGAATGGTGGCTCATGCCTCTAATCTCAGTGCTTTGGGAGAGCAAGGCCAAGAGGATTGCTTGAGGACAGCCCGGGCAACATAGCGAGACCCTGTCTCTATAAAAAATTAAAAATTAGATGAGTGTGGTGGCATGTGCCTGTAGTCCTAGCTACTTAGGCGGCTGAGGCAGGAGGATCACTTGAAGCCAGGAATTGGAGGTTCCAGTGAACTAAGATTACACTACTGCACTCCAACCTGAGTGACGGAGCAAAACTCTGTTCCTAAAAAATAAATCAATAATGCCAATGTCATAAAAGTTAAAAAAAAAAAAAAGAAAAGAAAAGAAAAAAGGTGGAAGAACAGTTTTGGATTAAAAGAGGCTAAAAACAATACCACCGAAATGCAGTATGTCAACAGGATTGGAAAAAAATTGCTATGTCGCACATTATTGAGATAAATAAGAAACTAGATATATGGGCTGAAGATTGGATAAAAATATGGTATCATAGTATCAATGTTAAATTTCCTAAACTTGATAACTGTGAAATGGCTATACAGAAGTATATCCTCATTCTTAGGGAACACACACTGAAGTGTGATGGTGTGATGTATGCAACCTACTCCAAAATGGTTCAGCAAAACAGTAACGTCTATGTCTATACAGATGGAACAATAAGGTGATGTGGCAAAATATTAAAAATTTGTAAACCTGGCTAAAAAGTATTCAAGGGTTATTTTTATTCCTCTAACAATTTTTTTGTAACTACAAATCTCCTAGTTGTGGAATCCAGGCATGTAAATTTGAAAAAGATGTGTGTTTGAGTTTATGTACTCAGTTTAAGAATTATTATTATTATTATTACCTTAGGGCTCAGTGTAATACAGACTGAAGACCATTACTAAAGAAATAGTGGTCCAGAGAGGTTAAGCAAATTTGCCTGAGAAGTCAAAGCTGGAAAAATGGAAGATTTAGGATTCAAACTCAGTTCTATCTGAGTCCAAAGCTTTTATTCTTAACCCACAAACCATATTCCCAGAACCGCTGGAGCCCATGGATGACAAAAGCAATTTACCATCTGTTTCTTCACCACTGGTTCTCATCTCTTTTTACCCCGTCACTGTTTATTACCTCCATCGTTGGTCCCAGCTGCAGCTGCTCTTTCAGGCTACTGCTGTTCTTGTGGAAAGCACACAGGCTTTGATGTGAAGAAAGATCAGCATCAAACCCCAACACGGAATCTGATTAGCCTGTGATTTCTGATCCTCATTCTTCTCATTAGTAAAATAACGGATAATAATTCTTATTCCATGGGACTTAGTAGGGATAACATTTATGGAACTTAACCCATAGTAGGTAGTTTACAATAAAAGGTAGTTTCGTACTCATCCCTCTCGCCCTCTTTAAATGATAACTATTATTTTGGTTCCTTCATTTCAAATACACCTGATAACTGTGGATTAATTACCTGAGTAGTCATAATCCTGGTCCTGAATTTCATTAATTTGGGATCTGTGAAATTTGGAGAGATGCCATTTACATAGCAAGGCCATAGTTCCAACACGCACTAGTTTCAGTTAACATGGTAAAATGCAAAATGATGACTGTAAGTACTAAAATAAGGAACTGACTCCACACAATAGGTTACATGAATAAACCCAGTATCAAACACAGTGCCTTGGCATATAAAGTGCTCAGAAAATATTTGTTGAATGAATAAACGATTAGTAAGCACTGATTTTAAAAAAAATGAATTACATGAACCTTGACCTAAACCTTACACCTTTTACAAAAATTAACTCAAAATGGACCATAGACTTAAACGTAAAACATAAAACTATAAAAATTTTAGAAAAATACATAGAAGGAAATCTTTGGGGTCTAAGGCTAGGCCAAGAATTCCCAGACTTATATCAAAAGGATGATCATGAAAGTAAAAATTGATCGAATTCATCAAAATAAAAAATTTTTGCTCTTTGAAAGTCTATATTTGGAAGATGAAAGGAAAGCCTACAGATTGAGAGAAAATATTTGTAAACCACATATCTGACGGACGAGTATCTAGAATATATAAACAACTCTCAAAACAATAGTAAACAAAAACCAAACAATCCAATATAAAAATGGGCAAAAGATATAAACACACGTTTCATGAAAGAGGATATACAAATGGCAAATAAGCACATGGTAAGATGGTCAACATCATTAGCCAGGAGAGAGGTGCGTACGGTTATAAAAGCACAGTGTGAGAGATCCCTGTGGTGTTACAACTATTTACTATCTTGACTATGGTGCTGGATATGTGAACTTGCACAGAACTTCATACACACACATATGTACACTGAGTAAAAATAAAACTAGGGGAATATGAGTAAGATGGGGGATTGTATCAATGTCAAAATCCTGGTTTTGATAGTATATTATAGTTACAAAACTATTACCAATCAGAGAAACTAGGTAAAGTGTACAAGGGATGACTCTATATTTCTTGAGACTGCATGTACATCTACAATTATCTTAAAAAATCATAGAAGGATGGAAAAAAACAAAAAAAGTTTAAAAAAGGATAGGCAACTGCACATTTAAAGTGAATGAATTTTATTGTATGTAAATGATACCTTAATAAAGATGTTTTATAAAAAGGAATTAGAAACTCTAATGAATGCTTTAAAGAGGGTGAGCAAAGACATGGGAAGTCTACCATCATTTCACAAATAGTAACTATTTTAGATTTTGGGAATCCAACTAATTGTGAAAAATCTACAACCTATGAATCATCTCTCACTTCAGGTAAATTTGAATACATATGGATCAAAAGAAGATGGAATTAAGGAATACAAATCCTTATAGACACAAATCCTAAATGATGTTTTGACCACTTACATAGGATATATAAACAACAGAGTAAGGTACAAATGCAAAAAGGATCGATATTTGTGTAACTCTTAGTCTAATAAAAAAGACAATGTACATATAAAATACATTAATTAGAAAATTGGTATAATTACTTATTTAAAAACAAAGTAATAAGCTATATGAATTAATTTGGATTGCTACAAATATTATATTTCTAATATCTGTAGAAAAATGCTTCTACTTATTAAAATACATTAAAATTGGTAAATTTTATTTAGAATCTCCTATATTCTTATATGCCCTTGTTTCCATTAAAATAACAATAGCAATATTAACAGTAATACTTTTATTACATATTGACCAAATATTTATTTGACAGAGCCAACTTGTTTTTTCTGAGTTGGAGTCTTGCTCTGTTGCCCAGGCTGGAGTGCAGTGGAACAATCTCGGCTCACTGCAACCTCTGCCTCCTGGGTTCAAGCGATTCTCCTGCCTCAGTCTCCCGAGTAGCTGGGACTACAGGCGCGCACCGCCATGCCTGGCTAATTTTTGTATTTTTAGTAGAGACGGAGTTTCACTATATTGGCCAGGCTGGTCTTGAACTCCTGACTATGTGATCCGCCTGCCTCGGCCTCCCAGAGTGCTAGGATTACAGGCATGAGCCACTGTGACTGCCTGACAGAGCCAATTTTTAAAAAAAATTTAAATATATTTAGATTTTGTTTTGTTTTGTTTTTTTGAGAGGGAGTCTCGCTCTGTCAACAGACTGGAGTGCAGTGGCGTGTAGATCTTTGGTTTTTAAAAATTAATTTGTCCACTTTCAGTTTTATTATGCTAATTTCAGCATAAATAAATAAAACTGAAATCTCTAAAGTGGGCTATATACTATAATCTCTGTTTTACAGTAATGTAGAAGTTTTTTGACACTACTACTGTGGAGGATGAATTTAAAGGTGGAGCTCCAATTACGCTGTAACTTGCTGTGTGACCTTAGGTATTTCAAACAAGGTTCTGATCTTTTGTTTCCTATAAAATGGGGGAAATCATTCCTATCTATTTTACAGGGTGGCTATGAGCCTTAACTAAGAGAATGTATATAAAAGCATCTTTTAATTGGTAAAGCAGTATGTAGTTTCTGAAACAGCTATATTGTTCTGACATAATTTTGGATGTATTTTTTTTAAAGTAGCAGTTTTAGTCTAACCAAGTCTGTTACAACAGCATAAAAGCGCTTCCACTTAAAAGCAGTACAAACTATGGATTAACTACAAATAATTACACATTTATTAAAATTTATAAGAACAATAATAGTTTTCTATACTTTTTAACTTCTAGAAGATCGTTACATTTCTAAGAGATGGTATTTTTGACTACTATGTTTTGTTTCCTATTCAAAATAGTAGACTATTTCTTAAAAAGACTAAAATACAAGTTTTATTAATATTTTGTATCTAATACAAAGTCTATCTGTAAAATATTAAGCAGCTTTAATCAAACTATCTCTCTGTAACAAGTTAAACACCAAAATAAAGTAGTATTTATTAAGAAAAAGGTAACTACTGCTTATAATTTCATGGCACTAAGCACTCAAATGGCACATGCTGTGCAGACAATAAGTAATGAAGAATGGTTTATATACTATTTGGGCATATAAAATCTACACAGGGAAAGATGGCAAGAATAGAAAGGAGTCCGGATGTCTCAAAAAAGCATTCTGCTTTAAGTACTTTTGTTTGAAGCAAACCAATTCCATAAAGCTTTTACTGAGCAAACGGTGTTAAATCATTGGTATGTAATGACTGACATATGAATAGCCTCATTTAAATACACATTATAAATGGTCATTTTTCTTCAGTATTTCTTAGTTGTCTAAATAGTGGAATTTATAAGTAAATGTCCTGTCTCAGATAAAGGTTTAAAATGTGTGCTACAATAGTTATCTCTAAAATACAAATTCTAACGATAAGGAAATCCACTTATATGTTTTTATAAATTTTCAGTGCTTTTAAGTAAAAAGTAGCAACTCTATTTTTGGTTACTTCAGGTTTTAAAAATCTTTAAGGGATATCATGTGATATTATTCAATAGCATAAGAACATGGGAGAGTCTATGAGAAAATATTTTCTGAGACATTTTGAATCAAATCAGGAGCCTAGCATTTATTTCTTCACTTCCAAAAGAATAGACCACCAAAGAAGTTTAGAACAGACTGCGTAGAGAAATTTTTTAAAAAAGAAAAAAACCCTGATAACCAATCACATCCCTAAAATTTAAAGGCAACAAATGTAGAGAAATAAAGGAAGGGTAAGTCCACAAGGAGGTCTTTCTAAGGAGAAAAGGGAAATAGCTAAGTACTAAGAGGTCACAAGGTACATTGAACACATAAAAAGCCCCTACTCATTAAATTTAAAGATCTGGTCCTGCAAGAGCAGTTTTTGTTACTAAAAGGCATACCATTTGCAGGTTTTGGTTTTTTTTAATTCAAAAAGATTTACAATATTACTTTGTTCCCTGAAGGTTTTTTTCCTGTTAATTTTATTCTATAAAAAGTGTTACCAAAATGGCAACTAAATAAATGTAAAAATTAAGATGTGTTATTTAAATGCAACCAAAAATCTAAGAATTTTAGGCTTATTCAATTTCTGTGGTTTGTTTTTCAAGAAATGCTCCATTGTCCAACTATTTGAAACTTTAAAATAAATGTATCATACTTCTCACTAGCATTATTTTTAATTATATGGTTCTTACTTAATTGTATCACTATTTACTTAAAGTGGCTGTAATCAGCTGTAGTCATGGTAGCATATCCTAACCCACCTTCTCAGTATACACATACTCACCTGCCCACTAACCACAAAGGCCATTGCTATGAGTGCTATGGAATTAAAAACCAAAACAAAAGTCATAATTCTCACTGAGTTGCTTTTATACAAATAAAACAAGGTATTAAATTAAATGAATATTGAAGGCAGCCAGAAATAGGAGGAAGGTGAAAAATGAGAAAACATTTAATAGTGAAAAGAGACTGATGGAAAGAAAACATGAGTTTGACTCAGTCTCCTTCCTTAGCTAGTAGGGAGCATCAGCCAAGTCACTAAAATTTTGAGGTCTCAGTTTCCTCCCCTGTAAAATAAGGGTTTTGAAACTGGTGTTCCCTAAGGTCTTTTTTAGCTATAAAATTCCATGGTTCCAAGAGTAATTAGACAAGAAAAAAAGTAAAAGACAACCAAATTGGAAAGAAAGCAGTAAAATCCTTTGTAGTTACCCTAAAGATTCTACCAAAAACTTACAACTAATAAATCCATTCAGCAAAGTAGAAAGACATAAAGTCAAGACACAGAAATAAGTCGTATTTCTATACATTTACAATAAACAATCTGAAAAGGAAATTAAGAAAATAATACCAACTACAACAGCATCAAAAAGAATAAAATACTTAGGAATTAACCAAGTAGGTAAAAGGCTTCTGGAATGAAAGCTACAAAACACTACTGAAAGAAGTGAAAGACAAATAAATGGAAGTACATCCTGTGGTTACAGATTGGAAGACTTATTAAGATGGCAATACCACCCAAAGTGATCTATAGATTCAATGTAGCTCCTGCCAAAATTATAATGACGTTTTTTGCATTAATAGAAAAAAATTCTAAAATCCACATGGAATCTCAAGGGACCTCTAATAGTCAAACCAAACTTGAAAAAGAACAACAAAGCTGGAAGACACTTTCTGATTTCAAAACTTATTACAAAGCTACAGTAACCAAAACAGTATGGTATTGGCATAAAAAGAGACATACAGACCAATGAAATAGAACAGAGAATCCAGAAATAAACCATCACATATATGGTCAAAAGATTTTTGACTAGGTGTCAAGATCATTTAATGGGGGAAAGGACAGTCTTTTCAACAAATGGTGCTGAGAAATCATATCCACATTCAAAAGAATGAGGTTGGAACCTTACCCAACATTATCTATGAAAATTAACTCAAAATGGATCAAAGACTTAAATCTAAGACATAAAACTGTAATACTCTTAGACGAAAAAACAGGGCAACAGGGCAAAAGGCTTACAGCACTGAATTTGGCAATGATTTCCAAATGCACAAGCAACAAAAGAGGAAACAGACCAACTGAACATTATGAAAATTAAAAAAAAATTGTGCATCAAAAGACAGTATCAACAGAGTAAAAAGGCAACCCACCGAATGAGAGAAAATATTTGAAAATCATGTATCTGATAAAATCTAATATCTATAATTTACAGATAACTCCTTTAACTCAACAATAACAAAAACATGATTCAAAAATGGGTAAAGGACTTGAAAAGACATTTTTCCAGAGAAAATACACTAACGTCCAATAAGCACAGGAAAATACAGTCAACATCACTAATCATTAGGGAAATACAAATCAAAAGTACAATGAGGGACCACCTTATACCCATTAAGATAGTTACTATCGAAAAAAAAATAAGTCTTGGCAAGGATGTGGAGAAACTGGAACCCTTATGTATTGTTAATGTGAATGTAATACGTATGGTACAGCCTCTGCGGAAACAATATGGAGCTTCCTAAAAAAAAATTAAAAACAGAATTACCATGTGATCTAGCAATTCCACTTTCAGGTATATACCCTCAAGAATTCAAAGCAGGGTCTGGAAAAGATATTTGTTCACCCATGTTCATAGCAGCATTATTCACAACAGCTAAAACATGGAAGCAACCCAGGTGTCCAATAACAGATGAATGGATAAGCAAAATGTGGCTGACACATATAAGGGAATGTTATGTGACCTTAAAAAGAAGAGAAATTCTGGCATATGCTACAACAAAGATGAACCTTGAGGACATTATGCCAAGTTAAATAAGCCAGTCAAAAAAAGTCAAATACTGGATAAGCCCATTTATATGAGGTTTTGGTTCTTTACCACTTTCCAGTAATATGAATACAAACACTTCCGGTTTCCAAAACTGGAAACAAAAGGTAGAATGGTGATTGCTAGGACCTAGGAATGGGGAAGGGGAATTATTGTTTAATAGGTATAGAGTTTCAGTTTTACAAGATAAAAAGAGTAATGAAGATAGATGGTGTTGATGGTGGCACAACATTATCAATGTAATTAATACCATTGAACTGTACACTTAGAATGGTTAAGATGGTAAATTTTATGTTACGTATATTTTACTACAATTTAAAAATTGGAAGAAACAATTCTGTGATCCCATAAAAATAAAATGAGGGAAAAAACTCTGAAAAACAAATTAATAAATAAAAGAAGAGATGATGGCGTGCGTGTGTGTGTATTTAACATCTGTCCTTTCCATCTCTTTTTTCCCTATATTCATGACTTCCACAAATCACTACTCCATATAGAGTCTCTCCAAGCTTGGCTTACTTGCTAAAATCTGGTTCCTTCATTCAAATAGCTTATGAATCCTATGCAATCTATTCTTGAAAAATACACGAACTGCTGACTAAATGGTTAAACTCCCTAAAGCTGTTGCCTAAACTCCAAACCACAAATATTTTTATCTTATATTGCTATAAAGTACTTGCACCAGCACAGTGGCTCACACCTATGATTCCTGAACCTTGGGAGGCTGTGGAAGGAGGATCGCTTGAGCTCAGGACTTCAAGACCAGCCTGGGCAGCACAGTCAGACAAAAAAATTAAAAGAAATAACCACACGTGATGGCGTGTGCCTGTGGTCCCAGGTACTCTGAAGGCTGAGGTGGGAGGGAGAATTGCTTGAACCTAGGAGGTCAAGGCTACAGTGAGTCTTGTTCGCACCACTGCACTCCAGCCTGGGCAACAGAATAAAAATCTGTCTCAAAAAAATACTTGCCCCAAATATGATATAAATTTATTCAAGTCAGCCAAAAATGTTTTAGTTTATTAGAGAGCTAAGTCAAGAAATTTGTCAGAAAAACAAAACAATGAGAGCAAAACGAAAAAGAAATAGTGAACATAAATTTCCAGAAATAGATGTATTTCATTTAAATTGTTTAAAAAATTATTTAAGTAAAATAATTCAAGAAAAAGAAACAGAAATTAAATGCATAATTCTTAGACTTTAGTATTAATGATTTTGATGCATTATCATGGGTCAGTCAATGGAATAGTGCCAGTTTCCAAATCTGAATCAAAATGAGGAAAAAATTAGTTGTACATTAGCAGTTGGTTAAATAATAAACCATAAAGTTACAAATCTGAATGACTAATTTCAACACACTGTGATTAAAGATTTGGTAATTCAATGTTTTTATATTGTAAAATGAGGAAGATATCTTTTAACCTAGCAACAGTAAACACACAAAACATTCCCCATTAAAGTGACCATATGTAATAAATTATGATCAATGTTTTGGCTTATCTAGAAGTTACTATAATATTTTGTGGATGGAAGTAATTGATCCAAGGGCCCCAAGTAATATTAGTTAATTTGCTGTAACTTATTATTAAATGAAGTTACGCTGCACCCTAATTCCTGATGTACAGAAACTGATAATATTTGTTGTTTTAAGCTGGGGTAAATTTGGGGGTAATTTGTTACCCAGCAATAGACAACTAATGAAGTACCTCATCAGACATATTGTCAGGTTAATTGGCTAAAGATGAATTTCTGACCCAATATGAAAAAAATAATAAAACTTATGCATTCTTTATTCTGAAACCTACTCTGTTTCACATATCATTTTCGTGAAGGGTAGAGTTGAGAAGTGTGTAGAGCTCCTACCTCAGAAATACATTACTTCAAACATTAAAAGAAGGAAGAGGAAAGCTGAAATAGAAAACATAAATTGTCTTCACTTTACCGTAATAAAAATCATGATATATTCATTTGTGGATATACACCTAGGAGCCTTGAAAATGAATATTTTACTTGTAAAACAAGTAGAATCAATTATTTTATTAGTAAATTCATACAGAACCTAAAAATAAAACTAAAAAAATTAAATGACTGAGGATTGGGATCCATTTATGTGATTTTGCCAAATAAATATTGAGAACCTTCTACGTAAGAGATTAGAACCCAGTCGCTGAGAAACAAATAAAAGACAAGTTTGACAAGTTTTATAACCCAAGTTTGACTACTGTAGCAGCTAGCAATCCATCGTGATCTTAACTATACTTGTGTTTGCATTCATATTACTGGAAAGTGGTAAAGAACCAAAAACTGTCTAGGAACCAAAATAACACTCGACCCGAAAACCAACACTTGGACCTGAAGAAAGTAACCCTTGTCATTTCTCAGGTTTATTTCACAATGACGCTGGGTTACTACTTGGAGTCCTAAACCGAACTACACCCCAATGGCCTAGAAACAGAAGGAACACACCCAGTTCCGCCTCCTGACAGTGATTCCTCACTTTAATGAGCCACCACTACTGTCACTCAAGATGCTTCGCACTGTCATTGGTCGCAAACTCTTGCTGGTCGGCCAGTTTCGGCCAACTGGCAAGCACTGGTTGTCTTTATTTTCGAGAAAAGTGAAGGTGAACAGGGAAAAGAGACAAGAGATCTAAAATATCTAGGTTGACTCCTGTACCTGAGCGACCTGCGATCTCCACCGCCGCCGCGACGAATTGGCCTCTGGGCGGGGACTTTTAGCCAAAAGGAAAATGGCTCAGCCGGGAACTGGTGCCCAGGCCATGGAGAAGCTGATTCAAACTTTACTTGTCCACACCGGTAGAGGTGACCGCGATGAGAATACCAGAAACAGCACTACGACCCTCAGAACTCAGGGTACCTCCAGCTGCAGGGGCCAGAACTGCCGACTATCCCAATTTTGACGTTTCCTATTGTTGCCGGAAGTGACGTTAGGCTCCGACTCTTAACGGAGACGCATTTTTATTTCTGTTGTTTACGATTCGCTATAGATTCCTTGTTTCTCACTTCGTAGCACGAGCCACTCTGACCATCAAGATCAGAAAAACTTCTCAGCTGCAAGTTAGAAGTGGACTGGCCATTGAGGAGGCTCTCAGCGGAGTCGCTCTTCACAGGAGTCTTGAACGCGGTGTGGAATCGGCAGCGAGGAATCCTGGAGCACAGAGAAGCTCCCAGCTTTGAAGGTCTTGCGGTGGTGCGTGGCGGGCAGGAACCCACAATTCCAAATACAAACGGTCGGCGCGAGAAGCGCTTCTGGGCGCAGGCGCCTGGCTGTAGCGACTGGTTGCGGGAGGCTGGACTCTGGTGACTGTGTATGGTTGCATATGCTCCGTTTTCCTCTCCCTGTCGTGCTGGGCCTTTGAAACCGGCTTCTTTGCTGGTGGCTGCTTGGTGAGCCCCGAGGAGACGGCAAGGCTGCGCCTGGTATTGGGCGGAGGTCGCCTCTCTCCGCCGTCCTTACAGAGACCCCGGGCGGAGACGAATGACCAGATCCGCCTTTTCATTCTTTTAAATCAAATGGCGGGAGGGGAGCCTTGCTTATATACCCAACTAGTATATGCTTTTAGTCACAACGAAGTGGGAAGTATCGTGGTAGCTCATCCTATCAGAATTAGGTTGTGACTTAGGGTTGGAAAGTTATAGGCTTACTGATTCCTATTGGATCCTCTGGGGTGAGGATACAAACGGCTCCTGACTATAAGGAAGACAGGACAGCAGTTCGTGTTTTCCTTGTTGGCATTTCCCCAGCTTTTCAAATATTTCTCCACCTTTATTGAAGGCTACAGATTTTTCCCTCACTGTAACAAGTTAATCTTGAAGTTGTTATTCTCTTTTACTCTGGAATTATGGCCATGCTAGACTGTTTTTTTCCCGAATTATCTGCAGACCTTTTAATTTTATGTGTGAACACAGCAGTCCCGTTGAACTCTTTACTTGTCCCTTACTCCTCCCCACTCCCGCCCAGCTTTCTCGATGCTTTGCCTTTCTCAGACCTTTCTCCTATCTCTTAGAGAAGTATTTCCCTAATATCTTTTGCAGTTTCATAAACTGTTTTTCTCATCTTTACTTTTTTGTTTTTGATACGTGTTTTTAGATAATATCGAGCATTATGTGCTATGTCACAAACTCTTAGCCATTGACTGTTATTAGAGTCAGTGTAGTTGCTTCATTCTAAACAAAAATCACTCTGGTCCAGTGACATTCTATTGGGAGGCATTGTTTTAATGACCTCTAACAGCAATGAGATTGAGCGATGTTGAAAATCCTAAACTGCTAGAGTACACTATTTTCACAACCTCTCCCACAAGTTCAATTGCGCAGATCTGACTTGTAGACAAGGAAGGAAGCTAGAAAGGAATATTGAGAGCTTCTTTATTATTGAATCTATGCTGCAAGCTGAGTGGTATCTCCTTTTTTCCTTAGTTTGCCTTTGATCAGTGCTATAAGTTGAAAATGTTAAATTTTTAAAAGTATTTTTCATTAATGAAAGTAAGGTGTTAAAATGTACATAAGTAATAGATTGGCTTCTTTTAATGTCTTGTTTTTAAGGCTTTTGAATTTTATAGTAGACTTAGTAAAGCCCTTTGTGAGAATGTAGAGCAGTAGCTGTAATTTTATTCTGTGATAATCCCAATTTTAAATCCCTTTATTTTTCTGTCTCCTATCACTTACCTCGTTCACGAGCTCTGCTTGTATTACTCTTCAAAATATTTATTCACTGGTACTGAAGAGAGACATAACTTTGTTGTCAGAAATTCCATTATCAGAGGTAGAAATCATGTAAGAGACACTGAAATGTTTTCCAAAATGTCAGAAAAAGGAAAGGTGAGAAGATATCATAAAGTGTTACGTAAAACAGAATTACTTGCACTGGGAAAATGGAATATACATCTGGAAGGACTAAAGGAAGTCTGGAAAGACATAGAATTTACATTAAAGTTACTGGGAAGAAGGTATCCCTAGAAGAATTGTGTTACGATAGATGGGTCTGGAACCCGAAAGAAGCTCAGACCTACTATATTGGCCAGTGGCAAAATCCAAGAATACATTTTTTGCGGTTAAAGCCAGAGTAGTCCTCACTTCATGTTTTTCAGGAAAGTAAAGGCTTATCTTGGGAAATCCCTTTTAGGCTTCCGTGTGTCCATCTACCCCCAGTCAGTCTAAAGGATATTAAATAGGGTTTACCTTCTTGGCCAGTGTTTTGTATAATGTGATTTCAGGATGACTTTCTCTTTTTCTAGTTATCTCCCATTTGACAGTACCTAAAATTATCTCTGTCTAGAAATGTAAATGTTTAGTTGAAGTAATTTATTGGCTGAAAAATAGTGACTAAAATGTGCATGCACAAGTCTATAAAGTATATTCAATAAGCTGTTGCCTACCATGTTGATAAAGGAGACTAGGAACAGAAAGGTAGGTTCATAAAGAGGGAGCAGTTGCTCTACCCTGGGGAAATGGCTGTGGAAATGAGTGGCGAGGGGCTTAAAGTAGGAAGCTTACTAAATTTAGGATTTTGTAAATCGGTGACCTTCTTACCTTTCCTTATTTAAAGATAGAGAAACGGTGTGTAAAGGGATGATTTGTATCCTGGACAGCTGGGTAATGCGAATTGGAGGAAAAGATCACACTAACCCAGCTTCACCTGATTTATGAATTGTTCTGTTTTCATTTTAATATAATGACTTCATTTTAATGTGATAACTTCATTTTAAAGGAGCTTCATTCTCAAAGGGTTCATTACTCAAGGTATTGTTATGTATTACTTTTCTTCTATGAAGTGTCCATGGACAGTTGTGGTAGATGTTTTTATGTAAGTTATTGAGTTTCACGTTACTGGCTGACTAGACTTTTATAGTTCAGAAACTTACCTCCTTCCAGCAAAGGTTCTTAATCGTTTATATACCTATTTATGACTCTTCTTTGGGAAAAATCTCCTTTGATAATCTAATGAAAGTCCCACTCCATGCAAGAAAATTAGTCATTTAGAAATAAATTCCATGCTATTACTTTTGGGGCAGTTTTTAAAAAATGAATCATTTTGTTTAAAGTCTCAGTTCGTTCAAATCTTTTGGTTCACGTATGTGTTTTTCTGTTGTGTACATTCTTCAGAGTCATATTCCTGTTTCATAGGCCCCATGTATGTCAGCTTTTAGTAGGTATCACCAGTAAGTTTTCCAAAATAATTGTACCATTTACTCTTTCTGTAAAAAGCATAGATATTTTGAATTTCTTGCCTTTTTTTCTGTGTTCACCTTTTCTTCTTGGAAGTAGACAGCTGGCTAACCAGCAGGAGTTTGGGACCGATGACAGTGCAAAACATCTTGACTGACAATGGTGGTGGCTTATTAAAGTGAAGAATCAGCATCAAGAGGGGGAATCGGTGTATTCCTTCTATTTCTAGGCCATTGGGATATAGGTCGTTATGGGACCCCAGGTAGTAACCCAGCTCATTCTGAAATAGAGCTGAGAAATGACAAGGATTAAGTGTTGCTTTTCAGGTAGAGTGCTATTTTGGACCCTTGGCACAGATTTTGGTTCTTTATTATGATAAGTACCAAGAAGGAAAAGAACTGGGTCTATTAGAGAAAATTAATGAGGGGGATTAATTAGTTTGGGATCTAAGACTTATTTGAGGTGGTGACATTTAAGCAGGATGCCGAGGGGTATTAGCCAGATGGAGAATGGGAGAGGGAAGGAGTTGCTCTGTATCTCTTCAAGCTTGAAGAAATGGCATGTGCAAAGGTGTTGAACAGCTTGAGATATCACCAAACATCCTTATCCAGGTCCAGGAACTTTATCCCAGATACCATTTCTGTTATTTGTTGCTTTCTATAATATTTTAAATTAACTAAATCACACACATTCTCTTTTTCATCATTACTTGGTAAGTGGAATGTTTTGATTTTCCCTTCTGGTTATGATTTACATGTATTAACTTATTAATACACGAAGATCAAAAAGTGACCAAAATTGTTCAAAAGGTACAATTTATTATAGGATAATTATAATTATTTCATGCTGACAATATGTTTATAAGTGTTTTGCAGTAACCTTTTTGTTTCTATAATTTCATGGTAAGAAAGAAAATGAATTAGGTAGAGCTAGTAATACCAGGTATAGACAAGAATGTAGTATTTAAAGCTAATATCTGAAATTCTCTTCTTGCATCTGCTAACTGAACGAGAAAATTCTGTGTGTGAGAATGGAAAACTTTGGGTGAAAAGTGAAAACTTGGATTTTGTAGTCCAGGCCCTTAATTAAGTAGATAACACACTCAGAAGGAGAAAATTTGGGGTGCTTTATATACAAAGGGACTATTTTTAGAGGTGTGTGTACAGGGATCTGGTGCTGCTTCATTTTTTAACCTGTTTATTGCGGTATGATTGACATACAGAAAGCTATAGACATTTAATGTATACAGTTTCTGTTTGGAGATAAGTAGATATTGTGAAACCATCCAACCATTATTACTACAAGAAATCAATGCCATCACCTTGAAAAGTTTCCTTCTACTCATCTTTTTTTCACGTTTTGTGATAAGAGCACTTAACATTAGATCTAACTTCTTAGCAAAATTTTAAGAATACAATATTGCTAATCACAGACACTGGGTTGTACCTGCAGATCTTATTTATTTTGCCTAACTGAAACTTTGTACCCTTTGAACAACAGCTTCCCATTTTGTTCTCCCCATGTTCCCTTACAACCACCATTCTATTCTCTGCTTGCATGTATTTGACTATTTTAGATTTCACATACATTGAGATAATACAGTATTTGTCTTTTTGTGTTTAGCTTATTTCACTTAGCATAATGTCCTTCAGGTTCATCCATGTTGTTGCAAATGGCAGGATTTCCTTCTTTTTTAAAGGCAAATTTGTTTATTCTCACATTTTTGTTGGGGTCCCTAAGGTTTTCTACATCTAAGATCATGTCATCTGCAAACAGATATTGTACCTCTTCTCTTTTTATTTGGATGTTTTTAATTTATTTTTCTTACCTAGTTATTCTGGCTAGGACTTAAAATACTACGCTGAATAGGAGAGGCTAAAGTAGGCAACCTTGCCTTGTTCCTCATCTTATGGGGAAAGCTTTCAGTTTTTTATCTTTAAGTATCTTAGCTGTGGGCTTCTCATAAATGGACTTTATTTTGTTTTTCCTTTACCTAATTTGCTATAAGGTTCTTCCATACCTAGTTTATTGGGAGTTTTTATCACAAAAGAGTATCGAATTTTGTCAAGTGCTTTTTCTGCATCTGTGCAGATGCCCATGTGAGTTTTATCCTTCATTCTATTAATGCAGTATATTACATTGGTTGGTTGTCATATGTTGAACCATCCTTGCATCACAATGAAAAATCCTACTTGGTCATGGTATATGATTCTTTTAATGTGCTGTTGTGTTTGGTTTGCTAACATTTCATTGAGGATTTTTACGTCTATATTCATCAAATGTATTAGACTGTAGTTTTCTTGTAGTGTATTTGTCTGGCTTTGGTATCAGGGTGATGCAGGCCTCAGAATGACTTTGGAAGTGTTCCCTCTTCTTTTTTTTTTTTTTTTAGATATGTTTAATAAGGTTTTGTATTAATTTTTCTTTAAATGTTTGCTAGAATGTATCTGGCTCTTGGCTTTTCTTTGTTGGGAATTTTTTGATTATTCCATCAATCTCCTTTTTTGTTATTTGTCTATTCAAGCATTCTATTTCTTCTTGATTCAGTCTTGGTAAGTTATATTTTTCTAGGAATTTACCCATTTTTTTTTAGATTGTCCAATTTGATGGCATATAATTGTTCATAATAGTCCCTTATGATACTTTTTATATCTGTGGGATCAATTGTGTCCTCTTTCATTTCTGATTTTGTTTGAGTCTTCTATTTTTAAAGTCTAGCCAAGGATTTGTTGATTTAGTTTGTCTTTTCAAAAGAGGAACTTTTAGTTTTGTCAATTTTTAAAATTGTTTTTCAATTTTCTATTTCATTTATTTCTAATCTAATCTTTATTATTTTCTTCCTTCTGCTAATTTTGGATTTAGTTTGTTCTTTTTCTAGTTCCTTGAGGTGTAAAGTTAGGTTGTTTTATTGAGACCTTTTTTTTTTTTTCTTTGAGACAGAGTCTTGCTCTGTCACCAGGCTGGAGTGCAGTGGCGTGATGATCTTGGCTTACTGCAACCTCCGCCTCCCGGGTTCAAGTGATTCTCCTGCCTCAGCCTCCCGAGTAGGTGGGAGTCCCAAGTAGGTGGGACTAGAGCCACGCACCACCATGCTCAGCTAATTTTTGTATTTTTTGTAGAGATGGGGTTTCACCATGTTAGCCAGGATGGTCTCAATCTCTTGACCTAGTGACCCGCCTGCCTCAGCCCCCAAAAGTGCTAGGATTATAGGCGTGAGCCACTGTGTCCTGCCTCTTTCTTCTTCTTAATGAATTTATTGCTATAAACACTTCTCTTATTCTGCTTTTACTGCATCCTATATGTTTGGGTATACTGTGTTTTTATTATTGTTTGTCTTGAGATATTTTATAATTTCTGTTTTGATTTATTCTTTGACCCAGTATTATTTAATAGTATGTTATTTAATTCCCCTGTATTTGTGAATTTTTCCATTTTCTTTCTATTATTGATTTCTAGTTTCATTCCCTCGTGATCAGACAAAATGTTTAGAATGTTTTTAGTCTTCTTAAATTTGTTAAGACTTGTTTTGTGACCTAGGCTGTGATCAGTTATAGAGAATGTTTCATGTCCTTTTGAGAAGAATGATTATTTTGCTATGGTTGGGTCTCATGTTCTGTATATGCATGTTAGGTCTTTGGTCTATAGTGTTGTATAGTTTGCAATTTACTTGTTGGTATTCTGTCCGGATGACCAGTACATTATAGACAGTGACGTATCAAAGTCTCCTTCTGTATTGTATTGATATCTATTTCTTCCTCCAATTCTATCAATATTTGCTGTTGGCATTCTGTCTGGATGACCTGTACATTATAGAGAGTGATGTATCAAAGTCTCCTTCTATATTGTATCGATATCTATTTCTTCCTTCAAATCTGTCAATGTTCACTGTATATTTTAAGGTGCTTTGATGTTGGGTGCATATGTATTTTTAGTTGTTGTATCTTTCTATTGAATTGACCCTTTTACTATTATATAATGCCTTCTTTGTCTCTTTTGACAGTTGTCGACTTAAAGTCTATTTTGTCTGATATAGATAGCCACCCTGCTCTCTTTTGGTTATAGTTTGCATGGAATATCTTTCTCAATCCCTTCACTTTTAGCCTACGTGTGTCCTTAAATGTTAGAGTCTCTTGTAGATAGCGTATAGTTGAGTGTTGTTTTTATTATCCATTTCAGCCATTCCATGTCTACTGAGAGCCCTTAATTATTAAAAATTTAAAGTAATAATTTTTAATAATTAAGTACTTAATTGTTTCCATTTTATTCATTGTTTTCTATTTGCTTTCTGTTTCTCCTGTTTTTCTCTTGTTTGTTGTCTTTGTGATTTGATGATTGTAGTAGAATGCTTTGATTTTTTTCTTTTTTTTGTTTATTTACTATACTTTTTATTTTGGTTACTATGGGGTTTGCATCAAATATTATGTAGTCATAGCAGGCTTTTTAAAGCTAGTAACAACTTCATTCATATTCAGAATCTCTACACTTCTCCCCCCTCTTCCTCACCAATGTATGTAATTGATTTCAGATTTTACTTCTTTCTATATTGTTTCTATTAACAAATTTCTGTGGTTGTTGTAGTTACTCATACTATTTTTGTCTTTTAATTTATATACTAGTGTTCAATGAGATTTACGTGCCACAGATTTCAGTATTGCAATATTCCATGTTTGTTTTCATGTTTGCTTTTAGCAGTGAGATGTATACTTTCATATGCTTTCATACTGTTGGTTTAGTATCTTTTCAGTTAACTTGAAGATCTCCTGTTAGCATTTCTTGTTAGGGCATGTCTAAAAGTGACAAACTCCCTGAGTTTTTTAATCTGAGGAAGTTTTCATGTTTTCTTTATTCTTTTATCTTTTTCTTTTCTTTTTTTTTTTTTTTTTTTTTTTTTCCAGGTCTGGCTCTGTTGCCCAGGCTGGAGTGCAGTGACATGATCTCAGCTCATTGCAACCTCAACCTCCTGGGCTCAAGTCAGCCTCCCACCACAGCCTCCCAGGTAGCTGGGACTAGAGGCATGCACCACCATGACTGGCTAATTTTTGTATTTTTTGTAGAGACAAGATTTCACCATGTTTGCCAGGGTGGTCTTGAACTCCTGAGCTCAAGCAATCTGCCTGCCCTCAGCCTCCTCAAGTGCTGGGATTACAGGTGTGAGCCACCATGCCTGGCTATTTCCTTCATTCCTGAAGACAGTTTTTTCAGGTAATTATTTTCAGTTGGCAGGTTTCTTTTTTTACTTTCAGTATGTTGAATATGTCATTCCCTCTCTCCTGGCCTGCAAGTGTTCTGCTGAGAAATTCACCAATACCTTTATGGAGGCTCTGTTATATGAAATAAGTTACTTTTCTGTCACTGCTGTCAAAATTTTTTCTCTGTCTTTGAATTTTGACAAATTCATTATAGTGTCTATTGGTACAGACCTCTTTGGCTTCAACCTATTTGGGAACTTTTGGGCTTCGTGAGTCTGGATGTCCATTTTCCTCCCTAGATTTGGTAAGTTTTCAGCCATAATCTAAATGTGCTTTCTGCCCCCTTTCTCTCTGTCTTTTTGCCTTCTGGAACTTTTATAATGTGTTTATTAAGTTACTTAGTGGTGTACCATAAGTCCCGTAGTATTACTTCATTTCACTTTTTATTCTTTTTAATATTTCTTCCTCTAATTGTATAATTTCATATGACCGGTGTTCAGGTTTGCTGATTCTTTCTTTTGGTTGATTGAGTCTGTTGTTGAAGCCTTCTATTGAATTTTTTAGTTCAGTCATTGTATCCTTCAGCTCTAGGATTTCTGTTTGGTTCTTTTTTATGCTTCTCCTTTATTGAACTTTTTGTTCATGTATTGTTTTCCTGATTTTTATTTCATTTTCTATCTGGGTTTGTTTATTTGTTTGTTTGTTTTTGTAGCTCATTGAGCTTAAGATGATTATTTTGAATTCTTTGTCAAGCAGATCATGGATCTTCATCTTGTTATAGTCAGTTTCTGTAACCTTATTGGTTTCCTTTGGCATGTTGTATTTACTAATAATCCCTTGAGTCTTTCATTGGTGTCTGTACATTTGAAGGAGCAGTTCCCACTTCTGTACTAAACAGAGTGATTTCAGTAGATGAAGATCTTCTCTTGCTGGGTCCCTTGGTGAGACTGACTTCCAAACCACAGTCACTTAGGTGGAGCCAGGTTGTGGGTCTGCTTACATGTTCAAAATCAGGTCTGCGGTTGTGGGCCTGTTACTGGGGCTTGGGTGGGTGTGGTTCCTTCTGGGTTCCCAGACAAACAAGTCTTCCTGTGAGACCTTGGACAGGTGAGTTGAAGCCCACATGCTGATGAGGCTGCTGCTGGGTCTGGAGCCAGTTCTGTAGTCACATGCCTGCTACTGGGGCATGATTCTGCCTTCTCAAAATGGCTTCTATCAGTCTTGGACTCCAGAAGGATGTCACAGCCTTCTACTTGGACCCATCAGGGCACTTTTATACATAGATGGTTGCTAAATTGGTGTTTCTGTGAAGGACAAGGGCTGGGGAGGTCCTGTTCCACTATCCTTTTCTAGCTAAAACCTTCTTTGATTTCTTTCATAGTTTTGTAATTTGTCACATACAGATCATTTACATATTTTGTTAGACTTATAAGTGTTTTTTGTGCTATGATAATGGTGTTTTTAGTTTTATATTTCATTCTAATCATTTATTGCCAGTATATAGGAAAACATTTGACTTTTGTATATTAACCTTATATACTGTGACTTTGCTATACTCACTTTTTACTTTTAGGGGGTTTTTTTTGTTAATTCTTTAGCATTTCCTAAATAAACAATCATGTCTTTTGCAAATGAAGACCACTTTATTCCTTTCTTCCTAAGGTATTTTATTTCCTTTGCTTGCTTCATTTCACTAGCTAGGACTTCTGGAACACTGTTGAATAGGAGTGGTGAGATAGGACATCCTCGTGTTATTCCCAGTCTTTGGGGGAAGTATACAGTTTCTCAGCCTTAAGTGTGGTGTTAGCTGTTGGTTTTTTTTGTAGGCTTTATGGCCATTCTAATAAGTGTGTAGTGGTATTTTGGTTTAATTTGCAAATCTCTAATGATAAATGATTTTGAGCCTCTTCATATTATTTACAATCCATATATCCTCTTTTTTTTTTTTTTTTATTGATCATTCTTGGGTGTTTCTCACAGAGGGGGATTTGGCAGGGTCATAGGACAATAGTGGAGGGAGGGTCAGCAGATAAACAAGTGAACAAAGGTCTCTGGTTTTCCTATGCAGAGGACCCTGCGGCCTTCCGCAGTGTTTGTGTCCCTGGGTACTTGAGATTAGGGAGTGGTGATGACTCTTAACGAGCATGCTGCCTTCAAGCATCTGTTTAACAAAGCACATCTTGCACCACCATTAATCCATTTAACCCTGAGTGGACACAGCACATGTTTCAGAGAGCACAGGGTTGGGGGTAGGGTCACCGATCAACAGGATCCCAAGGCAGAAGAATTTTTCTTAGTACAGAACAAAATGAAAAGTCTCCCGTGTCTACCTCTTTCTACACAGACATGGCAACCATCCGATTTCTCAATCCTTTCCCCGCCTTTCCCCCCTTTCTATTCCACAAAACCGCCATTGTCATCATGGCCCGTTCTCAATGAGCTGTTGGGTACACCTCCCAGACGGGGTGGTGGCTGGGCAGAGGGGCTCCTCACTTCCCAGTAGGGGCGGCCGGGCAGAGGCGCCCCTCACCTCCCAGACGGGGCGGCTGGCCGGGCGGGGGGCTGACCCCCCTACCTCCCTCCCGGAAGGGGTGGCTGGCCGGGCGGGGGGCTGACCACCCCCCACCTCCCTGCTGGGCGGGGGGCTGACCCCCCCACCTCCCTCCCGGACGGTGCGGCTGGCCGGGTGGGGGGCTGACCCCCCCACCTCCCTCCCGGACGGGACGGCTGGCCGGGCGGGGGGCTGATCCCCCCACCTCCCTCCCGGACGGGGCGGCTGGCCGGGCAGATGGGCTCCTCACTTCCCGGTAGGGGCGGCCAGGCAGAGGCGCCCCTCACCTCCTGGACGGGACGGCTGGCCGGGTGGGGGGCTGACCCCCCCACCTCCCTCCCGGATGGGACGGCTGGCCAGGCGGGGGGCTGACCCCCCCACCTCCCTCCCGGACGGGGCGGCTGGCCGGGCGGGGGGCTGATCCCCCCACCTCCCTCCCGGACGGGGCGGCTGGCCTGGCGGGGGCTGACCCTCACCTCCCTCCCGGATGGGGTGGCTGCCGGGCAGAGACGCTCCTCACTTCCCAGACGGGGTGGCTGCCGGGCGGAGGGGCTCCTCACTTCTCATATGGGGCGGTTGCCAGGCGGAGGGTCTCCTCACTTCTCAGACGGAGCGGCTGGGCAGAGACGCTCCTCACCTCCCAGACGGGGTCGCGGCCGGGTAGAGGTGCTCCTCACATCCCAGACGGGGCGGCAGGGGCAGAGGCGCTCCCCACATCTTAGACGATGGGCGGCCGGGCAGAGACGCTCCTTACTTCCTAGATGGGATGGTGGCCAGGAAGAGGCGCTCCTCACTTCCTAGATGGGATGGCGGCCGGGCAGAGACGCTCCTCACTTTCCAGACTGGGTAGCCAGGCAGAGGGGCTCCTCACGTCCCAGACGATGGGCGGCCAGGCAGAGACGCTCCTCACTTCCCAGACGGGGTGGCGGCCGGGCAGAGGCTGCAATCTTGGCACTTTGGGAGGCCAAGGCAGGCGGCTGGGAGGTGGAGGTTGTAGCGAGCCGAGATCACGCCACTGCACTCCAGCCTGGGCACCATTGAGCACTGAGTGAACCAGACTCCGTCTGCAATCCCGGCACCTCGGGAGGCCGAGGCTCCATATATCCTCTTTAGTGAGATATCTGTTAACATCTTTTGCCTATTTTTTAATTGTATTGTTTGTTTCAGAATTCTAGGTATTTTTCCAATTAAGTTGAGGGACTTTCCCTCTATTCCTAGTTTGCTGAGAGTATTTATTATGGATGGGTGTTAGATTTCTTTCAAGTGCTTTTTCTACGTCCGTTGATAATACATGATTTGCCTTCTTTGACCTGCTAATGTGGCTTACATTGATTTTTAGAATGTTGTACTAAGCCCCTGCATACCTAGAGTAAATCTGCTGGGTGTGGTATTTGATACCTTGCTTTAGTATAGAATTCAAGATTATAAGTAATTCCTCTCAGGATTTTGAAGATAATGTTTCTTTATCCTTTAGCTTCTAACATTGCTATTGAAAGTTTGGTGCTATTTTGATATTCTTCCTATGTGATCTTTTCTTGCCTTGTTGGATGTTTATCAAAACTTCTCTTTTACTTTATGAAATGTCACAGTGATATATCTTGGTGTGAGTTTTGTTTCACTTCTTGTGTTTATCACTCATTGTGTTCTTTCAATCTAGAGAATCATGACATTCAGCCTTAAGAGGTGTTTTTGTATTATGTCACAATTTCCTCCCTCATTTTCTCTCGTTCATGAGATGTTGAACCTTTCAGTTTGGTCCTCTAATTTTCTTATAATTTCTATTCCACTTTTGTGTCTTTTCATCCATTGTGTAACTATAATTATCTCCTCAAACTTGTCTTATTTAAATTTTTATTTTTGCCATCATTTTCAATTCTGTTGTTGATTTCTATTTAAATCCATTGTGGTCTAAAAGCAGACATTGTATGATTTATACTTTTTAAAAATGTGTTAAGGTATGCCTTATGACGCCAAAGATAGTCTATCTTGGTGGATGTTCCATGTGAAATTGAGAAGAATATGTATTCTATTGTTGTTTGATGAAGTAGTCTATAAATATTTGTTATATCCAGTTGATAGATGATATTGTTTGTCCTTACTGATTTTTTTTTTTTTTTTTTTTTGCCTGCTGGATCTATTTCTCATAGAGGAGTGTTGAAGTCTCCAACTAAAATAGGGGATTTGTATATTTCTCGTTGTGGTTCTGTCAGTTTTTGTTTCATATATCTTGACATTGTGTTGTCAGGTGCATATACATTAAAGATTGTTATATTTTCTGGGAGAATTAAGTCCTTTATCTTTATGTAATGACCCTATGTCCCTAATAACTTTCCTTATTATAAAGTCTGCTGTCTGAGATTATTATAACTGTTCCTGCTTTCTTTTGATTAATGTTAGCATGGTATATTTTTCCCTATCCATTTACTTTTAATCTTATAAACAAAATGGATTTCTTATAGACAACATGTAGTTAGATCTTATTTTTGATCCACTTTAACAATCTCTGGCTCATTTTACATTCTCACAAGCTTAATATTTTTTATATCCTTCTATTCTTGTTTTAGGTTTTAATTTTTTTTTCTAATCTCATTGAGAATTGAAAGCTTCATTTTGAAATTTTTTCTCTATATTATCTCTATTTCCACCAAATTTTTCTTCTCTGCTTATTTTGTTTAAGGTATTTATATATACTTTTCATACTGAAGCTTCCCTCTAATAGTTATTGACCTTTGGGCATATATTCAGTTTTAAACATGAGTCTCTAAGAAAAAAAGGTGCCTGGTTAGGGCTTATCAATAAGTGAGTTTGCTGCAGGTTTATTGGGCAAGACCTGCCCTTTTCAATGGGGATTTTCCTCAAATGTCAGAAATGTGATACTTTTTTCTCTAGGTCCATCCACCTTCTCTAGCATAGAACCTGATAGTCTGCTGTCACAGAGGATGTAAGTCTAACAGCTTCTTGAGGCTGAGATATAGGAAGAAACTTTATTAGTGTGTGTGTGTGTGTGTGTGTGTGTGTGTGTGTTTTCATTAATACTTCTTTCTGCCTTCGAACACTTCCTTCTGTATTGTTCGCCTTGCCTGATGTTACCAAATTTAGTGCCTCCTTGATTCAATTTCTTTGGAGTGTAAAGCTCTTTTCTCTTTCCAGGGAAGGTGAGAGGTAGTTGCCTTGCTGAGCAAGTTATGTGTGTAGGGATAGGAGGCGGGAGGGAAAATAAATTCTAGGGTTAGCTGCTTCTTATGTAGACTCTCAAATAATCATTCTTATTTCAGCCCCCTGGACTTACCCCTTTGTCTTTCAGAAGCATCAAGTGTACCTGATTTGTGAACCTATCTTGCTTCAGTTGGTTTCCTCCTAAATATTAGGCAGATGGGATTGGCTGGTCTGTGCTCTGCTAGGTTGGTTATCCCTTATTCATTTGCTTTTCATTTTCCAAAATTTTGTTGATACTTGTTTTGTTATGTGAAATCTCCTGTAGTTCTTTTTGTCCTGGTGGGTATATATGATTTTTTTTTTTTTTTTTTTTTTTGAGACGGAGTCTCGCTCTGTCGCCCAGGCTGGAGTGCAGTGGCGGGATCTCGGCTCACTGCAAGCTCCGCCTCCCGGGTTCACGCCATTCTCCTGCCTCAGCCTCCCAAGTAGCTGGGACTACAGGCGCCTGCCACTACGCCCGGCTAATTTTTTGTATTTTTAGTAGAGACGGGGTTTCACCGTTTTAGCCGGGATGGTCTCGATCTCCTGACCTCCTGATCCGCCCGCCTCGGCCTCCCAAAGTGCTGGGATTACAGGCGTGAGCCACCGCGCCCAGCCATGATTTTTAATTATTTACTTTCATTTTAGTGATCTTTAGAAAATGGAAAGGAAGGTAACATGCATTTAATCTGTCATATTTATCCAAGTGAACCCTGCATTTTTAAAATGTATTTTTAGTTTTTAGGAAAGGTATCTTTTTGGCAACTATGTGAGATCAGAGCCCTGTGACTCTGATTAAATCTGCGCTAAATTTGTCTCCATTTTTTATTGATTGTGTTATGTAGCTTCTATAAGCATCCAAAAGAGTCACTGATGGATGTTATTCCAAGTTGATGTGTCTTCTCAAACGGTGCTTTATGCTTAAAAAAAAACTATTTGGGCAAGTGTTATATAAGATACATTATAATAAGATGAATATAAGGCAAACTTATTTTTTTGGGAGGAAAACATGTAGGAGGGTAGGGGAGACACCCTATATTCAGAAACTTATAGTAGTTACAAAGTAGAACTTGAGTAGTAGAGAAGAAGCTCGGGGAAAAAGAGCTAGGGTAAGATAAATATGGTAAGTGCCAATAGGAGATATGACCAAAATAGAATCAAGAAGCTTCAAAAATACAGAGACTTAACCAGTATTTCATGGATTTCTATTTTCAGGTGAAAAATTAGACGATTTCAAGAATTGGAGCTGAATCTGATGTTAAGTAATGGCAACAGGTGACTTAAAAAGAAGCTTACGGAACCTAGAACAGGTGCTCCGCTTGCTAAATTATCCTGAAGAGGTGGACTGTGTAGGGTAAGCTATAATATCAAACTTAATTGTATTCTTCTTGCTAGTGATTTGAGATGATATTTAACATGGGGGACTACCTGAGAAAAATCAGATTTTACCTGGTTCCTATTTAAATCTGCCTTGAAATGATTAAAATATTTGAGAAAGCAGGGAATTATAGGAGTTTATTTCTAAGTATGAACTAATGAAGAATTCCAACTTAAAAGATTTAAAACTGTTTAGAAGCACAGTATTTATCTGTATAAGTTATAATCTCTGTACAGCTTTTAAACTCATAGAGGTATAATAGATTTTATTATTTGTATAATCTACCATTCTCTCATATTCAGTTGGATGATATTTCTTACAGTTAAATATATCCAGAATAAGAAGAGATTGTTGCCATTTCTTGTCAGTCTTTTCTTATCATTTATTTGTTTATTCTTTTATAGAGGAAAGATTTTATACATTTAAGTCGAGTGTTCTTTTTCATATGGAATATTCTAGTTAGTAGATTTTTTTGTGTATGGCAACCTGAAGATTGCGCTTAAGCTCTCCCATTTAACAGACCCCACTTTGAACCTTTCACTTTAGCTCCCATTTTGCAACTATGACAACGTTTTTAGAATATGGCAACATACATTTTCCTATATTCATGCCTATATAATATGGTACTGCAGTCATTCTGTATCCCTTCATAATTCTGTTTCTTCATGACACTTACCCTTAACCTTTTATCATTGATTAATTGATGGATTGGTTAAATGTTCATTGGTTACTAGAATGTAAGCTGAAGTCTTGGACTTTGTTTTTTGTTTTCACTGTGGAATCCCCCCATCTAGAATTATGCATGGCACATATTAGGAGTTGATTAGACATTTATTGAATGAATGAGTGTCCAGGGACAAGTCCAAGTTAGATGTTCAAGAGTAGAGGGAAACTTGTAAGTAGAATCCTTCAGTAATGGGCTTTACATATAAGAATGGATATCCATATAAGAATGGATATTCTAATAACTCTTGAGGTTACAGTAGGGAGAGGTAACTCAAGAGAAGGCTGAAAGTGAAAGGATAGAGAGGAGAGTAAGGAGAAAGTTTAGCTCAAGTTGCTGTTATTATAGGCATTATATGTGAGAGGCAGAAGATATGAAACAGATGTAATCCATGTATGTAAAAATCATCTTGATTCCTCAAAACATGAAAATCCTGACCATCCAGAACTTGCAGGGGTTTAACCAGTTTGAGTAGCCAAGTCTTCTCCTTGCCACTTTAAGTGTCAACATTTTAAAAGACATTTTAAATAGGAATAATTCTAAAATATACCAGTATTATCTTGTTTTCTAAATACAGTGTTTAAACATTTAATTTTCTTATTACCCAAAAGCATCATTAAGAACAACAATTTTTAGATTATTATATAACATACTAAAATCTGCAGGGTCTATTGAGATTTGAAATGCTACTTGCTTCTTCCACAGAGGCACTCAGATTGCTAGTCTCCCTGCCACACACATTTAAGCACACACACAACACCCCCATCATTTTGATTCTTTTTTCTACTTTTTCACATTTGTTATGTTTTCTGGCCATTTGCTGTTTTTTGTGTTGGCATCTGTTTTTCTTACTGTTTCTAATATGCTAAGTCCTTAGGAACTAGATAATCAAGATTTTTGAAATTGTTTAACATAAAAAGTGTTAAATGTGTGCCTGGCTATCATCTATGTATAGTGTGCATAAAATGGACAGATTTTGCTGTTCAAAGGTATTTTTTTTTTCATTTCCTGTTTTTGGACTGTGTTTCAGATAGACAAGGTTGCCAGAGGAGTTTTCTGATTGGGTGAAATATTACAGTATTTCAAAGAAACATAAAAGAAATAATTCATATTTGTCCAGTAAAACAAAATGCAGTGCTATCATCATGTATTTGTTCTCTGTCTTACTAAAAATTTGGGTGGAGATGGGGATGTTTATGTGAACATCTTGAATTTTTTGGAAAACATTTGCTTTATATAAGTACAAAATACTGCAATTGAACAAATGTAACTGGCAAATTGAACAAATACCTCCTGTGCTTTGTTGTGGGAAAATCAGTGAAGGTACTTCACATTGAGAAAATAAGACAGGAAACACTACCAGACAGATAAAGACACAGCAGATACTGAGTAGCCTGGGAGTCTTTCTTGGAGAGATCAGTATAGATCAGAAAGTTGAGGAAAGCTTCATGGGAAGCTTGAGATTTGATGAATGATTTGTAAAAAATAAATAATAATTGGATAAGCAAAGAAGAGTGGGATACCTTTCTAGACTGGTGGAATTAACATAGGTAATAATATACGATTTAGAAGGAGCAGTAAGTGAAAAGTAATAGACTGGTCAACCAAGTCACAGTTCATGCTTTTTCCCATCCCATCTTCCTCATCTGTAACTTAGAATTCATAATATTTACCTTTGGAAGTTTGTGGTAGAGAGCAAAGGAGGTAATAGAACAAGTGTTTGCAAAACCATAAAGTGTACTTCAATTTTGTAAGATGGTACATTGCTTTTATTAGTAGTAGAAAATGGAGTAGATCACGTAAGACTAAGCTTTGGAAAATCAATGGTAAATAGTTGGTACTAGAGACCTATAGTAAGTTTTTTGAGCAGACGAACAGTGGTATTTCATAGTAGTCTGGCTAGACTGGTTTCAAATGGGGAATGGAATCTAGAAAGTCTCATGTATCACCTAATTATTATAGCTATAGTGTTAAGTTTTAAATTATTATAAACATTTCTAATATTTTCTTGATTATCCAACTTTGTGGAATTATGCTTATTAAATGCTTATTAAAAATATTTTTCTTTTTTTCCTAACAGTTTGATAAAGGGAGACCCAGCAGCATCTTTGCCCATCATCAGCTATTCTTTTACCTCATACTCACCTTATGTAACAGAACTTATAATGGAATCCAATGTAGAGCTCATAGCAAAAAATGACTTGCGCTTTATAGATGCTGTCTATAAGGTATTTTGAGTTTATCAAACAATAACTATTAGTTATTGAATGATTTTTAAAAATTAATGATTTAGTCATAACTTCTTAAATATATGCAGCATATACAATTGACAGGATATTTTCATTTGTATTTATCTCATTTAAATGTAGTCTCTATTGAAATCAAGATGCAATTCATGTTTGCTTTTTGAATGTTACCTATTCTAATAAATACAGCAACTGGTAAATATTTGTTGTTGGCTATTGTTTGCCCTTTTTAATCAAATTTTAGTAAAATTTGATATACTGGCAGAAATTAGAGAGTAATGTAATTATATTCAATAAAACTTACAGTTTTTTAGAATTATATGTTAATTTAGTTGTTTGTAAGAAGGAACTATTACTGACATTTTTTTTTTATTAAACTGATATATTCTTTGAGGTCTGAGAGCATGTCTTATATTGTATCTACCCTAGTATTTATACTTGTACTATGTGTATACTGAATTTAATCTCTTATTTGATTTTTTTAAAACCCTGCTTTTATCATTAATTTTTGCTTAAGTACTGTGGTTTGTATTAAAGTTAGTTTTTAATGGTAAAAACCCACTTATCAAATGTAGTCTATTTTTTTTTTTTTTTTGAGACAGAGTCTTGCTCTGTCACCAGGCTGGAGTGCAGTGTCACGATCTAGGCTCACTGCAGTCTCCGCCTCCTGGGTTCAAGCAGTTCCCCTGCCTCAACCTCCTGAGTAGCTGGGACTACAGGCGTGCACCGTGACCACGCCTGGCTAATTTTTTGTATTTTAGTAGAGAGGGTTTCACCATGTTGGCCAGGATGGTCTCGATCTCCTGACCTTGTGCTCTGCCCACCTTGGCCTCCCAAAGTGCTGGCATTACAGGCATGAGCCACCGCACCCAGCCTCAAATAGTCTTTTAAAAAAAGCAGAGTTGCAGTCAATGAAATGGGAGCTTTTATATGTAGTCTCTGTTTAATCTTTCTCTTTCTTGCTTTTGATCCCAGAAGACATCCATGGAAGCCTAAGAGGCACTTTTAAGAAATTCTAGAGCTCCACAGAGTAGATTTAGGAAACTACTGATCTAGTGTGTTTTTTTTCATTTTACAAATGAAAAATTGAGACCAAAAGGCCTACTGACGTATCCAAAAATCACATAGTGGAAGAGTTATAAACAAATAGAACTATAGTTTCTGACTCTGGTATGGTATTCTAGTGAACTAAGAAGTTTTTCTAATATCTCTGAAGATATTTACACTTTTTGATGATTGACTATATTTTTCCATCTCTCTGGACAGACATCTGTTCTCCAGCATATCCTTTGCTACCTGTTTTCCACCTGATACCTGTCTTACTGGATCATGACTTAACACCAGCCCTATGAATTACTTTAGTACTCTTTAGTTAATGGCTTGGTTTTCCTTGTCCTCTCAAAGGTGGCCATTATTCCCCTGACCAGGTGGGCATTATCATTTGGAATTTTAGAAATAAATTGCTCCCAATTATTACAAGAGTCTGTTTCCTCTGCAGCTTCTTCGTGATCAATTTAATTATAAACCAATTTTGACAAAAAAGCAGTTTATCCAATGTGGGTTTGCAGAATGGAAAATCCAAATTGTTTGTGATATTTTGAATTGTGTGATGAAAAAGCACAAGGAATTAAGCAGTCTTCAGAAGGTAATTTTATGAATAGATATTAATGCTGATGTATGCTATTAATAGATGGCTCAGTATTTTAATGTATAAAATCAAAACCCTAGACAGCAAATTATTTCATAGTGTAATTACTGTATTATTCAAAGATTTGAGTAACCTTATAAAGCTTGTTGTTTATTTTAAATACTACTCTCTTGTTTTATACACCTGTGACTGGGAACTCCTAGTGTTAAACTAATAGTTCAAACATAATACATTTTCATTACTTCTTAGTTTTTAAAAGTCATGTAGTCTCATTAGAGTCTCATTATTTGTCAGCTATATTTCATATATGAAAATTTAAATGTTAATGGAATTTTAATATATAATTATGCTTTCACACAAAATTTGTTATTTTGACTAATACCTTTTTTTTTAGATTCCATCACAACAAAGAAAGAAAATCAGTTCTGGTAAGTCAGAACCTCCTTTGGGCAATGAGAAAATATCTGCAGAGGCTGTTGGCGTTGATATCAGTGGCAGGTTTATGACCTCAGGAAAGGTATGCAACCACAAAGAAAATATCATATTGTTTAAGAGTTATCTAATTAATCCAATATACAGTTTTCACTTTTCTGATTGGCACCTGATGAACATTCTAGTTAGATATTGGAGTTCATTGATTTTTAACAGTGCATGCCATATATTTTTGGGCAGTATGCCTGAAGTTATAACAATAGGATAGAAATATAAAATTAAATACGTGTTCTCTTTATATTTCTAATTTCTAATTCTGCCGGATTTCCTAAACAGAAGAGTAGTGATTTAGGAAGATTATCTTATGCAGTTATCTACATTTGCTCTTAATTGTGTTCTGGTCTTCCTAAAACATGGGAACATATGAAGAGCCTACATTAGCAGTAGTGATAGGTTATAATGATTCATTTATGTACATTATATTTCTGTAACCAAGTATGAATTATCCAATAATTGGTAGTCCCTACACGTAGAATCTGGTTTTCAGTTAATATTTTGAATATTTTCTCTTTCTTGAAAGATAATTTTTCTGCCATTATCTGCTTTGAGCAGCTGTGGCAAATTGAATCTAATGCACTTAGAGCTACAGTGTTTCTATCACTAAGGGAGACTTAAGCTAAAATATTATTTATTAATATATTTTCAGCTGTCTTCCAGCTGGAGAAGACTCTGATTGAATGATAGAATATCAGATGAATTATCAATGGTGTAATTAAGTAAAGGATGTGAATACTTTCTGACTGAAGTATAATCTAGAGTATTATTTCTGCCCT
The DNA here is from genome assembly GCF_000001405.40 of Homo sapiens. Lineage (NCBI taxonomy): Eukaryota > Metazoa > Chordata > Mammalia > Primates > Hominidae > Homo > Homo sapiens. The sequence goes on from NC_000004.12 coordinate 174,305,118, forward strand.
AATCCAAAATACATGAGTTATGTAAACAGAATCTATTTTAAAAATTTATTCTTGGGTCTAGCACAGTAGCTCATGCCTGTAATCCCAGCACTTTGGGAGGCCAAGGCAGGTGGATCACCTAAAGTCAGGAGTTTGAGACCAGCCTGACCAGCATGGCGAAACCCCATTTCTACTAAAAATACAAAAATTAGCTAGGCGTGGTAGCTGGTGCCTGTAACCCCAGCTACTTGAGAGACTGAGGCAGGAGAATCGCTTGAACCCTGGAGGCAGAGGTTCCAGTGAGCCGAGATTGTACTACTGCAGTCCAGGCTGGCTGACAGAGCGAGACTCCATCTCAAAAAAATATGTTTATTCCTTTATACCTTAAAAAAGTGAAATTTTATTATAAGAAAATGTTCTTATGCCACTTCTTTTTAATGTACCTGTTTTGCTCTAGGTAATGAAGACAATATAAAGAATGATACAAAGCCGCCATTTTTGAATAAGTGCATGTAGTTTTTGTACACTTGCATCTCTAACTCATCTAACTCTTGTTAGTTTTATTTATGATTTTCTAACTGTTAAATGACTTATATCTTGTATTCTTCCCCAACTAGAAGGAACATATATGAACAGGGATTTTCTTATACTGATTTTTTGTACCTTCATTTTGCTTAGCACAGGATTAGGAACACTGTGAGCACTTATTAATTATTTATTGATATAATGTGCTTTTCAATGTTCTATTTCAGTATGAGAGTTGAGGGGACAGTGTAAATTGTCCTAGCCAAGAAAAATGTAAACTTCAAAACATTAGACTTATTTTTAATTTTCTTAAAGCAAAGTTTTCTTTGTTATCTATTAAAATTTATACCAGATCTTTATCAGAAATTTGAATAAGTATTAAAAGTTCTCAGATTTAGAAAAGAGTCTACAAGTACATTTCTTTGTTTACAAGCAAAAGTTGAGTCAATATTAAAGCAAATTGTCTCCTATCCCAGTGCCTTATATAGTATGCCTATTTGCGCTTCTGAGTCACATATGTTTTTATAGTGTGTATGCAAACTGTAGAATAGGAAGCAGGTAGAGGATTTCTAGGTAAATGCATACCGTGACCTAATGCTTTTTTTGTCAGGACTTCTTCGTTGTCATTATTAGGTTTGAATTGTTAGCTGAAGGTCTAATAAATTGCAGTTTGTTTAACAGAAAAATTGTAATGAGCCCTACTCATAGAGCCAGTTTTTGATTATTTATAAGTGAATTATTTGGCAATCTTTTTTAAAAATAACTTTTTATTATGGAACATTTCAAACATTTACAAACATACCCATCATCCAGTTTCAGCAATTTATCAACTCTTTGCTAATCTTGTTTTGTCTTTATTTTAAATCAAATCTCAGACATAATTTAATAAATATTTCAGCGCTTGTCCTAAAATGTAAGAATTGTTTTAAAAGTCATAACCCCAATTTTATCATCACACATAAATTATTGGTAATGTTAGTAATGGTAATATTTTGATATATATATTATATGTGATAATTTAAACTTTTTTTAATTTTTAAAGATTGGTGTTCCTTTTGCAAAATTGCTGTATGTTTAAAATAATTGTAGGAGGATCTTCTCAGCCCAAAAGCTTCTTAAGCTGATAAGCAACTTCAGCAAAGTCTTGAGATACAAAATCAATGTGCAAAAATTGCTAGCAATCTTATCTACCAACAACAGTCAAGCTGAGAACCAAATCACAAACAAACTCCCATTCAAAATTGCCACAAAAAGAATAAAATACCTAGGAATCTAGCTAACAAGGGAGGCAAAAGATCTCTACAAGCAAAACTATAAACCATTGCTCAAAGAAATCAGAGATGACACAAACAAATGGAAAAACATTCCATGCTCATGGATAGGAAGAATCAATATTGTTAAAATGACTGTACTGCCCAAAGCAATTTATAGATTCAATGCTACTCCCATTAAACTACCATTGACAGTCTTCAGAGAACTAAAGAAAACTACTTTAAAATTTATATGAAACCAAAAAAGACCCAAATAGCCAAGGCAATCCTAAGGAGAAAGAACAAAGCTGGAGGGATCATGCTACCCAACTTCAAACTATACTACAGGGCTACAGTAACCAAAACATCATGGTACTAGTACCAGAACAGACACATAGACCAATGGAAGAGAATAGAGAACCCAGAAATAAGACCACACACCTGCAACTATCAGATCTTCAACAAACCTGATGAAAACAAGCAATGGGGAAAGGATTCCCTAGTCAGTAAATGGTGCTTTGATAACTGGGTAGCCATATGCAGAAGATTGAAACTAGACCCTTTCCTTACACCATACACAAAAATCAACTCAAGATGGATTAGAGACTTAAATGTAAAACCCAAAACTATAAAAACCCTGGAAGACAACCTAGGCAGTACCATTCAGGACATAGGTGTCGGCAATGATTTCATGACGAAGACGCCAAAGGCAATTCCAACAAAAGCAAAAGTTGATAAATGGGATCTAATTGAACTAAAGAGCTTCTACACAGCAAAAGAAACTATCAGCAAAGTAAACAGACACCCTCCGGAGTGGGAGAAAATTTTTGCAAACTTGTATCTGACAAAGGCCTAATATCTAGCATCCATAAAGAACTTAAACAAATTTACAAGAAAAAAACAACCTAATTAAAAAGTGGACAAAGGATATGAACATCTACTTCTGAAGAGAAGGTATACATGCAGCCAATAATCACATGAAAAAAACTCAACATCACTGATCATTAGAAAAATGCAAATCATAACCACAATGAGATACCATGTCACGCTTCTCAGAATGACTATTATTAAAAAGTCTAAAAATAACAGATGCTCGTGAGTTTGTGGAAGAAAAGGAACATTTATACACTGTTGGTGGGAGTGTAAGTTAGTTCAACCACCGTGGAAGACAGTGTGGCAATTCCTCAAAGACCTAAAGACCATTTGACCCAGCAGTCCCGTTACTTGGTATATACTTAAGGGAATATAAATTGTTCTGTTGTAAAGATGCATGCATATGTTCATTGCAGCACTATTCACAATAGCAAAGACATGGAATCAAGCTAAATACAATAGCAAAGACATGGAATCAACCTAAATGCCCATCAATGATAGAGCAGATAAAGAAGATGTGGTACATACACACTATGGAATACTCTGTAGCCGTAAAAAATAATGGGATCATGTCCTTTGCAGAGACATGGATGGAGCTGGAGGCCCTTATCCTTAGCATATTAATGCAGAAACAGAAAACCAAATACCACTTGTTCTCACTTGTAAGTGGGAGCTAAATGATGAGATCACATGGACACATAGAGGGAAACAAAACACATTGGAGCCTTTCAGAGGGTGGAGGGTAGGAGGAGGTTCAGGAAAAATAACCAATGGGTACTAGGCTTAATACCTGGGTGATGAAATAATCTGCACAACAAACCCCCATGGCACACATTTACTTGTGTAACAAACCTGCACATGGACCCCTGAACTTAAAAGTTAAAAAATAAATAATTGTGGGAGGAAAACATTGAAGTGTTTCTTACATATTTTTCTCTATGCAGAAGAAAGCTGTGGTGATTCGTCACTTGTATAATGAAGATAATGTTGACATTTCTGAGGATACATTAAGTCCAATAACAGATGTTAATGAAGCAGTTGATGTGTCTGACTTAAATGCTACTGAAATAAAGATGCCTGAAGTAAAGGTTCCTGAAATCAAGGCTGAGCAACAGGTAACAACTTTGGACTTTTTAAATAGATGCCAGTATTTTTTACTTAAATATGTGTAATTATTTCAGCCTCTAAACTTTGGAATATTTCTAGCCTTTTGAATTATTAATCATGACATTTTATCTATGTTACAATTACTGAAGTGTCAATAAGTCTTACTAAAATAATTCAACAAATATTTGCTGCATATGTGTAGGGTGCTGGGCTAAGTGTTGGGGTGATGCAAAGTAGAATAAGATATGGTACTTGGCTTTAAGGAATCTACAATTTAGTGAGACATAGCGATATGCTACTTTGCATAGTGGAGGTTCTCTACCACCTATTTTCTTTATTGGTGAATGGAAAAGATTGGCACTTTATTGCCTATTCATTTTCCTTTCTGGGTCCCTGCTGTTATTTTCTGTCTCTCTTAAAAAACCATTTCTATTACTCTTAATTGCCACAGACCCCAATATGTCTGATCTCTACTGTTTCTGCTAAGACTTCTTTTTCTGTGTTTCTATGTCTTGTGATTTCTATATATCTCAGTATATCAATATACAGTTGGCACTTACAAAAACTACCAGATGGCCATTGGACCTACTTCCTGTTATATGGCAAACCGAACAATCTCAATGCACTAAGTGTTGTTTTTGGTCATTTCCTCTTAGCTTTGTGCTAAGCGTTGTTTCAAGAAGCTAGTTAATAATAGTTTTATTTTACTAGCTGGTATTAAGAGAATCATGCAAATTAACTCATTATCAGAAGAATCATATGAAATAGATACTGCTCTTATCTCTTTTTTTTTAATGAGGAAATGGAGGCATCAAGATCATAAATCTCAGAACTGGTTTAAGTGGCCAAGTAGTCTCCATCCAGAGATAGCTCTCTTAACTCTCAAGCAGGACGGTCTCTCCTAACTGTTGAGATAACGCTGTGGAAGTGAGAATACATTAATTTTAAAGAAATTTCAGTTTGTTTAATTTTATTTTTAATCTCTCTAACCTTTTTAGGATGTAAATGTTAATCCTGAGATTACTGCACTACAAACTATGCTTGCTGAATGCCAAGAAAATCTTAAGAAACTGACTTCGATAGAGAAAAGGTTAGACTGTTTGGAACAAAAAATGAAAGGAAAAGTGATGGTAGATGAAAACACCTGGACTAATCTTCTTAGTCGTGTCACTCTTCTTGAAACAGAAATGCTTTTGTCTAAAAAGGTATTTTCCTCCTTTAACATTTATAAAATATCTCAGATATAACAAAGTTTTTTTTTGATTGTTATATGTGTATTTTTTTGGAAATGCTAAATATGAGAATATTTGAATAATGAGAAAATGTCTAGTTAGAATGAAGTCCTGTTTAAATATAGCCTGTATGTTGTTGTGGCTGTTGTTTCTCTCTTCATTGAATAAGATAATCTGAAAAACTTGTCAGTTGAGCTTTTACAGATGTTAATAATGCTTGAAGAATTTAAAATGAGGTAAGAATATGATAGATATGAAAAGCTTAAAATTATTTTATATCTTTTAATAGTACAAATAACCTATTTTCATAGGGTAGAAAAGATACAGAAGATATAGGTAACTCTTCCCATCTTTTTTTCACTCATTTACTTCAATCATATTGTGAATTTCATAGAATAGTTACCAGATTTACCATTGCCTTATCAAATCTGAGAAATTTGTTTTTTTTTACTCAGGATTTCAATTTCTGGTCTGTCTTTCCTTCCTAGAAGGTGAAGTCAAGTAGCTTGCTATCTGCTTCCATATTTAAAACATTTCTTATATGTAGGAATATGCAGTATATGTATTGCTTTAATAAAAAATTAAAAATATTTAAACATTTATCATGCTACCTTTATATTTTATGCTCAGCATTAAGAATATAAAATGAGAGGGTTTTTCTTTTTATTTCATTCTAAATATTTAACTGTGTTATTCCAGAATGATGAATTTATAGAGTTTAATGAAGTTAGTGAAGACTACGCTTCTTGTAGTGACATGGACCTTCTGAATCCTCGTAAGTTTGTAAATACTATGAGAATTGGTATGATGAGTTTTCAGAAAAATGATTGTTATAGTAATTTTAATATTCTTAAGCTTTATTGTTTAGAAATTGCAAAGCTCCTAGAACAAAGAACATAATGAACCTACAGACTACTAAAGCCAAGAATTGCTTAACTAACCAGCCTACTTATTTCACATAACATAGTGGGTGAATAAATTTCAGTGTACAAAATTGAAAATTTTTAGAGATATTTTACTGTTTTAATCATTCGAGAATAATCAAGTGCTCTAGGATATTAATGTTGGCCTCCAAGTTTTTAAATTTAAGCTTAGGTAGGTAGTAGCTTTCTCATATGTAAATAATAATATGTAAGAGAAGAAAACACATTTGTCAGTATCTATAAAGTATTGCAAACTTCTTCCATGTGAATAGTTCACTGATAATGATAAAATGGGAAAGATCTGATATTAGGATAGGTCTTTTCCTGGTCACTTTACTAGGCTACTGATATTTTGCTTAGTGTGACTGAGCAGCAAGGGTAAGATTTCTGTTTTTCAGTGACAGCTTTGTTTTGATTGTTATGTATTTTTAAAAGATCTAAATTTTGTGCCATATCTATGATTAAATCATAGCTATAGAAGAGATGTTTTGTCCAATTGAGAATTCATCGTTAAGTTAAATTTTTAATATCTGTGGATTGTTAACGTTATAAAATCTTTCAGCTCTACTATATGTGTAACAATAAAATAATATATATTCTAGCACTAACAGTGTGCCTGGCACGATTCTAACTACTATATTAACTCATTTAATTCTTGAAGTAACCATTGCAAGATAAGTACTATTTTTATATTTTACAGTTGAGGAAACTGAAGTACAGCAAAATTAAGTAACTACAGCAAAGGTCACACAGTTATTGAATTGTAGATCAAATTTGAATCCAGGCAACTGATCTGAAGTTTTTTCTTGACTGCTGCATATTTGGAGCACATATCAATATCATTGCACAAAGAACAATTTCAGTGATTAGCTTGTTAAGTATAATTATTTGAGATGCTATTTAAGGCAACTAAATTTATTATAGGCTGCAGATTTCAGATTTGGTAAAATGTTGCCTGTTTTATTTATCCATTCATATATCTATTCAACAAATGTTAATGCTTGAGTATAAGATCCTTGAGAGCAAAAACTTTATCTTATGGTCTGCCTGTCTAGCACACAGAAAGTATGTCGGTGCTTTTATCACCAGTATTTGCATATAGTAGAGTTTAAATATTTATTCACTGAAAGAATATTGAATGCTTGTGATTTGCAAAACATTGCCTTTTTCAAGTTTGATTTTGCATGCTCAGGCTTATTTTTTTTTAATGACATGATTATAGAATATACCTTTAACCTATTTAGAAAACACATGGCTAAGTTTTTTTTTTTTAATTTTTTAATTTTTTTGAGATAAGTGTGGTCTTACTCTGCTGCTCAGGCTGGAGTGCAGTGGTGCAATCATAGCTCACTGCAGTCTCCTAGATGTTAACTCCTTGGCTTAAAGTGATCCTCCTTTCTCAGCCTCCTGAGTAGCTGGGACTACAGGTACGTGCCACCACACCTGGATAATTTTTTATTTATTTACATACTGTTTTTAGTAAAACAAGGTCTTGCTATGTTGCTCAGGCTGGTCTTGAACTCCTGGGCTCAAGCAATCCTCCCATCTCTGCTTCTCAAAGTACTGGGATTACAGGTGTGAGTTAACATGTCCGGGTTCACATAGCTAAATTTCAACAACTGTGCCAGGACTGAAAGTAATTAACAGGCCTCTATCTGAAATGGATTACAGATTATGATTAGGTTGAATACCTGGTCTCATAGAGTTTATGATCTGATCTAGATTAATTAAAAGACTCAAGTTTATAAAGACTTACACATTATACCTTATACATGCTACTTGGAAATAGGGTTTGATTTCATTTGAATGCAGAGAGCAATAATTTACTACTCTGGGTTTAGGATCATATTAAATCAGGAATAGTTTTTGTGAGGTTCCAGATTTGTTTTGCCTTTATCAGGAATACAGTGTTCCATGGGGAATTGTAAGGCACCTTAATGTCTTGGTAAGAGTGAATTAGCAGAGGCTTTTAGGGATTGGACTTGTGTTGGATAATTTTGGAGAGGGTTTGAGGAAGCAAGGGCTACGGGTGCTGTCAGGGAGCAGGAGCAATTTGATGATTGATGGTAAGAATGAAATTTTTAGCATAAAATAAGTACTCATGTTAGGCAAGGGGGGCTATATCTGCTCATTTATGTGGTTACATGGTGCCCTTGTTTTGTCTATGTTCGGACATGAATGGTGGTTTTGGGTGTGTTGTTTCATTATGCTAATGAAGTGACCTCATGTGATGTTCTTTTTCATGAAATTATTTATATTCATTAGAGGGTACAGTAGTTTAGGTGTTAATTGCCAGACAGGGCACCAACTGTTAGTGCTCCTTTTTTATTTGCTTGTTTGTTTCGCTTTGTTTTGTGCCTTTTTTCCCTCAGAGGAAAAAAAAAAAAAAGGTGTGCTACCACAGAAGAGTGTGGTTTGTTCCTGTGTGACTAGCAGGAAGGGTACATGTGAGCACCTGAAGGAAGCTGTAGCAGAAGAGTAGAAAGATCAAGTCATGGAGTTTATCCCAGAGTCGTAGGAAGATTTTCAGCAAGGCTAATATTCTTAGGTTTGTGTTTCACAAAGGTTATCATCAAAGCAGAATAGTGATTTGTTAGGAAAGTAAGATAGGCAAGGATAATTTGAAGAGAATTTTAGTAGTCATTATTTCAGAATAATAATGAGGGTCTCTACTAAGGCAATGATAGTGAGGATAAAGAGCAGGTGATTTATTTGGGAGAAATTTAGATGTTAAAATTGATATGCCTTGATCCTGATAGATACAAAAAGGGTGAAGGAGAGTAAGGAAGGTAACACTGACTACTTGTGTTTGGCTCATGTGATTGGGTAGGTGATTGTTACTCTTTAATAAAATAAAAAATTCAGGAAGAGGAGAAGGTTTGGGAGAAATAATGAGTTCACTTTTGAATATAATAAATTATATATGAAATCCTTAAGACAGAATATCTAGAAATCAGTTGGATACATACATTGGTCCTTGATTTAGAAGTATTGGCTTACAAATTATTAAATGGTAAAGGACCCTACTGATTCCCTTCGTGGAATAAGGTGATAAGCCTCCAAAGATGGCAGTGAAAGATTAGTTGTTACGTGGTAAGAGTTGGGTAGAAGATTTCATGTCCCATACCCCCATAATCTTAGAAGTAGAAGAGTCCCTTTCTTTACAGAGACTTCTTAGCAGTCACTACTGAAGTACATAACAACTGGTGTCAGGGTCCTTGTGTCAGTGGCCATTGCCTTTCCCCTTTCCTTTCCAACCTGAACTCAGTTACCAATTCTTTTCTCAATCCCCTATAGCACAGCTAAGAAACTATTAATGTTTAAACAAGTAAGGCTTTACTAAAGGTTCAGGATAGCAATAAGAAAAAATATAGAAATTAATGTGCAGTTAACTGATCTGGCTATTAAATATAGCTGGTGTTCTGTAATGGTCCACTCTGTAGCCTCTGGAATCCTCTGTAGGAATAACTATGAATAGCCTGCCAGCCTGCCAAATACCAGCTTTCTCCCACCATGAGGCACACTCTTGAATAAGGTTAGACACCGCAAAGTCTGGACCCCAAAATGGAAGACAAAGAGAGCCATTCCTTCACCCTTTATCTGTCTTCCCGGACCTGTTTCCTTTTCCTAGGGCCCCCTCCTCTTTTTGGAAAGATGTCCGAAATGTTCAGGACAACTATCTGTACCCACAGAAAAAAATCCAAGATTTAGTGCATAGTAGATATAGTTCCTGCCTAATTTCAAATTATTTCTTAAAATAACCTCTTGTCCATAGCTCCTACTAAAAGATCTGGGTTTAGGTAGTCTTCAGAATTACACCCTGTAATCTTGACCTCCAGGCTTAGCTAATTGGATTAAGAGTAGACACCTGACCCAGAGAATTCCAGTTCAAAGTGTGATGAGTCAAATTACATTCTCTCTCTTAGCATTTGGAATTAGGACACCACGAGTTAGTTAGTCAAATGATATTGAGCCTGGGCCGGGCTGGCCATGTGGTGGAAGTTTACGCTGATGAGTCAGCAGAGAAAGCCATTCTACAGAGAAGAGCTGAGGGATGGAGCAAATGGCAGAAGTAGGCAAAAGAGACTGTGGCTCTATGAGAGATAAAAATTAGTCTTCTAGTTGTTTCAGTTCTCAGTGGTAATAGTTTGTTCCCCAATTAAGGTTGTCTGTGTAGGCTTACAATAAAGCTCTCTTTATGTGAACCAATTTAAATGGGTGTCTAATTTTTTTTTTTTTTTGCATTGCTTTTGCAGCCAAATGTATTCTGACTGAAACACAGGGTTTGTAGGATTTATTACATTATCCGTAATCTTCTCTAATTGATATTTTTGTAGGGGAGATGCCATCATTTTGTCAAATTAATATTATCAGGATATTTGAAATGTTAGGTTTTTCCGTTTTTTAGAAAAAGAAATCTGTGGATCTTAAATTTTTGCATTACTTATTTTCATATATGTCAAATCAAGTTAGAATGTTTCTTGATTTTTAAAAGATATATATGGTCAGTTATAGTAATAGTTGTCACTTGCCACAGAACAGTAGTAAAAAAATTTGTGAAATGCTTAAATGTTGCTGAATAAAAGCATCATGACAAATTCATGGATACTAATTATTTAATGTAAATATCACCATTTTAAGAAAAGAATACGGTGAAACCCTGTCTCTACTAAAAATACAAAAAATTAGCCGGGCGTGGTAGCTGGCGCCTGTAGTCCCAGCTACTCGGGAGGCTGAGGCAGGAGAATGGCGTGAACCCGGGAGGCGGAGCTTGCAGTGAGCCGAGATCGCGCCACTGCACTCCTGCCTGGGCGACAGAGCGAGACTCCGTCTCAAAAAAAAAAAAAAAAAAAGAAAAGAATATACATGATTGATTCAATAGGTTATATTTTAAAATAAATTATTAACTTACCTGTTTATTCAAACTGATTGCTATCATGATAATAATACTGCCTTTTGTAATTTTTATTGGGCAATTTTTAACATCTAGATCTCCATATGAAAGCTGTTACCTTAAGAGTACTAAAAACTCTTTGATCTATGCGGATAGCCATTTTTAATTAAAATAGTATGTTTTTCTTCCATCTGTAAATAATATTTTTAGATATTTGACTCTTCTGTGAAAGGAAAAGGTAATCTAAAACTTAATTTCTTCACAGACAGAAAAAGCGAAGTAGAGAGGCCAGCAAGTATTCCTCTGTCCTCTGGCTATAGTACAGCATCATCAGATTCAACTCCCAGAGCCTCTACTGTTAATTACTGTGGTTTGAATGAGATTTCAGAGGTAAGAAAATGCTTAGATTATTTCCTTTCTAAATGAGGAAAACAAGCAAGCATTAGCTTTTGTTGTAAATATTGCTAGCAAGAAAAATAGCAAACGCGAATCTTAGTCTCTCAAAATTCTTTCATAAGTAAACAGTACTTAATGCAATGTTTCAAACTGTGTTTTGTACATTCTCGGTCCATCTTTGATGATGGTTTACTTTGAGAAATCATCTAAATTTGTTGCTTTTTAAATTAAAGGAAACAACAATCCAGAAAATGGAAAGGATGAAAAAAATGTAAGTAACAGAAAGGGGCAACAGAAATTCATTTCTCTATAGGGAATTGTATTGGATTACAGTATATATAGAATGTGCATGTGTGTTTCAAACCTTAAAGGTCTCTCAATCAGGTGTGGAATTTCCTTCAGGACTCCACTGGATAATAAATCCACCTACAGTTATGTGTTTGTGAGATGAGTCACTGTTTTAGTTTCCAACAAGCGATTTAAAACTTGTTGGAATTGTTAATGGAATTAACTGCAGAGAGAATACAAAGATATTTTTGGTTGGTAACTAATCAAGAGTATTATCTATTTTTGATAACTGATTTATCAAAATATTAAATAATATATATAGATGGATGGTTTGGAGACATTTTCAGTGTTGTGAAAATATCACTGGTGTTTTTCGGCAAGTTATTGATGAGATACTAAAAATGATGTTTTTGTCTAGTACAAATGGTGTGATTTTTCTAAAGAGCAGTTCAAAGGAAATATGAAATGAAATTGCATATAAGATGATTATGCAGCCTACTACTATAGAAAATTATAATATTATTTAGAAATGCAAAAAGTACTTAACTTACACTTCAAGAATATGACTCATAATCGACTCCTCTTTGTCTTCCCTCTGGTCATACTTAAGTTTATTCATAGTAACTGTACTTATAGATAAGAAAAATATTCAAATTTATTTTAGGCTAAAAAGCATAATTTCAACAACTAAAATGCTATGCTTTATTATGAATTATTGATTTACTTAATATATTATTTATTATATTTCAGGTTTGAAGAAACTGCAGAGTTACTGAAATGTCCAAATCACTACTTGTAGGATTTTCTACATGAACTTTTTTCTAGGACTTTGGTTACTATACATATTGTATATTTTAAGAATTCTTTATACAATTTTAATATACTGCAATACTGCAGTTTTTGACAATTTGGATTCCATTTGGTATATGAATTTTTGCATTCATTATTGAATAACTCTTTTAATATTTTTGAGCAATGATTATACTGCTTTACCTTGTGTCACTTTTTTTTTTTTTAGGAAAAACTCATGTTCCAGTATATTTCTCTTACAGAGTGAAGTCATTACAGCACTGTATTTCTGTGTTGACATTTGTTGGCAGTGTGCTAAGTAATGTTTTTTAAAGCACAGGCTTGAGGACTATGGTTTACATCCTGTTGGAAACATTCCAAATGGGACTTGTGTATTATACCCAGGAGGCTCTCATATATACCATCTTGGCATCTGTACTGATGAATAAGTTATAATGAACAGTTAAAAATGCTCATTGAAAATTAAATAAAACAAAAAGGCAGTTATTTCATGCTTGGTCAAAAACATCAATACCTTTCCAATTAACACTGAGAAATTAAGGTTAAGATTCTCCTTTTGTACTGGGAAACAGGCTGGAGGACTATGGTCCTCAAGTTTAGACCAAGAGGACTATGGTCTCAAGGTTCACCATGAGAAATGTGTTGAACATTTTAGTATGCTCTATTGTATAATTTTTTTGGAGGGGGGGATGGAGTTTCGCTGTTGTTGCCCAGGCTGGAGTGCAATAGCACGATCTTGGCTCACCGCAACCTCTGCCTACCGGGTTCAAGTGATTCTTGTGCCTCAGCCTCCTGAGTAGCTGGGATTATAGGCATGCACCACCATGCCCAGCTAATTTTGTATTTTTATTAGAGACAGGGTTTCTCCGTGTTGGTCAGGCTGGTCTCAAACTCCTGACCTCAGGTGATCTGCCTGTCTTGGCCTCCGGCGTAACACTTTTTAAGACCAGTGTAACAGAAAGAGAATGTAGCCATTCTAGCCACCGTTAAAAGATACACAGTGAGGTGTTGTGTTTTGTTTTTTTAATGATGAAAAGTTACACATTTTTTGGAGAGAAAAGTCTTAGCTGAAGGTAAATCAATGGAAAAATGAAATTTATTTTTAATATTACTACTATATGAATTATCTTTTTTTAAACTTGTAGATAAAAGTGTTCCAGTAATCAGAAAATCCTCAAGAAAATTGACTTCATTATTTGGAAGGAAAATTAGTATTTTTTTTAATATTATATGGACCATCTGATTATATTTTATTTATTCATCTATTTATGGTATGTATGTATAATTCTATATTACACTGTCAAATATAAAATATTGTTATATGAGTAGAAATCACTTAAATTTTTTTTGTGTTTGTGAATTTGAAACAGTGTAAGAAATCACTTTTAAGAAAACATTTTTAGAATTCCTTTGTTTTTTTTTTTTTTCTTTTTGAAACAGGGTCTCACTCTATTGCCCAGGCTGGAGTGCACTGGCGTGATCTCGGCTCACTGCACCTTCTGCCTACCGAGTTCAAGCGATTCTTGTGCTTCAGCCTCCTGAGTAGCTGGGACTATAGGCCTGTACCGTCATGCCTGGCTAATTTTTGTATTTTTGTAGAGACAGGGTTTCACCATGTTGCCCAGTCTGTTCTCAAACTCGTGAGCTAAAGCTACTCGCCCACCTGGATGTCCCAAAGTGCTAGATTCCATGGGTGAGTCACCATGCTTGGCCACATTTTTAGTATTCTAATAAACAGTTGGTCATCAGAACTTTAAAATGGTAGCCTACAGAAACATACAATTTTGAATTTAACAGAGTTTCAGTAAATATTTCCAGAATTAATGAAGCATGTTAGCTTTAATTTTTTCAATTGTGAGAGAAGTACATTTATAAAAATTAAGAGGTTAAGAGGTTATAGTTATAAGGGAAAAAACTTCTGTATCGATTAACTCCTAAAATATCAGTACCAGCATGGAATTATAGCACCACCTTGTGGTTAACATGCCAGTATTTTACCTTTTGTTAAAACAAGTGATTTCCCATCAAACAGGATAATATTTTTTCCCTTTTGAAAAATTCAATTTTAAAAAGAAACATTTTTGAAGTTTTCTTATGGAAGATAGAAAAAAAGTTAAGTCTCTTTCTACCCTTTCTTTTTTTCTTTATATAGTGCAGATATACACACAGAGAAGGGACTTAAAACATTTCTAATCTCCTAGTTTATATACAGTGTGCAAAATATAAGTAAGTATATATTGAAAATATAAAATATTTCATATATGTTATCAGGTGGAAATTTAGAATCCAAATTTTCTTAAACTTTAATAACTTGTCTAACAACTCTCTAATAGGGACTAAAAATCAACTCAATATATCATACATTTACACTTACAAAGAGTCTTTATCTAGACAACATAATTTTTGGAAAAATAAAGCAAATTCAACTTTATTGGAGTTATTGGACAGATCAGCAAATTGTTATTTTAAAAAGTTTTCTTGTTTAGGCAATTTGGTAAGTGGTTTCTAGTTATAAACTAGCCACTGTTGATTAACTTGAGAAGGTGAAGCAGGGGAGTTCTGAAGAGATTACCTAGAGCTACATAACCCTAAGTTAAGTAAAATTTTCACTTTCATTCTTTTCATTCTCTCATAAACTGGTTGAAAAAACACTGTACTACCAACAAAGGTGTCAGTTGCTTGTGCTGCCCTGTCTATGTTATGCTCTGAATAGGTCTCGGTAAAGATTATATGGAAATACTATAAAGAATACATAAGGTAAAATACTAGTCAGAAAGGGTTCAGAAGAAGTTAGCATCAACTGTATGAAAATTCTAGGTAAAGCTAAGTACTATTGAGTTGGAAAAAAGTAATTCTATCATGTTTGCTTGTTTTCCTCTACTGTTTTTAATGTGATGTTGTAATATATTTTAAAAATAAAACTTGAAAACGTTGGGACTTTGTTTCATGCCATTCATTACTCATAACTTTATATAATTGATACACTCTTCAGGAAGCATAAAAATTAATATAACCTTCTCAATTTTATAAACTACAACACTTTTTGAGCTCAAATAACATTGTAACTTTGATTTTTACTTTTTAACAGTCCCCAGGTTTGTCTCCTTTCTTTGAAACTGAAGGCATCAAACTGATCAGCGTGGAAGGAAGTGATGTTTATCTTAAGTCCTAAAGAGTGAACAGAATATAGCCAGGGAAGATGGTTTACGCAAAAGGACTAGCATAAACAAAGGCTTGAAAGGAAGAGCATTTGAAAGAAATTCACTAGGGCTAGCATACTGAGTGTGCTCTGTGTGTGTGTGTGTGTGTATGTGTGTGTGTGTGGCTAGAGGTCAGTTGACACAGGCCCAAGGGGCAGCTTGTATCTTATTTACTGAACCATTTAAGCAGCAGAATATGATAACCAGATCTGAGTTTTTGAAGGATTTATTTTACCGCTTTAATATGGAGAATGGGTAAGGGGGCAAAACTAGAGGCAGAGAAATCAGTGGGAGACTATTACAGTAATCGAAGAAACATAGTAAGAGTGACTTGAATTATGATGACAGTGGAGATGGAGGGAAATAATGGGATTTGGAGCAAATGTAGTACTTCCAGTTTAAGGACTATCTTCAATCTAGTATCTGGACTGAGAGATAGCAAAAAGATACTACACTAGTGTTTAATCTGTTATCTTGCCTAATTGGTTCCGTCTGGAATCTTGTTAGAAGTGCAAAATCTCAAGCCCTGCTCTTGACCTACTTACTACATTAGATTCTTCATTACACAAAGAACCCAAAGACATTTGTAGGTACTTTAAGTTCAAGAAATATTAGTTTACATTCACATACTTCTTGTTTTATTATCATAACTAACATTTGAATCTAAGCCTTCAAATTCAGATTCTCCGGAATTGCTTTTATCTAAATATATACAGCTTCTTGCAATTCACATTTAGTATCTTGGCCTCCTTAGCACCTTTGGTTAGCGTTTTAGGGTTTTGAGTGCATTTAGTTAAATGATTTTTTTTCCTCAGTCAAATAATATATAAATAGGAATTAAAACATCCTTTCTTCAAAATTAGGTGTAAGCTTTGTACAAATAACTTGTTTGGTCCTCATCAATAATGATTCTTTACTAAGCATGCACAATTCATACCATTAGCCTCCATCTTTGAAATATCTGTGTTTATGTTGAAAAATTTCCTAGTTTTTTACTTTTAATTATGTTGCCCAAAGTACAACAGGCAATATTCTGCATACATATTTGTTTTTCTCTATTATGTCATAGGGTGACTTTTCTGAAGATATGGAAAGCAATTATTAGAGATCCATGTTTCACATTTAATTTAAAATTCAGTATTATATGGTCTTACAAACTTTTTCTGAAAATCATTTGTCAAGGAAATCTCATTTGAGTAGTAAAATGAAGTAAATGAAGGAGTAAAAAAAGCATCTTAAGTTTAAGAAAATACAATATTTAGAAAGCAGTTTCCATAGATGAATTAGGTGCAAAGAGAGCGAGAGGAGAGGAAAACAGAAACCACTAGGAGTTCTTAAACTTTACCCAATCAATATGTATCTTGCTTCAGATTTGCCATCTTCTGTTTAAGTAAGCTTTGATTTACTGGGTAAGAATCTGATTATTGTTTTTAAATTCTGATCATTGTTTGTTGATATTCACACTAGGACATTTAAAACAACACCACAGCTGAGGACTTTTAAATGAAGATCAGTAACAAACATCAAAATGTTTAAAATTTATTTATTTTTTCACACTGCCATGAGAAAGTAGAAAAATGTTTAAAGTTTAAAAGCATTTCAGTATTCCAATTATCCTCTCAATTTCGCACCATTTTTTAAAATCATCATTCTCTTCCACCTTCACTTTTTATATACTATGCTTTTCCACTTTCTGAATGTGCTGGGCTTTCCATGACTTTACAAATGCTCTTCCATCACCTAAAATGTTCATTTGTTCTCCACTCTTCATTTCCTATCCTCTGCACCACATTGGCTGGTAGAATTCTACTCATCATAGGGGCTTCAGATTAAACATAACTCCCTCCAAATAATGCCCCCTAGGTCCCTAGAATAGTTTAGATTCCCTGTTTATGCTATGAAAAGCACCCTGTAATTTTTCTTCATTTCGGTTTGTACATTATAAACCTACTATTTGCAATTGTTGCTCAAGGTTGTCCTCCCTGCGAAACTATGAGTGTTATGTGAAAAGAGATCCTGAATTTTGTTTACTGATGTATTCTCCATGCTTAGCACAATGCTTGGTACATAGGACATTCTCATTTTATTTTGTGGCTTGACAAACAATTAAGATGTCCTCCCATCCCCCATATTATGATAGAATTCAAATTTTGTAAGCAACTGTTAGCTGATTTTTAAATTCAATATCTGAAATTAATTTCATTTTAATGTCAACTTTATTGTTATACTACATTTCTGTATTTGGTCACATATTTAAATGTAGAATATAGTATGTAGCATTAATGCCCAAGTTGGTAACTTTTAAAATAGTTTCTCCATACTTTAAGCACTGATATTTTTGAGCCTAAATGTGAGATTTTCCTAATAAAAAGGTGAGGAAATTTAATGATATTTTTGAAAAGTTACTCAAAAAAGTACACAGGTCTCATTTAAAGCACTAAAAGGCAGCAAATTTTTAGAGAAAATGATATTTCTGTTTGCGGCAATATGGCATACAAGGTATTAAAAAATATAAAAAACTCCTGCAACAAATCATCAAACATTCTTGAAAAAAATATAATAAATATTTATCACAGATATCACAGGAAATTAAAAGAAATCCCTAAAGGCCAAAAGAAGAGGAAGCAGAAATTCAGAGTATTATGCTTGCCTGAAGCAGCAGCTGCCCTGAGAGATTGTTGATATTAGAAACTAAGGCCTTGAGAGGTTTTCCCCCCTCATGTTTCTGCATCAGCGTTTATTGTGTTATAATTTACATACGATAAAATTCACCAATTTCAGTCATACATTCATATAGCCACCACCATATTTAAGATATAGAACATGCCTCTTTGCAGTCATTCCTCTGATACCAAACCAGGCACATTCTGCCCATCCTGCAGTAAGCCAATCACTGAGACAATGAGTTTTGCAGTGGAGAAAAGATTTTATTCATGAGGCAGCCAAGTGAGGAGGTGGGATAACACCCCTCAAATTCTCCTCCTTGAAGTTGGGGCATTAGGGATATTTGTGGGATAAAGGAGCAAGGCAGTCCAATGCATGGAAAAAGTTAATTGGTGGTAAGGAAAAGTGAGGTAATTGCTGATCTGTGCGAGTGCAGTTAAGCTTCATGGCTTTTCATAGGATCCACGTTCGCAAGATGGTGTCGTTGGCACAATCTGAGGGTGGAGTTTTTGGCCTTCTGATGTCAAAAGGGCACTCATTGGGCATTCATACAGGCCATTGGAGGCTCAGTGGAGTCAGCTTGAACTGGACAAGAGCTGATCCTAATTTCCTGAAAAACAAGCAACTATTAATTACTATGGTGACCTGTACATCAGAGATGTTATCTATAAGGAAACTAGTGGAAGTTTAGTTACATATTGCTTAGTTGCATTGACTTTTCGCTATGTAGGTTTTAAAATCAACTAGAAGCAAGCGACTACAAACAAGGCAAGTTAAGTTTGATAGGCCTAATTAGGTTAGCCCTGGGTTTCACCTTGTCCTTCAGCAACCACTGATTTGCATTCCATCATTTTAATGTTGCTGTTGCTAGAGTTTTATATTAATATCATCATACCATATTTAGTCTTTTGTGTCTGGCTTCTTCCATGTAGCATAATGCTTCTGAGATTCATCCATGTTGTTGTATGTAGTAGTTCATTCCTTTATATGGCCAATGAATATTTCAGTGTGCTAACATACCACAATTTCATCAGTTGATGGACATTGTGATATGTCCAGTTTGGAGGTATTCCATTTTATAAATCTGCTATGAACACTGGAACATGTGTCTCTGGACACATGTTTTTACCTCTCTTGGGTAAATGCCTAGGAGTGGGATGGCTGGGTCAAATAGTAAAGTTATGATTAAGTTTATGAAAAACTGCCAAACTCTTTTCCAAACTGGCTGGCCCATTTGCTTTTCCCACTAGCAATGTATGAGAGTTTCAGTTGCTCAGCATCCATACCAACACTTGATTTTGTCAGTCTTCTAGTGGACGTGTGTGGTGTAAACCAAAAGTTAAGGCTCAATGTTATGTACTGTCTTGACATCTGGTAAACTGAGAAGGTTTCAAATGGCCTAACCAGAGGATCCCCTCCTCACTCTCCTTCCATGGATAAGGTACCCTAGCCAAACAACCACTCCTTAACAGAGGGACCAGACACTTACCCCTGAGTAGCAGGGTTTCAGTTCCATGCCAGCTGTGAAATTGTTCCAAGAAACCAATCATATATTCCTGTGGGAACCAGGGGATGTCTCACCCTCTTCATATTACAAAGTCTGCCTCCCACATCTCCCAGCTGTTCTCTGTTCCCAAATTCAACCCCCATAGAGCAGGCAGTGTCCTCCCCTATAAGCTGTGAGTACATATGACTAATAAGCTGTTATCAGTTTCATCTGCGTTGTGCTGGGTTTTGTGTTGGGCCTTCCCATAACCCTAGGTGGGAATTCCTCCCTCACCAACATGGTGAATGGGGGGTGATTAAAACAGTGTGTAATGGTCTCTCATCGTAGTTTTAGCTTACATTTGTCCAAAATGTTGAGCATAAAGTATTTATTTGCCATTAGTATATCTTCTTTGGTGAAGAGTCTATTCAAAGATATTCCCAATTGTATTTAGGTTGTTTGTCTTCCTGTTGGGTTGTAAAGGGCCTCTATTGAACAGTTTTGCAAAGATTTTCCCCCACTCTGTGGTTTCTCGTTCATTTCATTAACAGTGTTTTTTAAGGAGCAGAAGTTTTAAATTTTTATAACATCCATTTATAAATTTATTCATCACTGAGAGAGGGGTGTAGCCATGTACAGTCACTCATGCCTGTAATTCCAGCACTTTGGGAGGCTGAGGTAGGAGAATCATTTGAGGCCAGAAGTTCAAGACCAGCCTGGTCAATATAGCCAGATCCTGTCTCTACAAAAATTTTTTTAAATTAGCCAAGCATAGTGGTATGCACCTGTAGTCCTAGCTACTCGAGAGGCTGAGGTGGGAAGATAACTTGAGCTGAGGAGGTTGTGGCTTCAGTGAGCTATGAATATATCACTGCACTCCAGCCTGGGTGACAGAGCAAGACCCTGTCTCTAAAAATAAGAAAAAGAGAGGTGTTGAAGTCTCCAACTAGAACTGTAGATGAAGACTAAAAAACTTTTATTTTTTCTTTCAGTTCTATCATGTATTTTTAAACCTGTTTTTAAATGCATAAACATTTAGGACTGCTATTTCTTCATGATAAAGAGACTTATTTCTTATTATGAGTTGGCCCTCTTTATCTCTGGTAATATTCTCTCCTGATATCTATGTTGTCTGACAGCTATTCCAGATTTCTCTTAGGAAGTGTTACTACAGTATTTATTTCCCATCTTTTTACTTTTAATGTATCTGAGTCTGTGCATTTAAAGTGGGTTTCCTGAAGATAACGTAATTTGGTCTTGCTCTTTTATCAAATCTAAAAATCTCTGGAATGTTTAGATTATTTACATTTAACTTGATTATGGATATGGTTCAAATCTACCACCTTCTTATATTTGTTTTCTGTTTTTATCATTTGTTCTTAGCTGCTTTTTTGCCTCTTTTCCTGAATTATTTTTCACTGGATATTTTTTAATGTTTTTTATTTTTTTCTTGGCTTATGAAGTATCCTGTGTGTGTATGTGTGTGTGTGTGTCTGTGTGTGTGTCTGTGTGTTTGCTCCAAGATTTGTAGTATATATATTTAACTTACTATAAGCTACTGTCAAATATTATACTACTCATTTTTCAGTATATATATTTAACTTAATATAGGCTACCTTCAAATATTATACTACTCATTTTAAGTATAACATAAGAGCCTTACGATAATATACTTTTCATTCTTTCTGCGCCCGCCAAGCCTTTTTTTGTCAAACATTGACTTCTACATATGTTATAAACTGCAAAACATTATCATTACTTTTGCTATAAGCAATCCATTATCTTTTTAAAAGGTTTAAATAATTTTTTAAAAGTCTTTTATATGTGCCAACCTATTTACCATTTCCAGTGCTATTTATTCTTTCATGTAGATCCACATTTCTTCTTGATATAATTTTCCTTCTGCCTGAAGGGTTTCCTTTAACTTTTCTTGTAATACTAGTTGCTGGTGATGAATTCTGGAAAAGTCTTTATTTCACCTTCATTTTCAAATGAAGGATACAATTTTAGGTGAATAGGGATTTTTGGTTTTTTTGTTTGTTGTTTTTCATTCTTTTCAGTAATTTAAAGATGGCCCTCCATGGTCTTTTGGTTTGCATTGTTTCTGATGAGAAATCTACTGTTATTTTTATCTTTGTTTCTTTATGGAATCTGTCTTTTTTTACTTTGTCTGCTTTGCTACATTTGAGATTTCTCATTACCACTGATTTTCAGCAATTAGAAGAGCTATGTAGAAAAACCAAAATAAACTACAGACAGTTTTTTAGAATTAATAGAATTTGGCACATTTTTAGATATGAGATCAATATATCCAAACCAATTTTACTTCTAGATAGGAGCCATAAGTGGACATTTACATATATATGTATATATATATCTACATATATATATAAGTAGTATGTGTGTATACGTGTGTGTGTGTATATATATGTATATATATATTTAGAGAGAGAGAGAGAGAGAAAAAACAGATAAATGGTATCAAAAAAACAAACGTAATAAAATATGTGCATGAACTTTATGTAGAAAATTATTAAACTTATATAAATTAAAAACAAAATATTAAAGAAAACCTAAATAAATGGGTAGACATACCATCTTCGTGTTAGGAAGACTCAATACAGATTAATTCTTACCCAGATTATAATTTTAATTCAAGTAATCTCAAAGTCTTGACAGTTTTTTTTCCCCCAGAGTCTAAGATTATACATATTAAAGAAGAGAAAAATAGAAAAGGTAGCTAAGACAACTTTGAGGAAGAAAAACAGGGTGGGGGATTTGTCTTATATTTAAAATTATTTCCTAATTGTAGCAATTATAACAATAATTAAATTTTTTATAGCAATTGTTGTAGGGCAAATAGGCTAATTGAAGAGTACAGAGCCCCCAAACAGACTCTACAGAATATGATGTATGACAAATACTGTATTACTGACTGTAGTGGGGAATGGATAGATTATTCAGTAAAAAGTTCTAGGAATACCTGGCTATTTATATGGACGGGGTGTGTGTGTGGTGAATTTAGTCTTGTTTCACACCATTCACAATCATTTTCAGGTAGATTAAAGACATAAATGTGAAAAGAGAAATGAAAGGACTGTAAACAGTAATATCAATACCACCTACAAGCTAAATCTGCATTTTGAAAACTTTTCAGGTGATTATATGAATATTAAAGTTGGAGAAACACTGGTAAAGGAGATTTATCTTTATAACTTTGGGTGGGAAAATAGTTTTTAAAAAACACAAAATGCACAAACCATAAGAGAAAAAATAAATTTGATATTAAAATTAAATACTTCAACTACTAGCTAAAAGATAGCCTTTTCCCAGAAGTTGTCCCAAATAGGTGTCAGAAAGCTTAACTTAAACTGGCTTAAGCATGAAAGGGGATCAATTGGCTCATTAATCTGATGACCAAGGGGGAACTGTAGACAATCCAGAACCCAACATTTCCACCAAGAAGTAGGAAAAGGAGAAAACATCTAAGTTGTGGCCATGTGGCCGTTCCAGTCCCAAAGGGCTGACTGGTTGGATAACGGAAAGAAAGGAAGAGGATATTGCTGTTTTGAGTAGATGATGGTTACCTAGAATGTTGGCAGTAGTCCAGAAGATAACTCAATATAGATAAGGAACTTTTGCTAGTTTTTCTAAGAAATAAATTTTGTATTTCCATAGTAACTATCAGAAGAGACTGGAATTGATACAGTGATTTGTACTTGAATGAAAAGCTGCCTCGTAGAATTCCAGGAGGAAGCCAATATCTCGAACAGTGCAATTATAAGACAGTGTTTGAAATGCTGGAGGAAGCTTCAGTCAAAGCCAGGCCTACCTATGGACTTTTCAGTTCCATGAAGCATTGATTAGAGTCTTATGGTGTATCCAGAAAATTGTCTGTAATTTTTAGGAGCAACTCAAACTTATTTCTTTCATTTTTTTTCCGTCATGGCAAAGAATTTCTCAACAAATATGATTTTTTAACCATAACACTTTGACATATATAAAAGATATTGTTAATTTACAACTCAGGCTAATTAAATTCTGCATAGAAGTTATCAATTATGCTTAACTTTTCAAGCCTAAATCATCCTTTAACAATATAAATTAAAATAGGTTTCTATTCTGAAATTACATAGAAAAACTTATGATAAACCATTAACATTTAAGATCAGTGTGTACAAGAGTAATGGCAATACTTTTCCTTTTCTTTTTTTTCTTTTAAGACAGAGTCTTTTTCTGTCACCCAGGCAGGAGTACAGTGGCACAATCATAGCTCATTGCAACCTAGAACCCCTTGGCTCAAGCAATCCTCCCACAGCAGCCACGTGAGTAGCCAGAACTACAGATGTGTGCCACTGCACCTGGATTTTTTTTTATTGGTATTTTTTCGGATTTGGGATCTCACTATGCTGCCCAGGCTAGTCTCAGACTCCTGGCCTCAAGCAATCTTCCTACCTCATCCTCTGAAAGTGTTGAGATTACAGGTATGAGCCACCAAGCTGGCCCTATACTTTTCCATTTTATTAGGAAGATGATTCAGGATGAATAGGAAAATATCATGGGAAAGCCCTTTGCTCAAACACAGACACACACACAGACACACACACACACACACATTTTAATAGGAGTTAATTATAAGAATTTTTAGAAAAGTTGTTAGCACTTTCCCTCTTAGTACAGTTTTAAGTTGGTTTTACATTGTAAATGTTAAGGAAACGTGTTTAAATTGTTTTGATATGCCTTCAAAGTTATAAAAGTTATAAAGTTGTCAATGTTGAAATATATTTGGTATTTTAGCATTATCTTGCTTCCAGGATAATGTTCTCACACTTTATAGCTTGAAGAATGTACTTTACTCATGGGAACTAAAAATGTTATGCTTTGAGAAACCAAAGGGGAAAAGTTCAAAAGGTACTTCATAACTTTTTTTTTTAGGTTTAGAGAAAGGATAAGACTGTTTGGATTATGTTCTTCTCTAATTTAGTTAAAAAAATATTAATGAATATATGTTAACCTTCAGGCTATCATCATTCTTTCTCAAGATAGATTTATGGTAAAAATAGACTACTGAACTGTCTTGTTAAATTTTTAAAGATGAGTTTGGATGAGTTGCAAATAACATCCTCTACCCTTAGGTCAAAAAGAATATGTAAACCAAAATATTTTAGATAGGAATACTTATTATAGTTTCAACTTTCATACTTCGTATTAAAATGATTGTATAAGAAAATACAATATTTTTAATGTTTTTATTCAGAATATGTTCTGAATTTGTAACACATGTTCATTTTTTAATTGTTCAAAGTAACACACATTCATTTTATTGTCATTAAAATTTTCTTTAAAAGTCAAAGATCAAGTTGTACCCAGAAATAAACTTTGTTAATATTTTGACGTATCTTATTTTCTTATTTTTTCTATTTATATTTATGTAGATTTTGTGTTTATTAAAAATGAAGATTGGCTGGGTGCAGTGGCTCACGCCTGTAATCCCAGCACTTTGGGAGGCCGAAGTGGGTGGATCACCCGAGCTCAGGAGTTCAAGACCAGCCTGGCCAACATGGCGAAACCCCGTCTCTACTAAAAATACAAAAATTAGCCAGGCATGGTGGCGCGTGCCTGTAATCCCAGCTACTAGTGGGGCTGAGGCAGGAGGATCACTTGAACCTGGAAGGTGGAGGTTGCAGTGAGCCGAGGTCATACCACTACACTCTAGCCTGGGCAACAGAGTGAGACTTCGTCTCAAAAAAAAAAAAAAAAATTATGTGATACATGTAATTTTTATTCTTTTCATGGAAATCATGAATATTTTCCATATCATTAAATATATTTTCAAATGCAAAATATGGATTTTAATAACTACAAAATATTCTTTCCTAGAAGTTCAACAAACATTTAATCTTTTATGTGCCAGGCATAACACCATAATCTTTTTTATTATAGCATGTGTTTTTTTAATTAAAAAGAAGCATTTCAAAACATTTTCTTAATATACTTCTCTCCAGGGATTATGCCAAGTATGCACATGAAAGCCTGTTTCTCTTTGATCAAGGGAGCTAGAGGCAACTCATAATCTAATAGTCAGGGGTTCTCAGAATTCATTCTCAACCTCTTTATTAACCTACTAAAAATATTTACCATAATCTTTTAAATCATTTTCCTATTGCATATTTTGCTGGTTTATAAAGTTCGTTAATATAAAAAGTACCATGGTAAACATATCTACATGTAAATCTTTGATGATATGTATTATTATTTTAGGATGTGCTTTCAGGATATGCAGTGGTTAAGGCACTTGATATCTACTGATGTCTTTACACCCATAAAAGGTATACTTTTCTATAGGAATTGTTGTTTAAGTGTATGCTCATCACAATGGAGTATTTTCATTTTTAATTAGTACGTAAATTAGATCTCATAATTATGTTACCAATTTTTTAATTAAAGTAAGACAATTGCATAGATTTCTTATTGCCATCACTCCTCACCAATGAGAAAAAAAAAAAAACTCTGAACATTTAGCTGTTTATTCTGGTATCTAACAACATATTTCTAAATAATATGATTGTCATTTCTCTTTGTTTGCTTGGTCTTCTTTAGGCATTATTTTCAGAGTACCTATTATGGAAGAGGAGGAAATATTAATAGCACTCTGACACTGCTCTAATTCCTATCTACCCATTCTGCCAATGCATTTAGATCATATTTTAATGTATAATTTTGTGTTTCCTTTCTAGAATTTTCCTGCATGGAGTGCTACATCCTCTTGTTCCAGTCTCAGCTGGCTGCTCCGTGGGCATACTTCATACCTTTCATCACAGAGCTTTGCTTGGCCTCTCTCCTGTGTGTAATCTCTGTTTCTTGGATCCTGTGCTTACCTTTTCCTGCTGTACTCTGATGTTTCAGTGAAGCTCATCCACGAAGTCCAGAATTCTGCCTGGAAACCAGCTTCCTCCTCAGCTCCAGCTCTTTTAATGGGCATATCAAAACTGATGACTTTTTCCTTCCTGCTACATGGGTAACACTTAGTTGTTTGTCTAATTTCTATTTTCCAGAAATTTCTCAAAATGTCTGCTGATAGCCCCTCACTCATATTTTTCATGTGGGTTTATAGCTTTCATATTTCTTTATTATTGTAAATGGGGGCTGTGGAAGGTGAGAAAACACATGCTTTCTTAAAACAGAAGCTCTCTCCTTCATTAATTTAAATATTTTTATCGGCTCTAGAAAATGCATAAGGTTAGTACAAGATCAGTAGAGAGAAAGTCAAAGATTACAGAAGTGCTGAAGCAGACCATTCTTCCTTTCTTCCCAATGTCTATTAAGATCACACATAGGTAAACTGTTACAAATCCAGAATGGTGAAAGAGTCCAACAATGGCTGAGGGAAGTAGAGGTTAAGATATAGCTCAACAGTGAAAGTAGCAGGGAAAGAGCTGGGCAAGGCCAAGACCATCTTTTGTACCGTTGGTACAGTAGGCTAAAGGTACGGTGTTCCATATTAAATACAGCAATATGAAGAAAAATAAATTAAGTCCCTTATACCTAAGACCTCTATTTCTCTGTTGATTACATACACAGTGGCAATGGAAAGAAGGGAAAATAATGGGGATAGCATTTGCTCATTCTCTGACCATGCAACACTGGCAGCATTCTATACTTATTCTATTAACTGCATCAACCACATCTTATAAAACACATTTCCATAGGCCATATGTAATAGGCCTTGGCTTTATTCATTGCATTTATTGGCTCCTTAAATTGACAACATATAATTGTTTTCATATAATTTTCATCAAATAAAATTCACTTTAATTTGTATGAACATATTTAAAGTGGAAAGTATCTTCCCAAATGGTCCATATCTTAAAGTGTCAGATATTTTATGGGCTTCACATCTGAACTGCCAGAGATCTCAGGCATAGCATGCATTAATCACAACCACTTACTGACCTGGTTCAGATACTTACTCAATACATGGGGCTAGACACAGAGTGTGCCTTAGGCTAAAGAAAAAATTATTCAAGTTGAGCATATCCATAAACTCTGGCTCAAGCAGTGTATTTTGGGGGTAATAAACACAAGTTTGTTCCTAGTTGGAGGGATATGATGCTTAGGTTTGAACCTGTTAACCTTCCTGGGTTTGAGGGCTAGAAAACGTGGAGACATTCCTTTCTAACTAACACATTTTCTAATAGAAACAATCCACCAGGATGTTGAGCCCACATTTTAAGAGTTCTTCGGAATTTACTGAAAATGGAAAACTGATTACATTGGGCACATAGGACATTTATATTTATAGAAACATTTTAGATAAGACAAGAATTTTAAAAGCCAGAAATCACTTTTAGTGGGCATTTTCAGAAAAATGTTGTCAACTTTTTGTAATTTTTAATAGGCATAAAAAAGATTGTTATATTGATATTGACAGAAATTAGGTGGTTAATTAGAGAGCGTAAAAGGATGAATTGCTCTAACATTGGTTTAGAATTTTTCTTTATATGATTCAATTTTGTGGTCTGGCAAAGGCCCAATAGTCATTTATCTAGTATGCATACCTTTCCACAGCTGGATTTTCAAATATGATGATAAAGTTCATATGACAGACCTATTCTGAAAATAAATATGTCAGCAGGCTTTGCTTTATTTTATGCATTTATTCTGGATATAACATAACTTGGTACAAACACAGAATACAATTTAAGACATTTTGCCAGAGCTCTTCAAGTATAGCATCGTTTGAGATTGTGGAAGGTGATTTAGAAACACCTGGGTTGAGTATTTATATCCCAGCCTTAAATCCTAAAAGCCTTGCCGTTTTATAGTCCTTTCGGGGAAATACAGGAACTACATTAATACTTGTTAGTGTAAAAGTTAATGCATTGCTGGAAAAGCCTTGTAAAAAATCAGAAAATTATGCAAAAAATGAAGGGAAGATTAAAAAGGGTAGTGTTTGACCAGCAGTTATAGGTTTAGGGATGTATTTTTTTAGAATATATTTTTAGGAATGTATCCTTCAAATTTTAGGGTTTGGGGGCATAATGAGAAGATTCACTGGAATAAAATTCTAAATCTTATATGTAAATGAGCATTTTTGTTCATAGTAATATTTAATGGAATGTGGCTAAGAGTCCTATCTAATGGTGAAACAAAAATGAACAAAATATTCTCCTCAAGCTCTATGTGGTCCTTCTGTTACCTCTGTCTTTTTAATGACACTGTTCTCATGCTCTCCTTCCTCCCTTCCTTACATCTGTTTGGTCCAACTTGATGCCACACAAGACAAAAAGCTTATTTGATGGAAGAATATAAGCTGATAGATTAGTAGGGAGAAGAACCATAAGGTTTCCTCCTCTCTTCTTGGGTAATATGTTTACATTAACGGCAGTCATCTAGAGGAGCACCTCCAGCTTCCCTATCAGAGAGAGTGATTTTCAGACAGTGTAGTAGGAGAGCAAGCAGCACTGTAGCTCATGATGTAAATATTTTCTCAGAGTGGAAATTTTATAGCCTACCAGATAACATGTTAGCTGCGTAACCTGTCATACTTTTGAAAAAGTCCCTTCACAAGATAATCTTTATCAATAATAAATAATAATAGTCATTGCTAACATGTTTGAGTACTTTAATTACTCTGGCCAGGCACAAAGTGGTTTACATATATTATCTCATTTGAATCTCCCAACAATCCTATTAGGCAGGTGCTTTTGTTATCTCATTTTATGGATGAGATATCTGTCAATTCTCTTTTGTGATTAACGCACTACCTCTAAAATTAGTGGCTTAAAATATCAACCCATCATTTAACTCAAGATTCTGTGGATTGATGCCTTGGGTGCAGCTTAGCTGGCTTGTTCTTGGTCTTAGTTAGCCAGGAATAGGTGATCTTGGCTGAGCTCTATGAACCTGTGATCAGCTGGTGAGCCAGTTGGGGCTTGACTGGTCTATAAAGACCTTAGCTAGGTCCTACTCCAACAGGGCCTCTCCCCACACAGTTTCTCATTCTCTAGCCTGCTAGCCCTGGCTTGTTCATGTAGTAGTCTCACAGTTTCTAAAGCTCTCAAATGGAAACTGCAAGACCTCTTGAGGCCCAGGCGTGACACTAGCATAACCTCATTTTTGTTGCATTCTGTTGGTCAAAGCAAGTCACGACTCCTACCAGGTTCAAAGTATGGGGAAAAAGACTCCACTTTTCGAGAGGAGTGTCTTTGTGAGTATTTTTACATTTGTTTCTGACTCTAAGAGATGTGTCATGACTTGCCAAAGATCACACAGTTAATAAATAAAGGAATTGAATTCAAATCCACGTGGTTTGAGGCCATTACACTGCATAATTCAGCATTGTGTTTCAAATGTCATTGTTAACCCTTGACCTCTTCCTCCCTTAATGCTAAGTAACCACATCAATTTCTTATTGTAAATTCTCTTTAAAATGTTACTAGTAGCTTTGACTGTGCAAACTGCAAATTGTTAATCTCTGCAAAATCTAATGGGTCTAGACCAGAATCTTGTAGACTCTCCATGAGTCTTAAGAGTTCATCAAGTCTCTTGGACAAGGAAGGGTGTCATATCTGAGACTCCAACTAATGACTTACTAACTCACTTACTAACTCATCTCTTCAGAATGGTCTCTAGGATTGGAAGCTAAATGTGGAGATTGAGAGTAGCTTTTGGGCCAGGCAATGGAAACCAAATAAACAAAATGAGTTACCAAATACCCTTTCCTACATTCAGTTCCCTTCCCATCATTTTGATCAATGCTGAGTCTGTTTAGTCCAGGTGCAGTTTTATTTACTGACATCAGTGGCCTGGAATCATCAGGATTGCCTTATAGTTATTGGTTTTCATTTTGAATCCCAGATGACTATGGTTTTTCCCTCGATTATTTAACCACACATTTAATTCAAGTCTTATTCATGCTCAGTAAGTTAGCTTTTAATATCTCCATTTTCCCTAAATCTGTGAGCCTGGGGCATTGACATGAAATACTTCTAGGACCCAGGCTTTTAAAATTGGAAATATGGTTAGCTGCTTCTTATCTCAAATTTCCTTTCCCTATACCTTGGTGTACTAGTGAGCATTTTTTTTTCAACTTAGACTTCTAGTTTTCTTTTTGAGTAAGAAAAAAAAATGAGCTGAAGTAGAATTCTTCTTTTATTCATTGCCGTGCCCTTTAGTGGTTCCTGTACTGTGTATTTTGGAGAGTTACAGACCTCAGGAGTCAGCACTGGATCTTAGGCAGTGATAAAAGCTACTGACACAACAGCTATTTTCTCCAACAAGTCCAAGTGCTTTTGCTTTTGATTCCCTACTTCGTGATGTTAGCAGTGAGAGTGGAAGAACAGTCTCAAAAAAGAGGTCAGCTTCTTTCCAGAGCCATTTGGTAAAAATAGGGAATGACTGCAGTTTGGATTTTTCAATTCGTCACTCTGTCTAGAAATCTATTCTTTAACAAACCCCTGGTTCTTTATATTTTCACAGATGGGGACCATATTTATTATTTATTGTTGTGCATATCTTTTTTTAAATTTTTTTTTTTTTTTTGAGAAAGGGCCTTGCTTTGTCACCCAAGCTGTAGCACAGTGGAGTGATCATAGCTCTCTGTAGCCTTGAACTTGTGGGCTAAAGCAATCCTCCTGTCTCGGTCTCTGGAGTAGCTGGGACTACAGGAATGCCACCATGCCCCGCTCATTTTTTATTTTTTTTAGAGAGAGTGTCTCACTATGTTATCCAGACTGGTCTCAATGCTGATCTCTAGCAATCCTCCCATCTCAGCCACCCAAAGTGTTGGAATTACAGTATTGAGCCACCATGTCTGGCTGTGTATATCTTGTAGATTTCTACCAATAGTGTATGTGTCACTTATTAAAGGCCAAGCATCATTTTAAGTGTCTTCTCAATACTTAATTTATTTAACATCCATATAATAATGTGCTGCAATATACATTGCAGGCTTAAAAATGTTCGTATTATTAAAACCTGGTATCTTTATATTCTGAAAAAAGGACATAACTAGATATACCTAGGTATGCATTGCAGACCTATTGATAACAGAGAAATAAAGGAAACATTCTATTAAGCAACAAGGGAATTGCAGTCACTCATACCGTGTGTATAAAGGATAGTGGCTGCAGTAGTAAGGCAAAAGCTAGACTTGAATACTTTATGTAGAATATAGAATAACATCTTAAAAGCCTACAGACATACACCAACATGTTATTCTGGGACATGAGAATATGGGTTTCTTTTTCTTTTAAATATTTACATATTTTTCTGTTTTCTAAAATTAACCCACTTTTTTTGATATTTTACTGAACAAAAATTATATATGTCTGATATATATCAGATATATATCTGAATTTGTTTCAGATAATTCAAATATATATATATATATATATATATTTGTTTGTTTGAGATGCAGTCTTGCTCTGTTGCCCAGGCTGGAGAACAGTGGTGCAATCTCGGCTCACTGCAACCTCCGCCTCCCAGGTTCAAGCGATTCTCCTGCTTCACCCTCCCAAGTAGCTGGGATTACAGTTGACCACCACCATGCCTGGCTAATTTTTGTATTTTTAGTAGACATGGGGTTTTACCATGTTGGCCAGGCTGGTCTTGAACTCCTGACCTCAGGTGATCCACCCTCCTCAGCCTCCCAAAGTGCTGGGATTACAGGTCTGAGCCACTGCACCCAGCCAAATTCACGTATATTTTTTGATATATCAAACATTTGTATTATAATGATAAAATAGTTTATTAAAAAAGATAACATTTGCAGAAAGTACAGAAAAAATAAAAAGATATGTGAAACCATCATTTATAATCTCACTACTGTGAAGTGTAAGTACTGTTATTTTCTCATATTACCTCACATTCATTTTTTCTATATATCATTATATATATGCAAATGCACACCTACACATATACAGACACATATAT
The DNA here is from genome assembly GCF_000001405.40 of Homo sapiens. Lineage (NCBI taxonomy): Eukaryota > Metazoa > Chordata > Mammalia > Primates > Hominidae > Homo > Homo sapiens. The sequence goes on from NC_000004.12 coordinate 174,337,681, forward strand.
ATACAAACAATTTTGATTCCTAAAGTTTACCTCATCATTAATTCCATATTGCAAAAAATTCTTCATAAATATTTTAATTGCTACAAAATATTTCTTGGTACAAATGTGACATAATTTGTTTCCTCTCTTATTAGACTTTTGTGTTGTTTTTAATTTTTGATTTTATAAAAAATAGTGAGATTAACATACTTTTTGATAACTTTTTGTCTACTTTAAAAAAATATTTCCCAAGGGAATTGTTGGTGGCTTTCTAATCACCAAACCCACTGCTGTTTGTCAGTCCTCATCCTTCACATCGTTTGCACTGCTTGCCTGATGTCGGCCACCTCGTCTTCCTTGTCACATCCCTCTTCTCCTATGGCTTTCATGAAACAGTGGTTTCCTGATTTTGCCACTGGTCTAACACCTTTCTCAGTTTCCTAAAGGTTTGTTTTTCATTGTACTTTTCTAACTTGATGGTCCTAATATTTGCAATTCAATCTCTTTTTCAGTTCTCATCTCCCTCATCCCTAAGCCATGTTTTTTGTTTTTTTTTTTTTTTTTTTTTTTTTTTTTGAGACTGAGTCTTGCTCTGTCACCCAGGCTGGAGTGCAGCAGCACCATGTTGGCTCACTGCAACCTCCAACTCCCAGGTTCAAGTAATTCTCCTGCCTTAGCCTCCCCAAGTACCTGGGACTACAGGTGCCTGCCACGCCTGGCTAATTTTTTGTATTTTTAGTAGAGACGGGGTTTCACTGTGTTAGCCAGGATGGTCTCGGTCTTCAGATCTTGTGATCTGCCCACCTTGGCCTCCCAACGTGCTGGGATTATAGGTGTGAGCCACTGTGCCAGGCCAACCGTAAGGTTTTTTCTTTTTCTTTTTTTTTTTTTTGAGATGGAGTCTAGCTCTGTCACCAGGCTTGAGTGCAGTGATGTGATCTCAGCTCACCACAACCTCCGACCCCCTGGTTCAAGTGATTCTCCTGCCTTAAACTCCCAAGTAGCTAGGATTACGGGCATGCGCCACCACACCCAGCTAATTTTTGTATTTTTGGTAGAGACGGGGTTTCACCATATTGGCCAGGATGGTCTCCATCTCCTTACCTCGTGATCCACCCGCCTCAGCCTCCCAAAGTGCTGGGCCTATAGGTGTGAGCCACGGTGCCCAGCCAGCCCTAAGCTTTTATGCTTCTATGAGGATTGCTAGTACATCTTTTCTTTGAGCTTTGAACTCTTTCCCATTCTCTAGATTTTCATTTCTCCTTGCTGCAGATGGCCACTTCAAATTCAAAATGTTTGAAATGGGAAGCAAATTTACCACCAAGTCAACCTTTTCTCCTGTTATATTACCCTCTTATTTCTACCTATAACACTACAGTGCTTCCAGTCAGCAGGGCTTGAACTTGGAGTCTTTTTTAAAAAATGGCTTACTTGAGATGTAATCAAACTTTACATATTGAATGTATAAAGTTTGGTCTGTTTTAGAACCATTGCAACCATCAAGATGATCAACTCTATCACCCCAAAAGTATCTTTAAGTTCTTTTTAAATTTATTTCTCTCTCTAGCTCCATCCTGAGGCAAATGCTGATCTAATTTCTGTCACTATAGATTTCTTTTCATTTTCTTGAGTTTTGTATGAATGAAATCATACAGTGTGTACTCAGCACAATGATGTGGAGATTTATCCACATTGTTGCATGCATTCATATCTTTTTCTTTTTATTGCCAAATAGTACGTCACACATGGATGTACCATAATTTGTTTATCCATTCACTTGTTGATGACATTTGGATTGTTTCCAATTTTTGATTTTTAGAAATAAAGCTGCTATTAACATTGGTATTGTAAACCAAAAAGTACCTGAGACAAGTCTTAATCAATTTAAAAGTTTATTTTGCCAAGGTTAAGGACGCGGCCATGACACAGCCTCAGAAAGTCCTGATGACATGTGCCCAAAGTAATAGGCTACAACTGGGTTTTACACATTTCTGAGAGACAAAAAACATCAGTCAGTACATGTAAGATGTACATTGGTTTGGTCCCGAAATGTAGGACAACAGGATGTGGAGGCTTCCAGGTCATAGGCAGATTAAAAGATTTTTCTGATTGGCAGTTGGTTGAGTTATATAAAGACCTGGAATCTAATCTGTCGTGGGAGTTTTAAGAAAAGTAAAATTAAAATAAAGACCTGGAATCAGTAGAAAGAAATGTCTGGGTTACAATAAAGGGTTGTGGAGACCAAGGTTTTATCATCCAGATGAAGCCTCCAGGTAGTAGGCTTCAGAGAGAATAGATTGTAAATGTTTCTTATCAGACTTAAAGAGCCTTTTCTATCAGTTTTAAGGTCTGTGTTGATGTTAATGGTATTGAGGCACGTCTGACTTCTCCTTCCCATCATGGCCTGAACTAGTTTTACAGGTTAACTTTGGAATGCCCTTGGCTGAGAGGAGAGGTCCATTCAGAATGTTTGCGGGCTTAGAATTTTATTTTTGATTTGAAGTATACAAGTCTCTCGAGTAAATTTCTAGGAGGTAAGTGTATACTTAAATTTCAAAGAAACTGCCAAGCTGTTTCCGAAAGTAGTCGTACAATTCCTATCAGCAGCATGTGAGAGTATAGTTGCTCCATATCCTCACTGTCTTTATCCATTTATGATACTATAACAAAATGTTCCAGTTCTAGTACACATATATACATGCAGAATATATAACAAGCAGAATATAATCTTTTATCTTTTAACTTTAATCTTTTCTGACTCTATTAGTCCGTTCTCACGCAGCTAATAAAGACATAATAAAGACTGAATAATTTATAAAGGAAAGAGGTTAATTTGCTCACAGTTCAGCATGGCTAGGGAGGCCTCAGGAAACTTACAATCATGGCGGAAGGGAAAGCAGGCATGTCCTTCTTCATATGGCAGCAGCAAGGAGAAGTGCAAAGTGAAGGAGGGGAAAAGCCCCTTATAAAACCAACAGATCTCGTAAGAACTCACTCACTATCACAAGAACAGTATGGAGGTAATTGTCCCCATGATTCAATTACCTCCCACCACATTCCTCCCACAACATGTGGGAATTATGGGAACTACAATTTAAGATGAAATTTGGGTGGGGACATAGCCGAACCATATCACTGATCATTGAGTATATTATTAACTTTCTACGTAGATTCAATGATTCAGCTTCATATTATTAACTTTCTATGTAGACTCAATGATTCAACTACTTAAATATGTCTAGGCTACTAATAAACCTTCTTGAATGAATAACAGATGAACAACTGAATATAAATGAAAACAGATGGCCATAAAGAAGAGGATTCAGAATTGTCATCAGCCCTTCACAATCACTGCATTTTCTCTAATAAGCTCACATGCCCATAGCACATTGCCAAAGTTTATTGACTTCTTCCAGAATTTTTATATAAAATTATGATTATGATCTCATAGAGTTCAGGATTGCTTACCAAAGAGCATACCCTCACCAGGATGATGCCCTTTCAAAGGACCTGGTGCCCCAAGGAGCACTGGGGGAGGGAGGCATACAGATGCATTGCATGACATTCTTAACCTAAACCCTGCTTTATGATCTCAGAATCTTCCAAACTTCTAGTCCTTCCAGATCTGAAAATCTGTAGTCACTCCATGATCCAGAGACAGAAGGCAAGCAGAATTTGGTATCTGGATACCAAACACTGATGTTGTGTTGTGAATCTTTGTTATCAAGATTCTTGTGCCTTTAAATTACGTATTTGTGGATTTGACCTATTGAGATATATCAATATTCCTATGCATATATACATATTTGCCCAATAAATCTTTTGATAAACAAAGAAGGGTAGTATAATTCTTAGAAAACAGTGGTTTCTGCTATTGAGCTATTTGCTTTAGATTTGATGTGTCTATAAATGGCTATACAAAATATGTTTTAAGTAGTGATAATAGATTAGATATTAAGCAACTGAATGTGGCAGCTAGGACTAAGGTATATTACCAAGTTTTTATCTTCATTGAACAAATCATAGAAGAAAGTGGGGAATTCATTTCATACCTTTCTCTGTATATACTCCATATTGATTTAACTACTTAAATCATCTCATGGGTATATAACTCTTATTTCATCTATATCTTTTTTTCCCTGACTCCTCTGATAGCTTAGGAGAGAAGAAAGGTATGTTCAGAGGCATATGCAAAGACCTGCCAGAACACTCACAAATGGGGTGATGAGAGTAACGGGGTAGTGAGAAGCATTAATTTTGTATAGAAGTCAGATATACAAGCATTAAAATATATGCCTATTATAACCACTTAAATTATGGTTCATTTTGATAGAAAAAAATTCTGCTGAAAATCTAATTTCAGGCAGTTGTTCACCAAGCAGAATCATAGTAACTATCTTATCTGTGCTTTCTATGTATTTATCTTGCTGACTGATTGTGCTTGTTATGGTAATCATTTACTAGTCACTCTATGTAATGTCTCACAAACTGTAACTTGAATAAAGGCAAGTTATTAGACCTTAGTACCAAAAAGTATTTGAAAATTCAGAGTGCTTATCTCTTCCTTTATAATATCTGACTTCATCAGGAGGATTGCTTGAAGCCAGGAGTTCCAGGCCAGTTTGGTCAACAAAGCCAGACTCTGTATAGAAAAAATAAGGAAGGACGGAAGGAAGGAAGGAAGGAAGGAAGGAAGGAAGGAAGGAAGGAAGGGAGGGAGGGAGGGAGGGAGGGAGGGAGGGAGGGAGGGAGGGAGGGAGGGAGGGAGGGAGGGAGGGAGGGGAGGGGAGGGGAGGGAAAGAAGGGAAGGAAGGAAAAGAAGGGAAGGAAGGAAGGAAGGAAACTGGTACCTACAGGCAGAAATGCTTCTTCAAAGAAGCCTAACTCTGCATTTAATTTTAACTGATTGAATAAGACTTACACATATTACCTATGATATTCAATAATTTCCCTTACTAGAGCCAATTGATTACAAACCTTAATCACATCTAAAAAATAATATCTTCATAGCATCACCTACCTAAGTGTTTGTAAGTGGGAACTGTAATCTAGCCAGGTTGACACGTCAAAAGACAATCACAGTTAAATTCTCAGAAATAGAATAGCTGAATCGAAGAGAGTAAATTTTTATTTTTTTCAATGTTTTTTAAATTATAGACAATTTTTAGAGCAGTTTAAGCTTCACAGCAAAATTGAGAGGAAGGTACAGAGTTATCTCATCTACCTCCTGCCCACACACATGATAGCTCCCTCATTATCAAAGTCCTCCACCAAAGTGGTACATTTATTACAACTGATGGAACTACATTGATACATTATCGTCACTCAGAGTCTATATTTTAGGGTTTTTTTTAATTTTGTTTTTGGTGTTGGACATTCTATGAGTTTGGACAAATGTGGATATGAATGACATGTATCCATTATTATAGTATCATACAGAGTATTTTCACTGTCCTAGAAATCCTCTGTTCTCCACCTATTCATCCCTCCTTCCCCAAACCCCTTGGCAACAACTATTCTTTTTACTGTCTCTATAATTTTGCCTTTACCAAATGTTATATTGGTAACATACAGTATGGAATCATACAGTATATAGCCTTTCCAGATTTTTTACTGTCTCTATAATTTTGCCTTTTACTTTTTACTGTCTGTATAATTTGTCTTTACCAAAATGTTATATTGGTAATATATAGTATGGAATCATACAATATGTCGCCTTTTCAGATTGGCTTTTTTTTTACTTAGTAATGTGCATCTGAATTTCTTCTATGTCTTTTCATGGCGTGGTAGTTTCTTTCTTTTTAACACCAAATAATATTCCATTATCTGGAGGTACAGCAGTTTATTTATCCATCATCTACTGAAGGACATCTTAATTGCCTCCAAGTTTTGGTAATTATGAATAAACCAGCTATAAACATCCATGCATAGGTTCTTGTGTGGATAAAAGTTTTTTATTTTTTGTGCTAAATACCAAGGAGCATGATTGCGGATTGTACAGTAACCACGTTTAGTTTTGTAAGAAACTATCAAACTGTCTTTGAAAGCATCTGTCCCATTTTGCATTCCCACCATCAATGAATGAGAGTTCCTATTACTTTATAAACTTTTCAGCATTTGGTGTTGTCAGTGTTCTGAATTTTGGCTATTCTAATAGGTGTGTATCTCATTGTTGTTTTCATTTGCATTTTTCTGATGACTTATGCTGTAAGGCATCTTTTCTTATGCTTATTTACCATCTATATGTCTTCTTTGGTAAGATGTCTGTTAAGGTCTTTGGCCCATTTTTACTGTTTGTTTTCATATCTTTGAATGTTAAGACTTCTTTGTATATTTTGGGTAACAGCCTTTTGTTAGGTATGTCTTCTGCAAATATTTTTTTCCAGTCTGTGGCTTATCTTTCATTTTCTTGGCAGTGGGCTTTAATAGAGCAGGCATTTTTAATTTTAATCAAATCCAGCTTATCAGTTCTTTCTTTCATGAATTGTGCCTTTGGGGTTGTAGATAAAAACTCATCACCAAACCCAAGATCAACTAGATTTTCTCCTATGTTGTCTTCTAGGAACTTTATAATTTTGTGTTTTACATTTAGGTCTCTGATCTATTTTGAGTTTTTTGCAAAGAGTGAAAGGTTTATGTCTAGGTTCATTTTTTTGCACTTGCACGCCAGTTGGTCCAGAGCCATTGGTTAAAAAGAATGATACATATTTTAAAATTCCTTTTCTTTTCTTTTTTTTTTTTTTTTTGAGATGGAGTCTCACTCTGTTGCCCAGGCTGGAGGGAAATGGCACAATCTCAGCTCACTGCAACCTCTGCCTCCAGAGTTCAAGCAATTCTCCTGCCTCAGCCTCCTGAGTAGCTGGGATTACAGGAACTCGCCACTACGCTCAGCTAATTTTTTGTATTTTTAGTAGAGACAGGGTTTCACCATGTTGGCCAGGATGGCCTTGAACTCCTGACCTTGTGACCTGCCCGTCTTGGCCTCCCAAAGTGCTGGGATTATAGGCATGAGCCACCACGCCCAGCCTTTGTGCCAGTTTTCAAAGGGAATGCTTCCAGCTTTTGCCCATTCAGTATGATATTGGCTATGGGTTTGTCATAAATAGCTCTTATTATTTTGAGATATGTTCGATCAATACCTAGTTTATTGAGTGTTTTTAGCATGAAAGGGTGTTGAAGGCCTTTTCTACATCTACTGAGAGACTTATGTGGTTTTTGTCATTGGTTCTGTTTATGTGATGGCTTACGTTTATTCATTTGTGTATGTTGAACCAGCCTTGCATCCCAGGGATGAAGCCAACTTGATCATGGTGGATAAGCTTTTTGATGTAATGCTGGATTCAGTTTGCCAGTATTTTATTGAGCATTTTCGCATTGATGTTCATCAGGGATATTGGCCTAAAACTTTCTTTTTGTTGTTGTTGTGTCTCTGCCAGGTTTTGGTATCAGGATGATGCTGGAGTCATAAAATAAGTTAGGGAGGAGTCCCTCTTTGTTTCTATTGTTTGGAATAGTTTCAGAAGGAGTGGTACCAGCTCCTCTTTGAATTTGGCTGTGAATCTGTCTAGACATGGGCTTTTTTTGGTTGGTAGGCTATTAATTACTGGCTCAATTTCAGAACTTGTTGCTGGTGTATTCAGGGATTTGACTTCTTCCTTGTTTAGTCTTGGGAGGTTGGGATGGTGTTTATGTGTCCAGGAATTTACCATTTCTTCTAGATTTTCTAGTTTTTTTGTGTAGAGGTGTTTAAAGTATTCTCTGATGGTAGTTTGTATTTCTGTGGAATCAGTGGTGATATCCCCTTTATCATTTCTATTGTGTCTATTTGATTCTTCTCTCTTTTCTTCTTTATTAGTCTGGCTAGTGGTCTATTTTGTTAATCTTCTCAAAAAACCACTCCTGGATTCATTGATTTTTTTTGAAGGGTTTTTCATGTCTCTATCTCTGTCAGTTCTGCTCTGATCTTAGTTAGTTCTTTTCTTCTGCTAGCTTTTGAATTTGTTTGCTCTTGCTTCTCTAGTTATTTTAATTGTGATGTTAGGGTGTCAATTTTAGATCGTTCCTGCTTTCTCATATGGACATTTAGTGCTATAAATTCCCCCTAAACACTGCTTTAGCTGTGTCCCAGAGATTCTGGTATGTTGTGTCTTTGTTCTCATTGGTTTCATAGAACTTATTTATTTCTGCCTTAGTTTCATTATTTATCCAGTAGGCATTCAGGAGCAGGTTGTTCAGTTTCCATGTAGTTGTCTGGTTTTGAGTGAGTTTCTTAATCCTGAGTTCTAATTTGATTGCACTGTGGTCTGAGAGACAGTTATAATTTCTGTTCTTTTACATTTGCTGAGGAGTGTTTTACTTCCAATTATGTGGCCAATTTTAGAGTAAGTGTGATGTGCTGCTGAGAAGAATGTATATTCTGTTGATTTGGGGTGGAGAGTTCTATAGATGTCTGTAAGGTCCACTTGGTGCAGAGCTGAGTTCAAGTTCTGAATATCTTTGTTAATTTTCTGTCTCGTTGATCTGTCTAATAATGACAGTGGGGCATTAAAGTCTCCCACTGTTATTGTGTGGGAGTCTAAGTCTCTTTGTAGGTCTCTAAGAACTTGCTTTATAAACCTGGGTGCTCCTGTATTGGGTGCATACATACTTACGATAGTTAGCTTTTCTTGTTGCATTGATCCCTTTACCATTATGTAATGCCCTTCTTTGTCTTTTTTGATCTTTGTTGGTTTGAAGTCTGTTTTATCAGAGACTAGGATTGCAACCCCTCCTTTTTTTTTGCTTTCCATTTGCTTGGTAAATATTCCTCCATCCCTTTCTTTTAAGCCTATGTGTGTCTTTGCATGTGGCATGGGTCTCCTGAATACAGCACACCAATGGGTCTTGACTCTTTATCCAATTTGCCAGTCTGTGTCTTTTAACTGGGGCATTTAGCCCTTTTACATTTAAGGTTCATATTGTTATGTGTGAATTTGATCCTGTTATTTTGATGCTAGCTTGTTATTTTGCTCATTAGTTGATGCAGTTTCTCCATAGTGTTGTTTTTCTTTATATTTTGGTATGTGTTTTGGAGTGGCTGGTACCAGTTTTTCCTTTCCATATTTAGTGCTTCCTTCAGGAGCTCTTATAAGGCAGGCCTGGTGGTAACAAAAATCCCTCAGCATTTGCTTGTCTGTAAAGGGTTTTATTTCTCCTTCACTTATGAAGCTTAGTTGGGCTGAATATGAAATTCTGGGTTGAAAATTCTTTTCTTTAAAAATGTTGAATATTGGCCCCCACTCTCTTCTGGCTTGTAGGGTTTCTCCAGAGAGATCCGCTATTAGTCTGATGGGCTTCCCTTTGTGGGTAACCTGACCTTTCTCTATGGCTGCCCTTAACATTTGTTCCTTCATTTCAACCTTGGTGAATCTGATGATTATGTGTCTTGGGGTTCCTCTTCTTGAGGAGTATCTTAGTTGTGTTCTCTGTATTTCCGGAAATTGGATGTTGGCCTGTCTTACTAGGTTGGGGAAGTTCTCCTGGATAATATCCTGAAGTGTGTTTTCCAACTTGGTTCCATTCTCCTCATCACTTTCAGGTACACCAATCAATCGTAGGTTTGGTCTTTTCATATAGTCCAATATTTCTTGGAGGCTTTGTTCCTTCCTTTCATTCTTTTTTTCTCTAATCTTGTCTTCATGCTTTATTTTATTAAGTTGATCTTCAATCCCTGATACCCTTTCTTCCACTTGATTGATTCGGCTATTGATACTTGTGTATGCTTCATGAAGTTCACGTGCTGTGTTTTTCAGCTCCATCAGGTCATTTATGTTCTTCTCTAAACTAAGTGTTCCAGTTAGCAGTTCCTGTAACCTTTTATTAAGGTTCTTAGCTTCCTTGCATTAGGTTAGAACATGTTCCTTTAGCTCGGAGGAGTTTGTTATTACCCACCTTCTGAAGCCTACTTCTGTCAATTTGTCAAACTCATTCTCCATTCAGTTTTGTTCCCTTGCTGGTGAGGAGTTGTGATCCTCTGGAGGAGAAGAGGCATTCTGTTTTTTTGAATTTTCAGCATTTTTGCGCTGCTTTTTCCTTGTCTTCTTGGATTTACCTATTTTTGATCTTTGATGCTGATGACCTTTGGATGCGGTTTTTGCATGGGCATCCTTTTTGTTGATGTTGATGTTATTGCTTTCTGTTTGTTAGTTTTCCTTCTATAGTCAGGCCCCTCTTCTGTAGGTCTGCTGGAGTTTGCTGAAGGTCCACTACAGACCCTGTTTGCCTGGGTATCACCAGTAGAGGCTGCAGAATGCAAAGATTGCTGGCTGCTCCTTCCTCTGGAGGTTTCATCCCAGAGGGGCACCTGCCAGATGCCAGCTGGAGCTCTCCTGTATGAGGTATCTGTTGACCCCTGCTGGGAGGAGGTGTCTCCCAGTGAGGAGGCACGAGGGTCAGGGACCCACTTGAGAAGGCAGTCTGTCCCTTAGCAGAGCTCAGGCACTGTGCTGGGAGATCCGCTGCTGTCTTCAGAGCTGGCAGGCAGGAACATTTAAGTCTGCTGAAGCTGTGCACACAGCTGCCCCTTATCCCAGGTGCTCTGTCCCAGGGAGATGGGAGTTTTATCTATCAGCCCCTGACTGGGGATGCTGCCTTTCTTTCAGACATGCCCTGCCCAGAGGGGAGGAATCTAGAGAGCCAGCTGACATATTTTTTATCCTCATGCCTACTTATGATCTTGCTTGATTGGTGATATCTAATTTTGAGAATTTTGAAAAAAAAAAATTGAATATTTCTTTTACACGTGCATTTGCCTTGAAACATGATAAAAGTCCCACTTATCCTCAAACAGAAACCACCAATTTCTTTTGATCCAACCATTATATCAAGTTCCTGTGTCCTTCCTATTCCTTATCACATTTCTTAAGAGGTCAGTCACACTTGATGTGTCTACTTTCTTAAATCCCATGCAATCTCCAACTGATTACAGTTTATTTTCTCCCATTGAAGGAAACTCTTTTAATTAGGAAGACAATGACCTCTTGCAGCCCAAATCCAACATGTTTTAATTATGCATCCTATTTAACCTCTGGTTAGTATTTGACACTATGCCACACCTGTGTGTCAAGAAGATTTGTTTTTTTTAAAAGAGTTCAGCATTGTACACAAATGTTTTTAAAGCTCTATATAAGGAAATATTGCTAGAACCGGAAGTCGTACAACTCCTCCTTCTTGAGAACTGCTCCAATGTGTTATACTCTACACATCAATTAATGCCCTTTGTATGGTACTGTGTCATTTCTCACTTCTTTCTTTTTCTCAACTCTCAAATACAGGAGGATGCCAAATCCCATAGCTTCGACCTGAGAAATAGTTCTTAGCTATTCTTCTTCTTCCCAGAAGTGATTGTGATGGGAAGCCCTCATTTTTCTCTCAATTAGAAAATATAATAGTCCCTAATCGATTTTCCTGTTACTAGTGTCCCATACTCTAGTCATATCTCACACTGTAAACCAAAGCCAATGATATGGATATCTCTCCCATGAAGTTCTCTATCATTTCTCTATTGTTTCCAAGATGAAGCTCCAGCACCCTATTTCAGGATCTCACAGGGTGGTCCCTGGATCAGGAGAATCAACATTTCCTGAGAACTTGTTAGCATAACAAAACCTTTGATCCCATCTCAGAGCTATTGAAGCCCAAACACTTTAGTCCAGGTGATTCTGATTCACAATAAAGTTGGAGAACCACTGCCCCAGCTGGCTAGTAGAGGAAACTGTTTGTTCAGGCTGCTACCAGACTTCGCTGCCTCTCCTGCATTTGTATTTCTCTTGCACTTTATGTTATTTTCTTATTGACTATCTCATCTGGTAAATGCCAGACATTAGGACCAACCTTCCAGACTGGAATACCACACCTGAATTTTTTTTTCCTGGCAAATTGCTATTATTACTTCACTATCCATTTCAAATGCTGTGAGAATTCCAGCCTCCTTCAAGATCCATTCTTGCTCCATCCGTCCTCCATTGGTATTTTGCTCACATCTCTGTAACAGCATTTACCATGTCATATCTTAATTTATCTTTCTAAAGATCATATTTTCCTCCTAAAACTGTGAATTCCTCACATATAGACTAGATCTTGTTCAACATCGTTCCCCTAGTGGCCTAGCTTGCTGTTTTCTGTTTTTCTCTTCTTTTTTTTGCCACCTCTTTACACAAAAGATTTGAGAGTAGGAAAATATTTTTGAAGTGAAATATTTCAACTCAACACCATAATGGTAATCAAGAAGCTTGGCAACTATTACAACTGTGTAGGGGCCTTTTTGCATATCAAAGCAACCAGTCTCCTATTTTCTTTTGTCTATCTGTGTACATAAAATGACAGTAATTAATTGAGACAGACTGATTCCTCTCACACACTTCCCATATGTTCTTTCTAGTCTACTTTATCCATGTGTCCCGATAGGCCTCTTTTATACAACTTCCTTTGTGACCCCCAGATTCTGACAACAAGGATCTAATGTTTCCCAGGTGATTTCTCTCTATTGTTCAAAAATCCTATTGCCTTAGGTGCAGTTCTTTCAATTCCCTCTCCTGATTTTTTAAAAATCTGATTGCCATTTGTGATGAAGGAACACTGTGTGGTGAAGAGATGAAGGAACCTCAGGGTTTGGGCTCTGTTTGATGGCCTCTTTCATTAAAATGCAGCCCTCTCCCCTTGCTCATATTTAATTCAATAAGATGGATGTAAAACAGGCAATTTTACTCCAGGTGTGAAAATACATTAGTTTCGAAAAAACAGGAGCTGATATTTCAGATCAGTTTGGGGTAGCTTTGCTATTACTATGGACTTGTTACAGGTGTCTTCATGTTTCCATAGCTTGATGTTAAACTGCTTAGTAAATAACTATACCAAAGCACCAAATTAAATTCATTAGCTTAAAAGCTTAATGCAGTTTCAACTGGTAATTGTACATTTACAGAGAAAATCATATGCCTTGTTTTAGAGAAATGAAATTAGAGTTAAGCCAAAATAGATTATTTTAATTACCAACTAAACAGGTTAGAACACTTTTTGAATAAAATCTAGCAAAACAAAATCAGTCAATAATTTTTAAATGATCTCTTAATTTCATCAGAGTATTACATATTCCTTGATGACTTCCATAGATTTATTTTATGATATGCAGAAAACTACATCTGCAGAACCAGAAGCAGAGTGACTTCTTAATGTGATTTTCATTGTCATTGATGGGACAGATTTTTGACAAATCTCATTGTTAGCTCTGAACAGTTAGAGCAGTTTATTTTCCAGCAGCAAGTAATTCCAACTTGATACAATGGTTAACATGAACATCTAGTTCATGAGCTAAATCTAAACCCTTAACTGTTAAATTTACTTCACGTAAGGAAAACTTAGGGTCGACCTGCAGCAATTTCTTACGGTAAAGAAAGGGAACTATTGCAATACTTTGAACTCCAGGTAAGTGAGAGACATAAAATTGATGTCTCTCTGATGTTCCACTTCAAGATAATAATAGATCTATTCTTAAAGAATCGTGTAAAGCTTAACTTTTTGAGCCATAGTATCTGTGAAAAGGATACATTTGGAGACCAGTTGTTCGAGGTGCTGATGTGCTGCCCATATGTCTCAATCTGCTGTAATGGGCAACTGAGGCCATATAAATACAACACTTTTTTTCCCCTGCAGGCTCTGTGTAATCCTTTCTGTGTCAAAGGCAGACAGGACATCATCCTAAAACTGGTCTCTGCACTTGAACTTTTTAGCCTCTGCCAATGGCCAGAGTTGTTAATTAGCTATCATAAATTGCCTTCTCTGAGCATTTCCAAATGTTTGCCCCTAGTTTTGCCTATTATGATTGTGTATCTATTAGGAATATTCCAAGGCAGGAGAATAATCAGTCTTTCTGTACCTTAAAATATAGATGTAGGGATTAGGCAGACTGCGGGAAGGGAAGAGTAGCACTTTGCCTTCTACCAGGAGAAGCCCTGAGGAGAATTTATCCTTGTATCACGATTATCTTTTCCAGCATTGAAAAGAGGTATTCAAATTCAGTGATAACTAAATCAACATCAGGCTCCTACTACGGTTTTTTCCTTCTTACTAGTCTTCTGAGAGGGGTGCTCTCCCTAAGCACCCTGGAGAGTGCTGTCTGCACCCTTAGAGAAAGGCAACGATGCTTGGAGAGTGTGTTTTGCCATGTGCTGCGAGGTGTGTGTGTGAAAATTCTAATTGACAGCTTTTGTATTTTCATCAACCATACTGCATCCCTTGTAATTTAGCCCAGAAAACTAGGTGGAGGATAAGAAGCCTAATTGTGATCTTGCATGGGGCATCTGAATGTCCAGGATATTGTTAGTTGCCCTGAAGAATGCTGGAGAATGTTCAGGTCCCCTCTGAAGGAACTTAATAACCTCAATCTCTCCATGAGGGAGACTTATTGGCAAGTGTTCCCTGATGAGAAACCTGGAGTTAAAATTAAGAAACCTGGCTGCAATTAAAAATTATAAATTTTTAATTGAAATTAAGTGAAAGTGACCAGAAAAAAGAACCAGATATTGTTTATGTGTGCGTGCGTGTGTGTGTGTGTGCGTGTGTGTGTGAGTGTGCGTGTGTTTTAGGAAGGAAGTTACTTAAAGAAGTATTTCTTTCTGTCCTGCAGAGCTAAAGATTTTTGGTTGCTTCTGATTGACTTGGATGGATTCTTAATGCTATTTCAGGCTGGTGATGCTGGTGGCTAAAATTGATGAAGAAGTGTTTGTTTAACACCTACAGCCAATTGTGGCTTTTATTTATTCATTCACGTATTTATTAATCATCACCTGTGTTCCACACACTCAGGCTGGCACCTGGATACTCTTTCAAGAAAAGCTAAGCATTATTTTTGTAATTATTGTGTAATGAGCTAGGCAGCTCACTTTACTTCTCTGGGCTACATGTCAAGAAAACAATTGTTAAAATAAGTTCCTCTAATCAAGCCAACACAGCTGGCTTTTGTGGCTGTGGGAGCATTGCCAGAATATCAGAGAAAAGTTGTTACAGGTTGAGAATCCCTAATCCAAAGATCTGAAATCTGAAATGTTTCAAAATGGAAACTTTTTGAGTGCCAACAAAATTATTTAAAATATTGTATAAAACTACCTTCAGTCTATGTGTATATGGTGTATATGAAACATAAATGAATTTTATGTTTAGAATTGGGTCTCCTCCCCAAGAAATCTCACGATGTATATGAAAGTATTCCAAAATCCAAAAAAATCTGAAATCCGAAACACTTCTGGCTGTAAGTGCTTCAGATAAGGGATATTCAACCTGTACAAAAAATGAGGGTTCACATTACTTGGTGATAAGTTGATAAAACTTAATGAAACACGGATTGCCAGACAGAAATCCTTCATCTAGAGCAAGATGTTAATTACCATGGTTGAAGATCAATTCTTTCTAATTTATTTAACAAACTACTTTGACTGAATATTAGAATACAAATTATAGAGGAAAACCAAGATATCTCCTTCAGTAATTTCATTGTAACAGAATTGGTACTTATTCATCCATTATTCCACAAATGTATTTGAATGACCAATTAATAGTGCTAGAAGCTTGCAGTATAGGAGAGGAAGATGTAAGTGCACTGCAATATCTAAATTCTGAAAAAAAGAAGCTTTAAAGCTACAGTGCCAGGGAGGCAGGGAGCAGGGTGCAAAAAAAGTCGTAATAAAAGCCAAAGAATAACTCACTAGCAGTAAGATAATAGTCTCAGCATCCTCTTAAACACTATGTCTCCTTCCTTTCTTTTTTCCCAGACAGAAAGAAAAGAGACAGGTTTATAGCTGTTACCTTAAACCTGTATTTTTTTTTCTTCTTCCTTTTTAACTAAGTGGCTTTACTTGACTAAACTCTTAGATAGGTAGAAGGAGAGGCCTCTAGGCTCCAGAAAGAAGAATCAAAGTAAACAGCTTTGGGAAAAAGAGCTCCTGGGGAAACCTAAAACAACATAAGGGGTAAATGGAGTTTTCTGGATTTAAGTCTGTAAAACTACATTTCACAGCATTTTGCTAAAGCTTAATTCTGAGTGATGATGCACCCAAATAATTTGCTCAAATGTTTATTCATCTCGTTTTAATCCTGGTTCCTGATAGTTTAAAGAGATTATTAAGCAAAGTATATGGGAGGCGATTTCATTGTTTAGACCGAGCTCCTACACTGGGCTCCAGCAGACAGTGAAGTCACTCATGCTAGGTGTCATGCACAATTACACTAAACTTTGAAACAGGCAAGGTTTCCAGAAATGAGAAGATTCACAGCAACTAAGCAGAAGGGGCTCATTTTACCTGAGCCAGCATGATAGGGAAGCCCCTTCTGTGTTAACCCTATAAGTAAAGTAACTTTGAAATGACCAATCTGCTTTTGTTCCTTGTTTCTGCTTTCTTCAGCCCTTTTCTGCCTATAAAGCCAAACTATAAACCAGAGCACGCCTTCTGTTTTATAGAATGAGATATTGCCCAGTTCTAGAATCACTAATAACAGCTAATTACATCTTAAAACCAAACTTGTTGTAATTTTATTTTTTAACAATATCAGTAAAGGTGCCTTTATTCTAAGAGCTATATGAGGTGGTTTGATCATATTATTCACAGAATTATAAAGTTAGCATAAGAAAATTATGAAATTAAACCCCAAATTGTTTGTTGAATATGGTGACTGGTTATTAATCTTGAAGATAGGAAATAAGATGTTCCTTGATTAGTGTTGGTCCTGAAAGAACTTATTGTCTTATTAAGAAGAAAAGACTCAAGAAAAGTAATCCAAAACAGAATATAGTCAAGTTTCAACTGTATGTATTATAGATGTTCAGAGAATTGTGTTGTGTTGATTTTTGTTAGCATAGAAGGCATTGTAAAATGTGTGTGACTAGGAGCCAATTAGAACTGAGTGTGTGTGTGTGTGTGTGTGTGTGTGTGTGTTTGAGACAGTCTCGCTCTGTCGCCCAGGCTGGAGTGCAATGGCGCGATCTTGACTCACTGCAACCTCCGCCTCCTGGTTCAAGTGATTCTTCTGCCTCAGCCTCCCGAGTAGCTGGGACTACAGGTGCCCACCACCACGCCCAGGTAATTTTTGTATTTTCAGTAGAGATGGGGTTTCACCAGGTTGGCCAGGCTGGTCTCAAACTCCTGATCTCACGTGATCCACCTGCCTCGGCCTCCCAAAGAGTGTTTTTACAGGCTCCATTCCTTATTCCTGGAGTCATCTTAGGGAAATTTTCTGACATTTTATTGCCTTAGAACTCTCATCTGTAAAGTAGAGAGAAAGATGCCTCACTTGCTTGCTGAGGACTAATGAGATACAATTTTGAGAATTCATTTTTTTCATCCCAATGATTTTCACCAACCATGATCATGCTAAATTTGTCTCACTCAAAACCAGGCATAATGTAATGCTGTTAAGAACATATTATTCTAATATTCGGTCCAGAATTCCTCTCTGTGAACCGTTTCTGTTTAGAATCTGTGTTCATAAATGCTGGGAGTGTGTCAGCTGGTGACTTCAGAGGAAAGGGGAACCACTACACATGAGGTAAAAGGAGGAATGTGTTGTTTTGCTACTGAGAAGGACTGGGGAGGGGAGTGGAATAAAAGGTGGGAGCAGAGAAGAGACAGGCCAGCAAAATCAAAAAGCAGGTGCTGCAGAGAAAGAGCCAGGAGAGAAACTTCTGGTGGTGAGTGATAAAAATGGACTTGGGGGACAGGACAATATAATAAGTGATGAGCTTTTGCCCCCCGTCTCTCCAGTCATCAGGAAAGTCTATTGTGCTTATAAATGCTTTGTTTCAATTTTCAGCAAACACAGTAAAGGAGCTGTTTTATATCTGGTAGCACCTCATGTTGACCCCAATATAAACGAGAAACAAGAGCCCAAGAAGCAGAGGAAGTTAGGAGATAGTAAGCTGTCCAGAAATTAGCCAACGACTGTGGAATGGCTCTAGACTTCTGTAGCAAATGGAAATATGAGGTTAGTTCCAGGTTTATGTAAATCACCAAGGGTTAGATGAACTCCCATATGGCATATTACACCAATTTGTAAGGACATCAGAAAATAGTTCATATTGTTTCAAAGTTGGCTCCATAAGCGGGCAATTGTTTTTAATATATATCAGGGCTTAGAACATGATATCCCAAAATATGGCACCTTGGCATAAGCAGAAAGCTCACTCTCTGACTTTCTCCAACCTTCTCTCCCAGGCCATAAAAATCATTCTCTCTCCCTCCATGTGGAGAATGAAGACTTTTTGGGACACCTTAAATCCAGAGAAAAGGAAAGAAGATACATACAGCCAGAGCAGAATCTGAACAAACAGGCCTTGCTTAGTTCCCCCCAGTTTATTGATCATATCCTTTTTGATCAATCAGGCTTCTTCTTTCTTGCTTTCTTTTTTTTTTTTTGAGGCGGAGTCTCACTCTGTTGCCCAGGCTGGAGTGTGCAGCGGCATGACCTCGGCTCACCTCAAGCTCCGCCTCCTGGGTTCAAGCAATTCTCCTGCCTCAGCCTCCCGAGTAGCTGGGATTACAGGTGCCCGCCAGCACGCCCAGCTAATTTTTGTATTTTTGGTAGAGACGAGGTTTGACCATGTTGGCCAGGCTGGACAATCAGACTTCTATGTGACTGTCCATTCTTTAGCAAACCTAGGCATAAAAATACACAGCTTTTCCTAAGTCTTCAGGTCATTTCTGAAGTTTCCCGTGTCACACAAAATTTTGGTTAAAAAATTTTGTTATGCCTTTCTCGTTAATCTGTCTTTTGTTATAGGTGTCATTCACCAATTGTCAACTTCGCAATTGGTATGAAAAAGATACTACTTTTTCTCTCCTGCACATCTAATGAAATTCTTTAGTTGAAATCCTTAGGTGTAAACCAATAATATCCCCAATCTTTGTTTTGTACTAACAGTCTTGACTTTTTCTAAATCAAATACATCCCTGTGGATTATTACTCTCACCTGCATGGTCTTCAGAAAAGAAAAATAAAATTACTCTACTGGAGATCACAATGACACAATATTCTGTAAGTGGAGCTGCCTTATAAAACTATTTTTGTTCCATTCTTTCACAGCTATTTTTAAAGTTCTGTTTTTAGAATTCACAGTTCTGCTCTTTGGGACTTCAACTACAAAGTGAAGTATTGCCGGTTTTTTTTGTTTTTTTTTTTTTTTTTTGAGACGGAATCTTGCTCTGTCACCCAGGCTGGAGTGCAGTGGCATGATCTCGGCTTACTGCAAGCTCCACCTCCCGGGTTCACACCATTCTCCTGCCTCAGCCTCCCGAGTAGCTGGGACTACAGGCGCCTGCCACCATGCCCAGCTAATTTTTTATATTTTTAGTAGAGACGAGGTTTCACCATGTTAGCCAGGATGGTCTCGATCTCCTGACCTCATGATTTGCCTGCCTCGGCCTCCCAATGCCATTCTTAACATTTAATTTAAACTTGCGGCCAGGAGTTCAAGACCATCCTGGGCAACATAGTGAGATCCTATCTCTACAATTTTTTTTTAATTAGCTGTGCATGGTGACATGTGCCTGTAGTCCCAGCTACTTGTGAGGCTGAGGTGAAAGGATTGCTTGAGCCCAGACGTTCAAAGCTGCAGTGAGCTATGGTCACACCACTGCACTCCAGCCTAGGCAAGAGAGCAAGACCCGGTTGCAAAAAAAAAAATTCTTCCTGCATTCAATGACATCGCCTTTCATTTTGGCCATTTCCTCCCCTCCCCAGTTGTGACCTCCATACTGGGTTATGCTCCAGGTCCCTGATTCCTTTTCAGAAAGTCTCTGTAATTGGAATTGGAGGTGTGAGAGGAGTTCACAGTCACACAAAGCCTGCTGAAGTATGGTAAGCCTTACTCACACAGGCAACTTTTAACTGTGATGACATCTCAGTAAAATGTTATACAACTACGGTGTCATTTAAATATTCTGTGACATTTTCAGAGGAAACTTTCCAGTACATAAAATCATCTCGTGTTACCTGAGAGAATGACAACTCTGTTTTTAAAATTACTCTGAAATTCCTAGAAAATCAAACCAAACCGAAAACCTCACTATGTTTTTTATTTTACTGGTAAATAAATATTTTTTCTTGGTCATATTTAGGTTATGGTGAGAGTTAAGTAATATGTCTGAGAGTACATTATTTACCATAAATCTTTGTACAGACACTCCTATTTTATTAGCTATTTTCAAAATATCAGAAACTAATAATTCCCCTTCATTTCTACAGGGCAATAGTGATCCTAGACCAAATTCCTTCCTTTTTCTCTCCAAATTGGTTATGATACTGCTTCCTCAGGTTGGTCCACTATATTTAGGCGTGAAGGACAAGGAGAGACAAGCTGTCACTGGTCAAACAAAACAAAACAAAACAAAACAAAAAAAAACACAGATACAAGGGCTTTTCAGGTTAGTCCTAGAGAATTTCACAACATTCCAGGGTTTTCACTGCTTCTGTGAGTAAATTTTCTTTCCTGCTCCCATGCAGGAAATGGTTCAGCATCGTCAAGCCATTCAGGCCTTCGTTACTGCCATGTTTTGAATGTGCCCCCCCCTCAATTTCATGAGTGGGAAACCAAATTTCCTATGTGGCAGTATTGAGAGGTGGAACGTTTAAGAAGTGAGTGGTTCATGAGTGCTCTGCCCCCTGAGTGGATTAATCTACTCATGAGTTAATAAATTGATGGGTTAATGGATTAATGGGCAATCATGGGAGTGGAACTGGTGGCTTTCTAAGAGGAAGAGAGGCCTGAGCTAGCACGTTAGCATGCTCAGCCCCCTCACCATGTGATGGTCTGCACTGCCTCAGGTCTCTGCACAGTCCTCACCAGGAAGAAGGCTCTCACCAGACACTGAGCCATGCCCTTGGACTTCCAAGCCACCTGAATTGTAAGAAATTTCTTTTCTTTATAAGTTACCCAGTTTCAGGTGTTCTATTATAAGCAACAGAAAACAGACTAAGACAGCTATGTTATGAAGACTCATTTTTGAAAAAACATAGACATGATCCTTAAAATAAATACATATGTGTGTAGGTGTATGTGAGTTACACAATTCTAAGATTGCTTGTCTTCAAATTATACAACAAAATAATTAACATGAAAAAGAAGCACAGTATAATGTTATTATTTTTCAGAAAAAGCTGTTAGACTAGGATGGAGAAAGTGATGTCATGTAGTCAAGGGAAGTCTTTGATTTAAAGGGGGATCTATTTACTTATTGCACATATATAAACAGCTTTAAAGAATATTAAACCTACTAAGCTACTTATGGTTTTGCTCTGACAACTACTTCCTTTGGTTTTTGGTTTCAGTTGGCTTCTCTGAGTCATCTTGCTTCTCTGAACAAGTGAGGTATTTGCTGTCAGTGATGTGGGCTGAATCAATACAGTGTCACTGTTTATGCTTTAAATTGATGAGTTTTCAGAAGGTGGCAGTGGTATGAGAGCCAGTGATTCAGCTCACCCTAGGATTGTTAACAGAGGTTAATATAGTAGATAAACGGTGTGTTCTATTTTTCTTTCAAAATAATGATATGTTAAAAATATTATGAACATGGAAAAAGCTTTCAATAAAATCCAGCATCCCTTCATGAAGAAAACCCTCAACAAACTAGTCATCGAAGGAATATACCTCAAAATAATAAGAGCAATCTATGACAAATCCATAGCCAACATCATACTGAACAGGCAAAAACTGGAAGCATTCCCTTCAAACTGGAACAAGACAAGGATGTTCACTGTCACCATTCCTATTCAGCATAGTACTGGAAGTCCTAGTCAGAACAATCAAGCAAGAGAAAGAAACAAAGGACATCCAAATAGGAAAATAAGTCAAACTATATGACTTCATGGATATGATTCTATACCTAGAAAACCCTAAAGACTTCACCAAGAGGCTCCTGGAACTGATAAATGACTTCAGTAAAATTTCAGGATACAAAATAACTGTACAAAAATTAGTAGCATTTCTAAAAACCAATAACATTCAAGCTGAGCGCCAAATCAAGAACGCAATTCCATTTACAATAGCCAGCCATATACAAAAATTATGTAGGAATGTGTCTAACCAAGGAGGTGGAACATCTCTACAAGGAGAACCACGAAACTTTGCTAAAAGAAATTACGGATGACACAAACAAATGGAAAAACATTCCATTCCATGCTCATGGATACAAGAGTCAATGTTGTTGAAGTGACCATACTGCCCAAATTATGGTCATCAATCTATAGATTCTGTGCAATTCCCACCAATATCATTTTTCACAGAATTAGAAAAAAACAATCCTTAAATTCTTATGGAACCAAAATGGAGCCCAAATAGCCAAGGCAATCCTAAGCAAGAAGAATAAAACTGGAGGTATCACATTACCCAACTTCAAGCTATACTACAGAGCTGCAGTAACCAAAACAGCATGGTTCTGGTAAAAAAACAGACACATACACCAATGGAACAGAATAGGGAAGCCAGCAATAAAGTCACACAGCTGCAGCCATCTGATCTTCAACAAATTGGACAAAAATCAGCAATGGGGAAATGACTCCCCACCCAATAAGTGGTGCTAGGAAAGCTGGCTAGCCATAGGCAGAAGAATGAAACCGGACCCCTAGCTTTCACTATATATAAAAATTAACTTGGCTGGGTGCAGTGGCTCATGCTTGTAATCCCAACACTTTGGGAGGCTGAGGAGGGTGGATCACCTGAGGTCAAGAGTTTGAGACCAACCTGGCCAACAAGGTGAAACCCTGACTCTACTGAAAATACAGAAATTAGCTGGGCATGGTGACAGGTGCCTGTAATCCCATCTACTCGGGAGGCTGAGGCAGGAGAATCACTTGAACCTGGGAGGCGGAGGTTGCAGTGAGCCGAGATGGTGCCACTGCACTCCAGCCTGGGCAACAGAGTGAGCCTCTGTCTCAAAAAAAAAAAAAAAAAAAAAAAAAAAATTAACTCATGACAGATAAAAGATTTAAATGTAAGACCTCAAACTATGATAATCCAAGAAGAAAACATAGGGCGTTCTAGACATTTACCTTGGGAAAGAATTTATGACTAAGTCCTCAAAATCAATGGCAACAAAAACAAATTGGCATGTGGGACCTAATTAAACTAAAAAGCTTCTGCACATCAAAAGAAACTATCAACAGAGTAAGCAGACTACTTACAGAATGGGAGAAAATATTCACAAATGATGCATCCAACAAAAGTCCAATATCCAGCATCCAGAGGAAACTTAAACAACTGAACAA
This sequence comes from Homo sapiens, assembly GCF_000001405.40. Taxonomy (NCBI): domain Eukaryota; kingdom Metazoa; phylum Chordata; class Mammalia; order Primates; family Hominidae; genus Homo; species Homo sapiens. The sequence goes on from NC_000004.12 coordinate 174,360,946, forward strand.
GCAAAAAACAACCCCATCAAAAAATGGGCGAAAGTCATGGACAGACACTTCTCAAAAGAAGATACAAGAGGCCAACTGATATATGAAAAAATGCTCCATATCATTAATCATCAGGAAATGCAAATCAAAACCGCAATAAGATACCATCTCACACCAGTCAGAATAACTATTATTAAAAATTCAAAAAAACAACAGATGCTGGTGAGCGTGTGGAAAAAAGGAACACATACTCTGTTGGTGGGAAAATAAACTAGTTTAGCTACTGTGGAAAGCAGTCTGGAGATGTTTCAAATAACTTAAAACAGAGTTACCATTTGACCCAGAAATCCCCTTACTGGATATATATCCAAAAGAAAACAAATTATTCTACCAAAAAGGCACATCATGCGCTCACCTGTTCATTGCAGCACTATTCACAATAAGAAAGATATGGAATCAACCTAGGTGTCCATCAACATTGGACTGAATAAAGAAAATGCAGTACATGTACACCATGCAATACTACACAGCTATGAAAAATAATGAAATCATGTCCTTTGCAGCAACATAGATGCAACTGGAGGCCATTATCTTAAGCAAATTAAGCAGGAACAGAGAACCAAATACCACGGCCTCACTCGTAAGTGGGAGCTAAACGTTGGGTACTCGTGGATGTAAAGATGGGAACAATAGAAACTGGAGACTACTGGAGGGAGCAGAGAGGGAGATACATAAGCATTGAAAAATTATTGGGTACTATACTCAGTATTTGGGTGACGGGATCATTCATACCCCAAACCTAAGCATCTTAGAATATAACTAGGTAACAAACTTGTATATATACCCCTGAATCTAAAATAAAAGTTGAAAAAAATACGAATTAGACTTATATTCATAATTGATAAGTAACCACCGTGCTTTAAGCTTCCATACAGAATTTTCTTTGCTGGTAATAGTTTCTTATATATGCTAATTAAGTTGGTAAAACTCTGCTATTCTTCCATAGAATATTTGCCTAATCTGTGTTTCTTTCTCTTAAAATATCAAATAAACTTAATTTTCATGGGTTTGCTAAATATTTTTGCTCTGTCTTTAAGAGTTAGGTCAACCGAGTTGTTGGTGTTGAAATTCTCCAGCATTCAAACTATGGTTGGTCATTATGGAGACTGAAACTGTTTAGTCTCATATGCCTCTGGTAGCAATAGTTTCTCTCCCATCTCTATTTTGCATGTTCTGATTTTGCTTGTAGACTATAAAATGCAATCTAGCATAAGGACTGCCTTTATTGCTTTTTAATCCTAGCATCTAACATAGCATGTTTTGCAGATGCTCCTCAATTTACAATGAGACTGTCACAATAAACCCATCATAAGTTGGAAATACTATAAGTCAGAATACATTTAATGTAGCTAACCTACTAGACATCATAGCTTAGCCTAGCCTACCTTAAACATGCTCAGAACATTTACATTAGCCTACAGTTGGGCAAAATCATCTAACACAAAGCCTGTTTTACAATAAAGTGTTGAATATCTCACGTAATTTATTGACTATATTACACTGTGTAGTATAGTACTGGTTTACCCTCATTATCACCTGGCTGACTCAGGGCTATGGCTCACTGCCATTGCTCAGCATCTAGAGAGTGTCATACTGCATATCACTAGCCTGGGAAAAGATCAAAAGTCAAAATTTCAACTCTGGTTTCTACTGAATGTGTATCGCTTTTGCACCACTGTAAAGTCAAAAAATCATAAGTTGAACCATCCTGTCTGGGACTGTCTGTATACATCTTTGAGCTCCACAAATATATGATATTAATAATGGTACAATATTGTAAGTAATATTTTAAATTTTAGAAGAGTAGTACTTACTAGAGGAGTATTTCCTGTGTAACTGAGCACTGTGATAAATCCACCTAATACTTTAGCTCACTTGTTCCTCATAACAATCCTATTTTACAGATGAGGAAATGCACTTAGACTAGGAAACTTGCCCAAGGCTTAGGATAAATATATTTCATCTTAAAAGATAGGTGTGATTCGAGCTGTCACTGGCATTATCAGACTTTTTATATCAGATTTTATTGATGATAGATGACATAAATTGGGTTCTTAATATGTTAAGCATTGTTCTGTTAATTAACTTATCTTCACAGCAACATAAAGAGGGAGGTAGATTATTACTTGTATTTTGGAGATGAAAAATGCCGACATTGAGGGGTTTAGTAGCCAGGCCTCAGAGGTCCTGTAGCTAGCTGCTAAAATACCTTGCCAGGATTTAAATCATGGAAGTCTCTTCAATGGTATGGCTCTCTGCTGATTTGTTATACAGCCGTTTATTTAAAATTAGGTTTTAACCCAGCACATGATATGAAGATTATTTAAGATTTCATTTCCCATTTTGAATAATTTTCTGTGTTTTACTAGCCAAAGACATTTAATGTTAGTTTTCATTTTGATAAAATTATCTCATCAATATTTTTACATTACTGTCATCAAAAGGCTGTTGTTGAGATTAATCATGCAATGTGTTTAACTAGAAGATGAAATAAAAGTCACATGTTACACACAAACACACTCAACTGATTTTTAACAAAGGTACAGAAACAATTCCAGGGAGGAAGGATTTTCTTTTCAACAAATGGTGCTGGAGCAATTGGACATTCTAAAAAATGCACCTTGACTAAAACCTCATACTTTATTGAAAAATTAACTTAAAATAGATCATAGGCTTAATGATAAAATATAAGAATATAAAACATTTAGAAAAAAATCAAATAGAGAATATCTTCAGGACTTAGAGCTAGGCAAAGAGTTCTTATTGATTACACCCAAAACATGATATGTAGAAAAAGTTTTTTTATAAATTGGACCTTGTATTAGTCCATTTTCACACTGCTAATAAAGGCATACCTGAGACTGGGCAATTTACAAAAGAAAGAGAGGTTTAATGGACTTACAGTTCCACGTGGCTGGGGAGGCCTCACAATCATGGTGGAAGGCAAGGAGGAGCAAGTCACATCTTACATGGATGGCAACAGGCAAAGAAAAAGCTTGTGTAGGTGAACACCTCCTCATAGAACCATCAGAGATCTCATGAGACTTACTCACTCTCATGAGAACAGCATGGGAAAGACTCACCCTCATGATTCAATTATCTCCCACCAGGCCCCTCACACAACACATGGGAATTCAAGATGAGATTTGGGTGGAGACACAGCCAAACCATATCAGACCTCATCAAAATAAAGTGTTTGCTCTGTGAAAAACCCTGTTAAGAGAATGAAAAGGCAAGCTACACAGTGAGAGACAATATTTTTAAAGACCATATAGGACAAAGGGATTGTATATAGAATATATAAAGAATTCTTGAAAGTCAACAGTTTTAAAAATACAAAATGATCAAAAGACAGACACGTTTCCAAAGAGGAGTGGATGGCAAATAAGCACAGGAAAAGTGTTCAGAGTCATTTGTCATCAGGAAAATGCACATTCACACTACAGTGAGATACCACTGTAAACCTATCAGGATGGCTAACATTAAAAATAGTGGGCCGGGCATGGTGGCTCTTGCCTGCAATCCTGGCACTTTGGGAGGCCAAGGCAGGTGGATCATCAGGTCAGGAGTTCAAGACCAGCCTGGCCAGCATGGTGAAACCCTGTCTCTACTAAAAATGCAAAAATTAGCTCAGTGCAGTGGCACATGCCAGTAGTCCCAGCTACTTGGGAGGCTGAGGCAGAAGAATTGCTTGAATCCGGGAGACAGAGGTTGCAGTGAGCCGAGATCACATGCAACGGCAATCCAGCCTGGGCAACAGAGCAAAACTCCGTCTCAAAAAAAAAAAAAAAAAATTAGTGATAACACCAAATGCTGATGAGAATGCCGAGAAACTGAATATCTTTTACTTTGTGTGAATCAAAAATGACAGAACCACTCGGGAAGTAACTTGGCAGTTTTTAAATAGAAATATATGTACCATTTTTGTAACTTCATATTAATCTATAATTATTTCAAACAAAAAGTTAAATTACCTGTCAAAGTAAGATGAGAATGAGTTGTTATTGTATTCATCATTTTGTTGCAATGTTTAAAATAACATCATTGATAATGTACTCATAGTAGATATGTGTGGCTATTTTTTAAAAGTTTTTGTCTCAAGTTGCTTCATATTAAAATGTCTGAAACATTCTAGCATTTCAAGAATAAAAATTTCCTTTAAAATGTTAGTCATGACCTGGCAAAATTTTTTTTTTAATTCTGAACAACCACTGGGTGGCAGTAAAGGCTTGGGTTTTTGTTCATTTGCCTGGTGTTTTGTTTTTTTTTTTTTTTTTTTTTTTTGGAAAGTTGAGAAAATAAGGAACTAATTTGGTTCTGCTCTTAGCAAATAAAAAAATCTGTAGTGATAGATATTATTGCTGATTGGCAAGGTTTAAGCTGCAAATCCAATCATTAAGAAATAATATTTGTATAAGTTAAAGCAATAAATAACACACACTCTAAGGGATCATATGCAGAGTAAAACCTTATAAAAATAAACCTTGGGCTAACAGTCTGAGACGAGATGGACAATTCTAGAAAAAAAAGGAGTTTGGCATTGCGTGTTGTAATGGCATGTGGGATTTTCTGGTTCAAAATTTTACTGGCTTTCAGAAATTCTAAACAACCCCTTTATTTTTCTGTTTCCTCTCACTAATAATTAATTACACAAAATTCAACTAGTCTTCATTTCTTATTTGGAAAATAGTTTTCCTCTTTTAAATGTATATTAAAATGTCAGAATATGAGGAGAATGATAGATTCTCCTCTATAGGAGACAGAATATATCACATTTTGAAATGTGATGAGTAGATACATTTTGAAATGTGATATCACATTTCAAAATATTAATGTCTTTTTATCTTGACAAAACTGAGAGAAAACCTCTATACAACCTGTTGCATTTTTCATAAAGTTTACTTGCCAGGAGCAAATTGAGACATTGACTTTAATAGCAAGTTTGATGAGATCCTATGCTTTTCTTCACAGCTTAACCTCATTAATGCATCTCATTCTAAATATATATTATCATCAAGGATGAGGCATTTATTTGCATATGTTACTGTTCTTTTGTGTCATCCTAATGTCATATAAAATAAAACAATGGATATTAGGTCTGGCACTACCCAGGTAGAAGAGTCACATTCAAAACTTCTGCTGAATATTCATAATAGTATTGTCAAACCAGATTTCCATGTGAATCAGGCATCAAAACAATTTACAACCAAAAGGTCCAGTATTTAGTCTGTCTTCTCAACCTTATGGCTGCAGGACAGTGAGGATGGAGCAGAATGTCTGTAATGAGACAACTACAGTGAGGTTGGGATAATAATTCATCATATCATTGTGTGATTTGAGTGTGATGATGCCGTGAAAATGCTTAGCACTGTTCCTGGGTGACAAGAGCAAAACTCTGTCTCAAAAAAAAAGAAAAAAAAAAGAAAGAAAAAAACAAAAGCTATGCCCTGATCACCTTGGGTATATGTCATCAGGACGTCCTGAGGCTGCGTTATGGGCATGAATCCTCAACCTTGGAAAAATAAACTTTCTAAATTAACTGAGACCTGTCTCAGATATTTGGGGTTCACATTTGGGTGACCACAAAGGGATTCTGCATGGAGATGCCCCTGACCTTTGACAAATCTCCTATTGGTGTTTGGTACCAGCTTGAGCTATCTTTATGGCTCAAACCAACAGAACAATTTGCTGAGGCCTGGAAGAACCCCTCCAGAGAATCCCTGATCTCCTAAAATTTGGTCAAGATCTAAAGTTTAGTTTGCTATACAACTGTTTTGGAGTTTTACTTGCTTCCAACCCAAGAAAGGCAAGTTTTTTCTGCTTCCATGATGATGGAAGGCAGGTAACTCCTTTATGGAGTTTGAACTCACTTCCAACAGGTAAGATGAATTTGAAATTTATCCTGTTTCTAGGATAGTAGAGAGCAGTCTTTAGCATGAGACATATTCCTAGGTAAGTAACTGAATTGGGAATTTTCTTGGCCAAAGTGAAGATTAACAACCAGCTGGTCTTAATTTCTCCTTACCATTAGAGCGCTCAGTAATCATGTAAGTTGTGCCGTCATTTGTTTTGCTTAACAGTTTTTTTGTTGTTGTTGGGTCTTTTCCCCGTTGGGTTTGATTAACTCTATCTGACTTGATCAAATCTGAAGGAAAGTTCCAAACTATCCAAAAGCAAATTACAAATTATAACAAACTATCCAAAAGCAAATTATAAATTGTCTTTTTCTGACCTAATTAATACTTTAAGATATTAAGTTCCCTAAAGTCCAAAAATGACATAATTTGGCTTATTTGCTATAAATATTATATAGGAAGCATTGTTAAATATGAAATGGTGTTTGGTTTTCTTTGGGCTGTATTGGTATAAATATGTTATTGGTATATGTTACAAAATTTTGGGAAACTCCTATAATTCTGATATTACTTAGTGTACATTATCAGTAATAATAATTGCTATGTTAAATTATTCTGTGCCACAAAGGTAACAAATTTCCTTGTCAATTGTGTGTTTTGACTAAGGCTGCCCTAAACTTTTTGTCATCTATGGACAATTGTTGTCTTGTTTTTGTCCTCTTTAGAAGATGGCTGTATAATCAGCTATAAAACCTGACAGGTACTCTTGAATGCAGGTTTCTGATAACTTTGGAGACTGATATCAGAATAGAGAAAAAACTTTCAGGACTCATGGAGAGCCAAAATGTTCATAAATATCAAGCAGAACAGGAATTAACTGCATGGACTGACTAAAGTAATCGTTTTTACTTTTTTCTTAAAATGTTACTGGTTCTTTGTTTTATTTCTCAAAGAAACATTTCTTTTGAGCTATTGGCAGCTTTTAACAATTAAGTATACTCCTATGAACAAAATTTGGAGCATATTTGTTTGTCTCCACCTGATTTCTCCAGAATTTGGAAACTATTCATGAGTATTCTTAATATATGTCAATATAGTTATTTGCATGAGTGCAAGAAGAATCTGTTTTCATTTGTAACAGGATACAATTAGAGAAACTGGTTATTTTACCAAGGCCTTGACTGGAATGGAGTGCTTTCCTTTAAGGAAAAAACTTCACTTATACAGCCAATAAAAGCCCCTTGGGAAAACTGGCCTCATATTTTGTCTACGCCATCCCTGTACAGAATTCTTGACCTGTGGTAAGTAAAGAATGTCACTTTCTGACAGACCCAGCAGCCCTGAGTTATCTTGGGACCTCAAGAGGAGAAGGATTCACCCAATTCATAGATATTTGATGGTACACATCCATAGCTGGACTTAGCTTTAAAAAAATCTTATCTGAGATTCCTTCTATAGAACAAACTTCCATCAAAGCCATTTATTTATTTACTTACTTATTTATTTATTTATTTTTTGAGATGGAGTTTCACCCTTGTCACCCAGGCTGGAATGCAATGAAGCAATCTTGGCTCACTGCAACCTCCGCCTCCTGGATTCAAGCAATTCTCCTGCCTCAGCCTCCCAAGTAGCTGGAACTACAGGTGCCCACCACCACGCCCAGCTAATTTTTGTATTTTTAGTAGAGACAGGGTTTCACCATATTGGCCAGGCTGGTCTTAAACTCCTGATCTCAGATGATCTGCCCACCTCAGCCTCCCAAAGTGCTGGGATTACAAGCGTGAGCCACTGTGCCCCTCCCATCAAAGTTAATTTAAATGCCTATATGAAAAATAATTATTCTTGCTGTACTTTATACAAATAATCTGGCCAGGCATAATGAAGCAAATGGTTTCTACCATGATTTGTCTTTAGTAAACCTGGGAAACTGCAGAGAGAAAAATTAGGTTTCAAAAACTATAGTACACCTGTTGTTAGATTCTAGTCTTGCCTAATGTTTTTCAATTTTTACTATTTTCTACAATTTGGACTGAATTCTAATTTTTCCTGACTTCAAGTCTCCAAAGCAATGTTTTCAATTTTTCTTCTTTTTCTTTTCCCCTGCATTTTTGCTGATTAGTAGTCACCAAGAATGTAGTTATGCTTTCTTAAAGCCCCACGAACTGAATCTAGACAACTTAATCTTCAGAAGAAAATAACAGCAATCTATTTACCTACATAAGCCACTTTCCTACCTCCCTACTAATGTATGGACTTCCAAGGAGTGTGGACTATATGGATTCTCCAGGATTCTTTGTTTGTTGTTATTTTTCTCTTTTCCTCTCCCTATTTTCTCTTCATAGGACATGCAACTTCTCAACCTTCTAAAAATGGGGTTTCCTAACAGCTTGGGGCCTACCTATCTAGGAATAAACCATTCTAGCCATGAGAGATCAGACAAAACCTGACACCAGAGACTCATTTTCTTTTAAAATGCTTTCCCTAAAACATTTTTAAAAGGAAAGGAGGGGGAAAATGTGAGAGGAAAAGAAATCTTGGGGCGCCAAAAGTCACTAAGCTAAAGGGAAAAGTCAAGCTGGGAACTGCTTAGGATAATTCTGTTTCTCTCCTCACTGAGATAAAATACATATGTGATTGCCTCCTTTGTAAAGGCTAATCAGAAACTCAAAAGAATGCAACAGTTTGTCTCTTACCTACCTGTGACTTGGAAGCCCCCTTTCTGCTAGAGTTGTCCCGCCTTTCCAGACGGAACCAGTGTATGTCTTACATATATTGCTTGATGTCTCACATCTCCCTAAAATGTGTAAAATCAAGATGTGCCCCAACCACCTTGGGCACATGTCATCAGAACCTGCTGAGGCTGTGTCATGGTCACACACCCTCAATCTTGGCAAAATAAGCTTTCTAAATTAACTGAGACCTGTCTCAGATATTCAGCTTCACATATTCATCTCATCTTGGCCCCCTCAGCAAAGTGGCAAGAGGTAGACAATCCGTTTTTATTAATGACAACATTAAAGCAGAGAATATACTGTAGGAGACTGTCTCCAATACTTTCCAGAAGTGTTGTGCCACACCAAAATCAGTGGCATTTACTTTTGTGAGCAGATAATTTATCTGTGCTACCGACTTCACAACTGAGTGGAATTAAAGTAAGGTAGCAGAAAAAAAAATACTAAATCATTTTAATTACGAGTTCATGGTTACCAATGTGCTAGGCACTATAAAATGATTTTGTCAGCAAACCTTTGCAACCCTATGATGCAAATTTGTTTTTACACATGAGGAAACTGGGTTCAGCAAGGTGAGATGACTTAGGTCACACAGCTTGGAGCAAGTGGAACAAGATTTTAAGCCCTGATATGTTTGCCTCAAGGCTTAGCTGTTTCCACTGTGAATACTGCTCTTTAAATTAGGGCGTGAACTCAACTGAAAATCTCATTCTAACCCAGAGATATGAACCCACTAATAATCATCCCCAAAGCCATTCCTTATTTGCTGTTTTCTAGGGTGTGGAAACCTTGGCATTTCAGGATCCAGTCTCTGTTTGGGAAGCAATATAGTCTTAGAGTTAGGCGTATCTGCTAGATATAAAATGCAAAAGCCATGTAGCTTATTTATGTCTCAATTTCTTTATTGCTACATTATTAAATTTGTATACTAATATTTACTAGGTTGCAGAAGGGATCAAATGGGAAAATTTATCTAAAGTACTTACCATAGTACTTGTCACGAAGTAACTTATTGTCTCTTATGTAGTGCATGGTTTTTGAGGCATATGTTGCTAAATTACTCATTATTGGCCAGCACCTGGGTCCAAGTTATCTGGGGCTTTGCCATTCGGAGTGTGATCAGAGGAACAGCAGCACTGGCCTCATCTAGGAGCTGGTTAGATCACAGAATATCAATCACAGTTTCTGACCTACGCCTATTGAACAGAGACCTGCAATGTAACAAGATCCTCCAAAGATTTTTTTATGTACATGAGATTTTGAGAAGCACTTAAACATAGGGTATTTTCTCATTCTTATTGGCCTCTATAATAGGTAAGTCAGCTTACTTCCTCCCTTTCTATCCATCGTATTATCCCTCTATGTCTCAATACACGTACACATACATACAGGCACATACATATATCTATATATGTGTTTGTATGTGAATTTATATGTATATTCATTATATGTATGCTTTGTGTCAGGCAGTATGATGAAAACTTAGGTTTGTTAGTGAACAAGAAAGTCTTTGCTCTCCTAGAATTTGAAATCACTGGAGGACAAGCACCATGATCAAAAGGGGAATCTCTCTGAGGGCCGAAGGTTGAACCAGGAATAGGTAGCAGGGGGATTCGCAAGAAAGAAGGTAGACATCCCACCTGAAATTCATGAATTGGTCTTTCCATGTAGCCAGTGGTAAGGTCTGATGAGCAGTCTCAGCCTCATGACGTTAAAAATGTATTTCCATGGGCTTGGGGAATCCTGTGAATCCACAGGTTGTCAGTTGAATCAGCTCATAAAATAATTCTTGAGGCATCTTGGTCTAGATTAAATTCACTTTGGTGTGAGCTCAAGGGAGCCTCTAATTGTTCCACTGGAGGATTCAGTTTATAGCCTCTCCTCCTAAACTATACTAGGTGAATGGAATTAAGAATTCTTAAAGTGAAGCTTGTTAGTTAAAGCTTATTTATTACCATGCTTTGTAATCATACAGATTACTATTATCATCATATAATATATTACAACTATATGGTAATATCGATAATTATTCATTAGGTACTAGTAGATTATTATTCAATTGATAGTCAATAATATGTTATAATCATGTAATTATAATTTACAATATATTATTCATGCATCATAATCAGAAGATTTGTGAATGGTTTTGATTTTCTATTTCAAGATATAATAAAGTTTAAAGCTTGAGCTTTCCTCACAGATGTGATTCCTGGGTTGATTGTTTCTGTATTTTGTAGCCCGATCTCTCATCTGAGAAGTTATTTACCAAGAGGTCAGTACATAAATGAGTTCCATAAAGTCCTCCAAACTGAACAGCACTTTGTCTCATATTGCATTGATACATAGAGTTTTGGCATTTTTAAAACCTCTGATATCAGAGAAATAAGGAAGCCAATTTGCTAACCTAAGAAAAGTAACCTTTTTTGGTGGGCTGAGGAAGTTAAGGAAGCTGTCTTTGGCTCTTCCTGGGTGTATTGACTGATTTACATGCTTGCATTTACTTTTAAATTGTGTGGATATTGAAGTCTTCTCTCTCTTTACAGCTATGTTTTATTCACAGCAAAGCATAAGGACCATTTTATGGTCCCAATACACCCCTCAAAAAAAAAAATTTTGAGGGGTGTATTGATTGGTGAGCATTTGCTTTCCAGTATACAGGAATCCTATCTGGACACCATACCACCACATGGGAGAAGTTCTTTCATAAGCTTATGAGATAGGTACTGTCATTATTACTATTTTTCTAAGGGCGGAAACTAAAGCTCAATAGTATTTATCACTTGAGCTTGTGAAGAAATGTTTTACCCAAAAGAGGCTGCATAGGCCAAACACTTAAATACATCCAATAAATATTCACCTAGATTAATTAATTGATCTTTACCCAGTCTGAAGGTGGTGATAGGATAGCCCAGTTTTCTTTGGGACTATTTTATCTCACCACATTTTTTTTTCAGCTACACATATTCTTAGCTATGTTTTGTCTGAATTAGTATGGAATTAAAATTTTTTTTCATTTTTTTACAGCAGCTTTATTGTGATATTACTTCCATACCACACAATTCACTCATTTAAAGTATGAACTTCAAGATTTTTAAATGTATCATTCCATTTATTTTATTTTATTAATTAATTTTTAAATTGTATAACTGACACATAATAATTGCACATGTTCATGGGGTACAATGTGATGTTTTAATATATAATGACCAAATCAGGGTAATGACCTTATCTATCACTTAAGACATTGATCAGTTCCTTGTGGTGATAATATTTAGAATCTTCTCTTCTAGCTATCTTGAAGTATGTACTACCTTGTTATTTGCTATGGTCACTCTATTGTGTGATAGAACACCAGGACTTATTCTTCTGGTCTCACTGTAGCTGGCATTATCAATTTTTAAGGAATCCTCTTCTAATTTAATTTAGTCCCTGGATATGGAATATGGTTTATTTTTGTTTTTATTTTGATATAATTTATTTTGTCTTTTTATCACTTTACTAAAAGATTACCCGCTTGCTAGCTATGTAAACCTGGGTGGGTTACTTACTAGCTCTGGGTCTCAATTTTCTCATGTAAAAATGGGGTAAATAACAATAATACATACATCATAGGGTTGTTATAATAAATAATCAGGTAATTTTTTAAAAGTTACTATAACAGTGCTTGGCACATAATAAGAGCTATGTGTTTGCCAAGAAAAAATTAAAGAGAGATAATATGTCCAGAAAATTAGCTTAATTATTTTCTAGATAGTTTCTAATTAACTTTCTTTAATTGTGAGAAATTGAAATAGCGAGGCACAGTGGCTCACACCTATAATCCCGGCACTTTGGGAGGCCGAGGTGGGCAGATAGCTTCAGACCAGAAGTTTGAGACTAGCCTGGACAACATGGTGAACCTACCCCCCCTCACCACATCTCTACCAAATAATACAAAAGTTAGCCAGGTGTGATCAAACCTGTAGTGCCAGCTACTTAGGAGGCTAAGGTGAGAGGATTACTCGAGTGCCAGAGGTTGAGGCTGCAGTGAACTGAGATTGCACCACTGCTCTCCAGCCTGGGCAACAGAGTGAGATCCTGTCAAAAAAAAAAAAAAGAGAGAAATTGAAAAATTGAAATACAAAATGCTGGCCCCTCAGTAGAAAAATCAACATTTTGTTTTTAGAACTATTTTCAAGGGGTTATTGGGAGGGTGCCATAGGGCCATAGCCCTTCCCTTCTAGGCTGTAATTCTCCAACACGGGTGTCAGTTATTGAGTGGCTGGCAGCATAACAGGGAATCTTCCAGAAAGTTGGTGACTGATAAATATTGTCTGAATTAATGAGGATTTAACTCATTCTTTCTCAGTAATTCTCCTGCAATTCTCAGCTTGGTCAAACACCCCCTCTTCCAGACGTCCCTTGTTAGTCCAGATCCTTGTGACCACAGCAGTCAACCACAAAGTCACTGTGGTGGGAGAATTCTGACATAACTAGGAGTGCCTGGAAGAGGCAGAGGTTGATAGATGGTAACTTCCAGAAACCATACCACCAACTTCTCCATCTTCCAGTTAAGTAATTTGAAATAAATTTTTGAAAATGGGATGACTTCAGTATCCTGTTTGTATTTTCATAAAGAAGCACATCAAAGTATCTCATGCAAAATAATAATGATAGGATAATCCTTGGAATTTTAAACCATTTTGTCCAAAGAGTAGGGTTTTTTTTTAAGATTTCTCTAGAGAAATTCAATATTTAAAAAACATTGTTCAGCACATATGCTTGTTGAACAATCAGCAAAATAAAATAATATGTTGTCCACATTCAAAGCATTTTTGAAAGTTGTAGATAAGTATTTTTTAAATATTGCCATTGTTTTAAAAAATATTTGTTGATGTCCTGGTTCTTAGGGAGATATGCACTTAGCATATGAGTGTTCATGAATTTTAGTGTCATTATTGTTATTGCTATTATTACTGGTATTCTCATCTTTAATACTCTGCATTCCTCACCCTTCTACTTCTTACCATTATCCTTTTAGGTCCAATTGCAATCTTCCGTGGCTTGCTCCAAGCCTGGGTTTGGACTCATGCTGCTCCCTACACCCCCAAGTCCAGCAAGGGTTTTCTGTTGGAATTTACTTCCAGAAACCAAGTTTAAATCTTTTTCATCACTTCCTCTAACCAGTAGCTAAATGGGATCAGCAAAACTAACCCAACAGCCACTCTGCACACACTTTAACCTCCAATGAAGTTATGGCAGCTGGGTCTCCAGCATTGTGTCTAAGAGAGTCATGGGGGGAAGATGAAGAGAAGATGGGAAGAACGAAGTAGGTAGAAAGTTGATAAAGTTATGAAAGAAAGCAGAGTAAAGGTGGGCAAATGAATATGAGAAGGGATCTGTTCCCTACTGAAACTTAGGTCAGTGGTGGAGAAAAATATATGGAAAGGTGCAAGGGCCTAGTGAAGTAAACATGAGCACAGTCTCTTTTCTCCTAAGAGTCTTTCAGTTTTCCTTTCATTACATATTTTTCTTTTTGAAAATGACATCTCAGAAAATTGTCTTTTTTTTTTTCCCACGATGTCCTTGTTAGGTCTCTAGGATATGATACTAATATAAGAAAACCTATATAGTAAGATGTATTATGAGACCAAAGAAACCTAGTGGGTTATGTATTTCCTTTTGACTATTAGCTGTTGTGGCTGCACTCTGTGATGAAAATAGATCACATTGTGGAAAACACAGGATCATGGCAATATTAAAATGTTGCCTTTTTTTTTTTTTTGAGATAAAGTCTTGCTCTTGTCGCCCAGGCTGGAGTGCAGTGGTGCGATCTAGGCTCACTGCCACCTCTGCCTCCCAGATTCAAGTAATTCTCCTGTCTCAGCTTCCCGAGTAGCTGGGATTACAAGTGCCTGCCACAATGCCTGGCTAATTTTTCCATTTTTAGTGGAGATGGGGTTTCACCACGTTGGCCATGCTGGTCCTGAACTCCTGACCTCAGGTGTTCCGCCCCCCTTGGCCTCCCAAAGTGCTGGGATTACAGGCATGAGTCACCGCGCCCAGCCTGTTTTTAAAAATGTTGTTGATGTCCTGGATTCTTATGGAGATAAGCACTTAGCATATGAGTGTTCATGGGGTAAAGTATATTTGCTCTTAGTGCCTGTATTCGCTTGCTAGGGCTGCCTTAACAAGATACTACAGATTGGATGGGTTAAACAATGGTAAATTTTTGTGTCGGAGGTCCAGAGTCTGGATGTCTGAGACGAAGGTGTCGGCAAGGTTGGTTCCTTCTGAAGATTTTGGAGAATCTTCCATGCCTTTCTCCTAGCTTCTGGTGGTTTGCCCACAATCTTTGGCTTGTAGAAGCATCACCCCATGTCTGCCTTCATCTTCATATGGCATTCTCCCTGCATGTGTGTCTGTGTCCACATTTCCACTTTTTGTAATAACACTGGGCATATTGAAAGAGGGGCCTACTCTCCTCCACTGTGATTTCATCTTAAGTAATTAAATCTGCAATCACACTATTTCCAAATAAGGTCACATTCTGAGGTACTGGGAGTTAGGACTTTAACATGAATTTTAAGGGGACACAATTGAATCCATAGCAGTGCCAGTTCAGGAAAATTTAACTTAATTTACTGTTCTTGGAAACCTATCATTTAGGTTGAGGGTTCTTTCTTAGATAGGACTTCTTAATGAATAACGTAAAAATTTTTAATTAACAAAGTACCGTTTCCAAGCTACCTACATAGAAATTTTCACATGTATCTCACATGGAAAAACCTACCTATATGAAGTGGAAGTCGTCATCCAAGTAAATTTGTAAAGAGTGAAGAGGGCACAGGTGAACACAGGAGTCCAAGTTGTTCCTCCCATAGGTCAGTCCTAAAATCAAGAAGTCATCTTTCAGTGTCAATGTCAGGTCCAAGTTGCCTGAAGAAATCCTAATGGTTTGTTTTTCTTTTTCCAAGATAATTACTGTCTGGGCTAATGGTCTGTTTTTGATAGACTATTTCTATCTTGACTGGATAAATTCTTTCCAAGTCTCTCTTCACCCCTTCTCCTATTGGTTAAAGGAAATCCTTTGTGAAGCTTGTCTCCAATCTCTAGATATGGGGTCTGGTAACAGAGAATCTATTCATTCTTTTCTGTGCACTTTGTCTTTAAGGAGCAGGGGAGGCTGGGGAGAGGTAATTCCATTTCTGTTTCATCTCTAGAATACATACACACACCCTATGAAAACACTTAGTCCTAACCAAATGTACTCCACACCTATCACCCTCTCCCTACCCCCGACACGTGTATACACACATGCACACACACACAAGCTCTCTCTTCATGTGTTGTGGGAAACTTTTAGGGGCAGTTGCACATGGAATCTTCTTAAAACTCCCTGAGCAGTTTGAGGCTATTGTATTATACTTGAAAATGAAGAGTATCTTATTTTTAACATTGAACTGTTAATGCACGCAGGGAATTGGGAAGAAATGTGAGTCTGACTAATAGTTGATTAGAGAAAACGCCATAGGGTTAACTGGAGTACAAACAGCAAGAGAATCATGAAGTGATTTTATTTGGAGTTTTTGAAACTTTCAAATTTGTGTTTTAGATTCTGGTAGGAAAATATACAAGCTGTTTCTCCTCCCCTACAGAAACCTGGTATCAGAAATAAGTCAAAATTTTAGACATATCTTTTTCCATTTACTAAAATTCTTATGGAATAAGTACTTCCAATTATCCAAGGAGGAATTTTGAATATTATGCATGCGTGCTTGCATGATTGAGAGAGAATTTTTGCATCTATTTTTTGTAAAAATACAAAATACATGTATTTATAGAAGGGAAAGTTCAAAAAGTAAGATAAGGTAAAGTGTGATTCTTTATTTTGAGCGTATTTTAGATTTTTTCTTTCAAAATCATGAATTTAAAAGAAAATAGTATTTGTCCAAATATTTCAAGATTCCTTTCAATAACTACCATCAAGACACTATTCTTTTCTTATGAGACCTTGCCCCTGGTTTCTGTGGCACCATGAGAGTGATTCAATAGGAGCAAATGAACAGTTACACACAAACACACACCCAGGCACACTTAAATGTTGGCATTCCTCTTTCCAAGTCTCACATCCTTAAAGACAGAGTTAATGTTTGTGCTAAAGATAGTGGTGTTCACTGAACATTCCATTGCTGTCCATATTTCTCAACCTCCTTGCAATCATGCAGGACCTTGTGATTCGTTTTGGTCAATGGTTGTGGGTGGAAATGATGTGTAATGTTTGCCATTTTAACATAGCGGATGTGTAATGTTTGCCATTTTAACATAGCAGCCTACTCAGCTAATACAAAGGTTTTACACAGCATAAACCACAACACACTTTAATTGTTCAAATATCCACAATTTTATCTTCCTGGTGTGAAAAAGATCTAAAAGGTATATTCTGATGGTCATGGACTCTCAGTCTTGGGTCATCTTTCTAGCTGGGGAAGAGGAGGAGGCTGACACATCTTTCTAGCTGGGAGGTCTATAATTTTTTAAAAGACAGACAAATTAGAGCAACTGGCCCCATCGTAAGAGGATGAGGTGGCCACTTGAATAGAATTTTAGGGTGCTAACCGATGCCTTTTTCACTTAGAGCACACTAGGGCTACACAGAACATTAATTAGCTTAATTTAAACACACTTTTAAACTTCCAATTCACGTGTTTAACATTGAAATGTTTAAGCATTTGAATCCTGCTACATTTTAAAGATTCAACACTGGCAGCTGTTGCATTATCTCAAAAGAAAATGCACCTTAATATCAATTCAGCTTGTTCCATTTGAATATGCAACTCGTGATAATAAAACATTTAAATATTCCCTTCAAATATTAATGTTTGACAATTACTGGGCCTACTAAAATTATCTTCCAAGAAAGAAATTGCTCAAAGAAACAGTATAAGAGGAAGAAACTGGCCCTACCTCATATTGCTGCAGGACAGCTCACCTTCCTCTCTGTACTGTGATGTTTCCAAGATTGCAGCTTCTATGACACTCAATAATTAGGAATATAATCAGTCATTTTCACTGCTGTAAATAGTGCATGGTAGAGTCCCCACCAGCATCTGAGGTCCCAATTAAAATCAAAGGAGGAAGAGAGGATCTACTACTTGAAAGTATCCCACTGATATATTTAAAAAAAATTTTTTTTAATAGTTTTGTTCCAGCCATACCAGCTGGAAGTAATTTCCTTTTAACTATTAAATAGAATTTTCTCTTTTGGCATTCTGTAACACTTGCATTTATCTCCAGCTTAGTTAATTGTAGCAAACGTTTCTAATATTTCAGAAAACTCCAAGTGCAAATCATTAATATAGGAACATAAAAGACATTTAATACCATTAATCCTTTCCCACAATTTAAAAAGATTAAATTTAAATTAAAATTTAAATATAGGATTAAATAGGATTAAAGATTAGGGCTATCTGCTTCAGAACCAAAGGTATAATTCTATATATCCCTTGGGTACTGCAGCTAAAGAAATGCAAAAACTTTGTGTTTTCTTCACTAAAGGAGCTATTGAGAGGGGAAACCTGTTAGTTCTCTGCATCCAAAAGGCTGACTACATTTATGTTTTTATATGTACAGATGTTCCTAGTTTGAAATATCAAGACTCATAGAGTTGAGCTGACAAATTTTAAACTGTCTGCAATTTTGGATTTACAAGCACTACGCAAGGCACTAGACAATAGTGAAGAAAACTGTACGTGAGTTGTGTCACCATGGTGCTTGGAATAGTGATGGAGACAGAGATTACACAAATAATGTAAAATTGTATTTGTGATAAGGACAGTAAATGAATGGTATTTGGAGCCATAACATCATTTAGCCAAGGGATGTGATATATTACTTGCAGACCAAGCAAACTTTCCTTGAGAGAGTGATGATAGGATGAAATCTGAAGGTTTACTTTCAGCAAATGAAGTGGGAGAGGAAGAGTGTTCCAGGCAAAGGCAACAGTATGTGTTAAGGACTTACGTTGAGATGATATGCAGACATTGCATTTTTAAGCTCTAGAAGTTTGATTTGAGTTCTTTTCCATTATCTTCCATGTCTTTGCATGCTCAAAGCTTCTTGAATATATGGCATGTATTTATACTAACTGATTTGATGTTCTTGTCTACTAAATCTGTGTTATTTCTAAGTCTGTTTTTATTGATTGATTTTTATCCTTATTATGGGCTATATATTCCTGCTTCTTTGTAACTATGGTAAGTTTTAATTATATGCTAGAAAATGTGAATTTTACCTTTTTGGGAGTTGAATATTTTTGTATTTCTATGCATATTCTTGAATTTTGTCCTAGGATGCTGTTAAATTACTTAGAAACAGTTTGCTTCTGTTTTTTGTTCTTAAGATTTGTTAAATGGGACCAGAGCAGCATTTAGTAGCCAATTTTGCCCTTTTAGTAAAGTAGTAATGTTTTTAGTATTCTATCCAATGCCCCTTGAATTAAGAGGGTTTCCTGTGGGGAAAAGAAAGAGAGATCAGAGTGTTACTGTGTCTATGTAGAAAGAAGTAGACATAAGAGACTCCATTTTGTTCTGTACTAAGAAAAATTATTCTGCCTTGAGATGCTGTTAATCTGTAACCCTACCCCCAACCCTGTGCTTGCAGAAACATGTTCTGTGTCGACTCAAGGTTTAATGGATTTAGGGCTATGCAGGATGTGCTTTGTTAAACAAATGCTTGAAGGCAGTATGCTTGTTAAAAGTCATCACCACCCCCTAATCTCAAGTACCCAGGGACACTAGGAAAGCCAGGTATTGTCCAAGGTTTCTCCCCATGTGATAATCTGAAATATGGCCTGGTGGGAAGGGAAAGACCTGACCATCCCCCAGCCCGCAGTAAAGGGTCTGTGCTGAGGAGGATTAGTAAAAGAGAAAGCCCTCTTTGCAGTTGAGATAGGAGGAAGGCATCTGTCTCCTGCTCGTCCCTGGGCAATGGAATGTCTTGGTGTAAAACCCGATTGCATGTTCCATCTACTGAGATAGGAGAAAACTGCCTTAGGGCTGGAGGTGAGACATGCTGGAGGCAATACTGCTCTTTAAGGCATTGAGATGTTTATGTATATGCACATCAAAAGTACAGCACTTTTTCTTTACCTTGTTTATGATGCAGTGACATTTGTTCATATGTTTTCCTGCTGACCCTCTCTCCACTGTTACCCTATTGTCCTGCCACATCCGCCTGTCCGAGAAACGCCCGATAATGATCAATACATACTGAGGGAACTCAGAGACTGTGCCGGCAGGGGTCCTCCGCATGCTGAGCACCCCTGGGCCGACTTTTCTTTCTCTGTACTTTGTCTCTGTGTCTCTTTCTTTTCTCAAGTCTCTGGTTCCACCTGATGAGAGAAGCCCACAGGTGTGGAGGGGCAGGCCACCCTTCAGTTTCCAATCTCACCGGTGGGCACATAAGCTATTCTCAGCTCTGGGTGAACCCTAAGGGTTGTTTCCCCTGCTGCTTGGGTGTTTCTTTTTCCAGCTTTGGATAATTTGCTCACATGCATATCCTGATCAATATTTGGCTGAATACTCAAGGGGGACCCTCTGCAGATCTCTGGGTTTTCTTTCTCTATAGTTCTCTCCTCTGCGGTAGTCTGCCATGTCCAACTAAATAACAAACAGACAGGGAGACTCTATAAAAGAAAATAGTATTTATTCAGGAGTAGCATTGCAATGGGAATATGCATAACATGTAAATTATGTGCATATTCCAAGAGGTTGAGGCAATGGGGAGTTTTTAAAGGCAAATGAGGAGGATTACCTATGTTTTCTTGTTTGTTGTTTTGTTTTTAAATCAATCATCCTTGGCTACAAAGATCAATAACAAGGGCAAATCAGTCCAAGGTTAAACAGAAAGTTGCTGGGCAGACGCCCTTGCAGAAGCATTTACTGGACAAGGTTGTGGTGACCTTTGTGCAAGGTTGTGGTTTTTGCAGTCTGTTTTGATAGTTTTGTTATCAGGCAAACATGCATGAGAGCCCTCCCTTCATGGCCTTCCTCAGGTCCATTTTGTCAGGGCATGACACAAGTAACTCCATTTTGATTCTGACAGCTTTGACAGCCTTGTGAACTCTTGCTTCCTTGGCCTCCTTGAACTCTCAGCTCCATCTCCTCAACTCAGGGAAGTCAATGGACTTCTCCTAGGTTCTTCATCTTTTTCTATTTTGTGCTGCTATAACAAAATACAAGAGACTGGGTAATTTATAAAGAAAAAATTAATTTTCTCACAGTTCTGGAAGCTGAAAAATCCAAGATCAAGGCACTAGCAGGTTTGGTTGTCTGGCGAGGGTTGCTCTCTGCTTCCAAGATAGTTCTTTGTTGCTGCATTTTCTGGAGGGGAGGAAAACTGTCTTCTCACATGTATGGTAGAAGGTGGAGGGGCAAGTGTGAAGCATCTTTTATAAGGGCCATAATCCCACTCTCAAGGGAGGAGCTCTCATGACCTAATTGCATGTTAAAAGCTCCACCTTTTAATACTCTCACATTGGCCAGTAAGTTTTAACACCTAAATTTTGGAGAGTACACATTCAAACCATTGCACCCACCCTGCACTGCAGCCTGCAAACTCTTTAGGCGGTGAGCTGATCCAACTGCAGGGCTCACATCGTTTGCTTTCCTTGTCTCAGGAATTGCAGTCCTGTGCTACCAGTATCTACAAGCCATTGTTTTATGTCTTGTCCATTTTTATGGTTGTTTCACATGGAAGGGTAAATTAAGTCCCTGTTATTCCATCATGGCAGGAAGTGGAAGTTTGAAAGACTGATAAAACACCTGTGTGGCTAGAATTACATGTTGCCAGATGAGACCAGAGGAGTAGACTGGCAGCAAGCAGATTTTCCAGTTTGAAAAATATTAATGTATCTTTTTCTCTTTGCCTTTTCATGTACACAATGTGTAGATGCTAGCATAAGGCACCTGTTTACTTGGAGCGGGGGATGTGACATAGAAGAGACACAGAAGCATCCTTATGTTATTATTATTATTATTATTATTATTATTATTATTATTATTATTTGAGACACAGTCTGATTCTGTCACCCAGGCTGGAGTGCAGTGGTGCAATCTCAGTTCATTGCAACCTCCACCTCCCAGGTTCAAGCAATTCTCTTGCCTCAGCCTCCCGAGTAGCTGGGACTACGCGTGCCCGCCACCACGCCTGGTAATTTTTGTATTTTTAGTAGAGATGGGGTTTCACCATGTTGTCCAGGTTGGTCTTGAACTCCTAACCTAAAGTGATCCACCCGCCTTGGCCTCCCAAAGTGCTGGGATTACAGGCGTGAGCCACCATGCTCAGCCTGCTATCTTGATATTGAGGGTACAAGGTGAACTGGGAGACCTGGAGAGCCTAGCATGGTGCAAAGAGGGCATGGTACCTGGGGATTTGGTGTGGTCAAGGCTAGCAGAAAGGAAAGGTGATGGGAAGAATGTGGGGAAAAGAAAGAGAGATCAGATTATTACTGTGTCTGTGTAGAAAGAAGTAGACATAAGAGACTCCATTTTGTTCTGTACTAAGAAAAATTCTTCTGCCTTGAGATGCTGTTAATCTGTAACTCTACCCCCAACCCTGTTCTCCCTGAGACATGTGCTGTGTCCACTCAGGGTTAAATGGATTAAGGGCTGTGCAGGATGTTCGTTGTTAAACAAATGCTTGAAGGCAGCATGCTTGTTAAGAGTCATCACCACTCCCTAATCTCAAGTACCCAGAGACACAAAACACTGCGGAAGGCCACAGGGACCTCTGCCGAGGAAAGCCAGGTATTGTCCAAGGTTTCTCCCCATGTGATAGTCTGAAATATGGCCTCGTGGGAAGGGAAACACCTGACTGTCCCCCAGCCTGACACCAGTAAAGGGTCTGTGCTGAGGAGGGTTAGTAAAAGAGGAAGGAACGCCTCTTTGCAGTTGAGATAAGAGGAAGGCATCTGTCTCCTGCTCCTCCCTGGGCAATGGAATGTCTCGGTGTAAAGTCCAATTGTATATTCCATCTACTGAGATAGGGGAAAACTGCCTTAGGGCTGGAGGTGGGACATGCTGGCAGCAATACTGCTCTTTAAGGCATTGAGATGTTTATGTATATGCACATCAAAAGCACAGCACTTTTTTCTTTACCTTGTTTATGATGCAGAGACATTTGTTCACGTGTTTACCTGCTGATCTTCTCTCCACTATTATCCTATTGTCCTGCCACATCCCCCTCTCTGGGAAATGCCCGATAATGATCAATAAATAGTAAGGGAACTCAGAGGCCGGTGTCAGCGTGGGTCCTCCGTATGCTGAATGCTGGTCTCCTGGGCCCATTTTTCTTTCTCTATACTTTGCCTCTGCATCTGTTTATTTTCCAAGTCTCTCTTTCCACCTAATGAGAAACGCCCACAGGTGTGGAGGGGCAACCCATCCCTTCAGAAGAGTAGCACTTTATGATCACTACTGGGAGGGTCCCAGAACAACCACTTCATGCATAGGCCAGCCAGGACCCACAGAACTCTGGGGAGTTTCAAACAGTCTTATTTCTCCGTCCTCCAGCAGCATGAGATCTTGTGTTATCTTTACTTTTCTCATAAACTTCATTGTCACCTAGGAGGAAGGTTAAGAGAGGGGACAGAACTCTGATTTTGGATTTTCCTGGCTCATTTAAATAGCCTAAATTACTTAGAGACTGTTTAAAGGGGCATGCACCAAAATTTCTCCATCTTTTGACTTACCAGATTCTTTTTCCTCTGATACTTCTCAGAATGAGGTCTTTTAAGTAAATGAGGTCTTTTATGGTCTTTTAAGTAAATGAGGTCTTTTACTGATGAGGTCTTTGAAGACCAGAACAGTAAATAAAAAATAAAGGAGGTTTTTTATATTTTTATTTTATTTTATTTTTTACACATCTGAATGTTGTGTGAGTAAATCTGCAACCTCACCATAAAGTTAAGAATTTCTGTTTTAGGGCCAGGCACGGTGGCTCACGCCTGTAATCCCAGCACTTTGGGAGGCCGAGGCGGGCGGATCACGAGGTCAGGAGATGGAGACCATCCTGGCTAACATGGTGAAACCCCGTCTCTACTAAAAATACAAAAAATTAGCCAGGCGTGGCGGCGGGCGCCTGTAATCCCAGCTACTCTGGAGGCTGAGGTGAGAGAATGGCGTGAACCCGGGAGGCGGAGCTTGCAGTGAGCCGAGATGGTGCCACTGCACTCCGGCCTGGGCGACAGGGCGAGACTCCATATCTCAAAAAAAAAAAAAAAATTCTGTTTTAATAATGGAGAGTCAGTTATGTTTTTTAAGCATAGGTAGTTGGTATGAGGGACAGGATCATATTGGTGTTTTCAAAATTTCAAAGTTAATTTCAAAAGTTCACTCAGCCAAAGTAAGTGAACTATTAAAGCTTAGAGATCTTTCAGAGACTATTATAGTACCAAATGCCAAAACTGATTGAAAATACTCAGATTTTAAGAAAATATTTTATGATAATCTGTAGTATGTATTTATATAAATATTTATTTATTTGTATGTATTTTTGTATCTGTAGAGTTTACCACTATTCCAAGGCACCTAGATGACCATGCTACTAATATAATAATGTTAGAAGAAAGGCAAATCTAATTTTTATAAATGCTAACCCATTTTGAATTCAAACCACTATTTTTTAAAATTTCTCATCTCTTTTCAGTGGAAGAACCACCTAGTCCAAGAAATTTTAAAAAAAAATTACAATAGTTATTTTTACCACGTGTATCAAAGTGCATTGCCTAAGGCCATGTACTCTTTCAGGAAGTGAAAATCCATAAAAATAATTCTATACTAAGAGGTATGTCACCATTCTTTCTCAGGCCAGAGGCTCCATCCTTACCTTGGGCATTCCCAAGTGTCCAATCTGATTGTTAATAACTGTCACAATTTATGAAGTTCTTTGAATATGCCTTATCTGGATGGTTGGTAAATCAGAATAATAAGGATATTTGGCCCTTGAATTAATTAGTAGGTGCTTGATTTGACTAATCTCTTTTAGTCCCTACTTTAGCTGGTACTATCTTGTAAATCTTACTTATGGAAATGGCTGACACAAAGTTTTCTAGTAATTTTGCTTCTTGTTACCAAATGTATTAGTCCTGTCTTATGCTGCTAATAGAGACCTACCTGAGACTAGGTAATTTATAAAGGCAAGAGGTTTAATTGACTGACAGTTCGGCATGGCTGGGGAGGCCTCAGGAAACAAACAATCATGGCAGAAGGGGAAGCAAACACATCCTTCTTCATATGGCAGCAAGAAGGAGAAGTGCCAAGCAAAGTGAGAAAAGCCTCTTATAAAACCATCAGATCACATGAGAACTCACTACCATGAGGACAGCATGGGGGTAACCACCCCCATGATTCAATTACCTCCCACCAGGACCCTCCCATGACATGTGGGGATTATGGGAACTACAGTTCAAGAGGAAATTTGGGTGGGGACACAGCCAAATCGTATCACCAGTGATCCCTTTTCTCATGTACCTAATGCAGGAAGAAAATTGAGGTTTTACATTCTGAAGTGCTATTCCATCTTTAAAAATCGGAACTTTATTTCTGCTTGAATGTCCCATTCCATATTTTAATGTAAGGGGATTTGAATCAAGTAGATTTCTTTGTTTTATTTTTATTACACAGGCAATATATGAATATATGATTGTTCAGAAATAATTGAAAGATATAGATAAGTAAAATAGAATTAAAAAGTCACTTATACCAACAACAGCCAGGAAGTAATCACTGTTATCTTCATCTTATTGTATATTCTTCAGATTTCATATTATTGTTATTTGTAAACATAAAAAGACATCATGCTTCTTTGGTTTAGCAACATATTATTAACCTTCTTTGCCAGTAAATATTGTTTTAAAACATTATTTTAAAAGGATGTTCCATTATATGAATATGCCACACTTAATAAAGCCTTCATTTTTGGGTGTTCAAGTTCTTTTAATTTTTTATAAATATTGCAAACATAGCTACACAATTTAACAAAACACAGTTGCAAAAACAGGTAAATGTTTGCATATATCATGAACTGCTTTCTTCAAATTAATTGGGAAATGTGTAATGAATTCAGATGACTTAAAATTGACCCCTGTTGCCATTTTCCTAATCATGGAAAAGAGTAAAATATATAAGTTACCTTTCCACCCACAACACAGAAAAATGCCACATAACAATGCTACCGTGAGGCATCTAGAGAGTGAATTATGCCTCCTCAAACTCCCAGTCGGACTAATTAAGTTTGCATAACCTGTTTCACCATGTGGCTTGGTTCACAAGGTATGGACTGCTAATGACCAAATGACTTATTAAAACATAAAGTACTCAAATCAGTTAAAAACAATAATAATAAAGCTCAACTTGGATAAATCTACTGGTAAAACAAACTACAGTTTATAGGACATCTGATAGGAAAAATAACAGCTTTTATTCCTGTACATTAGCTGTGAATTGTGATTCCATTTTTGGCTAGATCCTGACTGGAGCATACAGGAAGCATCCAGTAATCAGTTTGCTGGTGGAGTCCTAATGGTAAAAGACAAGGCAGATGAGCTAACGACTGAATTGTGGAAAGGGTCCCAGGGAGACCAGGGCTGCATAGTTCCTGTTTCTTCATTCCCTTTTCTATGTTAAGAAAAGGAGACAGAGAGAGAGAGAGAGAGAGAGAGAGAATGAGGGAGAAAAAGGGGAGAGGCAGAAAGAGAAAGAGAGGCACTGATTGGCTTGGCCCAGGAAATACTCAAGCAGATAATTTTTGGTTATTTCATCTTTTAGATCCCTGTGTCTTTGACTCTTAGAGGATCAGTTGGAGCAAACAATTTAGAAAGTGAACCCACTAAGAAATAAGCTTTAGGCAATGCATTTGGAGCCCATCAGAGAGTGTAACTATTTTGGTAGTAATTATAAGTGCAAAGTGGAAAACTAAAACTCACGTGTCCAGATCTGTCTCTGATTACAAGTCTGAAAGATAGAGAAAATGAGCAGTATAATTGAAAGGCAGCTGGCAAGTGCAGTTTTATTTCCAGATGACGTTGCCAGAAAGCTCCTCTGGTTTAAAAACACAGTCATAATTTTTAAAACAAATCAAACTGTTAACATTTTTTACTTCCATTTATTTATTTAAAAGATAGGAATATAATATATGTATATATGTATCAGGTATACCAACGTGTAATACAGAGGAAATTAATTAATAATATAAAATGTACCAAAGAATATAGAAAATAATACCATGAATACTCATGGCTAGACAAATACTGCCAAGGCTCTTTGTGTTTCCTCAACAATTGCTTCATGACATATATAAGCATTGCTAAATATTACGTAACAATTTTGTATATTCTTTAACTTCATATAAATACATTTTCTCTGTATGTATTTTTCTGTAACTTGATATTATATTTGTAAGAATCAACCATATTAATACCTGTAGCACTACGTCATTTGTTATAATGTCTATTTTGCTTGACATTAATGTAACTATATATAGGTATTTTGGTTTTTATAAGTTAGTATATGTTTTTCTATGTATATAAGTCACAGATTTGTATGTGCTTTTGCTTTATGTATGCCTCTTGCTACGATGTGAATGTTTGTGTCCCACCAAAATTCAAATGTTGAAACCTAATCTCCAATGCAAGAGTATTAAGAGGTAGAGACTTTGGGAGGTGATTAGATCATGAGGGCTCCACCCTCATTAATGGGACTAATTCCCTTATAAAAGAGGCTTGAGGGAGTCTGCCTGGTTTCCATGTGAGGACACCTAGAAAGCAACATCTACGAGGAATGAGCTCTAACCAGACACCAAATCTGCTGGGAGCTTTATCTTGAACTTCCCAGCTCCACAACAGTGAGCAACAAATTACTATTATTTTTTTCTTTCCAGAATAAATTAATTATGATACTACCAGGGTCAAAGTGAATTTGACTTTCAATTTTATATAATCCATCAATGACTATTCTCTTTTTAAAGTCTTGGCAGCTCTTTGGGGGATGGAAGAAGACCATGAAGCTCTAAGTGCTTCAGAGGAATGGGGTTGCCAAAACAGATGTGAGAGGCCCAGAGAGGAGGCTGGGCCAATGCTGAAGGTAAAGATCCAATTCACAGTTCCAGCTAAACTTGACCTTACCTGTAGTTTTAATAAAATAAAGTAACAACTATTTCTCCTAAGTGTTTACTATAGCCTGTGTAAGAAGCAAATATACTGTTGGCTTAGAAAATAATGGGTTATTGTTTTCCTTTTGAACAGTTTTCTTTTTCTCTTTATTTTTCTTACCTCCAAGCAGCACCAGAACAGATGAATTCAGTTTTCTGTGCATGTATTCTCTGGGGAGAGTCAGGGAGGAAATTTTTACTTTTGTAGCAGCTGGAAAGTACATGTTTCTTCATAGCAAGGAAAAGTTGTGTATGACACTTCAAAAGTGGAATCCTTGAGTTCCTGCTGGGGACCAGCATAGCAGCTGCAATGAGATCAAAGTTGCAATAGACCCCTTGCTCAGAAAAATTTAGAAAATTGAATCCCCTGGAACTAGATATTTATTGCTTTATGTAGTTTAGTTCAGGTTGTGATTTCAATGGGAATCTTCAATCAGAACTGTAATGAAGGTTTATCTTCCTTGAAATGAGATAAATCGGCCCAAATCATCCCCTACTTGCATAAACATACAATTTCAGGTAACAGTCACTGGTTGGTAATGTTTCTCTATTTTGTATCTAATGCCTGCTCTATTTGTTCTCTCCTCCTAGGGTATTATTTTGGGGCTGAGTGCAGAAATAAGAGATGCGTGCTAAAAGGTCATCGGTTTAGAACCAGCCCTAGATCTCCTGGGATCCTGCCCAGCTGAATCTTCCTCCTTGTAACATGGGCTTTGGGAATTTGTGAGAGATTTAAATAAAGTAAGAGACACTTAGGAAATGAATTCATAGGGCACTGGGGAAAATGCTGAGCATATAGGGGCAGGAACTATGGTTTGAGCAGAGAGGAACAGGAGATATGGAGATATTTATAGCAATGAGTTGCCACTCAGTTCATATCGGATGACTAAAATGAGGTGTGTCTGCCCTCTGAGTAACCTGAATGGAAGAAAGCCTTTTCACCTTTTATCTGCAGTGAGTAGGTGCTCCATAGAATGTTCAATCAAATCTGAACTGAAAGAAGCATTTTAAATTCACACTTCAAGAGATCACAGAACAAACAGAAATTAGCAAGAGATTTTAATTTCAATTTTCTACTTGTGATAGTCTGGTAAGAAAAAACTATAAAATAAAATAACAACCTATATTCTAGTTAGTCTCAAGCAGAATTTTTGGGGCTTGCTATTGAAAGTTCTATGTAATCATTCTTTATATTAAAAGTATATTTGCCTAGGCTCGGTGGCTCACGACTGTAATCCCAGTGCTTTGAGAGGTCAAGGCAGGTGGGTGGCTTGAGCCCAGGAGTGCGAAACCAACCTGGGCAACAGGGCAAAACCACATCTCTACCAAAAATACAAAAATTAGCTGGGCATTGTGGCACATACCTGTAGTTTCAGTTGCCTGGGAGGCTGAGGTGGGAGGCTGAGGTGAGCCCAGGAGGTCGAGGCTGCAGTGAGCAGTGACCATGCCACTGCACTCCAGTCTGGGTGACATAGTGAGACCCTGTCCCAAAATAAATAAATAAATAAATAGACAAATAAATGTATATATATTGTGTATATATATTTGTAAATATATATATTTATAAATAATTTTTATTTACAAATATTTACAAATAATTAACCCGTGGTCTGATGACCTATTCAGAAACTTGTAAGTGATGTGTTAGCCCTAGCGTTGCTATATCCCTATTTATTTTCTTCTCTTAACCTTCCACACACTGTGTTTTATTAGGATTTACTAAAGCAATGTCTTCAAAGAGGTGTTTAAGAAGGAGAGGTTGGTCGGAACCAGAAAATGCATTCCTGGGATGATCTTTGGGATACACCCAACTGACCCTCTGAAAAGGTCAGCCACATGTATTTAATAATTATACTATATCACCAAACTCCAAAGTCAGGGTGGAACTTATCTACCAAATCTCAGCCTTCCAAGCCAACAGAGTTACTTTCTGATCCCTACTATATATCACACTAGAAAATAAGTATGTAGACCTTATTATCAAAGTGGCTATGCATGCTCAAAACACAAACGAGTTTAAAATGATTTATAATTGTTGAAGCATAAATTTGAGATAATGCTGTCTGTTTTTGAAGGGCTTATGAACTTAGAATTGTTTTTAGATTTTTTAATGGTTAAGAAGAAAAGAATAACATTTCATGACACATGAAAAGTATTTGAAATTCAAATTTCAGTGTCAATAAAGTTTGATTGATGACAGTCACACTCATTCATTTATGAATTGTCTATGGCTGCTTTGTACTACAATGGCAGGATTGTGTACTTTTAACACAGCCTAAAATTTCCAGTATATGGCCTTTTAAAGAAAAAAGTTTGATATTCCTTACTTTATGCCCTTGTCAAGTAGAATCAGTAGAATCCAGGGTCTCCATGGGTCAGATCCAGGTATGGCTATCCCCTGTTCTTTCTTTTGTATAGCAATGTATATAAATGGTCTTTCCTCTGGTCTGTATGGCCAGGAGCATAGCTTGAGTAACCAGCTATAATGTTTTCTGATATTCCAGAATATCAGATAGGAAGAACTCACAGGGACACTCCAAATGTATTCTGGGGGACACTAAATGTATTCACAGGGACACTCCAAATGATATTCTGGATGGGAAGAACTCACAGGAAAACTCCAAATGTAGTACAATCTGTATGTATATGGCACTTCAGTCCATTTATGGACTGAAAAGTTGAGAAGCCTATTTCTGGCATAGCACTATATTCTGGCACCACATAGGCATCATAAAATTTTAACTTGAATTTTGCTGTATTAAGAATACTACCTCTGTGATCTTCTTATTTGGTCATAATTTCTTTGAGTTTTTTATCTTTCAAATAGCTAAGCCATTATTTTGGAATGTTCAGACTTGTAGATTTTTTTTTTTTTCAGTTAATTCCCACAATTCGGAGTGGAATTTGCATGACTTTAGACTATTTAAAGTGATTTCACAGGTTTACTGGGGCATCCAAAGTCAAGTAAAACTGTGCTAACAATATGACATTTTTCCTTTGGAGTTACATTCTGGGGAACTGAAATTCTATTTTTCTATTCCCAGTGTTTTGGGAAACCAAGAATACTGGCTTCATAGCAGCAAAGACAGCGAATAATATTCTGTGCTCAACGTTCCATTGGTCTGAGAGTAAAGGGAAAAGGGTTCAGAGCCATTTCTGCCTCCAACTAGTTTTGTGGCTTTATGCTCCTCATTTAACTTATATGGACCTTAGTTTCTTTTTTAATTGGCAAATAATAATTGTATATATTAATGGGGTCCAATGTAGTATTTTCATATATGTATACATTGTGGGATAATCAAATTAGGTGAGTTAGCATATCCCTCACTGAACATTTGATATCCTCTTTTAACTGTTTTAAAATATATAATACGTTATTATTATTATTATTTTTTTTTTGAGACGGAGTCTCGCTCTGTCGCCCAGGCTGGACTGCGGACTGCAGTGGCGCAATCTCGGCTCACTGCAAGCTCCGCTTCCCGGGTTCACGCCATTCTCCTGCCTCAGCCTCCCGAGTAGCTGGGACTACAGACGCCCGCCACCGCGCCCGGCTAATTTTTTGTATTTTTAGTAGAGACGGGGTTTCACCTTGTTAGCCAGGATGGTCTCGATCTCCTGACCTCATGATCCACCCGCCTCGGCCTCCCAAAGTGCTGGGATTACAGGCGTGAGCCACCGCGCCCGGCCATAATACGTTATTATTAACTGTAGTCACCATGCTATGCAATAGATCACCAGAACATGTTCCTTATGTCTAACTGAAACCCTGTACCCTTTAACCAACATCTCCCCTTTCCTTGTCTACTCCTGCGCCCCAATCATTGCCAACCTCTGGTCCATTCTACTCTCTACTTGAATGAATTTGACTTTTTTTAGATTTCTCATAAAAGTGAAATCATATGGCATTTGTCTCTCTGTGCCTGGCTTATTTCATTTAGCCTAATGTCTTCTAGGTTCATCCGTGTTGTCACAAATGCCAGAATTTCCTCTCTCTCTCTCTGTGTGTGTGTGTGTGTGTGTGTGTGTGTGTGTGTGTGTGTTAAGCCTTAAGAGTATTCCATTGTGTATATATACGACATTTTAAAAATCCATTCATGCTTCAGTAGACACAGGTTTTTTGCATATCTTGGCTCTTGTGAAAAATTCTTCAGTGAAGATGGGAGTGCAGATATGTCTTCAAAATACTGATTTCAATTCCTTTGGGTATATACTGTACCCCAAAGTGGGATTGCTGGATTATATTGCAATTCTTTTTATAGTTTTTTGAGGAAGCTCAATACTGTATTCCAAAATGGCTGTACTAATTTATAATATCACCACCAGTATACAAGGGTTTCTTTTTCTCCACATCCTCGCCAACACTTACCTTTTGTTTTTTTGATCCAATTGAACAGGTAGGTATGAGGTGATATTTCATTGTGGTTTTGATTTGCATTTCTCTAATGATTAGCGATATTGAGAATTTTTTTCTTGTATCTGTTAACTACTTCTGTCTTCTTTTGAGAAATGTCTATTCAGGTTTTTTGTACATTTTTAAATAGGTTTATTTGTTTTCTTGTTACTGAGTAATTTGTGTCCTTGTATATTTTGAATATTAGCCCCCTTATCTGATGTACAATTTGCAAATATTTTCTCCCAATCTGTGCATTATCTCTTCACTCTATTGTTTCTTTTGCTGCCCTGAAACTTTTTAGTTGAATACAATTATATTTGTCTATTTTTGCTTTTGTTGCCTGTGCTTCTGGGATTATATCTGAGAAGTCACTGTTACAGACCTGTCATGGAACTTTCCCCCTACGTTTTCTTCTAGTAGATTTACAGTGTCATGTCTTACATTTAAGTCTTTAATCCATTTTTTACTTTATTCTTGTATAAGAGTGAAATAAAGGTCCTTTTCATCCTTTTTCATGTGGATATCCAGTTTTCCCATTTATTGAAGAGACTGCCCTTTCGTCATTTTGTCTTCTTGGTACCTCTGTCAAAATTGACTGTAGAGGTGTGGGTTTATTTCTGGGCTGTCTATACCATTCGGTTGGTCAGTGTGTCTGTTTTTATGCCAGTACATTCTGTTTTGATTACTACAGCTTTGCAATATATTTTGAAATCCAGTTGTATGATGCCTTTAGCTTTGTTATTTTTGGTTATGAATGCTTTGGCTATTGGGGTCTCTTGTGGACCCATATGAGTTTTACAATTGTTTTTCTGTTTCTGTTAAAAATGACATTAGAATTTTGATAGAGATTGCATTGAATCTAAAGACTGCTTTGGTAGTATAACATTTTAACAATATCAGTCCTTCAAATCCATGAACACAGGGTATCTTTTCTTTTATTTGTGTAATCTTCAATTACCTTCATCAATGTTTTATAGTTTTCAGTATAAAGATCTTCCATCTCTTTGGTTAAATTTACTCATAAGCATTTTATTTATCTATTTTTGACACTATTACAAATGGGATTGTTTTCTTAATTTCTTTTTCACATAGTTTGTTATTAGTATGTGGAAACACTACTTTTTTTTGTATGTTAATTTTATGTTCTGCAACTTTGCTGAATTAGTTCATTAGTTCTAACAAGTTTTTGGTGAAGTCTTCTGAATTTTCTATGTAAAATATCATGTCAGTAAAGAGACAATTTCACTTCTTCCTTTCCTATGCAGATGCCTTTTTTTTTAATTGCCTAATTGTTCTGGCTCAGATTTCCAGTACTATGTTGAACAGAGGTGGTGAGAGTGGGCATCCTTGTCTTGTTCCTGATCTTAGAGGAAAAGCTTTCAATTTTTCACTGTTGAGTACAATGTTAGCTGTGGGCTTTTAATATATAACCTTAGTTGTTTTGAGGAACATTCCTTCTACACCTAATTTTATCATAAAAGGAAGCTGGATTTTATCAAGTGCTTTCTCTGCATCAAATTGAGAAATCATACACTTTTTGTCCTTCATTCTGTTAATATGGTGAATCACATTTATTGGTTTGTATATGTTGAACCAAACTTGCATTACAGAGATAAATCGCACTTAATCATGGTGAGTGATCCTTTTAAAGTATTGTTGAATATGGTTTCCTCGTATTTTGTTGTGAAATTCTGCATCTGTTTGTCAGTGATATTGGCCTATAGTTTTCTTTTTTCATAGTGTCTTTGTCCAGTTTTAGAGGAAGAGTAATGCAGCCTCATAAAATGAGTTTGGAAGTATTCTTTCTTCTTCAGTTCTCTGGGAGAGTTTGAGTATAATTGGTATTAGTTTTTAAAAAATATTTCATAGAATTCAGTTATGAAGCCATCTGGTTCTGGGTTTTTCTTTGATGGGTGACTTATAAAGCCTGATTTAGTACTCTGACTCATTATTGGTCTGTTTAGATTTCCAGTTTCTTCATGATTCAGCGTGGTAGGTTACATGTTTCTAGGAATTTATCTATTTTTTCTAGGTCGTTCAATTCATTAGTGCATAATTGCTCACAGTAGTCTCATGATTCTTTCTCTTTCTGTTATCAGTTGTAATGTCTCCTTTTTTATTTTAAATTTTATTTATTTGAGTTTTTTTTTTCCTTAGTCTAGACAAGGGCTTGTCAGTTTTATTTAGCTTTTCTAAAAACCAATTTCTTAATTTTATTGATCTTTTCTATTGGTTTTCTAGTTTCTGTTTTATTTATTTATGCTCGATCTTTGTTATTTCCTTCCTTCTGCTAACCTTGGGCTTAGTCATACTTCTTTTTCTAGTTCCTTAAAGTATAATATTAGGTTGTTTATTTGAGATCTTTCTTCTTTTTTTGATGTAGATGCTTATTGCTATAAACTTCTCTCTTAGAACAGCTTTTAACATATCCCATAAGTCTGGTATGTTGTGTTTCCATTTTGATTTGTCTCAAGATTTTAAAAATTTCTCCTTTAATTTCTTCTTTAACCCAACAGTTTTTCAGGGGCATGTTATTTAATTTCCACAAATGTGTTCATTTTCCATGATTCCTCCTGTTCTTGATTTTTAGTTTCATACCACTGTGGTCAGAAAAGATAGTTAATATAGGATCTTAGTTTTCAAAATTATGAATCAATGTAGCTTGACTAGATGACCTTGATGGCCACCTACAACTGTAAAATATAATGCTCTTATTTTAACTCACTGAAGATTGCCCTCCTCCTCCACTGAATTGACTCAGAATACTTAGGATTTTGT
Source organism: Homo sapiens (assembly GCF_000001405.40). Classification (NCBI taxonomy): domain Eukaryota; kingdom Metazoa; phylum Chordata; class Mammalia; order Primates; family Hominidae; genus Homo; species Homo sapiens. The sequence continues at coordinate 174,395,931 of NC_000004.12, forward strand.
CAAGTTATATATTTGCTGCCTATCTATCTGAAATTTAGTGGAATTTTGTTTTGTTTTTAATGCAATTGAACTATTGCAATGAATAGATATAATGGAAATTTTGTAGTGAAATGTTTTTCACTACATTTAAAGAAAAGTCACTGGATGGCAGTTAATTATATAAAAGTACAAAGACAGTAATAATAAAATAAGTAAATATAAGATAACTAGCTGTATGTATATAAACTAAGAACATTCTGATGGTAAAGATGGGCATGAGTTAAAAAAATTTCTAGGCATTATATTTAAAACAATCTGCCTGCACTGATCTAAATAAAAACAGCTTCTCAAACTTCCATCTTCTTCTATATCACCATGTTTCAGGATTAAATTGTTGTTGTATTTTTTGACTATTAAAGGCACAACATTTGTCAACTCAACACTCTTCAGACTTTATCAATAACAAAAAGTTGCTAATGCTTGATGAGATGATGAGTGAGAAGGTGGGAGGCAGAAGCAGCCAACAGAGAAGACAAAGGATCTAAGAAAATGAGAGAGAAAGAAAGGAGAAAAATATGTAGAAATTTCAAGTTGATGATAACATTCTAAGACCAGATGAACACTTACTTTATTTTCTGGAAAAGAATCATTGACCTCATGAAACACATTGTGAATGTGTTTTTTTCTTCCTGACTCAACCTATGAACAGGACATTGAATTCAAGATTGACTACAAAGTTAATAATTACATAAAATTATATAAAATAAAAGTACGAAGGCAATAATAATATAAGTAAATATAAGATAACTATGTATAACTATATGTACAACTATATATACATAGTTTGTAACTATGTCTACAAGCTGAGAACAGTCTGGTAGTAAAGATGTGCCAATATAAGAAAGTTCTATTTGATGTTGACCATGACAAGGCACACTTCATCCCGAAGGCATTTTTGACGGTAAATCTAAACAGCCTGTTTTCTTTTTCAAAGAGTTTACTGGTGAGCAGCCAGACATTTGAAAATAGTTTCTGTTTTTCCACAGCTTGAAGATCGAATCAGAAAAAGTAGTACAATCATTTTGAAAATAAATATTTTTAAAACAAATCTCTTGGACGATGATTTGTTTTATATAAACAAATTATATGTAATATATTTTTATTCCTTCTCTATATAAAAATACTTACTTTAGGCATTTTGCTATGTTGTATTAAGAAAATGTCTCCTCCACCCCACTGCCAAGGGGCTGTTTCTTTCAGATGAAAAGGTTGTTCTTTTCTTAATACTAGCTAGGTCACTTTGGTAGTTTGCTGTCAGGACATGAAGTATTATTAGTGTTCTCTCACTTGCCAATGAAGGTAATTTTGAATGCCTCCAGTCAGCATTTTGTTTTGGAAAGAAAATTGATTCAGGATCTAATGCTTGTTGAGATTATGGGAATAATTCACCAATCTGTGCCTCGTCTAAAAGGAAAGCAGTGGACATAACTTACCATTGTCCATCTTTAACATTTTATGATTGGAGTAAAAACCAGAGAGAAATGATGTAATGCTTGAGGCAAATTATTACACTCAAACTCTTTCATGTTGTATCTCTAGTACCCTAAGGATGGAGCTGTCCATGACTGTCAGCTGACAGTCACATTATTGCCTTGTAAGGTAAGAAAAGGTTACTTTATTTAACTTCTATGAACCAGGATATGCATTACTTGTTAAAGATACAAAACCAAATAAATTGTGACTCTTGTCCCTGAGCAAGTGTGGCAGTATTTGCAGATGAAGTTGTAAACAGAGTTAAACTGTTATATAATAGTAAATAGAAAGCATACATTCAAACGAAATTATTCAGGGATTGAAAATATTTGCTGATTATATTAGTTTCTTATTGCTGTTGTAACAAAGTACCAAAACTTAGTGATTTTAAACATCACAAATCTATTATTTTATAGTTCTGAAGTCAGAAGTCAAAATGAGTCCCAACCAGGCTAAAATCAAGGATTTGGTCGGGCTGTGTTTCTTTCTACAGGCACCAAGGGAATTCATTTTCTTACTTTTTCCAGCTTCTAGAGGCCACCTGCACTTTTTGCTTCATGCTAGCCCTCTCCTCTCTTCAAAGCCAGCAATGAACAGTTTAGTCTTTCTCACATCATGTTACTCTGACACTGACTCTTCTGACTCCTCTTTCACTTATAAGGACTCATATGATTACCTATCACCCACTAGAAAATCCAGGATAGTCTCCCCATCTGATATGGTTTGCCTATGTCCCCAACCAAATCTCATCTTTAATTGTAGCTCCCATAATTCCCACATGTTGTGGGAGGGACCTGGTGGGAGATAACTGAATCATGGGGGTGATTCCTCCATACTGCTCTCATGGTAGTGAATAAGTCTCACAAGATCTATTGGTTTTATAAGGGGAAATCCCTTTCACTTGGTTCTCAGTTGCTCTCTTGCCTGCTGCCATGTGAGACGTGCCTTTGCCTTCTGCCATGAGTGTGAGGCCTCCCAGCCATGTGGAACTGTGAGTTCATTAAACCTCTTTTACTTCATAAGTTACCCAGTCTCGGGTATGTCTTTATCAGCAGCATGAAAATGAACTAATACACCTTCTCAACATTAATTTATTAACAATTTTAATTCCATCTGCAGCCTTAATTCCTTCTTGTCATGTAACATAGCATATTCACAGTTTCCAGGAATTAGGATGTAGACATCCTTAGGAAGCTATTATTCTGCCTACCACATTGATGGGACTATAAATCTTGGGTTTTCATGTAGCTTTCATGACCAATTCCAGTTAATCTTACTCATGCAATGGTCATTTAAAAACATGCAATTAGTTCCATGAATTTGAAGTCCTCACCAATCTGATATGAGCCTTTAAAAATTCATCCAGAACAGAAAGGACAACTGGATTAGAACATTGCTGGCATGGCTTTTATGAGAACTGCGTGCCTATAGTCCCAGTCTGTATGTTCAATTCTGGTTCATTCTGACCGTGTGTTGCTTCAGTATGTACAACTCCAAGGAACTGATGTTTTCTTAGCACCATCTGTTTATTACAGATTATGAGTCATCAGTTGGCTCCCAGAACCTTAAGGCCTTAGACACTTTAATATTAATTCATAAGTCTTTGTGAGTATGAACCCTGAAAATCTGAGACAGGTCTCAGTTAACTTAGAAAGTTTATTTTCCCAAGGTTGAGGATGCATGCCCATGACACAGACTCAGGAGGTCCTGATGGCATATGTCCAAGGCGGTCAGGGCTCAGCTTGGTTTTATACATTTTAGGGAGGCATGAGACATCAATCAATATGTATAGGATGTACATTGGTTCAGTCTGGAAAAGTGGGACGACTTGAGGCAAAGATGGGACAACTCAAAGTGGGGAGGGGGCTCCCAGATCAAAGGTAGATAAGAGACAAATGGTTGCATTCTTTTGAGTTTCTGATTTCTGTCACTCAGGCTGGAGTGCATGGCCTGACCCCAGCTCACTGCAATTTCTCCCTCCTGGGTTCAAGCAATTCTCATGCTTCAGCCTCCCAATAAGCCGGAATTACAGGTATGCGCCACCGTGCTAGGCTAGTTTTTGTATTTTTAGTAGAGACGGGTTTTGCCATGTTGACCAGCTGGTCTCAAACTCCTGGCCTTAAGCAGTCTGCCTGCCTCGGCCTACCAAAGTGCTGGGATTACAGTTGTGAGCCACTGCACCTGGCCAGTGGAAACACATTTAAATGCTCCTCTCTTTTGAAAACAACAGTTATTTTTTTGAACTGTAAAGGAAATACTTGTTAATTATAGACATTTTGAAACAATTCTAAAATTCAAAGAATTAAAATCATCCATAACTCTTTTACCTACTTGTAGTTAGGTTTTTGTTATATTTTCTCTCTAGTCGGTAATAATATTTTCTTGAATGATGTGAAAAAATCAGTAGTTCTTGGTGTTTTGTGGTTTTTTTTCATTATTTATAATTCAATCAGCCTCATTTTACCAATTTATTTCCAACTCAATAAGGAGTTGAAAATTTTATATACAGCTAGAGCCTAAAAATGATAAATCCAATTTTCCTGTCTTACAGAAATTTGGAAATGGAGTTTACATAAGCATTACCTTTCTACTCTTCCTAACCTGTAGGGCCACTACATGGCATCTTTTCTTTTTAATAAAAAGGAAAGAAAAGTCTAAGTATTTATTTAGAGCAAACATTCTGTTAGCCATGGGAAAATGAAAGGTTATAAAACACTTGTCTTCAAAGAGTTTATAGTGCAGTTGTATAGGAAGGCACACCTTCAAAGAAAATGTCAATGCAACTGGAAGATGGGCTCTAAGGACCCAGCCTCTCTAATGGAGGAGGTAACATTGCCCAAAGAATCTCTTTCCAGAGAGGATTAAAGCTTCCTCTCTTTGGTTATAAGAACATGGCAGGTGCCAAGTGTTCATCCTGGAGGGTCACCAGAAAATGATGGGCCGGTGAATCTGGAGAAGTACAAAACTGGGTCAGGTATAGTCAGTTCCTGAGAGAATCATGGTACCATTCACCAAGATAAGTAAATCCCAAGGAAAGTGGACATTATTTTTCTGAAAAGGAAAATGAATGATTTTTTCTGGACATGATTGACTGTGATCCTGTGGTGATATCCTGCATCAGGTATCAAAGAATCATAAATCAATGAACAATTAATATTTGAAGGGATTTTAGAGTCAATTATTGTGTTAAAATTTTTTCATTTTAGACATAGTGGAAGATAAATTTCCAAGAGATTTAATAATTTTGCAAATGCCACCAAACAAGTTGGTTGTAGAAGTGGGACTAAAAGATAAATTCCTTCCTTTTATGCTACCAGTGTGGGGAAAAGAAAGAGAGATCAGATTGTTACTGTGTCTGTGTAGAAAGAAGTAGACATAAGAGACTCCATTTTGTTCTGTACTAAGAAAAATTCTTCTGCCTTGAGATGCTGTTAATCTGTAACCCTACCCCCAACCCTGTTCTCCCTGAGACATGTGCTGTGTCAATTTAAGGTGAAATGGATTAAGGGCTGTGCAGGATGTTCTTTGTTAAACAAATGCTTGAAGGCAGCGTGCTTGTTAAGAGTCATAACCACTCCCTATTCTCAAGTACCCAGAGACACAAAACACTGCGGAAGGCCACAGGGACCTCTGCCAAGGAAAGCCAGGTATTGTCCAAGGTTTCTCCCCATGTGATAGTCTGAAATATGGCCTGGTGGGAAGGGAAACACCTGACTGTCCCCAAGCCCGACACCATAAAGGGTCTGTGCTGAAGAGGATTCGTAAAAGAGGAAGGAACGCCTCTTTGCGGTTGAGATAAAAGGAAGGCTTCTGTCTCCTACTCATCCCTGGGCAATGGAATGTCTCGGTGTAAAGCCCGATTGTATATTCCATCTACTGAGATAGGGGAAAACCGCCTTAGGGCTGGAGGTGGGACATGCTGGCAGCAATACTGCTCTTTAAGGCATTGAGATGTTTATGTATATGCACATCAAAAGCACAGCACTTTTTTCTTTACCTTGTTTATGATGCAGAGACATTCGTTCACCTGTTTACCTGCTGATCTTCTCTCCACTATTATCCTATTGTCCTGCCACATCCCCCTCTCCGGGAAATGCCCGATAATGATCAATAAATAGTAAGGGAATTCAGAGGCCGGTGTCAGCGTGGGTCCTCCGTATGCTGAACGCTGGTCCCCTGGGCCCATTTTTCTTTCTCTATACTTTGTCTCTGCGTCTGTTTATTTTCCAAGTCTCTCGTTCCACCTGATGAGAAACGCCCACAGGTGTGGAGTGGCAACCCACCCCTTCATACCAGCACATGGGAGGTATCAGAAATCCTGAGTTTTTGTTCTTTGTTCTTTGGTGATGGTGGGTTCAGTTGTCTCAGATAATCTCAAAAGGGAATTTTGGACAAGGTAACCCCCAACATTCTTTCCAGCTTTGATAGTCTGCTACCATCAGATAAGCTCAGGAGAAATGAGTCTTGCGGAAGAATGGATTTGTAAGCACTGAGAATGTTTAAGATCCCTGAGGGAAAAAATGATGACAGGGATCAAGATATCAATGATTAACCTTTGTGCTACTCTTTGATATACGGTGTGGAAGAAAGAAGAGAAACCACAAAGGACACCCACAGAGAAGTGGGTAGTGAAGTAGAAGAATAGGAATAGGCCTGGGACTGAAACAAAAGGAGGGGCTGAAGAAGGACTGATTAAATATGGCAAATGCCACAGACATCAAGGCGGATGGGAACTGGGAAAGGGCAACGAGATTTTATAATGAGATTGGACAACAAGAGTCTTTGTATATAAAATATTTAAAGTACATTGATTAAATTATCTATGAGAAGATGGATACAAAAGAGAAAATATTGAATGTAGGTAGTTGGAAGATATATAAGAGTCAGAGATAAAGTGTATAGAATTGGGCAGGCTATAAGCCCAATTGCAGGCAGAAGAGATGAAGAGCAAGAGATTGAAGGTTTGTGAAAGAGGATTTGTCTGATGGCATGAAGTTCCAGAAGAGGTGGAAGATGGGGAATACCCTTAACACAGATAGAGAGGCTGATTTGGGCAAGGAGAAGGGCACCTCTTCCTCTGAAAAAGGAGTATAGGAAGAGTAGGCACCTGAAAACACAGAGAAATTTAGAGTTCTGTGGACACAGAGCTGGTTTGAGGTGGGGGAAAGAGTATACAAAGCATTTTGTGACAAAGAATTTGTCTTCTTAGTCATTATGGTGGCAACGCCCAGGCTGAGTGGTGAGACTGAGTAGCTGAGGACTGAGCAAAAAGATCCAAGCAGGGGCTGGAGGGAGAGATCCACAGAGAGTTAATAAAAGAATGGGGAGCTGCTGTAAAGTTAGGTAGAAAATGTTTCAGTGCTTCTCTGATGCATAATTTTATGACCTTGATTTTAATGTTTGGAGACTGAGGGTAGAACTGTAGAAAGCAGGTTTCCCAGGGCTAGGGCTTAGCAGAACTGAAAATTAAAGGATAGAAGCTGCCGGGGACTCCAAGCAGCTTAAAGTTGCTGATCATGTGTCTCAGGCTGAACAGTGAGGTGATGAAGTGGTAAAGGTACTAATGAGCTAGATAAACTGGTGGGATTAAGGGGCTGGCCCTCACACTAGGGGAGCAGCAAGATCAGTAACATGAGGGAATGGGAAATGCTAGGTCAGAAAGTCGTGGCTGGAGAGAAAAATAGTTGAGTGAAAGGAGGAAGCAGAGAAAATGGCTTATGAAATAACAGATCTCTGACCCTGTGGAGCTCACATACCATCGGAGAAACCATCAGTAAACAATAAAAATAATAAATGAGAAGATTACTTAGCAGTATGAGGAAAAGGGGAGAGGAGAGCAGAGTAAGGGAGATTGGGACTGCCAGGGGAGGGGGACGGGAAGGAAGTTTTCACAGTGTGGTTGTCAGGCGTCACTGAGGTGTGATTTGAGTAAGGATGGATGGAGGTGAAGGTGGTCCAGGGCAAGAGAGTTCTAAGAAGAGTGGGCAGCGTGGAGTGTGCGAGGCATAGCAGGGAGGCTGTCCACTGATTTTTGCTACATTGTGTTGCTGGGCTTGTGCCTTCTCTGAGCTGCAGAGCTGTGAATCTCTGCTTTTATGTCGTGACTAGAGCTTGGAATGGTGCATGCTCTGTCCCGGATCCCTTTCCTCTACGTAGTAGCAGTATCCACATTGTTGTTTTTGTGCCTTACTTCTAAAATACAAGAGTCTGTATCGCAGGTATTAGGTGTGCAAGTTCCTGGCTGTGAAAAAAAATAATAATTTTCTACCTAATCTGATCTTAAGCTAGAGGAATAGACTCAGAAATGGAGCAAATGAATCTTTACCCTTTTGCGATTTGGATATTCAGAAGAATAGACTTTTATCTATTAAAATGTTTCACTGAGACTGTAAGTCTTTATTGGACAGTAGGGGTTTAGAATTAATAGAATCACCCAAAAGATCTCAGTAACAAAATACATTCTTAGTAACTGATATGAGAATTCTTCTGAGGAAAAAATACTTGCTGTTAAAATGCCTGGCTGGATAGGCCCTGAGGAATTCATAGATTTTGACGAAGGCTTTGGATTATGAAGTTATGAAATTGAGGGGTTGAGTCAAGACTGTTAATTTCTTCAGGAGTCAGAGAGGCTTGATCTTGGATCTGAATTATATAGGAGTTAAGAGTAATTTGGAAATTGATTCAAGTCAGAAAATATATTAACAGTGGCTATTCATTTGTTATGATTATGCACATTCTATTATGCATTGCTGACATTCAAAGAGAACCACCTGACATGGAATTTTCCCTTAAGCACAAGAATTCTTTCGTAAATGTTCCCTAAGTATCTATAATAATGAAACAAAGAGGATTTCCAAAGATCAAACAAACTTTTTAATCAACAATTAATCCCAGGAACAAGTTGTAAAAATACATTCATTACAGGAAAGCCACGTTTACCTTAGCATTCTAACAAATAATTAATTTGAAATAGAGTTTGAGTAAATTTGTAATCAAAGACAAGAACAAAGCCCAGAAGTCAGGGTGTGAGTGACAGTATTGCTTGATAAAACTCCCTGGGATTTCTGTAGTCTGTTACATGTTTGTTTATAGGAGCTCAGCTGAGAATGTTCAATTCATCAAAACAAAGTTATCTTTCCAAGATGTTCTTATAAACGCCATTAAGACCACATTGTCTAAGATGAACTCCTGTCCAGACAGAATTGGAAACTGACATGTAATTTTCCAACCCATATAGCTAGTGAAGTTGGAATCTTTTAATGTAATTTCTATTAACTGGTGACTGCCAGGAGATTATAAAGAATTTATGTTCCCAGATAATATAAGTGCTCACAACTTCTGCAGGGAAATCTCAAATCATACTCATTTACTGTATCATGGTCTAGGCCGGAAGGTTATCTGTCTTCAGTAGCCAATATTCAAGGTAGCAGTTGGCTTTGTTTTTGCTTTCTCTCTTTAATGAGGTTGCTCAGCTTAAAATGTGTGTCCCCACCCCTCCCCTCTACTCCCTTCCCCTTCCCTCCCCTCTCTTCCCCTCCCCTTCACTCCTCTCTCCTCCCCTCATCTTCCCTCCCCTCCTCTTCTTTCCCCTCTCCTCCCCTCCTCTTCCTTCCCCTCTCCTCAACTCTCCTCCCCTCCTCTTCCTCCCCCTCTCTTCCCCTCTCCTATTCTCCCCTCCCCTCCCCTCCCCTCCCTTGCCCTCCCTTCTCCTCTTCTCTTTCAGTTCCCAGGGAGGTAGCAAAAACACTGAATTTCTAAACTGCCATCCTAATTGATAAAGTTTAAAGTCCAAGAGCTTTAATGTGCCACTGTGTTCTTCTGAAACCCTGTTTGTAACATGTCAATAGCTTTTTGATGCTCTTAAGAGCTCAGGGAAAACACATATGATTCTTCTATCTGTCAAGCGTCACCTTCTGACAATCTCACCTCACACACCAAGCATCATACGAGGGAGGAGGTTGAGTCAGGAAAAAATTTCTGGTGGAAGATATATATATATATGTGTGTGTGTGTGTGTATGTGTATATATATGTGTGTGTGTGTATATATATATATATGTAAAAGCTAAAAACCAATGGATGAACAGAAGCTACCCAGGCAATGAAGACAGCTAAGAGTGTTCTGGAAAAGGGGAGAGATATCAAAATAATTTAAATATGGATCCTATGGATCCTTGTAATATAGTTCAGTATGGATCATAGTAGCACATTAAAGCTCTTGGCTGCATTGTAGTGAATAACCTAGGGGATAAAATGGAGATAAGCAAGTGAGGTGATAACCCAGGTGAGTAATTAGGGTGACTCAGAATAGGGCAATTGTGGGGGCTATTGGAAAGAGACAAATCTGAAAAATGATTAGGAGGTAAGTTAAACAAAATTTGATTTTCGGCTGAATATGAGAGTGAAGGAGAGAAAAGAGTGAGGGAAAACTCAGGTTTCCAGCTTGAGTAATTGGTTGGAGAGTGACGTTATTCACTAGGAAAGGGAACACCTAGGGAGAAGCTGGTTGGAAGAAAGGTGAAGATGGTGAGTTCAGTTTTGAATATGTTGAACTTTAAATGTCCAGAAGCCATCACAGTAGCTGTGCCCAATAGACAGGTATGCACACAAGGCTGGGGCTCAACAGAGAAATCTAGCCTAATGATTTAAGTAAATATTGAGAACGTGTACTAAGTATTACAGCAATATTCAATTTTTATGCCATTTCCATTGTTCATCAAACATCGTAGAAGATTTAAGTCAGGCATAACATTTATTTTGACTCATCATTTCCTTAATATAGACCTGGTTTAGATTTTATTGTTTACAAGATATTTGAAATCAGAACTTTGTGAGCATATTCGTCCAGTTGTTACACATTTTCATGGCAAAAGTCTTTTCAACTTTCTGAGTAATAGTATTAAGCATTATGGTAAACAGTCAAAGGGTGCAAAACTATGCAAATGTCCCATTCTGAGTAGAGTGAAAAAGTTCGTGGTATAAATTAAGCAGATGTGTTATACTAATGAGAACAAAATTAGCCTTGACACATTTCTGGCAGGTCTAGAGAAATAGAAGATATGTTCTCTACCACACACGAAGTGTTGCATCAGGGTAACCAAGGATATCATTGTTGAGCCTAGAAAGTGCCAGGAATATGCTCTACTTGGACAAATCCTGCCTCCCAGTGGGACCAGCGTCAAAACCTCAGTGACTTTCCAGGTTGAACCAATTGAGAGATTTTGAAACTGTCTTGAAGATCAGACTGGAAACTTAGGCACCACCATTGAAGAACTTAAGAGGTGATAAATTCCACAGGGATGTGCATTTGGTGAAGACTGGCCACTTTAGTAAACACTAATCAGCTCTTATATATAGAAGTAGAAACCACAGAGAACTCCAACTGCATTATCAGACAGAAAAAACAAAAAGCATTGAATGTTACTTTGATTTTGTCCACACTTTCTTTTCTTTCCCAATGGATAGAGTCATAGAAATCATTCTAGAAAATAAAATGGGAAATGCAAATGTTTTCTAACTAGATGGCCTAATTTTGGAGTACTTCTAATTAACTGAACATTGGATGAAAGGGACTTGGGCTTTCTGTCTTCTTTAGTAAACTTTAGGGAGGTGGAACTTGTAAAATGTGGTGGGGAAAAGGTCTAAATTTCATCATTTCTCCTTAAATCTACAATTAAAAATATTGTATGTTCCCTAAAATTACACAGACCGATTTAATTTGGAAATTCTTATAATGGTATATTTTAGTTATTCTGAGAACATAATTACCTGCACTGAGTATATTTTTAAGGAAATGACTATTTCCCAAAAGTATTGGGTACAATAAGCTGCCATTCCGAGCCTCAGATACATTGGAACATGTTTTCATGCTACTACTTTTGATAAAGCTGATTTGAATCCGAATAAATTGTCAATAAAGAGAACACAGACTTGTATGGGTTTTATTTTACATATTCTTACATGTAAAATGAGAATTTTAAAAATTATTAAAAGGCAAGTCAAATGCCTGAGTTACTGATTATAATTAACAATTTTTGGAAGAAGAAATAAGAATGTAATCTCTTTTTTGTTTGTTTGTTTTTGAGACAGAGTCTTGCTCTGTCACCCAGGCTGGAGTGCAGTGTCGCAATCTCGGCTCACTGCAACCTCCGCTTCCCGAGTTCAAGCAATTCTCTTGCCTCAGCCTCCGGAGTAGTTGGGATTACAGGCACCCGCCACCACGCCAGGCTAATTTTTGTATTTTTAGTAGAGACAGGGTTTCACCATGTTAGCCAGGCTGGTCTCAAACTCCTGACCTCATGATCCACCCACCTCGGCCTCCCAAAGTGCTGGGATTACAGGCGTGAGCCAACGCGCCCTGCCAAGAATGTAAATTTTTTAACGTAGAAGAAGGCATCAGCCTGATTCTGAAGAGCATATTGGTATTCACTGATTAGATTAGCAAACTTAACATCAACATTCCAAATCACTACTAAGTTATTTTCTTACAAAAGCCTTCCATTATTAACCTTAAAGGCCGAAGTAAAGATTTATAGGACTAAGTGTTTGCTTTAGTCTTTTGGTACATAGTGATGTGATAGAAATTGTTGTGTGTGTGTGTGTGTGTGTGTTTGAGACGGAGTCTCGCTCTGTCGCCCAGGCTGGAGTGCAGTGGCGCCATCTCGGCTCACTGCAAGCTCCGCCTCCCGGGTTCACGCCATTCTCCTGCCTCAGCCTCCTGAGTAGCTGGGACTACAGGCGCCTGCCACCACGCCCTGAGAATTTTTTGTATTTTTAGTGGAGACGGGGTTTCACCGTGTTAGCCAGGATGGTCTCGATCACCTGACCTCGTGATCCGCCCGCCTCGGCCTCCAAAAGTGCTGGGATTACCGGCGTGAGCCACTGCGCCCGGCCTAGAAATTGTTTTTTTTTTTTTTTTTTGGTGGCGGGGGCAGATAGGCTGCCAGGGTTTTTATGTTGCTTTATTAAAATCATTTGTATACTGCTGAGGCTGGATTTTAAAGCTGTAATTCTGACCCATTTTCCTCTGCAGTTTGAAAGGAAACAAAACAAGAATGAAGTCTCAGCTGAAAATTACTTTCAGTCTGATCCCTTGGGCCTTGGCCTCCCAAAGTGCTGGGATTACAGGCGTGAGCCCGGTCGCCTGGCCTAGATTCTTTTTTAGCAGACAATGCACCTATCACTCATTTGCTCTAGTATTGGCTGATAACAGCCCTTATTCTAATAGCCCCTTCCTTTAAAGAATTGCCCTTGGCAGGCCTGGCTCAGTGTCTCACATCTGTAATCCCAGCACTTTGGGAGGCCGACGTGGGCGGATTACCTAAACTCAGTAGTTCAAGACCAGCTTGAGCAACATGGGGAAACACTGTCTCCATAAACAATACAAAAACAAAAACAAAAACAAATTAGCCACACATGGTGGCCTGCGCCTGCGGTCTCAGCTACTTAGGAGGCTGAGGGGGCAGAATCGCTTGAGTCCAGGAGATCGAGGCTGCATTGAGCCAAGATCATGCCACAGCACTCTAGCCTAAGCTACAGAGCTAGATCCTGTTTTTTTTTTTTTTAAATTGCCCCTGGCAACACCTGCCTGCCAGGAAAGCACCAACCTAACCTCCACCCTGCATGGAGGTATAAAAGGCTGGCTCATAGCCTCAAGGTCAGTCTACTTCTCTGGTAGAATTTCTTTTCCCAAGGGATCAGAGTGAAAGTAATTTTCAGCTGAGACTTCATTCTTGTTTTGTTTCCTTTCCCCTGTATATCCAGCTTTCCTCACTCAATTTTTTCTGAAGTACGCCCTCAACAAGTCACATAAACCAGAATCTTCATCTCAGTCTTTGTTTCTAGGAAATAAGACCCAATATAAGACGGTAAAGTCCAATCATGCACTAAAGCTGTGTAGTCCAATGTGGTAGTCACGAGCCACCTGCAGCTATTAAATAAAATAAACTAAGAATTCAGTTTCTCAACCGCAGTAGTCACATTTCAAGTGCTAAAGAGTCACATGCAGACATCACAAATATAGAACATTCCACCATTGCAAAAGCTTCTATTGGATAGCACTACACTAAAGGCTCTGTGCCCTGAAATGTTTCCTCTATTTCTACTCCTCCCCCTTAAACTCTCCAAGAAGGGCATAGTTAGTGCACAAGTGTAGTTTGAGACTTCAACATTCCTCTCTCAGTAATTGATAGAGCAAGTAGATATAAATCAATACAGATAGAGAAGACTTGAAAAGTGCTATCAAACAATGTGACCTAAGATATAAATAGAATATTCAACCTCTCATATCAGAATATATCACCTCAAGTGCACATGAAATGGTCATCAAAATATACAAATTTTAACCATGTAAAGTAATTGAAATCATCCAAGTATATTCTTTGATAATCATGAAATAAAAAATGGAAAATAATCTGGAATATCTTCACAATTTGAAAGTTGAACAAGGCACTTCTAAAATATTTCGTGGTTCAAATAGAAAGAAAAATTAGAAAATATTCTGAATTGAATGACAATGCAAGCACATTATGTGGGGTGCAGCTATAGCTACACTTAAAGGAAAACTCACAGCAGTAAGGGATATTTTAGAAAGGACCAAATTCTTTATATTGATGATATAAGTTTCACCTTAAGAGAGAAAAGAGTAATTTAATTCAAAGCAAGCAGAAGGAGACAATAAAGAATAAAAAGAAAAAGGATAAATTAATGAAATTAAAATCAGAAAAACGCCAGAAAAAATGAATGAAACAAAAAACTGGTTCTTTACAAAAATCAATGCAATTTATAGACAACTTTATGTCATAAATTGAAAATCTTTAGATAAATAGGCAAGTTCCTTAAAGGACACACACTACCAGTGCTCACTTAAAGAGAAATAGATAACCTTAATTGTCCTATACCTATTAAAGAAATTGAATTTGTGGTTAAAACCTTCCAGCAAAAAAAAAATCTGTGGTTCACTAATAAATTCTACTTAACATTTAAGGAAGAAATAATGCTAATTCTATGCAAGCTCTTATAGAAAATAAAAAAAGAAGAGGCCAGGCATAGAGACTCATGCTTGTAATTCCAGCACCTTGAGAGGCCAAGGTGGGAGGATTGCTTTAGCCCAGGAGTTTGAGACCAGGCTGGGCAACATAGAAAGACTCTTGTGTCTGCCAGGAATAAAAATAATTAGCTGGGCTTGATGGTATGCGCCTGTGGTCCCAGCAGCTTGGGAGGCTGAAATGGGAGGATGGCTTGAGTCTGGGAGGGCAAGGCTGTGGTGAGCCGTGATTGTGCCACTGCAGCTCAGCCTACGTGACAGAGTGAGACCAAGTCTCAAAAAAAAAAAAAACAAAAGGAAAGAAGGAAGAGAGGGAGGGAGGGAGGGAAACGAAAAAGAGGAAACTTTATCACTCATTCAATTAGGCTGGCATTACTGTATACCCAAACTAGCCAAAGTCATTAGAAGAAAACTTCATATCAAAACCCTACATTTACATTGACAGTATAATCCTCCACTAAACATTAGCACACTGAGTGGAGTAATATGAAAAATGATAATATATCATGACCAAATTCAGTTTATTCTAGAAACACAAGTTTGGTTTGAAGTTTGAAAATGAATTGATATTATTCAACATATCATTCAACATAAAATACTAAAAAAGAAAAGTCATATAATCATCTCAATAGATGCAGTAAAAATAATTGACATAATTGAATATTCACTCATGATCTAAACTCTCAATAAAGTAAGAATAAGCAGAAACTTCCTTACTGTGATAGAGGGCATCTTTGAAAAACATTCATTTGCCGTCACATTTAATGGTGAAAGACTTTTCCCTTAAGACTGGGACAAAAGCAAAGCTGTTGGCTGTCACCTTTCCTATTCATCATTGTCCTAGTCAGTTCAATAAGGGAATAAAATAAAATAAAAAGCATTCAGACTGGAAATGAAGTTGTCTTCGTAAGTTATGTGATTGTGTCTGTAGAAAATTCCAAAGAATCTACAAAAAATGACTAAGACTAAAAAGTGAGGTTAGCAAGTTTACAGAACACAAGATTAATATAAAAATCAACTCCATGTCCATATATAAAAAATCACTAGCAATGAAGAATTGGAAACTGAAATAATAATAGTTCTATTATGTCTGTGGCCTGTATGTAGAAAACTAAAAAAATTGCTAATGAAGTGTATCAAAGAAGACCTAAATAAATGGAGAGATATACTGTGTTCTTATATTAGAATATTCAATATTATTAAGATATGAATTCTCCCTAATTTGATTTATAGATTCTATGCAATCCCAATAAAAATTCTAGCAGAATTTTTAATAGAAATTTACAAAATAATTCTTTTTCTCATTTACATTTACTCAATTTATTTATCTTTAATAGTTTATCTGTATTACTCATGAGAACCTAGACATTAGACAAAACTAATCAACCCAAGTTATTCTCCTGTTAACCTTTTTTTTTTTTTAATTATACTTTAAGTTTTAGGGTACATGTGCACAACATGCAGGTTAGTTACATACGTATACATGTGACATGTTGGTGTGCTGCACCCATTAACTCATCATTTACATTAGGTATATCTCCTAATGCTATCCCTCGCCCCTCCCCCCACCCCACAACAGGCCCCGGTGTGTGATGTTCCCCTTCCTGTGTCCATGTGTTCTCATTGTTCAATTCCCACCTATGAGTGAGAACATGTGGTGTTTGGTTTTTTGTCCTTGCGATAGTTTGCTGAGAATGATGGTTTCCAGCTTCATCCATGTCCCTACAAAGGACATGAACTCATCATTTTTTATAGCTGCATAGTATTCCATGGTGTATATGTGCCACATTTTCTTGATCCAGTCTATCATTGTTGGACATTTGGGTTGGTTCCAAGTCTTTGCTATTGTGAATAGTGCCACAATAAACATACATGTGCATGTGTCTTTATAGTAGCATGATTTATAGTCCTTTGGGTATATACCCAGTAATGGGATGGCTGGGTCAAATGGTATTTCTAGTTCTAGATCCCTGAGGAATCCACACACTGACTTCCACAATTGTTGAACTAGTTTACAGTCCCACCAACAGTGTAAAAGTGTTCCTATTTCTCCACATCCTCTCCAGCACCTGTTGTTCCCTGACTTTTTAATGATAGCCATTCTAACTGGTGTGAGATGGTGTCTCATTGTGGTTTTGATTTGCATTTCTCTGATGGCCAGTGATGGTGAGCATTTTTTCATGTGTCTTTTGGCTGCATAAATGTCTTCTTTTGAGAAGTGTCTGTTCATATCCTTCGCCCACTTTTTGATGGGATTGTTGGTTTTTTTCTTGTAAATTTGTTTGAGTTCTTTGTAGATTCTGGATATCAGCCCTTTGTCAGATGAGTAGATTGCAAAAATTTTCTCCCATTCTGTAGGTTGCCTGTTCACTCTGATGGTAGCTTCTTTTGCTGTGCAGAAGCTCTTTAGTTTAATTAGATCCCATTTGTCAATTTTGGCTTCTGTTGCCATTGCTTTTGGTGTTTTAGCCATGAAGTCCTTGCCCTTGCCTATGTCCTGAATGGTATTGCCTAGGTTTTCTTCTAGGGTTTTTATGGTTTTAGGTCTAAGATTTAAGTCTTTAATCCATCTGGAATTAATTTTTGTATAAGGTGTAAGGAAGGGATCCAGTTTCAGCTGTCTACATATGGCTAGCCAGTTTTCCCAGTACCATTTATTAAATAGGGAATCATTTCCCCATTTCTTGTTTTTGTCAGGTTTGTCAAAGATCAGATGTTTGTAGATGTGTGGTATTATTTCTGAGGGCTCTGTTCTGTTTCATTGGTCTATATCTCTGTTTTGGTACCAGTACCATGCTGTTTTGGTTACTGTAGCCTTGTAGTATAGTTTGAAGTCAGGTAGCATGATGCCTCCAGCTTTGTTCTTTTGGCTTAGGATTGTTTTGGCAATGCGGGCTCTTTTTTGGTTCCATATGAACTTTAAAGTAGTTTTTTCCAATTCTGTGAAGAAAGTCATTGGTAGCTTGATGGAGGATGGCATTGAATCTATAAATTACCTTGGGCAGTATGGTCATTTTCATGATACTGATTCTTCCTATCCATGAGAATGGAATGTTCTTCCATTTGTTTGTATCCTCTTTTATTTCGTTGAGCAGTGGTTTGTAGTTCTCCTTGAAGAGGTCCTTCATATCCCTTGTAAGTTGGATTCCTAGGTATTTTATTCTCTTTGAAGCAATTGTGAATGGGAGTTCACTCATGATTTGACTCTCTGTTTGTCTGTTATTGGTGTATAAGAATGCTTGTGATATTTGCACATTGATTTTGTATCCTGAGACTTTGCTGAAGTTGCTTATCAGCTTAAGGAGATTTTGGGCTGAGACGATGGGGTTTTCTAAATATACAGTCATGTCATCTGCAAACAGGGACAATTTGACTTCCTCTTTTCCTAATTGAATACCCTTTATTTCTTTGTCCTGCCTGATTGCCCTGGCCAGAACTTCCAACACTATGTTGAATAGTAGTGGTGAGAGAGGGCATCCCTGTCTTGTGCCCGTTTTCAAAGGGAATGCTTCCAATTTTTGCCCATTCAGTATGATGTTGGCTTTGGGTTTGTCATAAATAGCTCATTATTTTGAGATAAGTCCCATCAATACCTAGTTTATTGAGAGTTTTTAGCATGAAGGGTTGTTGAATTTTGTCAAACGCCTTTTTTGCATCTATTGAGATAATCATGTGGTTTTTGTCTTTGGTTCTGTTTATATGCTGGATTATGTTTATTGATTTGCTTATGTTGAACCAGCCTTGCATCCCAGGGATGAAGCCCACTTGGTCATGGTGGATAAGCTTTTTGATGTGCTGCTGGATTTGGTTTGCCAGTATTTTATTGAGGATTTTTGCATCGTTGTTCATCAGGGATATTGTTCTAAAATTCTCTTTTTTTGTTGTGTCTCTGCCCGGCTTTGGTATCAGAATGATGCTGGCCTCATAAAATGAGTTAGGGAGGATTCCCTCTTTTTCTATTGATTGGAATAGTTTCAGAAGGAATGGTACCAGCTCCTCCTTGTACCTCTGGTAGAATTTGGCTGTGAATACTTCTGGTCCTGGACTTTTTTTGGTTGGTAGGCTATTAATTATTGCCTTAACTTCAGAGCCTGTTATTCGTCTATTCAGGGATTCAACTTCTTCCTGGTTTAATCTTGGGAGGATGTATGTGTCCAGGAATTTATCCATTTCTTCTAGATTTTCTAGTTTATTTGCATAGAGGTGTTTGTAGTATTCTCTGATGGTAGTTTGTATTTCTGTGGGATCAGTGGTGATATCCCCTTTATCATTTTTTATTGCATCTATTTGATTCTTCTCTTTTCTTCTTTATTAGTCTTGCTAGCGGTCTATCAATTTTGTTGATCTTTCGAAAAACCAGCTCCTGGATTCATTGATCTTTGGAAGCGTTTTTTGTGTCTCTATCTCCTTCAGTTCTTCTCTGATCTTAGTTCTTTCTTGCCTTCTGCTAGCTTTTGAATGTGTTTGCTCTTGCTTCTCTAGTTCTTTTAATTGTGATGTTAGGGTGTCAATTTTAGATCTTTCCTGCTTTCTCTTGTGGGGCATTTAGTGCTATAAATTTCCCTCTACACACTGCTTTAAATGTGTCCCAGAGATTCTGGTATGTTGTGTCTTTGTTCTTATTGGTTTCAAAGAACATATTTATGTCTGCCTTCATTTCGTTATGTACCCAGTAGTCATTCAGGAGCAGGTTGTTCAGTTTCCATGTAGTTGAGTGGTTTTGAGGGAGTTTCTTAACCCTGAGTTCTAGTTTGATTGCACTGTGGTCTGAGAGACAGTTTGTTATAATTTCTGTTCTTTTACATTTGCTGAGGAGTGCTTTACTTCCAACTGTGTGGTCAGTTTTGGAATAAGTGTGATGTGGTACTGAGAAGAATGTGTATTCTGTTATTTGGGGTGGAGAGTTCTGTAGATTTCTATTAGGTCTGCTTGGTGCAGAGCTGAGACTAATTCCTGGATATCCTTGTTAACTTTCTGTCTCGTTGATCTGTCTAATGTGGACAGTGGGGTGTTAAAGTCTCCCATTATTATTGTGTGAGAGTCTAAGTCTCTTTGTAGATCTCTAAGGAATTGCTTTATGAATCTGGGTGCTCCTGTATTGGGTGCATATATATTTAGGATAGTTAGCTCTTGTTGTTGAATTGATCCCTTTACCATTATGTAATGCCTTCTTTGTCTCTTTTGATCTTTGTTGGTTTCAAGTCTGCTTTATCAGAGACTAGGATTGCAACCCCTGCCTTTTTTTTGTTTTCCATTTGCTTGGTAGATCTTCCTGAATCCCTTTTTTTTGAGCATATGTGTGTCTCTGCATGTGAGATGGGTCTCCTGAATACAGCACACTGACGGGTCTTGACTATTTATCCAATTTGCCAGTGTGTGTCTTTTAACTGGAGCATTTAGCCCATTTACATTTAAGGTTCATATTGTTATATGTGAATTTGATCCTGTCATTATGACGTTGGCTGGTTATTTTGCTCATTAGTTGATGCAGTTTCTTCCTAGCATTGATGTCTTTACAATTTGTCATATTTTTGCAGTGGCTGGTACTGGTTGTTCCTTTCCATGTTTAACGCTTCCTTCAGGAGCTCTTGTAGGGCAGGCCTGGTGGTGCCAAAATCTCTCAGCATTTGCGTGTCTGTAAAGTATTTTATTTCTCTTTCA
The DNA here is from genome assembly GCF_000001405.40 of Homo sapiens. Classification (NCBI taxonomy): domain Eukaryota; kingdom Metazoa; phylum Chordata; class Mammalia; order Primates; family Hominidae; genus Homo; species Homo sapiens. The sequence goes on from NC_000004.12 coordinate 174,416,148, forward strand.
CTTATGAAGCTTAGTTTGGCTGGATATGAAATTCTGGTTTGAAAATTCTTTTCTCTAAGAATGTTGAATATTGGCCCCCACCCTCTTCTGGCTTGTAGAGTTTCTGCTGAGAGACCTGCTGTTAGTCTGATGGGCTTCCTTTTGTGGGTAACCCGACCTTTCTTTCTGGCTGCCCTTAACATTTTTTCCTTCATTTCAAATTTGGTGAATCTGACAATTATGTGTCTTGGAGTTGCTCTTCTCGAGGAGTAACTTTGTGGCGTTCTCTGTATTTCCTGAATCTGAATGTTTGCCTGCCTTGCTAGGTTGGGGAAGTTCTCCTGGATAATATCCTGCAGAGTGTTTTCCAACTTGGTTCCATTCTCTCCATCACTTTCAGGTACACCAATCGGATGTAGATTTGGTCTTTTCACATAGTCCGATATTTCTTGGAGGCTTTATTCATTTCTTTTTACTCCTTTTTCTCTAAACTTCTCTTCTCACTTCACTGCATTCATTTGATCTTCAATCACTGATACCCTTTCTTCCAGTTGATCAAATTGGCTACTGACGCTTGTGTATTCATCACGTAGTTCTCGTGCCGTGGTTTTCAGCTCCATCAGGTCATTTAAGGACTTCTCTACACTGGTTATTCTAGTTAGCCATTTGTCTAATCTTTTTTCAAGGTTTTTAGCTTCTTTGTGATGGGTTTGAACTTCCTCCTTTAGCTGGGAGAAGTTTGATCGTCTGAAGCCTTCTTCTCTCAACTCGTCAAAGTCATTCTCCGTCCAGCTTTGTTCCATTGCTGGCGAGGAGCTGCGTTCCTTTGGAGTGGGAGAGGTGCTCTGATTTTTAGAATTTTCAGCTTTTCTGCTCTGTTTTTTCCCCATCTTTGTGTTTTATCTACCTTTGGTCTTTGATGATGGTGACATACAGATGGGGTTTTGGTGTCACATCCTTTCTGTTTGTTAGTTTTCCTTCTAACAGTCAGGACCCTCAGCTGCAGGTCTGTTGGAGTTTGCTGGAGGTCCACTCGAGACCCTGTTTGCCTGGGTATCAGCAGTGGAGGCTGCAGAACAGCGAATATTGCTGAACAGCAGATGTTGCTGCTTGATCGTTCCTCTGGAAGCTTCATCTCAGAGGGGTACCCAGCTGTGTGAGGTGTCAGTCTGCCCCTACTGGGGGTGCTTCCCAGTTAGGCTACTCGGGGGTCAGGGACCCACTTGAGGAGGCAGTCTGCTCATTCTCAGATCTCAAACTCCGTGCTGGGAGAACCACTACTCTCTTCAAAGCTGTCAGACAAGGACATTTAAGTCTGCAGAGGTTTCTGCTGCCTTTTGTTCGGCTATGCCCTGCTCCCAGAGGTGGAGTCTACAGGGGCAGGCAGGCCTCCTTGAGCTGCGGTGGGCTCCACCCAGTTTGAGCTTCCCAGCCGCTTTGTTTACCTACTCAAGCCTCAGCAATGGTGGGCACTCCTCCCCCAGCCTCGCTGCCACCTTGCAGTTCGATCTCAGACTGCTGTGCTAGCAATGAGCGAGGCTCCATGGGCATGGGACCCTCCCAGCCAGGCGCAGGATATAATCTCTTGGTGTTCCATTTGCTAAGACCATTGGAAAAGTGCAGTATTAGGGTAGGAGTGACCCAATTTTCCAGGTGCCATCTGTCACCCCTTCCCTTGGCTAGGAAAGGGAATTCCCTGACCCCTTACGCTTCCCGGGTGAGGTGATGCCTCGCCCTGCTTTGGCTCATGCTCAGTGGGCTCTACCCACTGTCCTGCCCCCACTGTCTGACGAGCCCCAGTGAGATGAACCCGGTACCTCAGTTGGAAATGCAGAAATCACCTGTCTTCTGTGTTGCTCACACTGGGAGCTGTAAACTGGAGCTGTTCCTATTCGGCCATCTTGGAACCACCCTTTAAAGGTTGCTGAATTTTATGTAATGAAAATATCATTAGAATATCAGATGTAACTCATAATTTAGTACTTTTTGTAAGCATAGCAAAAAGTATAAAATAAATATCAATTTATTTGAATATTTAAATTTGTTTCTCCTATTGATATTGTTGATTTGCTCGTCCACTTGAAAGAGGCAGGAATCATCACTGTAGTATTCAAACCATGAGTGTTATAGTGGTTTACAAGAATTAGGAATGAAAGGAAAAGAAAATATGTACAAAACTTAGAGAAAATGGTAGGAGACATACCCTTGGATGGACACCATCTTAATATTTGGAATGTTACTGTAATCCTACAATTCATTTAAAAAATATTTTACATAGATCTCGTGCAAGCTTGAAAGTAAGAAAAGTGCAGATTTTTTAAAAATTTCTATTATCAGAAAGAGTTCTTTAAGTTAAAATAAGAACAAAAACACATGGAAATATGAAGTGAAGAAATTTGGTAAAAATTTAGCATACATAAAATCTAGGTAATAATTTGAACATAACCCATTAGATTATTGTTAATTTATTTTCCAAGATAACATTAAATTACTGCATCTCTGATTACTAAGATTTGGTTAATTTATTTTTTATTTTCATGCTATTTTCAAAGACATGAAAAGAATCTACAAATTTTAGCCATTAGTACTATCTTTCTATTTAAGAGATGCTAACTGATAACAAAATAAGGTCTGATTGGCATATTTCTGCATATTTTACGTCATATTTCAGTAACTGTGCTAAAGAATGATGCAATATCATAAAAGATAGTAGCAAGATTGAAAAAAGCTAAATTATATCATAAATCACAAATGAGGGTGAGTTGTCATTTCTATAACTACTAAGAAATATCCCGATCTGGAAAAGCTAAAGATTTAGCTATTGCTAAAGATTTTGGGTAAGAAAAATTTACTGTATTGTCATTGACCTAATGAGGATCACTGATTCATTAAAAAGTAAGTAAACATCTCTGGAACCCAGATTTTTATCAACCATGACCTTTGGCCTAAATTTGTGAATGCATTCAATTCACTATGTTGCTTTTGGCAAGCGAAGACACAATAGCTAAATTCTGACACGTTATGCATAAAGAGAGCCTTTCTTTCTTTTTCTTTTTTGACCACATCTTCTAAACTTAACAAAGTCTCTCTCTATATGTAGTCTTATATTATATATATATAATATAAAGTCTATATACTATATATAACATAGTCTTTTATATAGAATATAAAGTCTATATATTATGCATATGTAATTTTTTTTTTTGAGAGAGGGTCTCACTCTTGTCACCCATGCTAGAGTGCAGTGGTGTGATATCGGCTCACTGCAACCTCCACCTCCCTGGCTCAAGCAATCCTCCCACCTCAGACTCCAGAGTAGCTGGGACCACAGACACACGCCACCATGCCTGGCTAATTTTTGTATTTTTTGCAGAAATGGGCTTTCCCAGTGTTGCCCAAGCTAGTCTCAAGCTGGACTCGAACTCCTGAGCTCAAGTTATCCACCTGCCTTGGCCTCCCAAACGCTGGGGGATTACAGGCGTGAGCCACTGTGCCTGGCCCCAGATATATATTTTTAAATCTCACTCCTTCAAGGAACTTTACTCAGTTTACATATTGCGAACATCTGTCCTTGGTGGTATTATTCTCTGCTTTCTCCCTCCTATCCTTTTCCTGCATAAATAGTATTGCTCTTCACATAGTATGTAGATTAGATACTATCTTTTTTTAAGGCAGTTTACTTATTTGAGAGAAAGAGACATGCTATATTCATATAATATATCTGATGTATAAAACTCATAAATAAGGTTTGCCTTACTTTAAGACTTAGATTTATTGGGGGAACCAGATATCCTAATGACTGTCAAGTTTTAAATTTTATGATTCCTCTCTCTGTCTTAAATTCCAAATCCACATTTCCCTGAATCTACTTAACTATATGATTATGTCTCACAAGCAGTTCACACTCAATGCATAGCTATATGTATTATCTTGCTTCCTATATACAAGTGAGTACAATCATTATAATACAACTTTCTAAATGTCTACTTTAACCTATTTTACAAATCTGAAAAATCATAATAATAACACCTATCTTCTAAATTTGTGAGAATTATATGAACTAATATGTGTACAGTGCTTTGTAGAGACCAGCGATTTTCAGAATTATTTTTATTGCCCCCTTTAGCAACGTGTTCTTGGTTACTATATTTATATTTCCTTCCTGTCTCTCAAATTTTTTTCCATCTCTCTTCTTCTTCCTGCCACTTCCTTGGTTATGTTTTCTCATCTACATTATTTCACAAACCACCTACCTTATCTTTTGGCCTGCAAACCAGACCATACCCTGTATGCTCAGCGTATCCTCTACGCTGCGGGAAGAGTGACAGCAAGAAAGTTAAATGCTGATTTTATCACCATGATTCTTCAAAATCCCTCAACTCTTTGCAAAAATAAAAGATAACACCCATTGTCGGTAAGCATGCTAGAAAATGGCATCTCACATGCCATCATAGGCATGAAAATTGACATTTTTTCAGAAAGCGACTTGCCTCTATACCAAACCCTTTCAATAGTACTTCTTGCTTGACCCAGCAGTGCCACTTACATGTATAATCCTGAACTAAAGGAGAAAATGTGCTCTGGATTTCTGGCAAAGCTTCCTTTAAGAGCAAAACCCTTTTTCAACAAGTGGTCATACGCTAGGAGAAAAACAATAGGAAATAATAATAATAAAAAAGAGAACTACCTTTACTGGTGCCAAGAGTAGAAAACAACAATCACATACCATAAAATCAAGGAAATATCATCCAAATCTAGGGAAAATTTAATTATCCAGAAGGCACCAAGACTGAGAAAAGAATGCATCATTGTGGAAAATAAGTGGAGAACATTTTGGTGACAGTTGGGAGAAGTATCGTTGGTCCCAGCTGACTTGGGGGACAGTCTCATTTGCTGCCCATGGCCTCAGATCAGTATCACTGCAAGGCTGTTAGAAGCACGGCTGTGGAATAAAGCATGTAGTCAAGCCACACAATTCTTTGCTGACAGAATTTGAAGTAGGTTTAATTTTCTTCTCTATGTTTTCCCCATTTTCAAATTTCCAAAGATGAAAAATTAATTTGACAGCAAAAAAACAAAAAACAATAAAAATAATGGTGGCTTCTTAATTCCTTATTTTAATGGGCAAAGTTATTCCCTCTCTGTTTATACTCCAGATATTCCACATGTGCTAAAACATTTAGAAATCTTCTAAAATACGATATGTTCTTTTTCCCTTCCATATCTTTGCAACTACTTTCCCCTGCAACCGTCTAGGGAGTTCCTTGTAATTATATGTCACTCAACTGAAAATTTACCTTCTTTATGAAATATTCTGTGATGTCTGTGTGCATGATTACATATTTCCACTTTTGTGTTCCCACTGTACTCTGTCAGCATCTAAGTTGTGGTACTCACCACACCAGTAAATTTCTGTGTACATTTCTCTCTCCTGTACCATGAGAGCTCTAGGACTGCAGGAATTGTTATTTTAAACTTTGTATGGAATTTAGTAAATGCTTATTGAATCAACTCATAAGAAAATTGGATGCTAATATTTTACTTTCTTCAGTTTCCTCATTGGGTTTAGTGGAGAAATTTCTCACAATATTGCCTGAAGGACAAGTTTGAGTACAGGTACATTATTCTTACATATTTTTTCTTTTTATATTTGTCATTATATGTCCATTTCCAGTGAATAAGTGTTTAATTACATTTGTTCATTCCATATTCACATTCCATTTACTGTTCAGAATGTGGAGATCATGTTTCTTGTGTTTGACTTGCTTCACACATGGGAGAAGTTGCATGCATGTGAATTCACTTAAATTATTTCACAAAGCAGAAGGGCACGGTGGCTCATGCCTGTAATCCCAGCACTTTGGGAGGCTGAGGTGGGTGGAACACTGGAGGTCAGGAGTTTGAGACCAGCCTGGCCAACATGGTAAAACCCTGTCTCTACTAAAAATACAAAAATTAGCCAGCATCGTGGCACAGGAGCTGCCTGTAGCCCCAGCTACTCAGGAGGCTGAAACAGGAGAATCGCTTGAACCCAGGAGGCAGAGGTTGCAGTGGGCTGAGATCGTGCCACTGCACTCCAGCCTGGGGGACAGAGCAAGACCATGTCTCAAAAAAAAAAAAAAAAAAAATTCACAAAGTGATGACTGCATTTTCATTCCATCAAAAATAAAAATTATTAGAGTTACTAATTGTATTATTTATCAGATGTGGAAGCAAAAGGATTTTCAATTCACTGTGCAGAGGAGGTATGCTTATAGAGACTCAAGAAAACAATCTGATTGTTTTAATTTTTCTCTAAGCTCGCCTGCCAAAAAAAGAATTCTGATCTGGCTCTTAGATTTTAGTAGATTAAATTTATGGAAAACAGGAATATGGTCCTATGCAAAATGTTCCGGTAAAAGTTTTTATGCTGATATTGAGTGAATTTTAAGCTTATTTAGTCTAAAGTAAAACACTAAGTTTTTTCCAGAACCTCAACTAAACCCAAATATTTGGAGAAAAAAAAGGAAGCAAAAACAAATGTTCAATTGTATGACAGAAGTTAATTTCAAAAATGAATGATGAAAGATGTTGACTTTTTTCTGTTATAACAACATATAACATATAATATTATAGCAGTAATATTATAATGACATAATTGTTTTCATTTCTTTTAACAAAATCATTAAATTGGTCCTTTCCACGCTTTACTACAAACTCTTTCAATTGTCTTCCATTTCTTTGACAAGCTAGAAGGGTCTAGATGTTTCTCATGTGGTGAGCCCTGTCAAACACTTTTAAGTTTGCATTTTTTTCCAGATAAATGTAACAATACCCATAAATCACACTTATTTGGATTCTTATCTAATATTGCATTGCAATAATTGGAAATAAGGCAAAAGCTTTTTGGAAGGTATGCAACACTTTACTCTCAAACCTCAGATAAAATCTAAAACCTGTGTGAGACTAAACTGAAAAGAGGAAGAGGGAAAGAAGGAAACATATTCAATGGAGGACACTGTGCTAAAATGTAATTTTACATTTCCATTGAATCCTATTTTATCAAAACCTGCATTTTTAGTTTTAATTTTGATTCATAGTGTGATTTGGGAATCATTGAAATGACACATGTTAAAGATTACAATACAAATAACACAATTTGCACTTCCAGTTTGCAGAATTTCCGATTTGGCAGTTTGCCAGCTCTTTGAATCTAAGAGAAACAGGGAAACAAAATTTCTGCAGAAGTGTTACTTCTTTCCAAAACATGATCCAGACATTCATAGAACCATTGAATTCGCTATTGCTATTCTGACTACCGGAGAAATACAACCTTTTTGCGTGTGTGTGTGTGTGTGTGTATATGTGTGTGTGTCATGTGACATTTGGCATTGGGGCTGGTGGAGGAAGATAAAACAAAACTGCATGTCTTGCCTGTTTTTCTGTTGAGTCTGACATCTGAGGTGTAAATTCAACAAAAATTAGACATCTCCTTAGATAAGATGACTCTAAATAAATATTCTATTTATAGTTCTCTGCTGACATAAATATAGCTTGCTTAATCATGCACGTATCCTGGAATATGTGTAAAGCCAATTTTGCTAAAGTGATTAATTTGTAGACTGTGTATTTTTTCTTATGTGTTCCTTGAGTCAATGAGTTAAATAATGGGATATGCTGTGGGCATGTCACAGTCTGACTCAGTGACTCATGTGCTGGCAGTGGCCACGTAAATAGAGCTACTGTGTCTGAAAGCAATGGGTAGCTAGAAACCTTTTTGACAGCTCATATGAAAACTTAAAGAATTTCAAAACAGGCTGGGTGTGGTGGCTCATGCCTGCAATCCCAGTACTTTGGGAGGCTGGGGTGGGAGGATCATTTGAGCCCAGAATCTTGAGACCACCCTGGGCAGCCTCGCAAGACCCTATCTCTGCATGTAAAAACAACAACAAAAAATTATAATAGTAATAAAAAAGAAGTTCAAAACGAAAAATATTTGCAAGGATTTTGTTTCTGGGTTTTTTGATTTTGTTATTAGATTTTTAATTAAAATAGAATAAAAACCTGAACTTCAAAATCAAGATCTGCTTATTTGGAAATTTTGTCTGTTACTCAAGTCTGTCCTTTTAATTTTTCAGAATAAATTAATATTATCTATTTCTAGATCTCCTACATTGCAGTTTCTTCCAGATTAATAACAGTATATTTAAAAATTATTTTTCAACAGAGCAGTGTACCTTTGCCAGGCTGTAGTCCGACATGATAAGATAATGGAATCGTATGTTAAGCAGACTATCATCTTGATTCCAAGAATTCATCTAGGAAAATTACTTAACAATTGATGATTTTGAATTATTTATCCTGAGAGATTTTGCCAAATCCCAAAGTAAAAATCATTGGAATTACTAATAGTACTAGCAAGCATATGTACTACATAGGGTGCTAGGAAACCTACTAGCTTTCTAGCCTTGTTGACTAGGTTTAGAACCTCACCTCTGCCAGTTACAAACTACAAACTGTGTGAAGTTAGGTCTAAGTTCTTTACCTTCTTTATCTTCAGTTCCTTATTTATAAATAGATAAAGTACTAATCATACCTATAGGATTTTTTAAGATCAAAAAACAGAATGCTATTTTTAAAATTTTCCTTACACCATACCTAGCATAAGTAAATCCTCAATTTATAGTAGTTTCTGCTATATTTTTAAGCTCATAAACAAAAGGACATGTTGCAGTTACACCTATTAATACTAGATGGATCAATAAAAACAGGTATTTTAGCAAATATAAAACTTCAATAATGAAAATCATATAATGACTGAAGAGTGTTAGTTTTATGATTTTTTTTCTTTTCTTTTATTTTCTTTTTTTTTTTTTTGGAGACAGGGTTTCACTCTGTTGCTTAGGCTGGAATGCAGTGGTGCAATCACAGCAGGGTCTCACTGTGTTGTCCAGGCTGGTCTTGAACTCCTGGGCTCAAGTGATCCTCCCACCTTGGCCTCCCAAAGTTCTGGGATTACAGGTGTCAGTCCCTGTGCCTGGCCAGTTTTGTTGTATTATTGTTGTAAACATTTTGGCAATACTGGGACAACTTAATTTATCAAAAATCAACAAAATGTTTTAAGAGCTCTGTATTGTTTTTGGCTCAATTAATTTGGCTTAAAAGCAAAAGATTGAGTTACCTGGATATGTTTAATTCTACCATAAACTTATTTCATAAGGATCTGTGGGGAAGCTTTGTAAATTTTTGTTTCCAGTTATCTAACTTCAGAGATTATTTTTTTAAAAGGAAAATATCAGAATTTTCTATTTTTAATAAAGTAGAACAAGAATTTTTTAAACGTTTTATTTTACCATAATTTCAAGTTTTACAGAGAGATTATCCGAATAGAACAAATGATCCTCATTTTATTCTTTACCTAGATTCACAAATTATTAACATTTTTGCTCTGGTTGCTTTATCATTTACTCTCTTAATAAACATTTTTTAACCTTTCGAACAGTGTGTGTTTCCTAAGAAAAACACATTCTCTTGAATAACTAGTAAAATTACCAGAGTAAAAAAATATATATACCATTTATATAATAGGAATACCTCTTCCAGAGCCAATATTCAAATTTAGTCCATTATCCCAACAATGTCCTGTGTTTTTTTTCCTGGTCTAAAATTTAACTCAGTGGTAAGAATTGTGCTTAATCATCATGTCCCTGGAGTGTTTTTAATCTAGATTAAATCCTCAGTCTTTTCCCTTATAACCTTGGCAGCTTGGAGAGTACCTGTTATTTTGTGGAATGTCACTCAGTTTGGGTCTGTCTGATATTTCCTCTGTTTAGAACCAGGTCATGCATGTCAGATAGGGAAACAGACATGAGACTGTACTCTTCTCAGCACATCACATCAGCAGGCAACATGATGCTGGTCTGTCCCATGATTGGTGATGTTAGCTACGATTGATTGGCTAAGATGGTTCTGCTAGGTTTTTCCACTGCAAATTTTTTATTTTCCCCTTAGTAATTTATAATTAATTTGTGGAGAGATACTTTGAAGATACCTAAATCTTCTTTATTCCCCAAACTTTGACCTACTCATTTAAGTACTCATTGATAATTTTTGCTTACATCAATTTTTATTGTAATAGTTCCAAAATGGTGATTTTCTAAGTCTACCATCCCTTCTACATTTATTAGCTGACATTCCACTTAAAGGGATAAGATTCCCCCAGTACTAATTTAGTTTTTGTTCATTTATTTAGATTTGGATGGATTAATTGATTCTTAGAGAACTCAATGATTAATAATCCATCACCAGGATTATTATCAGGACTCTTTGAGCTATCTCTTCCTGGGGTTGGCTTTAACTCAATTGTCCCTTATCTTTCTTGTGCATTTTTTCAGAACCCCTTTTCTTTGTGGGAATGACTTCAGAAGAGCTTCGAAAGTTAGCTATGCTGGAATTTGGTGCTTATTTTTATACCTATGGGTAATTTTCACTTGTAATATTTTTCTGTCTTCTAATTTTGCCAAAGGTGAGAATTTTGTGTGGTTTTATTCTTGTTGCTTAGAGGTTGTTTGAGGAGATTTGGGTTCAGGCAGCTGTTATTCATATACCTCAGCTGCTCAGGACTCTTGGATGCAAAGACTTTCACCATCTGGCTTAACAGTTCCTTTAACGAGGAGGAATCGTCTTGTTTGTAAACTAACGTGAGAAACTATATTTCAGTATAATGTGAAAACTTAACAGCATGGGTTATAAGAAAATAAAAATGAAGAAGAGCTATATTCTTTGTGAAAGTGATGAACAAATATTAGAAAAAGAGTCGTAGCCAGGCGCCGTGGCTGACGCCTGTGATCCCAGCACTTTGGGAGCCTGAGGCAGGTGGATCACTTGAGGTCATGAGTTTGGGACCAGGCTGGGCAACGTGGTAAAACCCCGTCTCTACTAAAAATATAAAAATACTGGGGCATGGTGGCATATGCCTGTAATCCCAGCTACTCGGGAGGCTGAGACAGGAGAATCGCTTGAACCTGGGAGGCAGAGTTTGCGGTGAGCCAAGATTGTGCCACTGCACTCCAGCCTGGGGGACAGAGTGAGACTCCGACTCAAAAAAAAACAAGTAGTAAAAAGAGTAAGAAAGAAGAGAGGAGAAAGAAACAGACATGGCCGAGTAACATAGCAGAGCAAATATCCATGGAGGAAAATGAACAGTAAGAGATTATTGAAGGCAGGTCAAATAAATGTAAACAGTGAGAAAGTATAATATTAAATTTTAAAATTTCAAAGGCCATGTAAATACATTTATGTATCATTTCAAATCATAAGGTAAATGTAACACATGAACAAATATTATGGGTGAGCTGTTTATAGGTTATTCAGAGGAATAAGGTTGCTTTTCATGTCCTGGTTGTCACAGAGCAGAGGGCAGGAGAATAGTTATAGGGGATCAGATGCCAATGACATCAGTAGTCTAGTGGAGGCAGGCAGGCAGAGCCAGAGTAACCATGAAGATATGAACCCCAAGGAATTCTCAGAAATGTTGATAAGGGTACTAGATTTCCCATAGAACATGGGATAGAGTTTTTGAATTGTGGGTTTAGAGGAAGCAGGCACGAGCTGCATGTAGTCTACACTGTGACTGAGAGATGGTCATTGCGCCATATATGTATGAACAGTCCAGGCAGGGTCAGAGAGCAACTCAAGTAGGTGGTATATAGCTGTCCTACAGGAAGGTGTTCCCTAGGAGGTCGTTGTGCAAGGTAGATATCTGGATCAACCACACTAAAGAATTAGGAGAAAGTGGGCAACTGGAAACTGTGTCAGGGGTGACTAAGCTCTGCTTCTAGTGTAAGTCCAACTTATATTTTGAAAGGATCGTGATGCAACATAACATTGTAAGAATCTACTACAGTATTACTTAAGTTTCAGTTTGTAGGCATAGTTTTGATCTTGTCATTCATCAAAGACATTTGTACTCATGTGAATGTTTTGATTTATTAAACATGCCTTCCTAATTAAGATAGTCCAACTATGCAGTAAATACTTGAATCCTACTATTCCTCTTTGTTTTGCGAGCATTCTCAAAATCAAATTCTTTACCTGTTCCTAAGATTTGTGCATTTATAAATGACCAAAGTCCTATGGTGTTTTGGGTGTATAATCTTCCCCTTTGCAGTTTTGGTTCTGTAATTGGCCTTCTGGAGAATACATTTATATATTCAACACATATCTGTGAAGTGCAGGAGTAATGCATGGAAAGAACATGTGAGGGATATATGTGTGATATTTTCCATGGAGTGGTCAGAAAAGCTCTCACTGAGAGAATGGGAGTTTTGAGTTAAAAAAACGAATAGGAAAGAAGCAAGGCAATTAGCCATACACATATCTGGGAAAAGAGCATCCTAGGTAGAGGAAAATTCATATGCAAAAGCCCTGAGTAATTTAGGAAAACATTAAACAGGCCAATATGCTTTAAGTAAAAAGAGTGACAGAGAAATAATAGGACATGAAGTTTGAAAGCTAATGGGGACCGGAGCATGTAAGGGCTTGTAGGTGCTGGTAAGGACTTTAGCTTATATTCTTCTTGAGACAGGAAGACATAGAAATGTTTTAAGTAGGGGAGTGGCATCATCTCATTTATATCTCTCAGGATCATCATTTTGGCTACTCTTCTGAGGCTAGTGCGTTTGGAATGGTGGCGGGAACTGGAGAGGCAGTAAAGCAGGCCAAGCTCAGGATTGTGGAGAACACTGGGAGGTTATCACAAAAATTCTATAAAGGTATTGTGGTGTCCTGAACCAGTATGATGGCAAGGAAGGTGATTAGAAGTGCCAGATTCTGGATATATATTGAAAGTAGAATTCCCATGTGGGATGTAATAGCAAGAGAGGAGTCAAAAATTACTTCAAATTGACTGAGGAGCTTAAAAAAGGATGAATTTATTTACTGAGAAGGGGAAGACTGTATGAGGAGCTACTTTAGTAGGAATTATCCATTTGGATTTGGACATAATAGGTTTGAGATGCCTGCTGGATAAGGAAATGTCACTGTGGGGTGTGGTGGCTCGCACCTGTAATCCCAGTGCTCTGGAAGGCCTAGGTGGGAGGATTGCTTGAGCCCAGCAGATCAAGACCAGCCTAGGCAACATAGGGAGATCCTGTCTCTACAAAAAATTTAAAAATTAGCTGAGTCTAGTGGCACATACCTATGGTCCCATCTACTCAAAGGGAGGCCTAGGTGGGAGGATAACTTGAGCCTGGGAGACAGAGGCTTCAGTGAGCCAAGATTGCACCACTGCACTCCAACCTGCATGGCAGAATAAGACCTCATCTCAAACAGAAAAATTGGAAATGTCAAGCAGGAAGTTATGAGTATATGAGTTTGCAGTTAAACATGCTGATAGTATTTAAAGGCAGGAGATAGGGATCCCTTAGGGAGTGAGCGTAGGTAATAAAGAGAAAAGAGTTAAAGACAGTGCGTGAGACACTCTAATATTTAAAGGGTGAGGAGACAAAAAGGAGCATAGTGATATCCTGGGATCCTGGGAAGTTGAGAGAAGTTTGATTTGGCTAACTCTAATTGCACCATTGAGCGGAAGCAGGGTGGGGTTCATCATGAAAGCTGGCTTTTTCTTGCAGGGTGACTTCTTCAGATCAGGATGCAGCAACATTTTCAAACAGGAGAACATCCTGATAAAGGTCTAAACTATGATCCCATGGACAAGGGAGGCTCAGCAAGTGGTTGGAGTTTCAGGATTTCCAGGTACATGCAGAACTTGAAATTCTTCACATATCTCCATTTCAATTCTCCAGTGCTTATTCACTCCTGACCAGTGGGCTGCACGATGTGCAATCAAGCATATGGATGGTGAATCAGTCTAATTATTTTTGTCCTTGCTCCAATACTACCAGCTATTTGACCTATGAGAATTTGCTTAACTTCTTTATGCCTTAGTTTCCTAACCCATGAAACATGGAAGACAATAGTACTTACTTAATAGGGTGTTTCTGAATATTAAGTATGATAATATAAATATAGCACTTAGTACAGTGTCTTGAATATAGCATTTTCTAAGTGTTAGCCAGGACTATCATTCTGAGACTTGGTGAGGCTGGGCATTCAACAGATGGTGCAACTGGTGCAGATGGACAACTTACAGCATGAAACTTTGGCCACAGCAGCCCTGCAGCTGCCTGAACTAAATAATTATTTTGCATGATTTTAGAAAGTCCCTGGGTTTTTAAATGTATTTGACTTAAGCCAAGAATTTAGAATTTTGAACTTTTTAATAAGTTAATACTTTTTCTGTTCTAATTATATTTCACGACAGAGTATGTTTATGATATTTTTCATTATAGAAATAATATAGGTTTGTTGAAAAAAAATGGCCACCATAGATAAATGTTAGTAAGAAAGTTAAAATAAAATGAAAGCTCTTTACCTTAAGGTAACATTAAAATTGTGGTGAATTTTCTCTTACACATCTCTGTATACATCTACGAAGCTCTGAGGTCCTGCGTCTCTCCAGGAGTCCCAGAAAGTCCAGGCTCCAATCAGGTCTCAAAGTTCCCTCCTGGTACAAAAGCAACTAAGTGTTGCATTCATTTTCCCCGTCAAGATCTTGGAAGAATAGAGGCCGTGTTTGTACTGTATCAGCTCCTGAAACTGCCCTGCTTAGAAAACAGATGGTAATTGACTTGTATTTGAGAGAGGCAGGCTGTAGACTCATTCATGTCTCCCTTTTGCAGTATCCACATTCTCTTTAATAAGTGTCTATATAAAAAGTGCCAACAGATTAACCTTTCTCACACTCCAGTCTTTTTATTCACATCCTTTACACAGCCTGTGGGCTGGGCAACATGGTCACAGAAAGCCTTACTCTAGAGGATATTTTATTCTAGAAGACAATATATAGCACAGATTTTCTTCCTTCATGACCATTTATTTATGACTTTTTGTTTTACCATCTCTTGAAACATTTACCTCTTTGTGAATGACTCTGTTCTTTTTTAGTATAATGACTTTTTTTAACCTAAAGATATATATTTCTAAAGATATATATGATACAATATTTTAACATTATGTTTCTAAGCAAAGACATCCTCATCAATAGACTTGACACACAGTGTACAGTCAGACAATATTATATAAAACAATGTTTGGATGAATAAGAAATTATGTTTTGTATATGCATGCCAAGTGAAAGGGCATGAAAGGGGTGCACCTTCTATGACTTTTGAGTCCGTTTTGTGCCTGCACTATTTCCATATTTTAAAGTCTCTGTGTACAAATGTTTTTCACCCTAAAAGTGGTTTGTATGTTATAATGTTATTTTTAAGTGCAGTTTGTGGTGGAAAATTGATGAATAAAATGGTGCAAAAGAAGAGCATACCTGTGTGCACCTGTGGCCCCAGCTATTCAGGAGGGTCACTTGAGCCCATGAGGTTGAGGCTACAGTGAGCAATGTTCCCACCCACTCACTCCAGCCTGGGCAGTAGAGGAAGACCCTTTCTTAAAAAAAAAAAAAAAAAAAAAAAAAAAAAGAACTTACCTTCCAAAGAATAACTGCCTTGAGCTCTCTCTCTTTCTCCAGTGACTATTTTCTACGTTCAGTCTCCTCATTCCTTTTCAGTGAAGACAGTAAATCTTCATGGCACTTAATTTTATGTGTAAGCTGTATTTATTTACTTTTAATTGTTGTTCTTAATTATATAAACTTGTTTTCTTTGTTCAATTGATATAGTTTTCTATCCACTGGAAATTGAGTATTTTGGATTGGATGAAATGAATCATAATTTGATCCATCAAAATTAATGGAAAAAATGTCATATAATGGCTTTTCATTTAGCAGGAAAGTTTTTAGAAATGAAGTAAAATTATGGGGAAGGATATTAAATATATACGGAAGCTAAAGCAACTCCATTTTGGATGGGAGGCTAAAGCAGCTCCACCTTGGAAACTAATCTGCCATGTTGGCTTAACTGATTAACTCCAATATCTGGAAGGCCTCTAAAATTTCCATTTATCTATTGTTCCTTGTGTAAGAGAAGGTACTTAACTTTAAATCCTGTCCTTAGGTCAAACAACCTTGATGTTATCACACTTCAATTGGCCTACAAATTCCATCTGAGCCACTAATTTCACTATGGTGTGTAAGCCCTGGATCAGAGACATAATGGTGCCAGGATCCGCCATCTTGTCTTGCCACCACCAAAGACACAGACATGGCTTCTGTTCCTTAAGTCCCTATTAAATGTTTGTTTCTAAGAAACAGGATATGTCAGCCTCTTTCTTAGGCCTCTCAGCTTCCTTGGACATTGGTGTAGGTTTGCACAGACCTGCCTATCTTGAAATGGTCTAGGTGTACTTATTTAGCTGCTTCATCACTGTTTCCCATGGACTTCTGATTCCTACTGGGGACTATTCATGAGACTGTCTACCTGTAGTCTCCAATAGCTAGATAATAAATCCTAGATTCTCCATATTTTTATTTCTTACAAACTTCTTCCTATTATTAATAACTGTATTTGTTAGGATTTTTGCTTATAAGAGTGAAACAAAATCTGTCATAGCAACATTGGGATTTTCTGGAATTATATAAGGGATTCACAGAATTGAGGACAGACTGGAAGAAGAAATCAAAGCTACAGGGTCAGTCAGTCCTGGAAACTACAGTCCAAAGTTGCTGGTGGGTACTAATACTGCCACCAGATCATTACTAGTGCCATTGGATCTGACTTTTGCATCATTAATTCTAATAATCTCTGGTCATTGGCTCATTTGGTCCACATCAAAAGTAGTGGGACAGTCTCATTGACTGAACTTGGGTCATGTGTTTTCTGCCTTTGGATTCTGTAGTGGAAGGTGGGGCTCTGCATCCCTTCTGCATAGCCCCCATGGGAGATTCTCCTGAAAGATAACAGGGGAATTAGTGTTGGAAGTCCTACAGGAAACAAATATCCTTTATTGTTGCCTTCATCTTATAAGTCATAATAAACCTAGTTAGTAAAGAAATAAATCTCAAGGAGAGTCATTTTCAGGGAGAAAGGAGACGTGTTAATGTAGCACCATGTGCTAAATTAGGAGGAGGCAGTTTTGTAATAGACATGTTTTTTGTAGAGATATCTGGGTGAGCTTATTTAACAGGGGCTCTAATGTATAGGCAATCTTTTTTTTTTTTTTTTTTTTTTTGAGACAGAGTCTCACTCTCACTCTGTCACCAAGCTGGAGTGCAGTGGCATGATCTTGGCTCGCTGCAACCTCTACCTCTAGGGTTCAAGTGATTCTTCTGCCTCAGCCTCCCAAGTAGCTGGGACTACAGGTTCACGCCACCACACCCAGCTAGTTTTTGTATTTTTAGTAGAGATGGGGTTTCATCATGTTGGCCAGGATGGTCTCAATCTCTTGACCTTGTGATCCACCCGCCTCAGCCTCCCAAATAGGCAACTCTTTTAATTGTCAAAGGCTAATGTGAGGATACCAGAGGAAGTTTAATATTTTAAAGTGCATCACATAAGGGCCAAATCACATGACGATTTATTGTGTGAACACAGTTTGGATTATCCATATGATATTCATATTGACAGCACTGATTTCATTTTAGGACAACAGCATCATCTGCTATATTAATGTTGTTAATACACTTTTTGTGGGTTTTGTTTATCAATTTACTTTGGTCTCATACTTTTATGAGAGCTATAAGAATATAGGTTTTCTATCTATTTCTATGTTTGTGCATACTTAAGTCAGCACAGTACATTTGTGAATGTTTTTTCTTTCAAAGGAGGTAACACATTGCTCATTCTATGGAAACATGACTCCTAGCTTTGATTAATGCACAGATACTCATTTTTATTCCAAATGCCATTCATCAATATAGTTCTTTTGATACCTTTTATCCCTGCTACTATAAAAATAGGGATTTTTTTTTTTTGCTTTGTTTTGTAGTGCTCTCATTTGGAGGCAGTTTAGCTGAATGGTTAAGAATTTAAGTTTTGAGCTGGGCACAGTGGCTCACACCTGTAATCCCAGCACCTTGGGAGGTGGAGGCAGAAGGATTGCTTGAGCCCAGGAGTTTGAGACCACCAAGTTTTAGTAACTTATTTTATTTTATTTTATTTTTTTTGAGATAGAGTCTTACTCTGTCACTCAGGCTGGAGTGCAATGGCATGATCACAACTCACGGCAGCCTGGGCTCAAGCGATCCTCCACCTCAGCTCCAAAAGTAGCTGCAACTACATGTGTGCATAACCACACCTGGCTAATTTTTGTATTTTTTGTAGAATTGGGGTCCTATTTTGTTGCTCAGGCTAGTCTCTAACTCCTGGGTTTAAGCAATATTCCCATCTTGGCCTCCCAAAGTGCTGGGATTACAGGCATGAGCCACCACGCCTGGCCTAGTAACAAAATACGAAAATTGTTTTGCCAGACAAAAGTCATCTTTAACATTTGCCCTTACTACCCACACACATACCTGAAATGGTTTCCTGTGGCTGCTGGGTGTGCAAAAAGAGACTCTAAGGCCTTTAGGCACATGAATTCAGAGCTCAATCCTTCGCTGGGGAATGTAGTTAGAATCCACATGGCTTGAACTCCATAATGGGAGCACACTGGGTCAGCCATTAACATCCAATTCATGTAAGCTCATGACTGAGGTTGCCCTTTGAAACAACCTGAGAGTCTTAAAAAATGCAAATATCTGGGGCTCGTCCCCAGAGATTCTGATTTAATTTGTTTGAAATAAGACCTGGGCAACTATTTTTTAAAACTCCTCAGGTGTTTTTAAGGTTCAGCTTTGAAAACCTCTGCTTTGCCTAGCTTACTTCAGGACCTCATTCTTATCAATTGCCCTCCTCTACATTGTAATTAAGCCATCTGTGGAACAGTTCTCCTATTAGATAGCCAATGACTATTTCACTAGACATGTTAGACCCTTGATGAATGATGATCATTCATTTCACCTTGGACATACAGCCCAAGAATGTGCATTGCCAATAAACAGCAACTACAAGCAAATGAGTTAGTTATTGTAATGTACCCCAAAGTGATACTTCACTGATTTCTGAGAAAAAGAAAAATACAATTTATTTTTGGACAGTGATGTGATACAGAAGATCGCTATATTAGGATGGTGAGATATGAGGGAGGCTTTGGGTGGTTAGAGGGTTTATTCAATCCTATGATTCTGTGATTCTAGGTATCTGAGATCTAAAAAGTAAAGCAGCAATGGGGTTAGAAAAAAAGATTTGGACAATGAAAAGAAGGTTGTGAAATCAAAAGCCTGAGTTCTTATTTCTTTCTCGTCTTCCGTTAGGGGCCTTGCGCAAATACCACAATGAATTTACCTCCAAGCCTCCCATTAGACACAAAGCCACTTTTACTCAGAGGTTTAGTTCTCTCTTCCATTCCCTGGCAGACAAATCCTAAATTGATTCCTCTAAATCGATTTCCTCTTTCTCTTTACATTATTAACATTGCTACTAAAACTTTACTGTACTCATAGATTCAAATGGGTTCAGATTTTCCAAAACATTTCTTGCCATAATGAAGGTGCAGCCACCAGCACGAATTTACTTGTCTCGGTTTGTGGTGGAAAAAAGTGAGAATGGCAAACTAGCAAGCTTCTACTTCTTCTGGCACATATCAGCCCCCTCCATTTTACCTGAATATCTCCTTCTCTGACCTACAGCCTTTGGACATTTGCTTAAATTCCAATGCATACCTACATATGCAGCTGTTTAGTGCCCACTTCCATCTGGGAAGTAGAAGCCTCGCTCGTTGCAACCTCTTTCGCCTTCTTCACCTTCTCTAGCTGCTCTCTCTTCTTTGCTCCCAGTGAGAGTGAATGGTTCCACCATGAACCCGGGGCCTAAAGCCAGGAAGCTGTGTGGTATCCGTACTATTTTCTTTTACCATGATCTCCAATCCATCACTACTATCCCTCCGAAGTATCCTGGAATCTATTCACTTCTCTCCATCTCTACTATGGAAGCTTTTAAGTATGCCATCACTATATCTCATCTGAATTACTGTGACAGTCTCCTTACTGATCTCCTTGCCATTAGCTTAGTTCCCTGGAGTTGCCATGGAGACATTCTTTCCTGTAAGGACAATAGGGAATGTAGCTTGAGAGTTTTAGAAATGACAAGTGTAGCATCTCAGTCATTTTTCCAGTGAACCTGAGAATTAGGGAAAACTTATTTGTTACCAAAATCATGACTTCACACTTATTCCTAGGTTGTAATGCTTTGGAAAACATAAGTTGTTATTATTTTGTCGTTTTGAGGAAGTTTTTATTACATGTTTTTGATTTGATTCTCATATACTATAGACATTATCTGATCTATTCTTGCAATACTCCTAAGTGATTACAATTAACCACAAACAATTGTTTCTACTTTATGGGTAGGGAGATTGATGCAGAGAAAGTATTTTTATGTCCAGTCATGCAATAGCTTCAATCAATAATCAATCAATAATCAATCAGAAATAAAGCCAGGTTTCTCCAACTTCTGACTTTACTATCTCTTGACTATGACTATATAGGCTGGCTGGTGAGGGGTAAAGAGTGAGGGGAGATAACCAAAACCTTGATTATTAGTGGTTATTTAAATTCACAGCAGGTAATGGGAAAATATAGGACCACGAGTTAGCAAGAAAGTTTGATTTTCACTGGTGGCTCTGCTACTCATTTGTTGAGTGACCTTTCAATAAGTCACTTCTTAGCCTCTCTGGGTTTCATTTCTTCCTTTTCAGGTAAGATAGGTATTTGGACCACATCTGAGATAGTTGACCTGGGCTCTATGGAACCCCCCATCCTGCCACCAGTCTCATCGTCCATGGATGGATTTCAAGGAGTTGGCAAACTAAACCTGTACCACCTGTGGAACACATGCACTTTTCTAAGCAGGAGGTTCAGAGACAATATCAGAATTTTAAAGAAGTCTGTGATAAAAAATTATTGACAACAAACAAATGAATAAAATTAGAATATACTGCCTAATAAATACCTAGGATCAAGTATTTTTAGGATTAAATGTGGTTATGTAACAAGAAAAGCTCCTTGCCCAGTGTAATTTCCAAGTATGAATTGTTATCAAATTTCAAAACACATAGCCCCCAAGTCAACCTTCAGAGAGATGTAAATAAATATGAGAGGTCAATCCATGATGTCTTTGTATCAGAATGCATTTGGAATCCTGATACTTTTAAATCTCTTCATTTGTCTTTAGTTCAGATTATATGGCTCCATTTTTTGTGTGTGTGAGAACTCCTGAGGAATTGTTGAGTCATTCATTTTGCAGACATGTGGGTACTCTAACTTCTCACAATGTGTTAATGTTTTAAATAAAAATGTACTTAAGAGGGCAAACAGTGACATTCCAATATGTACAGCTCATATTTTTGTTTGCAAACCCAATTAAACACATCATCTTGAAATCGTGAAATCATTCCAGAAACTGTACATGGCTTTCGAAAAAAAAAAAAAAGATTTTGGCAGCAAATAGGGGAGTTTCCTTGGAATTTCTGAATGCTTATATTATGCTCAGTGGGAGTTTGCTGCTGGAGCACTTGGAACTTGTCTGTGTTTGGAAAGCTGGGGAATTCTTATCATTGTACACATGGGAAAATATAGCAATTTTTTATTTGGAGGATGCAGTGAAATGAATGGTGGTCCATCTGGTGGTCAGGGAAATGTTGAATGATTCCCAATTTAACTTTTCTGTTCAGCCCTAGAATGCCTTTGATGCACATTCCCATGCAAATGTCTTTATACTTCTCTTTCTAGGCAACAACAACAATGCCAGTGATTGTTATCTATGCAAAGACTGAAGCCACTGCTCTAAGGTTGTGAAATTCTAGACGGTCTGCAACATCTCTGTCTCCTTCATTTCTATTCTTATCTTATACCACAATCACCATGTCTAACTCAGTCTTCACACAGGCATTTTATAGATACTTCCCTTACACTGAAGAGTAAGAATTATCTTCTTCATGCATTCTTGTTCATACATACATTTTTTTTTTCAGGATAGTTTTGTGCTTATCAGTTAAACAACCTGTAAGTAAATATTTCATTTTTTCTCTCTCCTTATGCATATTCTCTATCTCAGTAAATTTGTTTAACACATATGCTCTACAAGGCCCTTGATATTAAGAAGAGAAAGATGATTTAAAAAGAGCCTTTGGCTGGGCATGGTGGCTCACACCTGTATTCCCAGCCCTTTGGGAGGCTGAGAGAGGAGGATTGCTTGAAACCAGGAGTTCAAGATTAACCTGGCCAACATAGTGAGACCCATCTTTAAAGAGAAAACAAAATTTAAAAGAGCCTTTATCACTTAGGTGAATCACAGTTTTGAAGATGAAATAGGTGTGTGGACAATTATACTTTTTTCTTGGCCCTTGTCAAAATGGTAATTAATTAATCTGTTTTTGTCTCTCTCACCAGGTACTATTGGTATCTATTCAATGTTATTCCTAGCATCTACACATTGTGGGGCAAAACATGTACTTGTTGAATAAATTAATGAATTATGGCTAGGGCAATAATATTCTTTTTAATATATAGCATAACTGTATTTATTTAAGAATATATTCCAATATCAAAGGGAAAATTCCAACAATGCAAAAACCATGATTCCTTTTGCACGGACCTAATATGTACCGATGGGTTATACATGCCAATCAAGTAAAGGATTATCAAGTAAGTGTGATTTTTTAGTATGGACATTAAGTTGCTGATCACAGATTTTGACTTCAGTGGTGGAGCGTCTCATCGACATCTAAGGCAAACTCAGGAATTCCTAGAGCTGAGTCAGCATTTCTGTCAAGAATTGGCTTTGGGTCCATTCTGGCAAAAGAACACCTGCAGTATTGAATCCCTAAAACTTTACCCTAAAAACAGGATCAGGATGATTCCTAAATACTTATTTTTTATTTTTATTTTTTCCGTAAGTTATTCGGGTACAGGTCGTATTGAGTTACATGAGTAAGTTCTTTAGTGGTGATTTGTGAGATTTTGGTGCACCCATCACCCAAGCAGTATACACTGCACCATATTTGTAGTCTTTTATCCCTCGACCCCCTCCCACTCTTCCCCTAAAGTCCCCAAAGTCCATTGTATCATTCTTATGCCTTTGCGTAGGACAACAATATTCTAATAGAGGCACATTCAAGCTTCAGTGGAGGCAACTAGGATCTTCTTAATTCGGCATAGAGACATCAGAGGTTTCACAAAAAAAGACAATGTCTAAGCTGAGACTTATAAGAATCAGTAGGCGTCAAGGAAAACAGGTAAGTTGACTACGTTTCTGTTGGATGCAGCAAAATATAAATACAGGAGCTGTTAGGAGATAGAGCTGAAAAGAACTTTTTTCCTGTAGGTTGGCATTTCCTAAAGTGTGTTCTGAGAACAGTGGTCCTATCTGTTGCTCAGAGAAAGTAGTTTTCCATGGTACGCTGGTAAATGTTTAACAACTGGCTTCCTTGAAAAAATAAGTCTAAAACTTCTCACTTTAGGTTGCAGCCTAAAACTTCTTAAAAGAGGTATGGCTCAAGCAGAAATTTTAAAAGATAAAATAAGATTCAGAATAGCCATTCTAATGGGGGAAAATTACTTTTATCCGGAATTGTTAAAAAAGAAAAAAGAAGATAATAGAAAAAAGCAAAAGGCGGATCACTTGAGGTCAGGAGTTCGAGGCCAGCCTGGCCAACATGGTGAAACCCCATTTCTACTAAAAATGCAAAAATTAGCCAGGTGTAGTGGCAGGCACCTGTAATCCCAGATACTCAGGAGGATGAGGCAGAAGAATTGCTTGAGCCCGGGAAACGGAGGTTGCAGTGAGGACTAAAAAATTCCTGATTTGTAACATTTGTTGGGAAGAAATGCTGAGTAGCACATCATTCTATAATATTTCCATCACAGTTATACAGGAGATGTGCACAGATACATAGATATTAGTACATGTAGTCACATGATTAGGAAATGATAAATGTTGAGTATTTATTGCTTTAGTTTTTAATATAATTTATCCAATTGTAAATTTTTTATAATTTGTATGATGGCTGTTTACTGGTTTTCCTAATTCACAAAACTTTAACATTTGACTTTTATAAGCTGATAACAGCTGGATTCAGCATATCACAGGTCAAGTATACTCAGGGAACATGGTTTAATACAGTATATTTGTTATATATTAAAGGGCCTGAGAAGTCTTGAAGCAAAAATACATGTCTTAGCTTACTGGTTGAACAACAAAACCCATTTTTCGTATACTAGGTATTAACAAGTCACATAGCCAGAGCACCATGGCATCATATATTTTGGAGGCATGGTGACTCAGTATTCAATGTGCTTATCTCTTTTCTATTACTGGAAATGGTAATCAAATTTACTTTTTTCTATTATCTTCTTTTTTGTTTTTTACCAATTCCTGATAAAAGTAATTTACCCCCATTAGAATGGCTACTCTGAATCTTATTTTGTCTTTTAAAATTTCTGCTTGAGCCATACATCTTTTAAGAAGTTTTAGGTTGGGTGCAGTGGCTCATGCCTGTAATCCCAGCACTTTGGGGAGGCCAAGGCGGGTGCATCACTTGAGGTCAGGAGTTCAAGATCAGGCTGGCCAACATGGTGAAACCCCATTTCTACTAAAAGTGCAAAAATTAGCTGGGCTTTAGTGGCAGGCACCTGTAATCCCAGATACTCAGGAGGATGAGGCAGAAGGATTGCTTGAGCCTGGGAAATGGAGGTTGCAGTGAGTTGAGATCACGCCATTGCACTCCAGCCTGGGTGGCAGAGTGAGACTCCATCTCAAAAGAAAAAAAGAAGTTTTTCTCATTACCCTGTATGAGTCTATTTTCATGCTGCTGATAAAGACATACCCAAGACTGGGAAGAAAAAGAGGTTTAATTGGACTTACAGTTCTACATGGCTGGGGAGGCCTCAGAATCATGGTGGGAGGTGAAAGGCACTTCTTACATGGTGGCAGCAAGAGAAAATGAGGAAGAAGCAAAAGCAGAAGCACCTGATAAACCCATCAGATCTCGTGAGACTTATTTAGTATCATGAGAATAGCATGGGAAAGACTGGGCCCAATGATTTAATTACCTCCCCCGGGTCCCTCCCGCAACACCTGGGAATTCTGGGAGATAAAATTCAAGTTGAGAGTTGGGTGGGGACAAACCATATTATTCCACCCCTGGTCCCTCCCAAATCTCATGTCCTCACATTTCAAAACCAATCATGCCTTCCCGAAGTCCCCCAAAGTCTTAACTCATTTCAGCATTAACTCAAAACTCCACAGTCCAAAGTCTCATCTGAGAAAAGGTAAGTACCTTCCACCTATGAGCTCATAAAATCAAATGCAAGCTAGTTATTTCCTAGATACAATGGGGATATAGGTATTTGGTAAATATAGCCATCCCAATGGGAGAAATTGGCTGAAACAAAGGGGTTACAGGGCCCATGGAAGTTTGAAATCCAGCAGGGTGGTCAAATTTTTTTACTAGGCAGTGCACCAGCAGGGATTCTGTGTGGAGGCTCTGACCCCACGTTTTCCTTTTGCACTGTCCTAGCAGAGGTTCTCCATGAGAATCCCACCCCTTCAGCAAACTTTTGCCTAGGCATGCAGCCATTTCCATACATCTTCTGAAATCTAGGTGGAGGTTCCCAAACCTCAATTCTTGACTTCTGTGCATCCACAGACTCAACACCACATGGAAGCTGCCAAGGCTTGGAGCTTCTACCCTCTGAAGCCACAGCCTGAGCTGTACGTTGGCTCCTTTCAGCCACGGCTGGAGCGGCTTGGACACAGGGCACTAAGTCCCTAGACTGCACACAGCATGAGGACCCTGGGCCCAGTCCTCGAAACCACTTTTTCCTTCTGGGCCTCTGGGCCTGAGATGGGAGGGCCTGCCATGAAGTTCTCTGACATGGCCTGGAGACATTTTCCCCATGGTCTTGGAAATTAACATTAGGCTCCTTGTTACTTATGCAAATTTCTACAGCTGGCTTGAATTTCTCCCCAGAAAATTTTTTTTTTTTTAATCCCACAGTCAGGGTGCAAATTTTCCAAACTTTTATGATCTGCTTCCCTTATAAAACAGAATGCCTTTAACAGCACCCAAGTCACCTCTTGAATGTTTTGCTGCTTAGAATTTCTTCTACCAGATACCCAAAGTTCCACAGATCTCTAGGGCAGGGGTAAAAATGCCACCAGTCTCTTTGCTAAAACGTAACAAGAGTCACCTTTGCTCCAGTTCCCAACAAGTTCCTCATGTCCATCTGAGAAGACCTCAGCCTGGATTTTATTGTCCATATGTGTATCAGCATTTTGGGCAAAGCCATTCAACAAGTCTCTAGGAAGATCAAAACTTTCCCATATTTTCTCGTCTTCTTCCAAGCCCTTCAAACTGTTCCAATCTCTGCCTGTTACCCAGTTCCAATGTTGCTTCCACATTTTCAGGTATCATTTCAGCATCGCCCCACCCTACTGGTACCAATTTACTGTATTAGTCCATTTTCACACTGCTGATAAAGACATACCCGAGACTGGGAAGAAAAAGAGGTTTAATTGGACTTACAGTTCCACATGGCTGTGGAGGCCTCAGAATCATGGTGGGAAGCAAAAGGCACTTCTTACATGGCAGTGGCAAGAGAAAATGAGGGAGAAGCAAAAGCACAAACCTCTGATAAACCCATCAGATCTTGTGAGACTTATTCACTATCATGAGAATAGCAGGGGAAAGACTGGCCCTCATGATTCAATTACCTCCCTCTGGGTCCTTCTCACAACACATGGGAATTCTGGGAGATATAATTCAAGTTGAGATTTGGATAGGGACACAGCCAAACTATATCAACGGCAATTTTCTTTTCCAGTCTAAATCTTTTTCTTGTAATTTCCACTTTCCCCACAATTCATTAATGTTTTCCTATCACACCATTTCTAATCTGATATATACAGCTGTAAACATAATGTATTTATAACACAGATTTGTGTCCATGCTTGTCTCACCTCTGCTAGAGGGTCACTGTCCAATAGAGTAGGTTCTGTGCCTTTGATAGTTTCATAATGTAACAATGCCTGATACAGAGTTCCACAAAGAGTGTTTATTATATTATATTTATATTATATATAATATATATTTTATTTATATTATATATAATATATATTCTATATATATTATAATATTATATTTCCAGGCTAACAAATGGATGATTATAAAGAAGAGATAACACAGAGCTTCAGAATATTCAAGGTTTGTTTTTCTAGTTTACACAAGCTTGTTAATCAGAGCTAGAAGCAGATGTAATAGAAGATTTTTGCAGCACCTGGAAAATAATTCTGAATCTATATAATGGTTAGCTAAATCAGAGGTCTGGCTGGGACCCTTTTATTTGTCATTTGAACCTAGGACTCTCTGGGAGTGTGCCAAAAGAACACATAAAAGAACATTTTTTCTCCTATTTACTCTTTAATCTCATCTTCCTCCTTCCTCTTCTTCCCTCCTACTCCTCACCCTCCTCCTTTTCTTTCATCTCCTTGTCTTCCTCCTCTCCTCTCCCTCCTTCTCTTCTTCCTCTTCTTGCTGTCCTCCTCTCCCTCCCACTTCTACTTCCATCACTCTTCCTCCTCTTTCTCTTCATTAATAGAATATGTTTTCAATTTCGATCGTACCCTACAAATTGTAGAAATAAAGTCACTAACTTTGGAAATGAAAGCTAGAAATAATGATTAGAAAATAAATCCCAGGTATTATCATATTGTTTGCTGTGGCACTGTACTCCTTACCAACAGACTTCTTTATTCATTTCTTTAGAAATTCGAGAAACTTGACAGGTGGCCATGTAGCTTCCACTCACACTTAAACTCTTAGAAGTGCCAACAATCCTCTATAATGCTTAATAATGGTATAGGGTGATAACCCAGCTTGTTTATGTTAGTATCATTGTGTGTTGAACTATATCTATGATACGTAGAATGCATTTAAGAACTTTTCCTCCTGATATTGTATTATAGAATTACAATACTTATTTTATTATTAAGAAAATTTACATATTTTATTAGCAATAGAAGAAATCATAGAAACTATGTTATTGAACTGCATCTATAATATTGAAAAGAACAAAAATCTTAAATGCACATAACTAGCTTGCTGAAGGCATGAGGAAGAAAGCAGCTACTCACATTTACTCCTTAGAACCACGATACTTCTTTGTAATATAATTTAGTGTTGTTAAGGAATAGTCATTTCTTATTTCCTAAAAGATTTCTGTGGTTTATACACCTGGCCTTTGGAGCCTCATTTCTTTATCACCTCATGCTTTTAAAAAACTTTCTCCAAAGTTGCAGGGAAGGGACTTCCCTGGACCTACATGGTTTACTGAAAAATGAGAGGTTAAATTGACCTCAGGGTGAGTGAAGGACAGAAACCTGACTTGCTCCACAGAGAAAAACTCCTGAGATTTACAATGAGATGTATTCTCAGCCCTCACTTCCCTTTTCTGTGGTCATTTTTTCCTCCAGGCCTAAACACTTTAAGCTGTTCCTTCTGTGTAAGGAAATCAATTTGGCCACCTCTTTCATAATCAAGAATTATAGAATGAATTACTACTCATGGAGAATTTGCCATTTAAAAGGTGGTAACTTGACATCCCATTCTTACCGTTGTTAAGCAAGAGTGGAAGACTGGTAAAATTAATCACTTCAACTGCCATTGCTCTTTCAAAATCCAGGCTGTTTCCTTGAATGCATCACTGTTAGGAAGAATGCTAACTGAGTCCCATTCAACATGTACAACTGTAGCCAGATTCTGACAACAGGGGAAATATACTTGCAGCAAGACTGGGCAAGGTGGCCATAGGCGATAGAGCGAGCCTTGAGGTAAAGGAATTCTGTTTCTCCTAATTGATAAATCGGTCCTGATCATGACCCCCTGCTGGCAAAATATCGTAAACGCCTTTTTTCACACATTGGTTAACAGGCAGCACAGGACAGTGATTCTTGAGAGAAAGCGAACAAATCAGGTGAGGCCTAAAATCATCTTAGCTTCCCACCTGGAGGCCCTCTCAAGGTTGATTCACAGGAAGGGGAATCCAAGCAGAAGTAATAGTTTCACAGAGTCCACTGAGGAGCCAGACTCAGAAAACACAGAGGGTGAGGATTTTCAATTTATGTGGGAAAGCACTCAGTGAGGACGTAGCTATGCAGAAAAAAGAGCTACAGAAATTTGCCTAATGGTCACCTGAAGTCTGCTGCTGAATTCTAAGCTGTGGATTGATAGGGTGAAACTGTGGTCAGGCAAAGAACTGCTAGGGAGCTGATAAATTTCCAGAACTCATATAGCACTAAGAGGCTTTACATTTCCAAATACCAAGAGTAGAAATACCTCATTAAAAAGATCAATAAAAACAACATACCTGTAATCCTAGTACTTCGGAGTCCAAGGCAGTAGGATCACTTAAGCTTAGGAGTTTGAGACCATCCTGGGCAACAGAGCAAGGTCTTGTCTCTATAAAAAATTAAATATTTAGCCAGGTGTGGTGGTGCATGCCTGTAGTCTTGCTGCTCAGGAGGCTGAGATGGGAGGATTGCTTGAGTCCGGCAGCTCGAAGCTGCAGTGAGCTGTGATCATACCATTGCACTCAAGACTGGGTGACAGAGAGTGATTCCCTGTCTCAAAAAAAAAAAAAAAAAAGAGAGAGAGAGACAGATTGTCAATATCATATGATACTGTTTGGCTCTTTGTCTTCACCCAAATCTCATGCCGAATTATAATCCCCACTGTTGGAGGAGGGGCCTGGTGGTGAGGCAGGAAAACAGGGTCTGGATGCAGGGAATATAAGGCCAATTCACACTTCAGCTATGACAGGAAATATCCTCTCTGCAGGGCACAGGCCAAGTAAATAACTTTGTAACTTTACTTCACCCTCTCCATTTACATAAGGTGTACCTGAAGTAACCAGTGGAATCCTCTAGAGGGTAAACTCCCCAAAATACTGTAACGGGGCCCTTGAGCCCCTATGCCTGGGCTCACTCCCACACCATGGAGTGTACTTTGATTTTCAATAAATCCCTTAATTTCTTCCTTGCTTTGTTTGTGCATTTTGTCCGATTCTTTGTTCAAGACTCCAAGAACCTGGATACGCTCCGTGGGTGACAGTGGGAGATGATTGAATCATGGGTGTGGTTTCTAATGGTCTCGTGATAAAGTTCTCACGAGGCCATTAGAGTACTGTTTCATGATAAAGTTCTCATGAGAGTTGGTTGTTTGAAAGCGTGTAGCACTTCTTCCTTCACTCTCTCTCTTCCTGCCAGCCATGTGAAGATATGCCTGCTTCTCCTTTGCCTTCGTCCATGATTGTAAGTTTCCTGAGGTCTCTCCAGAAGCAAAAGCCTGCACAGCCCACAGAACTAGAACTATCAGCCACTTAGACCTCTTTCCTTTATAAATTACCCAGTCTCAGGTATGTCTTTTAGCAGTGCAAGAACAGACTAATACATCAGAAATAAAGGAAAAGCCATCAGTCTAGATCCTATCAACATTTAAAGAATAACAAGGGAATATGAACAATGTGATGACAATACATTTGGTAACTTTGATTAATGGACATACTCCTTGAATGACACAGATTACCAGAATAAACACAAGAAGTAGCAGAAAGTCTGAAGAGTAGTCTAGAAGTTACTCCATCTTGAGGTGGTACTTTAGGTTCCCCATCCTTCCTGGTTTTGGCTAAGGTAGCAGAGTTGCTTACCCTGACAAAGCTCAACATAAAGGTCAGAGCAGTTTACTGCATGTTTCATGAAACATGAAACAGAGGGTGTTTAGCTGTGAAGGCACTAAGGTAGACAGTGTAAAAGCAATAACGCAAGCAAAACCCCTCCTGAGAAATTCATCATTGAAGAGTGAAAATAAGAAAGTGAAACTTGTGAGGGAGAATGGGGAATACCATTCAGTGAGCATAAAAGTAGGACAGAGCAGTTGCTTGGAATCAGCCATTAGGGAAGAATTCACTTGATATCCAAGAGATAATTCATAAAATAAGGCTGAAGAAGAAACAGATAAAGATGAGATTCTTAGTACAGGTAAAAGGTGTTTTGTTTTGTTTTTTTTTTTTAAATAGCAGGATATTTCCTTTTTTGGCTAACAAAACTGAAGGAGAAGTGGTAATAAGATAAAGTTTTCAGATTAGGAAAGAAAGAAGTCAACAAAACTTCTAGTTAAGTTGGAATTGAGAACTTATGTACCTTTTTAAAACCAAAGAATGATGAATCTGTGCAGAAGAAACAAGACAAATAAAAAGGGAGTTAAGTTTCCAGGAGTGGGAAAATGATTAGGAAATATATGGGGGAAACTATGAAAGATAAGGGTTATTTTAGTAGGTTTGTTTATACAGATCCATTTTGGTGGATATCAACACCCAGTCTCCCATTCTCATGGGAATTTTTATGACATGGTTTTAGGTAGAAACATGGAGATCAGAGACCCCTTTCTGCATCTGCTGTTTCTCAAGCACCTTTAGCTCAAAATAACCGATATGCCCACGCTGCATATTTTGGGTGGCATGTTCTGAACTCCTGTGGAATGACTGAAGTCTTTGTTCAAGGTCTCATAAGCCTATAATCAAAGTGTAGGCTGGGCTTAGTTATTGTCTGGAGATTCTGGGGAAAAACCCATTTACAAGTTCATCCTTGTTTTTGGCAGAATTCAGTTCCTTGACTGACAGTCAAGGATGCCTGTCAGTAGCTAGAGGTTTCCCACGTTCCTTGACATATAGTGCATATACACACACACACACACACACACACACACACATGTGTATATGTATATACATATGTGTATATATATACACATATGTGTGTGTATATATATAGTGTGTATATATGTATAAAGTTTATTTATATATATATATATATATATATATATATATATATATATAAACTTTAATGAGGATTGTGAACCTGCTGAAAGCCCTTAGGACATTCCAAAGTCCAAAGGTCCAAAGTGAGTCACTTGAGATTATGTGTGGCTCTGCT
Organism: Homo sapiens; assembly: GCF_000001405.40. Classification (NCBI taxonomy): domain Eukaryota; kingdom Metazoa; phylum Chordata; class Mammalia; order Primates; family Hominidae; genus Homo; species Homo sapiens. The sequence goes on from NC_000004.12 coordinate 174,448,142, forward strand.
TGCCCAATTAATGTACACATCTGTAGTTGAAGTATAGCTATTCTAATGTCATCATGCTGAAGGTAATCTAGTTGGTGTCTTTTGAATAAATAAATGATGTACATTCTCTAGTCTCTAGAGCAACTTTTGGATGACCAAGATTGAATCCTTTGAAAAAGGATGACCATTTTCTCACTTTTTTTGTTATGTTGCATGTTTTTCTAATACCTGTCACAGTTAGTCCTGAGAATATTATAGGATAAATACTGGTCTTTTGTATATGGGCTGTCCCATCTGCATTGACTTTGTACTTATGATTCATACTTTCAGGCAACATTTACGCCAACTATGCCAAAGAGCATGAAGATTTTTTTTGGCTTATTCCCTACCTACTGTCAGCTTATGTATTTGCAGTTATACTTCCCTATTTCTGTTGGCTTGTAAAAATGTGTTTCTTCAGTACAAAATTTGTTCATATTGAGTTAAAATGCCAATTTGAGTTAAACTGGGTTTCACTGATCATCTTGTGAGTGCCTAGCTGATCTAAATTATCCTTTTTTGCAATCTAGATGGAAGTTGAGGCTGGGTGCGGTGGCTCAAGCCTGTAATCCCAGCACTTTGGGTAGATCACCTGAGGCCAGGAGTTCAAGACCAGTCTGGGCAACATGGTGAAACCCCATTTCTATAAAAATACAAACATTAGCTGGGCATGGTGGTGCTTGCTTGTAGTCCTAGCTACTTGGGATTCTGAGGCAGGAGAATCACTTGAACCTGGAAGGTGGAGGTTGCAGTGAGCCTAGAGCACACTACTGTACTGCAGCCTGGCAGATGGAGTGAGACTCTGTCTAAGAAAAAAAAAAAAAGACGTAAGTTTAAAGCATCAATTATAAAATCAGTAGCGTTTACTAATTTAACAAAAGTTTACATTCCTTGCTTTTGCATAGATTGGTTAAAAATGTTGTTAATTTTTCAACTCATGTTTAAAAAGGGATGAATTTCTGATTTTAATTTAAAATGTCTCATCATTAGATATTTTTTAGAATTTAAGTTGTGTAACTAATATTTGTCACTTTGATTTGCCATGTATATAATTCAATCCTCTAGATATTACGCAAATGCATCCAAAACTTGGTGATAAAGCACTGCTCTCCATAACCAATATGTTAGCCAAGGCCTTGAATTAGTATTGTTTAGAGGTATCTGTCCTACTGAGACAACTCTAACTGAAATGAAATGTTTTCTGGTGAACAACTTTCCAGACTTAAGTCATCTGTGCACTCTGTTCAGCTCATCACAGTAATTTAAAGGACTTGGCATTAGGAAAATGATTGTAAAACTTCAAAGTCATGTACTAAAACTTTTTCTAGCAGCCACATTAATGGCAATATCTCCATGAGTGAACATTTAGTTTATCCCACCTGCCAAATATATAAATGTTTACATCTTTCAAAATGGTAGAATGTGTAGGTTAAATAAATTTTAAAATCTTCTTCACCTTGTAGCAATATCACTGACCCAGCACTGGGGAGGGGTCACTCTTCCAGGTGAAAGATGTTCTTGAGCTGTCTCTCACTATTCCATTGCTCAGGGGTGGGTCTATTTCTGCCGTTTCCTGGGCTTCCATCCCTCTGGACCACTAACTGGATCATGTCGGTTTCTTAGGGATGTGGGAAGTTTGTGGGTGTGGGTATGTGGGGAAGTGAGAGGTAGCAAAATCTCCAGAAGCAATCTCATTTTGAAAAATGTATGCATTTATCAAATATATTAGGCTAAATATCTCTGAAATGTGTGACAAGTTTCAATTTCCCGAGAAGGACATTGATTCTATTCCACAGATTTTCTCTGGAAACAATAAATCAATCATCATTTTACATCATCCGTTCTGTAGAATATTTTGCTCTCATGTTCTTGTTGATAAACAAGAAACATTCCACTCCACTTAGGTCAGACAATACTTGGAGAAATGGAAATGTCCATTTCCAGCAGGGAATGTGTTGATCAGGAGAAGTTGAGCAGACAGAGAGCTCCAAGGACTTTTCAGTTTCTCAGATTCAGGTCTCTATGGCCTACTTTTATTACTTTGTCTGAAATGCAAATTCTCAGAATGCCAGGCACACCCATATTCCAGTGCAAGAATAAAAACAAAATTGAAAGCCAACTACAGTTGAGCTTTTTATTGCCTATCTCTTTGATCTTGTCCTCTCTCGTCTATCCTTCTCACTCCCAATTAACTGGAATAATCCGAAGGCTGTCTGTATTTAGTGATAAACAACTATAAAAAGGAGGTAATTCATACAATGTAGATACATTCCTAAATGACCAGAAGGCCTCTCTTCTTGCTGAATGTTCTGAACAGTATCAGGTGTTACTGATACGTTGTTTCTCAGTGGTATAGCTGACCTTTATTAAGAGAAAAAAATGCAGGGATGAATTCTCAAATCCAGCCGCTGCTGCTGTTGGGCCTGTTTTCTTTTCTCACAGAAGATTAAGGGTAGGCTTACTTGAGATTCTATGTTCTGGCAAGTCTTGTTGCTGAACTTGGCAGGAGCATTCAAATATCTTTATTAGATGCCATGAATCAAGTTCCATTGCAGAATTCATAACCTTTCAAATCTGGCTGCCTTGTTTTGTCAACCTCACAAAAAAGGTGTGGCTTCAAATAATGTTCATTTTGTGGTGTAGTGATCCAGTGATAAAGGTAAATCTTGTTCCATAGCCTATGCAGGCAATCTTCATTTAAAACACATGGATCTGTGAGTTTGAAATGTCTACAGAAGTTCCAAATATGATCCACAAGATTTTGCCAAAGAAAAGAGTTGGGCTGAAAAAGTACTAGCTTTTTTTGAAAAATGCCAATATTTTCTTTGAGCCTGATGACAGTCCGTTGGCTTTTGTTCTTTAAAGATACAAATCGCCATAGTTTTAGTGGGAAATTATGTTACTACTTTCTTGGAGCAAAGATTTGAAATTGCTCTCTCCAAATCGCTTCCAATTCCAGAAATCTGGCCTAAGGGGATCCAAAATCTTAGAGATGTACAAGACTTAGCCTGCCATTCAGGCATGGCCCCAGCTATCAAGAAAAGCTATAGACAATCAGGAGGTTTTGTAAATACCAGTGAGAAAAAAACTTAACTTGTGTATGGTATAGGCACTCTTGAACCTGAGTTTTGCTTTTGTAGCAGTACTTTAGCCTGGAGGCCCTTGGAGGTGAAAGAGTATATTCAACAGGCACATTCAGAAACCCATCTCTCTATGGAGGTGAAAGGTATTGAAAGATAGACTATCAGTTCCCTGAGATTAATAAAGGGAAGATAGCATCTTCAAGGATGGTTTTGGTGTGCACTAACATTCTGTATGACAGGCGACAGGTGACAGACTAGCATAAAAATTCTGGTCCAAATCTGAAAATCATAAAATTGCCCAAATAAATATAATTTAATGGCATTTTTGTCTATGCATGATGCAATTGTGGATATGAATGTATTAGACATCTATTGCTTTGTATAAAGTAAAACTGTTCTTTTGTGTTTATGAAAATATCCGTGGTGAGCTGGGGGCATTAGCTTTATGTAAAAAATGTTGTGTTTGGGGTATTGTATGTGGTTATTTCATAGAGAATAATTCTATGTTAGAGTAAAGACAGAAAAGCACTTGCTATTTCAGCTCCTATTTCTGATTCTGTGAAACTTTGATAATAGGTCCATGGATGTAGTGGACTAAATGATCAACGTGCATTATGTCTCTTTAAGACTCAGATTACCTAGGAATGCAGTTTTTTTCCCAGTTGTGTAATAGCAGCTGACTGAACACACAGATTAAATCCTATTACCTTCACAGTGGCTATCTATTGCTTTTAATTGTTCAGAGGCACTATGCCAGGGTAAAACCCTGTCATTTTGAGAGGTCACATTCGGAAATGGAACACCTTAGTTATGTATACTAGTGCCATTTACATGCTTAACACTCCACCTGTGTTCTCACAGCCACTGTATGCTGTAAACACTCTTTGTTTATTAAGTCTTATGATGCAAACTTAACAGAATGACTGAGAAAACAACCTGCCATTGTTTTTCTCCAGTTGCCATCCATTAAGAACATTTTGATTTGGAAATTTATCCTCTCCTTCCTATATATTTAAAGCCTCTGTTAAAAATCAAATGGACCTTGAGCAAACTTTTAAAGGTCTGGGAGGTGTTTAATTACTTGGTACTGAAACTCTGGCATTTTGTATTTTTTTTTTTTTTTTTTTGGTAATTGCTATTATACCTCCTCCTGTGGTACAGACTCCCCTTCGCAGAAATCCCCATAAATTAAACTTCTTTCCATTAGTGGAGAGATGAAGAAAGGACAGCCCTGTTTTAGTTTCCTCCATAGAATAATGCATATTTATTTTATATCGTGAGAGGCTGTTAGGTTTGGGCTCTGCTTCCAGAGGTCCAGATGGTTTAATAAAAAAAGTAGAATACATGGCATATTTTCTTTTTCTCATCGAGAAAGAAACAGCTTTATGTCAAGTTAATTTGTAAGTTACAAGTTGAAGGAAACTGCTATGTAAATAAAAAGACTGATAAAAGAGAAGAAAACAGGGCAGGTAGAGGCATCCTGCCCAGAAAAAAAAAAAAAAAAAAGCATATAATAAAAAATGACTTCTTTTAAACAAAGACTGAAATGTTTACATGATTTACCTCAGTCTGAGTTTATACATAGCTCTAGCCCCTGAAGTAATCTCAGCTCCAGTGTATTTGCAAACAGCTAGTGTCCTAAATTCTTCACTATGTAATACATTAAGAAGAACATGTTATGAGTTAAAACCAAAAGAAAAAAGAAACAGTATGAATAAGCAAGTTAAGACTATGAAGGCTTGCCCAAGGGCAGATATTCAGCAACATCCAGACACATACAGTTTGGAGCGAACTTGATTAATGCTTACACAAAACTTGTTAACCTCTAATAATTAAAACTTTCCCTTCTGATGGAAAGTTCAGTACAGTATTTTTAGAGCCTTTTGGATTTTATCTCTTAACAGAAGTATATACATGTAGTTCATAGACTTGCTCTTTTGTTTTACAATATCCACCTTTAAACAAGAAAGACTGAAAGAATAGTTGAGGATTTTGCAGCATTATCTTGGCTATATCAACAATTTAACAATAACAAACTAGTTTTTTGAGAAAAAAATGGAATGAAAAAATATTAAAGATGGGAATTTTGGATGGAGACTTTAAAAGTATAGTATCATATACTAAACACTATATGGGAAACCATATTTAAATCTAGAATATTGAAAGAAATTCCATTAACCCTATGAAAAAAATGCTTCTTTCCTTTGAATAATAGTCTTTTGTTGGGAACACCAGACACTGGAGAATACAAGAGAAAAAGAGGGGTAAAAGTTGAAAAAGCTACCTATTGGGTACTATGCTCACTACCTCCATGACAGATTGATTTATATTTCAAACCTCAGCATCATGAAATATAGCTTTGTAACAAACCTCCATGCATACCCCCAATTCTAAAGTAAAAGTTGAAAAGAAAAAAATAATAATCTTTTGTATGCAGCAATTCATACACATTTATTATATTATCATTGAACATTCTAGTCACATAATCTTTAAACATGAGGAAATATTCTGACAATGGAATTGAAAAGTTCATGAATCATTTTCATAACAGTCTATATATATTTACACAAGGAATAGCCAGGATATTCAAATAATTTCAGCTTTGGCTAAAGTTGCTAGCACCATCAAAGTAGAATTTCTTGATCCATTTTTGGAAGGGATAGGGCAGAGTGGGGAGCAAAGGCTTGGGCAGGCTGGGCTGGGACCTGACAGGTGTTCATGCCTGGTTGGTGTTTTGAGTACAGCATTGGATCTGTTGGGATAATTGCTAACAGAGAACTGATAAAAATAAAACAATACAAATAAAAATAAGAATAAAATAAACTTTATTGAGTACTTACTAAACTCAGAGATTGTTCTAAATGCATTATATATTTTTTCTTTTTAAAACTCACAGTAATCCTATAATAGTTACTATTAGTTTTAATATCCCAATTTTCTTTGTTTTTAATCAGACTTATACAAATACTTACATTGCCATGAAATTAAGATACTCAATCAGAGTTTCCAAATTCTGGAGGAATCAGTCAGGAAGAAAAATACATTATTTGTAAATGTACATTTTGGTTTATTAAGATATAATCCACTAAATTGTTGTGAGTGATAGATTGCTTCAGAGAAAGGTGCTCTTCATTTATCTGGAAAAATAGAACGTTAAAACATCAATAGTGTTCCAAACAAAACCCTGCAACTATCCCTCATCAATTCATTCAGTTCTATATAATTAATTCTTGTTCTGCTCAGACCTGAGTTAGACTCTTGGGTCTCATGAATCCATCTGTTTCTTGACTAGAATTGGGGAAATCCTGATTCAGTCCAGTGAAATTTCCATGTTAAAAAAAATTGAGGAAATTAATTACTTAAACAGAAACCCAACTATTCATTGCCAATAGATCTAGCTTCCTGATCAAGATTTTGATAAGGTCTCCCCAAGGTTTTTTTGTTTGTTTGTTTGTTTTTGTTTTTGTTTTTTTTGGACAGAGTCCCTCTCTGTTGTCCAGGCTGCGGTGCAGTGGCACGATCTTGGCTCACTGCAACCTCCTCCTCCCGGGTTTAAGCAATCCTCCTGCCTCATCCTCTTGAGTAGCTGGGACTACAGGCACCCGCCACCATGCCAGGCTAATTTTTGTATCTTTTTAGTAGAGGTGGGGTTTCACCACCATATTGGCCAGGCTGGTCTTGAACTCCTGACCCTGTGATCCGCCCACCTCGGCCTCCCAAAGTGCTGGGATTATAGGCATAAGCCACCGCGCCCGGCCTTTCCCAAGGTTTTGATAAAGACTTCCTTCTTATCTTTATAGGGAGAAACATACAAAGACTTGGCAAGCTCAGAGGCCATGTAGGTAAGTGACCAGATCTAAAGGTAGACCCAAAGGCAGCAGCTCAGACAGTTTTCTTGCATTAATAATTACATAGAGCCAAGCAAGGAGCTAATTTTAAAAATCAAAATTAGCTTAATCATAAAGGAACAGAACTCACACCCAGAGGGAAAGTTACCTTTACTGGTGTGACTTTCTGCTATTACTTAGAGGCCTTTGCACTTTGTCCCTGAGGTGGGTACCTTATGAACTGGCCAATATCTAACCTAGTAGAATGAAGTTTAGATGTATTCTGTGGGAGGGGAGGCTTAGATCCTAGTCTTAGATCTACTAGTGAGTCAAGTAGTTTCAGTATGTCATGGGAATATTGGGTAATCTATTAACAATATAAGATATATATATATAATATATATAAAGTATATATATTTTATATACATTAGTATATATAATATATATAAAGTATATATATTTTATATACATTAGTATATATAATATATATAAAGTATATATATTTTATATACATTAGTATATATAATAATATATAAACAATATAAGCTATATAATTTATTAACAATGTAAGCAATATATATAGCTTACATTGTTAGCTATATATAGAGAGCTTACCTTGTTAATAGATTACCCAATATTTGTTTTATATATATATATTATGTATGTGTGTATATATATGTGTATATATATATTTATTTTTTATTTTTTATTTTTTTTCGTATATATTTTTTTTTGAGACAGGGTTTCAATCTGTTACCCAGGCTGTAGTGCAGTGGCACAATCATGGCTCACTGCAGCCTTGAACTCCCAGGCTCAAGCGATCATCATTCCTCAGCCTCCCAAGTGTCTGGAAGTACAGGCATGCACCATCATGCCTGGCCAATTTAAAAAAATTTTTGTAGAAGTGCAGTCTCACTATGTTGCCTAGGTTGGCCTTGAACCCGTAGGCTCAAACTATCTTCCTGCCTTGGCCTCCAAAGTGTCGGGATTACAGGCATGAGCCAGCGCACCTGGCCAAAGTATATATTTCATTCCTCTTACATTTTATATTCAAAATCAGAAGCTTGCACTTGAGCTGCACATACTATTTATACTTTTTTTATTTTACATTTAGAAGTTGTCTACCAATGTTTGGGAGCTAGAAAGCTATGAATAATAAAACATGGTAGATCTTTTACATGCACTCAGTATTTTTTCAATATACAGTCTCAGGGTTTTGTAGTTGTTTTTTTCCCCCGTCTTGGAACTATACCAGTATACTGAAGGTTAGAAGTCATACTGAAGAATTTGCTCCTTTAAGATTTTAGCAAATATAATATTCTAAAGCTGTCACTTGGGCAATCAAAGCTTCTGTCTTTGAAGTAGAGATTTTCAGAGAGAAATAAAAAATAAGATCCGGAGTTTGCCTCATGCCATTTTTAAAAGTTCTTTCTGGTAAGTACTTCACACACTTTGCAGAAATTGGATTCAGATCCTTTGGCTATAAGAAGGAAGCATAATTATCAACTGGCCACGGGACCATTATAAGAATGATGACTTGTGTGTTTAAGCTGACTTTCTGAATTTTAATTTTTGGCATCATACTTACAAATGTTTTGTTAGAGATCAATAAACAAATGTAAATTGATCTTTCTTCTGAGACTGGGATTTTTTGCTACACTCTATTTGATTTAGTAACTCTAAGTTTCTTTTCTGGATTGTATGACTAGTTTTTATGGTGGGAGTGCGGATGTGGAGTGGAGAGTGATGAGGAAAATTGACTCTGTAGTTCCGGTGGCTCAATAAACTTTGATATTCCACCAGATTTAGTCCATTTTGCCAGAACCCCAGTGGAGAAGAACAGGCTTCTGGTGACTGAGCTAATCTGAAACCTAGAAGCCTAAACAGTATAATTTAAAATATATTCTGATTAAATAAAATAAAAGTAAAAGGTCAGAATTTCAAACATAGAAGGATTTGACATTAATCTACTGGTAAATTGGTACTGTACTTGAAATGAGGCTTGAATGGTGCTTTTTTTTTCCCCCTGAAATCAAATCATAGACATATAAAACAGGATTTTTCATTTCTAAAAACTATGCAAAGCATTACATTTTCTTAATATTATAACTTTACACACAAAAGCATTTTCTCAAAATAAAATACTAGATCAATAACAAGTGGTAGTTATACACCTTCATTTAATACCTTTCTCTCTTTCTGTCTCAGACAGAAAGAAATGAAAACATTTAAGGCTTTTATTCTGTAGGAGGAAAACATCTTTCCCAAAGTGATTTTACAAAGATTTTCTTTCAAGCTACTCCATAAATATTTGGAAACCTCCCCTAAATCAAGTAATCTTTTATTTGACATATCAGAAAAAAGGCAGCCAAAGATGTAGTAGACAGATAGCAGAATGGAAGGGAAAAGAATGGCCCTATTGCTTTAGGAGAAGCCAAGTGTATTAAATAAGAGCTAAACCAGCTTTGGTTATGTCTGGATGCAATTCTAGTACTTAATCATTGCTTTTTTTTTGTTTGTTTCCAGTGAGACAAGTAGACATTTTTTACGAAGCTGGTTTGTTTCCAGTTTGGATGGAAAGTGCAGCATAAGTATCATGCAAATATCTTGTACGGACTAATCGCCAAGAAAATCACTGACTCGCAGGATACGGTGGAGTGAGGCTGTAGGGAAAGAGAGTAGGGAGGCAAGCTGTAAGGTTTAAAATATGGCATCCATTCGGGTTGTTTGTAGCAAGCTTCTGGCCTAAAAGCTCTTCTTGTGCTAGGACATGTTCTGATTACTTTGCCAAGTGTTGGTGTCAGGGTTCATAGTCATATAAATACGCAGTCCAAGCTTTAAGACAGAATTCATAAACACTCTCTACACAGTACTGGCATGGGGGGAAGTAAGTGCGGTTAGTTTGGGGATAATTTTTGTCACTCTACTACTCTTTCCTCATCTTTACCTGTCCTTATCATCTGTTCCCCACTCAGACCTGCTTCCTCTACAGGTCGTCACACACTAGAAAACTCTTTCTTTCAGGACTTTCCTTGACCTAATAATACATATATTCCATTTCCTTAAGGTTCTTATCTCTGTTGAAGCTAATCTGATAAACTAATATCTGCTGAGTTGTTTAATAACAAATAACTTCTACCTTGCCCATCTAAGAATATAATTTTAAATATTAACATCTTGCTAAGCTTTATCTCAAAAGAATGACTAAGATTGAGTATTTTATATAATAGAGCAGCTGATTAGTACAGAGAAAATATTAGACTAAGCAACCCTGAAATGAGTTGCTTTTTGGGCTATTTTTTAACCAGGGCTTTCAAAGTTGGCATCAAACACTTATAAAAAGCAGTTGAATGAGCTACTAAATATATGCAACATTGAAAGAGTGCTTGGTCCTAATTAACTCATAGTTTTTTCCACTTCGTATTTTTTTCTTAACTTTAAAATATTTAATTGGCAAACAAAAATTGTATATATTCAAAGTACATAGTGTGATGATTTGATACACCTACACATTTTGTAATGATTACTGCAATCAAATTAATAAACACATCCATCATCACCCATAGCTACCTTTTGTGTGTGTGTGTGAATGTGTGGTGAGGTTCACTTAAAATATGCTCTCTTATCAAATCTCAAATATACAATAAAGTACAGTAATTAACTATAGTCACCATGCTGTATGTTAGATCCCCAGAACTTGTTCATCTTATAACTGAAAGTTTGTCGTTTTGACTAACATGTCCACATTTTCCCCACACTCCAGCCTCCGGCAACCACCCATTCTACTCTCTGCTTCTGTGAATTCAACTTTTGAAGATTCCACATACAAGTGAGATCATTCAGTATTTGCAGTATTTGTCTTTCTGTTCCTAGCTAATTCCACTAAGCATAATGTCCTTCAAGTTCATCCATATTGTTGCAAAAGGCAGGATTTCCTTTTTTAATGACTGAATAATACTCCATTGTGTGTGTGTGTACATTTTCTTTACCTTTCAATGAACACTTACATTGTTTATGTAGCTCGTCTATTGTGAATAACATTGCAATGAACACAGGAGTATAGATATCTCTTCCAAATACTGATTTTATTTCCTTTGTTTACATACCCAGAAGAGAGATTGCTGGTACATGTGGTAGTTCTATTTTTAATTTTTTGAGGAACGTCCATACTGTTTTCAAAATGGTTGTATCAATTTACAGTCCCATTAACAGTATACAAGGGTTCCCTTTTCTCCACGTTCTTGCCAACACTTGTTATCTCTTGTTTTTTCTATGACAATCATGCTAACAGATGTGAGGTGATATTTCACTATGGTTTTGATTTACATCTCCTTAGTGATTGGTGATGTTGAGCACCTTTTCATATACCTGTTGGCTATTTGTATGTCTTCTTTGGAAAAATATCTATTTGGATCCTTTGCCCATTTTTTAATCAGGTTATTTGATTTTCGCTTTTGAGTTATGTGAGTTCCTTACATATTTTGGTTATTAACCTCTTACCAGATCTGTGATTTGTAAATATTTCCCCCATTCTGTAGGTTGCCTTTGCATTTGTTGATTGTTTCCTTTGCTGCGCAGAAGCTTTTTTGTTTGATGTAGTCTCAATTGTTTATTTTTGCTTTTGCTGCCTGTGCTATGGATGTCATATCTAAAATACCATTTCCAAGACTAACATCAAGGAGCTTTTCCCTACGTTTTCTTCTAGTTTTGTGGCTTCAACTCTTCCATTTAAGGCTTTAGTTAATTTTTGTATATGGTGTAAGACAAGGGTCCAATTTCATTCTTGAACTCCTGACCTCATGAACCGCCTGCCTCAGTCTCCCAAAGTGCTGGGATTACAAGCATGAGCCACCGCACCCGTCCCAGTTTCATTCTTTTATGTGTGGATATCCAATTTTCCCAACACCACTAACTGAATGGGCTATACTTTTCCCATTGTGTATTATGGCACCTTTGTCAAATATTAGTTGATTATGTATGTGTGAATTTCCATCTGATCTTCTTATAGCTATGAAATGCTATAGTGAATGAAAATATATGACAGTAATTAGTTTAACCTTCACTATTTTCTAGTGTTCATTCCCTGGATGAATACTACATTACTTTTAAATGACAAAAACTGTAATTTCTTTTGCACCAACCTGATAGATACTTAACATATTAGTAGCAATACTTTTGGTTACAAGTAACAAATCCCCAACTTAAATTAGCATAAACCATAAACTAGAGTTTTTGGCTCACATATCTGAAAAGTCCAGGTATGTTTTGATCAAGGCAGTCTCTCAGTTTCCTGTGATTCTCTTGGCTGTTCCCTCCTCTCTATTCTGGTTTCCATCATATTCACAAAATGGTTGCCAATAGTAGGGCAACCAGGGCAACAGGTTACTTGGTTCACATCCAAGAAGAGAGACAGTGTCACATTCTATAATCGTTGAACAAAAGTCTTGAGATTTACTCTGATTGGGCCAATCACTGTGGCCAGGAAGAAGACAAATGCTGATTGATCTGGGTTTGGGAAAAAGCCCTTATGGAACCAGTATCTGTTTTAAGTGAGGTAAGATAATATAGCTTGAAGCTGAGATAGAGTCAATTCTTCCAAAGTTCATGGCTACAGTACAATGGGGAAGGGATATTTCTAAAGGAAAATCTGAGTGCATTTTGTAAAGGTGAAATACATTCTGAGTATGTAGTAAAATATTATTCATCAAGTTTCTCTACATGGAGTCTATTTTTTAACCTCTGAAAAATGTAAAGGAAAACAGAGGTTCAGAGTTCATTGTTTGCCAAATTGATAAACTGTGTGTGACTCATATCTGGTTTGGCAAAGAAAGTTCCTTTCTCCTCTGTAGTAATCAAATCTTCATTCATTTCATAGAACTGGACATACATACTTAGCCATGTGAAAGATTCAAAGTACTGTGTAATTAAATGGCACTTCTCACTACGAGTCCTAGGGAGAAGTTCTGATATGCCTCACATAATTAATTTAAAAGAAGAAAGACCAAGATGATACTCAGTCATATTGATTTATTTTACCCAATTTTTTCTAAGGTTTACAATGCCCATCCTGAGACTGAAGGCAGGGCATGGATACATTTAAAAAAAACCAGAATTTTGAGGAAATAACAAATTATGTTTAAGGAGTTATTATCTACAAATCAATTTATCCTTATCTTCCCTTGTAGATTCTATTATTATCATATCATTTATCAATAGCTATTATTACCTCTCCTGCCACTGACAACACAGCTCAAGACATCCCTTTACTTAATATCCATTGGATGTGAATAAATGAATTCTGTTATCTGACTGTTTAGCTAACTTTTTTCACCACCTAATTTTAATTTGATGTCCTTATGATATTGACTTCTTCATTACAGTGGTTTTCTTTTAAATCCATGAAGAAAAAAGCTAGGAGAAAAATCTGTCTTTAATTTGCTTACTTTTAGGTGATTATGTTTAACTAAGGACAACTCAAGTTGCAGAAAGCATCAGATAACTATTTTCTTGCCTGGTGGTGACAGCCTACAGCTGTCATGCTCCAATGCCCAACTTTATTGCTACCAGAGGTTCTTTATCCAAATATAACCTGTTTACCTTTCTCTGGTGTCTAAAATTCTTATCTGTACGTTTATCTCTTATTTGCTTTAGCCTTGTCCCAACAAGTTGCTTTTTAGGGTCCTTAATACAGCTTACAGTTAGAAACATTTCCAGGTACTTAAATGCAAATTAAATGATTGTTTCAAGCTTAGAAAGTGAAATGGCTGGATTTTGCTCTTCTGGCCCTGGCTGTGGGTCTCTCTTCACCTACATGCTACAAAGTTCAACTTTTGAAAAGGGAGAATTGGTGTGGAACTTTACGTGCTGTCCCAGAAGGGCAGACGTGGGTGAGTCATTGCTGTGACAACATGTGGATAGAAGAGCAGCCCTTGAAGAGAAGGGTTAGAAAGGTTAGGAGTTGGGAAGAGTCCAGTGACTATGAAATTTTCCTTTTTTCCAGCTGAGAATCAGAATATTGTTTCTTCATCAACTTAAATTGAAGCAAAATAAATCTAACCCCATGAGTTTTAATTGCTATGTACTGAAAATCTAAGGGATTGTCTGGCTGACACCTTTCCCTTTATTCTCATACCTGAGAATCAGAGGACGTTTCCTATAATCTCTTCCTCCTGGCACTGTTGATTGGTCCAGAGACAGGCACAATCCCTGAAATGTATCAAGAGGAGTCCTTAGAACAGTTTTAGAAATGGAAACTCAGAAATGGAAGTTTCTATCTTTTAATATGCCAGGAATGTACCTATAAAGATAGGAGTGCTGGGAGCAATTAGGATCATGTTTTCTACCCTGAGAATGAGAGAAGGTAGGAGTCTTCACTAGTCTGATATTTAAGTCAAACTAGTCATAAAATATATTCAAGGTCCAGTAAATGTCATTTAAATCTAATAAGAAACATAAAAAAGAAATATGAAATGCAATTAGGTGGTGAAAAAAGTTAGCTAAACCCTCAGATAGCAGAATTCATTTATTGAAATACAATGAAAATATTAAGTAAAGGGGTGTCTTGAGCCCTGTTGTCAGTAGCAGGAGAGGTATCAATCTGCATGACCCTTCTTTCAGGTCTCTCATCCTTGCCCCAAATCACACAAGTCAATAAGCACTTTTAACATACTGAGATTGTAATACTATTTCCTTCTTCAGTTAAAAAAATTGACTTTTTGGGGAGGTTTAGAATTAAATATAGAAATAGTTAAGTATATAAAATCTATAGTATTAAGGCTCTGGTATTAAAATAAGAGCAATATGTTCATATTTGGTTATATACTATTTATAATGTTTAATATCTATCTATATTAGTTGTCTATTGTTATAAAACAAATTATCCCAAAATGTATTGACTTAAAGTAACAAAACTTTATTATTTCATAGTTTCTGTGGGTTAGGAATAAAGGAAAAGATTTGTTGGATGCCTCTGCCTTAATGTCTCTTCAAGGCTGCAGTCAAGGTGTTGGCTGGGGCTGCTGTTTCATCTGAAGACTCAACTGGGAAAGGATCTGTTGTCAAGCTCATTTGTATGGTTGTAAGTAGAATTCAGTTTCTCATGAGTGGTTGGACTGAATGCTTCAGTTTCTCACTAGTTGTTTGCTGAAGGCCTCATTTGGTCCTTTGCCACAAGGGCCCTCTTAGGGCAACTTACTTTATTAGATCCAGCAATCAAGAGAGGATGAATGGTCACCATAGACAGAAGCTAGGTTTTTTGTTGTTGTTGTTTTTGTTTTTTGTAACCTTATCTTGGAAGTGACATTGTTTCTCATGCATCCTATTCTCTGGGAGGGAGGGGGGTTACATAGGAGTGTGGATACCAGGAGACAAGGATCACGGGTGGATATATTGGAGGCCACATAACATATTGGCTTATTAGAGAACCTGACAGTTGAGACCTTTGAATCCCATTTAAAATTTTAACTTAAAATTTGATTTGGACTTGTTATTTGTATTGAAAAACCTAAGAGAATTGTTACAAGATTATAGAGAGTATTGGGATGTTTGAGATAACTTTAGAATTACCATTGTTATGAATTTAATTTGTCTGGTTTATTAGAGTGATTCAAGTACCTTAGAAAGTTTTGCTTATCAATTTAGGCAAGTAAAAAGTAAATCAAATACATTAACTTTATAAGCGCTGTCTAAAATGTTTAAGTCAATCAAATTAACTAAATTGTAAGAAGCCTGATTGCTTAGTGCATTCTGCTATCCAAGTTACTCAAACTTTAGTCCAAGACCAATTTGAGAGTAAATGTTAAATTTTACTGACTTTATAAATAGAATTATATGATGTATATAAAGTTAAGGGCTTAAGATAAACTAAATTTGAGAACTTTTTACTTTGACAAATTGAATATTAATTTAAGAAAATCCCAGTAGTCATGATTTGTTCTTACCATGTAAAAATATATCTATTACATATAAAATAATTGGATTTTTATGTGTCTATATGTATGTATAAATGTCCTCAGAGAAAATAAAATCTTACATTGACAAAAGCTAGTCTTCAGAGAGGGGAAGAAAGAAGATTCAAATAAACCAGAAGAAAGGAGGAGTGCTAACACTTCTGGAGAGCTTAGTTTCAGTTGTTCTTTCCTTTAGTGACATTCCTATTCTTGAGTCCTGTAAGACACTTTAGTCATTATGCTTAAATTGAAGATAATTTTTTTTACTTGAAACAAACAGCCCTAACTCATCTATATTTTTCCTTGAATCTTTGTTGCAGAATTGTAAATTTGTGAAATAGCACAAAGCCAAGTTGAAGACAATATCTTCCCTAATAACAGTAGTGCAATGACAGCCAGCCAGAAAAGTTCTCCACCTTGGCAGCAATGAGACTAAGACTTTTATGCCTGAATTGCTATCTTTTTTTTCCAGGTCAGTAAATTTCTTCATATATTAAAGTGGATTTAATATCTGGTCCTTGACTCATGTGGATATGGAAAAGTAATAATAAATATTAATAATAAATAATAATAGTAAATATCAAAATGTGTTGAAAAGTGATTCTAGTGCAAGGTTGAAGCTATTAGTTACATTTCAATGATCTTTCCAAGGGAGTTTAAACTCATTCATTTTGTAGTATTGGAATAATAATGGTAACTGTCTTATATGATTATTACAGGATTTGAAATGCCATGCCTGGCACAGTATCTGGAACAGAATATGCCTTCAATAAATATGAGTGATGCTGCTGATGTGTTAAAAAATTATTTTTAGATGGGGTCTTGCTCTGTTGCCCAGGCTGGAGTGCAGTGGCATAATTGTGACTCACTGCAACCTAGAACTCCCGGGTTCAAGTGATCCTCTTGCCTCAGCCTCCTGAGTAGCTGAGACTATAGGCTCGTGCCACCAAACCAGGCTTTTTTTTTTTTCTTAATTTTAGGAGAGACAAGGTCTTGCTCTGTTGCCCATGCTGGTCTAGAACTACTGGGCTTAAACGATCTTTCTGCCTTGGCCTCCCAAAGTGCTGGGATTACAAGCGTGAGCCACCATGCTGGACCCTGATGTGTTTCAAAACTTTGTGCATAGGATCTAAAAACCTATGAGTCATTCTAGAGCTCTTCCTCCTTTTTCATTGCTTAGTTCCAACCTGACACTAGGTTCTATTTCCCTAATTGTGCTCC
This sequence comes from Homo sapiens, assembly GCF_000001405.40. NCBI lineage: Eukaryota > Metazoa > Chordata > Mammalia > Primates > Hominidae > Homo > Homo sapiens. The sequence goes on from NC_000004.12 coordinate 174,465,239, forward strand.
TGCCTGTGTTTACCTCTTTAGTTCCATTGTTACTGCATTTATTAAGACCTCTATCATCTTTCATATGGAATGTTGCAAAATTCTTCCACTTAGTTCTCCAGACTTTCAGGTTCACTCTTACCTGTTTTATTCTGAACCAACCCCAAACATAAATCTGTTCATCTAACTTCTTGATTAACATCCATGAAAAGTTCCCCATTGCTAAGACAAAGTGCCAGCCTCTTAGAATAGCACTCACGATGCTTCATGCTTGCTTCCAGCCCCAAGTTCTGTGCTGAACTCATAGAGAACTATTATCAGAGAACTGATTATAGTTTTTTTTTAACTAATTATGCAGGGTCTTTCTCCCTGGAACATCCCTCCTCCCAAACTCTTAAGAATCTTTCAAGGCTCTGCTCAAATGTCTCCTATTTTATGAAGCCTTCTCCTTCCCTGACTCGCTCAGGCAGAGTTCTCATTATAACTGCCTATTAACTTTATACATAAATCAATTACAGTCATTATAACATGAAATTTTGTCTTTTTCTTCCTTACATATTGGTTTTCCAAACACAGTTGTGAGCTCCCCGAAGGCAGGCACATAGCTTATTTATTTTTGGCTTTTTACCCTCTAGTATTATGCTTGGAATTGGGTGGCTTTTCAATAAATGCATGTAAAATTAAAGGCAGACCTGGTTTGATACAGTGGCTCACATCTGTAATCCCAGTGCTTTGCGAGGCTAAGGCAAGAGGATCACTTGAGGCCAGTAGCTCAAGGCCAGCCTGGGCAAGATAGTGAGGCCCCCCTCTCTACAAACAATTTTTGAAAATTAGCTAGACATGGTGGAGTGCACCTGTAGTGTTAGCTCCTCAGGAGTTTAAAGTGGTGGGATAACTTGAGTCCAGGAGTATGAGGCTGCAATGACCTGTTATCACACCACTGAACTCCAAGACCCTGTCTCTGAAAAAAAAATTAAAGGTAGATCAGCTGATACTCTTGGAATTCATAATATTCCAAATTAAAATAATAAATTCACTCAGTAAAGATCCTACTCAAGAAATCTAAGAAGATTATGTAACTTTCCCATCAATTTCTCTTATACTGGGGGAAAGGCCTATTTTAGACTATAACAAAGCACTAAAATAAAGCAAGTTTGTGCCATTCTTTAAGTAGTGGGACAAGAAAGAACAGAAAAGTATTTCATTTGGTTTTTAAATTTTTCTTTTTTTTTTATTTTTTATTTTTATTTTTTGAGACAGAGTCTCATTCTGTAGCCCAGGCTGGAGTAGAGTGGCACAATCTCGACTCACTGCAACCTCCGCCTCCCAGTTTCAAGCTATTCTTCTGCCTCAGCCTACCAAGTAGCTGGGATTAAAGGCGCCCACCACCATGCCTGGCTAATTTTTGTATTTTTAGTAGAGACAGGCTTTCACCATGTTGGCCAGGCTGGTCTTGAACTCCTGACCTCAGGTAATCCACCTGCCTCGGGCTCCCAAAGTGCTTGGATTATAGGTGTGAGCCACCATGCCCAGCCATTTCTTTAGTTTTTTGCATGCCAATTAAAATACCATTGAAGTAAGATTTGTTATAGATAAGCTGAAATACAACGGACTTGATTGACTCTAAGTTAAAAGGGAGTTTAAAGAAGGACTCATTTTCCCCTTTTTAAACTTTTTGTTTCTGTATAAAGGACAAGAACAACAACAGGGAGGGATTCAGGGAAGTTTATGATTGAGAATTACTATGGGGTTGCCTCGAGCTTTTCCCTCTACTATAAAATACTTACAGAGTAAAGAGGGAGTACATGAAAAAAGATACAAGCGTTTGCCTTAAAGATCTCTATAAAAAAAAGTAATCATTTAAAAGAGTAAGTTTTAGTGGAAACTGCTATTTCTATCCATTCTGGCTTTCTGCTCATCAAGCTGTGTTTTTGTGTGTGTCTGTCTGTATATGTGAAGAACTCTCAAATTACTGTTATTTTCCTTCATTTTGTTTTGTTTTTCCTTCAAGTTTTGAATATTTTACAGCAATAACAGAAAACAGAATTGTTCAGAGTCCAACATTCCTCATTAGTCATTCACCACAACTTGTAATGAGACGGATAAAGACAATGGGAAGCAGAGATCAATCACTACTCTGTGTGTGAAATAATTTCACACTGTGTGTGAAATAATTTGTGATACAGATGCAACCCAGTAATGCTGGGGCCTGACTGGGATGTTTTAGAACACATACGGAAGTAATCGTCCAGAGATGAAATCCTGTGACAGAAAGGACAGTTTTGGATTACAACTGATAAACCCCCACCAATACATGGCTCAAATCAACCAACAAGTAATGAGTATTGCTATGGACCAGTGAGACAGGGAAAGGCCTGCTTGTCTGTCTTAGGTGCTAAAATTATAATATGAAAAGCTTATTCATTCTCTAATTGAATCTGAATCAACAATGATTATAAATATCTGTATGCAGAAAATTAAATTCAGAAATCTATACCTTACATTTTTACACTAGGCTAAATACAAAAAAACATATTTATCTGCAATTTATCCAAATCTCTTCGTAGTATCTTTACCCTAAAACTCCCACCACTCCCCACACATCTCCTGATCTTCACTTTCTTCCATTTGCAGGAATTCCACCCTAACCATCCTCCTCACTCTCCTACCTGCTTCAATATGGGGAAGATTTACAGATGAGTATAAAATGGGAATAAAGTAGGCAAAGCCACGGTGGAATTTAGGAAAGCTTACAATTTGATAAGGAGTAGCCCAGATAAGGCCTGAATGGTGAATTGTGGTCTGATTGCAAAGGTTCTGGCTGGAGGGCTGGATTTCATACCTCTGGAATCAGGCATGTGTTAGATAGATTATACCAACAGTAGTATTTAGGGCTAATTGACTAGAACAGAAACTGGAGACTTGAGAGTAGTTATGAAAAAAATCAAAATACATTAATACACATGACATTATAAGAACTTGGCTTTTGGCAGTGAAAGTGGAAGTGGATCAGAAAAGAAGGAATGAAAAAAGAAAAAAGAGATCCTATGCTAGAAACATGTAACTTTCCCCCTCAATCTCATAAATCTCAAATGCAGCATGTTCACCCCATAAAATGCTAGGTATCTGCTTGTGTTAGTCCCATACACTTATACTATTCTCTCACTGATGTTATCATGACAGTTCAGTGGTCATCAGCTAAGGACAATAAAATTTACTTAAGAAGACTAATGCTGCAAACATCATTCTTGTTAGAGAAACCTCCCTACCTCCACTCTGACCCACATGAACGGGAAGCATGGACCAGGACATTAATGAACTAACATTTTGCCACAACATCTAGATAACATGAACGTTGGATTTATCCAACGTTAGGTGGCTACCGTGAATCAGAGGCTGCAGGGAGGCACCCAGGCGGCATTAGGTTGGGGCAACAGCAGAAATAGCAAACTAGGGCCATATGGTTCTGGAAGCATTCCTACCAAAATTCTTCAGATAGTAAATGGAATGGAGAAACCAAATGTTAGAAAAAATTAGAAAGAAATCAAAATAGGGAGAGAATACCATAATGATCCTTTATGATTAAGGAAATATTACTATGAGTTGTATTTACTTTGTGTAAACTGAACTGTGATGACATTATATAGCACTGTAGAATAGAAACAAAGTTTAAGGAGCTCTCAAGGTCATTCGGTCCAACTTCTCACTTTTACAGATATGTTGTATATAGAATCTCTAATATGTGACTAGCTGGCATCGGCCTCAGTCATCTCAATCACAGCAATTTTTTCTGTCAATGAAAACTACAAAGGCATTTCATTTGGAGTATCTTAATTCTGAAGGTACCTTCAACTACATCCCTTTCACCTTTACTCATTCATAGTTCTGTTTACAGGAGGCAACTATCTATTCTATTTCCTTATGACAATTTCAAATATTTGTAGTTTTGTGTGTTTTTCTCCTGTTGTCGTTACGATAAAATCCAAACTCCAGACTGGCAAAAGCCTCTAAAATGTGATACTTAGACTCAAATACAGTATCCCAGAAATCATCTAATCAATAAAAGAATGAACATATAAACTTCCATGTTTGGGAAATTTATATTTCTTTTAAGACAGCCTAGTGTGCCTTACCCACTTCATTAGACACTTCATTCATCCATTCAGTAAATATTTACTTGATGCACACCGTATTCCACGCACTGTTTTATATGCTGTGATTAGGTAAAGAACAGAAACAAGTAAGGTCTTTGTTTTTATAGAGCTTATGTTATGGTAGAGTAGAAAAAAACATAATGAAGAAAAAAACGACTAACATAAATTCAGAGGATCAGTGCTATGAAGCTGAAAACAAAATAAGGGTGGTGTGATAACCTAGAATGGGATAACTAACTGATTAATTTAGAGTGGAGGACGTGGGATGCCATTTGAAGGACATAATATTAGAGTCAGGCTATTCTTGGAAATATATGGAAAAGAGCCATCTAGACAGAGTGAAGAGTGAGTGCAAAGTTCCTAAAGGGCAGATGCTTGGTACATTCAAGGTGCAGAGAAGCTAGTGAAGCTAGAGTGAAGTCAGGAAGGAGGGGGGTGAAAATAGGTGAAATCAGAGATGGAGTATTTGATCTTATTTGCAACCAGAAACCACTGGAGGGTAGTAAAGAAGAGTGTGGGACGATCTGACCTTCAATGTGATCCTTGATGCAACTGCTGTTGACTCTTGATCAATGAGGGACTGGGGCACTGACTCCCTGAGGCAAGGTTGAAAATCCACATAACACTTTTGACTCCCGGCTAATTTAACTACCAATAGCCTACTGTTGACCAAAAGCCTTCTTGATAACAAATAGTCAACACATACTTTGTATATTGTATGTATTATACACTGTATTCTTGCAATAAAGTAAGTTAGAGAAAAGAAAATGTTAAGAAAATCCTAAGGAAGAGAAATATATTTACTATTCATTAAGTGGAAGTGGATCATCACAAGGTCTTCAGCCTCTTCATCTTCATGTTGAGTAGGCTGAGGAGGAGGAGGAAGAGGAGGGACTGGTCTTGCTGTCTCAGGGGTGGCAGAGGTGGAAGAGATGGAGGAGGTGGAAGGGGAGCAGGAGATGCAGGCACACCCAGTGTAACTTTTATTGAAAAAAATCCCTGTGTGAGTGTGCCCATGCAGTTCAAACCGTTTTCGTTCAAGGGTCAACCGTATTTGTTTTCTATTGGGTCTACTCATTATATACTCTTTGCTTTATTTCCTCCCTTGGACTCATCAATTAAATATTATTATTTAACTCTCTTCTAAATTACCTTATTAGTTTTACATTATTTACCTTCTGTATTACATTAGGCTTTCTTGACCTACTAATATCTAATTTTAATTTTAATTAGTGTTTTTTTTTTTTGACAGTCTCACTTTGTTGCCTAGGCTAAAGTGCAGTGGTGCAATCTCCGCTCACTGCAACGTCTGCCTCCCAGGTTCAAGCAATTCTACTGCCTCAGCCACCTCAGTAGCTGGGATTACAGGTGCATGCCACTGTGTCCAGCTAATTTATGTATTTTTAGTAGAGACGAGGTTTCACCATGTCGATCAGGCTGGTCTCAAACTTCTGACCTCAGGTGATCCACCTACCTTGGCCTCCCAGAGTGCTGGAATTACAGGGGTGAGCCACTGTGGTTTTTTTTAACCAGATCTTTGAAAACACAAACACCTTAGAACACTTTAACTCTGTTTGATCTCACCTGCCTTTCATGCTTTTTTGTATTTTAATTCTACATATGTTTTAAATACTAGAAGTCATTATTTTCCTGACTTAATATAGTAAATATTCATTTTGATTTCCTCACTCCTTTTCCATTACCCTTCAAATTACCCTGAATTTCTCTTCCTTCATCTGGAAGATTCTTTTCCCCTCCTGAAAAATTCTTTACTTGTATTCCTTTGAATCTGAATCTATTTATGATGAATTTTCTGATTTTCTTTTTTCCTGGAAATGCCATTAACACACCCTCTTTGATTTTATAAGATTTTTCTTAACTCAATATAGAACTTACATTCAGTTTTTATTTGTTTGGAACCTTAAGATAGTTTTCATTGTGTTCTGATTTATGTAGTTTCTGCTAAGAAATTAGCGATCAATTTTATTTTTGCTTCTTGTATAGACAGTTTGCCTCCCCCTGCTCCCCTTGGCAGGTTTTAAGATTTCTTCTGGTCACTGGCTTTTACTTCTATTTGGTGTGCTCTTTTTCTTCTTCTTGCCATTTGTATTGCTTCTTGAATCAGCAGCTTAAAATCTGATTACTTTTGAACATTTGTTGAATATTAGTTACAAATAATGCTTCTGCTTTAATTTCCTTTTTTTTTTTTTTTTTTTGGTAGGTCTCTAATTACACCTATGTTAGACTGTTTTGGGTTTTTTTTGTTGTTTTTTTCAGTTTTTTGTTTTTTTGAGATGGAGTCTCACTTTGTTTCCCAGGCTGGAGTGCAGCTGCACGATCGTGGCTCACTACAACCTCCGCCTCCCAGGTTCAAGCACTTCTCCTTCCTCAGCCTTTTTTTGTGGAGACAGGGTTTCACCTTGTTGGCCGGGCTAGTCTCAAACTTCTGACCTCAGATGATCCACCTGCCTTGGCCTCCTAAAATGCTGGGATTACAGGCGTGAGCCACCACGCCCGGCTTGTTAGACTGTTTTTAAAGTCCATATCTCTCTTATTCTCTTTTCTGTATTTTTCCATTCCCCTTTCTCTTTTTGTTTCAATCTAAATATTTTCTACTGGCCTATTTTCTATTCGGAAATCAGAGTCGCAAATCCTCTCTCAAGCTGTGTTGAATCTCTTATTCTATTGTTTTCTTAATTTCAATTTTTTTTTTCATTTCTAAAACTGTTCTTCATTGTTTCTAGTTTTTTGGAAAAATTCCCAATCTTTTCTTCTAATTTTTGAACATATCAATCACAATGATTTTAAAATCTGTTTTTGATAATTCCTGTATCAATCCCGTAGGGGCTGTCTTTTTTTTTTTTTCATTTAATTATTATTTTTTTCCTGTCTCTTTATGTGTCTGCTAATTCTTAATTAAATGCTAGAAATTGTATGAAGAATTGTATATGCTCTGGCTTATAATTTTTCTTCAGAGAGGGGTTCATTAGCTGATGGTGGATAGGTAAAGTAGTAGCCTGTCAGCTAAATCTGATTAAGATGAAGCTCATTTGAGCCTAGGTTTTCATTTTTGTAAGGCCTGCTCTCTATTTCTGGTTTGCCTTTTTGTGTGTGTGTGAAATACAGCCTTTTTGGAGCCTGAAATGAAACGCTGGGCCATTTCTTTGTATTCTACCTACTTGCTGATTCTTGCTAATAATTTATTAGAAGTTTTAAAAACTTTTATACATTGATAGTTTTGTTCCCAATGTTTACACTGCATTTTCCTTTCACTGCCTGATTGTACTGGATTTCACCAGTAAGTATGATGATTGCAATATGTTTTTTGGTGGATGTTCTATATGAGACTAAGAAATCTCCCTTCTATTATTAGTTTTTAATACTTTTGTTGTTGTTTTTGAAAATGTATGTTGAATCTTATCAACATCCAAAAGCTTTTTCTACATATATTGATATGATCATACAATTTTTCTTCTGTAGTCTGTTAATATGATAATTTTCACTGATTAAATTTGAGTGTGAGACCAAATTCAATTACTATAACTCCACTTGTTTATGACTTTTTCTTATTTTTGATATAAAAGAACTTCTTTTTCCAATTTATTTAGGAATTTTATATTTATGTTCATTATGGCAAAAGTGAGATTGGCCTATACCTTTTTTTTTCCTTTGTAATAATGCCTTTTCAGTTTTTGAAATCACAGTTATAAGTTGGCAGTGGTCTCTTTCTCTGTACTCTGGGAGAGCCAGAGTAAATTTGGAATTGTTTCATCTTTAAATATTTGGTAGAATTCACCACTGAAACAACCATCTGGACAAGGAATGTTCTTTATGAGAAGGTTTTTAATTATAAATTAAATAAATTGATGAGTTTGCAATCTCTTTAGTAGTTATCTGACTAATCCAATTTTTCTGTTTCTCCTTGTGTCGGTTTTGGTAAATTGTTTACTTCTAGGTATTTGCTTATTTTATATAAATAATCAAATTGACTCATAAATTTAATAAAATAATTGAACTTTTTTTATTGTCTGTATGACCCATTTTTATTCTTGAAATTATTTATTCATAATTCACCTTTCTTTGCTAATAGTGTGAGATGTTTTACTCTAGTTTCATCTAATTTTGACCCCATCAACAGGGTATTTCTGAGCAAAATAAAAAAAAAGTAACAGCTGTAGTTAATAGTCATTTGATAAATTCTAATCTATTGGTATTGATTTCAGTAAGAAACAAATGGCACTCTCAAACTGGGCAATTTTAAGTTAATTTATTAAAACAATTATTTATAAAGTTATCTGCAGGACTCAGGGAAATAGCAGAAATAGCACAGGACCCTGGGACTAGTAACTGCAGGGAGGTGTTACCACTTCTGGACCCGGAGGAGCAAAGGGGGGAATGATAACTAGAACACAATGTGAGTAGCTGTGCAAATGACTGCCTGATAGATGCTGAGATAACCAAACCAGGAATGAAGTCAAGGAAAAATATCTTGATCTCGCTTTTCTCTAGATCTCAAGTCTCTTGAGAGCCTCCTACTGATTGAACTAAATCAGGTGCTGAAAGGCAAAGGAGTTGCCAGTCTTTAACCTGGAGCTCAAAGCAATGTTAAGAGTGAATCTAGAGGGCAAATCAAGCTATCCAATGTGTTTTGGAAAGCCATTTTGTTATATTTCTTAGCAGTTGAGAAACTCATAGACTCCTAAGAATAGTAAATCATTTTGCAAGAAAGTTGCCTTCCAAATTTTGCTTTCAAAAATTGGAAACAGATACCACCTGATAAATCACTAAAAAAACTTATTTTGAGGACAGATTACTATGTGTTTTTGCAATATAATTTAGAGGGAGCTCAAAGAACTGAGTAGTACTATTACAACAAAACTTTCATTTTCATCGGCTTACTTATGTGAACAATTTTTCTTAAAACTTATTGCTATAATGAGACTAGAATTGATCCTGATCCTTATTTTATCAATAAATAATATTTATCCTTGACTGTATTATTTGAGGGAAAAGCTCCATTCATATTGGTAAGAATGCATTTCTGATACATTTTAATTTCTAATTTAAAATAATTTTTCATAACAATGTTAATATTATAGCTATGCTTCTCCCTGGAATATTACCCCAGTGGCCAGGAAACTGCCTGTGCCTGCTCCTGGGAAACCAGAGCATGGACTTGCCTGACCCAGCCCCCACCTGGCTTTGCCCCTCCACACACCCTGGTAGTGTAGCACCATGGACAGGGTCCTTTGGGCTCTCCATGGCCTCACCCATTGCCCAAGGCACTGGAATACCTCCTTTCGGTAACATAAGGCAAGCACAAATTTCACAGCTACCGCCACTGGTGCTGTTTTGCATGTGCCACGTCGTGGCTGGAAGCCAACTGCCTCCAGTCTTTTACAACATCTGCAGGAACAATCACACAGAGCCCTGGAGAAAGAAAACTTTTGTGTGACCTCGGCCTTCACCATTGCCTGCATCACCCTCGCTAACCAGTAGGTCTTGAGTCTGTCCACATGCCCTGTACATTACTACTACTGCTGACATTTGAAAAAGCCAACACACTAAGGCTATTTATAACTAAGGAAATCTCAGAGTCTACGTCACTGCCCTCCTACCTCCATCAGAGCTGGTGCTGGTGCCCGCTGCTGTGAGACTAGAGGACATGTCACATCACTGAATCTCTTGCAGACACTTCCTAGTACCAGCCTGAAGTGTGGCAGCCCCACTGGGTGGCTAGACCCAGTAGAACAGCAGCATTCACAGTAGTCTCGTTCTCAGAGACTCCTACTCTTAGAGGGAGGGGGAGTGCACCACATTAAGGAACACCCCATGGGACAAAAGAAACAAGACCACAGGCCTTGAGTCCCTGAACTTTCCACTTGTGGGAAGTTTCTTTCAGCAGAGGCACAGGTACAGTTCTGGGCTTAGTGAGGAAAGTCTGTGGCTCTTAACCCAACAGTCAGGCAGCCCTTGTACTCATGAAGCGTCGTGGAGATGGAGAAGGGGACCTCTTCTCCCTCTCATCTACCATTATAGACACAGCTGGGGCAACTCCTACGGGAGCATGGCATGGGTAGATCTGTAGACACCCTTTCTGGAACATTTCAGGACCATTCCTGAACATTTCTGGAGGATTCTTAAAGGAATATTCTCAAAGGAAGAGTGCCATCGAGGCTTGTTTGAAATGTAGAGTCACAACCCCTCTCTACATGGAGCATGAGCCTTCCTGCAGATGAAAAGAGGTGCCTGTCTGATGTGAACAGCTGGAACACTGAGTTAGGGGTGTGATGGGAAGGTGGATCACTTTTCTGCTGGCCTGGAAGCAGAGCTGTGGCAGCTCCCTATCTACCCTTGAAAAGACCTCAGTGCATCTCACTGATAACTTCCCCAGCCACTGCTGTAAAGGCTGGGATCTCTGCCGATACTGGGGTTTGTATTTATCCGCCTGCTTTAGCCATAGCTGGTTTTGACCTGTGGGCACCTCAAACTGGCCAGAAGCCTGAATTGTTCAATCCAGTGAATAAAAAATACTAGGGAAAAAAAAATTTCAGTGCACATCTCTGGGGAATGAGATAAGCTTCATAAGACCCCTGTCATTCCAGCCCAACAGGGGACAACGAACCTGCTCACACACCCAGTACGTCATTATTGCAGCCAGCATCGAAGAAAGCCATCACGCAAAGATTCTCCATAACCAAGGAACTCATACAGAGTCTTCACCACTGAAAGCACTTAGAGCTGAAGCTAGGTGACAATAAACTATAAACATTAAAGTCACATCCTCAAGGGGAAACAAGAGATATAAAAAACCAGTCTAATAAAAAAATAAATTCAAGAATAATAATAAATAGTTTACCCAAATAAGAAGGAACCAAGAAAATAATTCTGGCAATATAAATAAATACAGTTCTATAACACCCCCAAAAGATCACACTAACTCTCCAGCAGTAGATCCAAATCAAAATGAAATATTTGAAATACATGACAAAGAATTAAAAAGGTTAATTATTAAGTTGTTCAAGGAGATACAAGAGAAACAAACATAAAGAAATTAAATCAACATAAAGAAATTAAAACCAACTTAAATTTTAAAAGCCAACATAAAAAATTTTAGAAAATCGGGATATAAATGAAAAATTTTCTAAACAGATACCTATTTTAAAGAAAATCCAATCAGAACTTCTGGAAATGAAAGACACATTTAGGAAACTACAAAATGCAGTGGAAAGTCCTAACGATAGAATAGACCAACTAGAAGAAAGAATTTCAGAGCCTAAAGACAAGGCTTTTGAATTAACCCAATCAGATAAATATAAAGGAGAAAAGAATTAAAAGCAATAATCAAAGTCTCCAAAAAATATGGGATTATATAAATTGGCAAAACCTAAGAAATATAGGTGCTCCTGAGGCTGAAGAAAAAGTTAAAATTTGGAAAACTTATTTGAGGGAATGATTGAGGAAAATTTCTCTGGCCTTGCTAGAAATCTAGACATCCAAATATGAGAAGCAATTTTTTGTTTTTTTTTTTGAGACAGAGTCTTGCTCTGTCACCCAGACTGGAGTGCAGTGGCATGATCTCACTGCAACCTCTGCCTCCCGGGTTCAAGTGATTCTTCTGCCTCAGCCTTCCGAGTAGCTGGGATTATGGGTGCCCACCACCACATGGCAAATTTTTGTATTTTTAGTAGAGACAGGGTTTCACCATGTTGGCCAGGCTGGTCTCGAACTCTTGACCTCAAGTAATCCTCCCACCTTGGCCTCCCAAAGTGCTGGGATTATAGGGCTGATTCACTGTGCCTAGCCCAGAAGCTCAATATTAATGTCAAATGCAAATAGTCTAAATGATCAACTTAAAAGATACAGATTGGTAGAATGGATTCAAAAAGGGCATCACCAAGGCATATAGTCACCAGGTTATCCAATCAATATGGAGGAAAGAATTTTAAGAGTAGTGAGACCAAATATCAAGTAACATATAAAGGAAAACTTATCAGACCAACAGCAGACTTCTCAGCAGAAACCTTATAAGCCATTAGGGACTGGGGTCCTGACTTCAGTCTCCTTAAACAGAAAAAAACTGTCAGTCGAGAATTCTGTATCTAGCAATACTAAGTTGAATAAATAAAGGAGAAATAAAGTCTTTCTTAAACAAGCAAATGCTGAGTGAATTTGTCAACGATAAACCAATTCTACAATAAATGCTAAAAGGGGTTCCAAATCTTGAACCAAAAGGTGTATATACACCAGAATGGAAACTCCTGAAAGCATAACATTCACGGGGCTTATAAAACAATAACACAATTACAAAATCAACACATGGCTGGAAGAATATTTCACATCTCAATATTAATGTCAAATGCAAATGCCCTAAATGATACATTTAAAAGGTAGATTGGCAGAATCGACTTAAAAAAATCAAAGACCAAATATCTGCTATCTTCAGGAGACACAGCTAACATATAAGGATTCTTATAGACTCAAGATAAAGATGTGGATAAAAGTATTTCATGCAAATGGAGACCAAAAGTGAGTGGGAGCAGCTATTATTATATCAGATAAAACAGACTTTAATGCAACAACAGTAAAAAAAGAGAAAGAAGGGCATTATAAATTGATGAAAGGATCAATTCAACAAGAAGATATAACAATCCTAAATATATGTGTATCTAATGCTAGAGCTCCCAGATTCATAAAGCAATTACTAGACCTAAGAAAGGATATACAGCAACACAATAGTGGGGGACTTTAACACTCAACTGACAGCACTAGACAGATCATCAAGGCTGAAAGTCAAAAAAGAAACACTGGACTTAAACTATACTCTAGAACAAATGGACCTAGCAGACATTTACAGAACACTCTACCTAAGAACTACGGAATATACATTCTTCTCATTAGCACACAGAACATTCTCCAAGATAGACCATATGATAGGTCACAAAACAAGTCTCAATAAATTTTAAGAAATAAAAATCATAGGCCAGGCACGGTGACTCACGCCTGTAATCCCAGCACTTTGGAAGGCCGAGGTGGGCGGATCATGAGGTCAGGAGTTCCAGACCAGCCTGGCCAACACGGCGAGACTCTGTCTCTACTAAAAATTAGCTGGGCATGGTGGTGGGTGCCTATAATCCCAGCTACTCAGGAGGCTGAGGCAAGAGAATCACCTGAGCCCGGGAGGCGGAGGTTGCAGTGAGCCAAGATCACGCCATTGCACCACTCCAGCCTGGGCGACAGGGTAAGACTCCATCTCAAAAAAAAAAAAAAAAAAGAAAAAGAAAAAAAAATCCTATCAAGTATCTTCTCAGACCATAGAGGAATAAAACTAGAAACGAATTCCAAAAGGAACCCTTAAAACTACAAATATACATGGAAATTAAACAATCAACTCCTGAATGATTTTTGGCTTAACAATGAAATCAAGATGGAAATTTAAAATTCTTTTGAAATGAATGATAAGAGTGACATAAGTTATCAAAACCTCCAGAATACAGCAAAAGCAGTAAGAGGAAAGTTTACAGTGCTAAACGCCTACATCAAAAATTATTAAAAGTCACAAATTGACAACCTAACATCCTAGCTAGAAGAACTAGAAAAATAAGAACATACCGAAGCCAAATCTAGTAGAAGAAAATGAATAACTTGGGGTCAGGGGTGGTGGCTCACGTCTGTAATCCCAGCACTTTGGGAGGGCAAGGTGGGCGGATGACTTCAGCTCAGCAGTTTGACACCAGCCTGGGCAACATGGGGAAACCTCATCTCTACTAAAAATACAAAAATTATTTGGGCATGGCGGTGTGTGCCTGAAGTCCCTGCTACTTGCTGGGGCTGAGGTGGGAGGATCGCTTGAGCCTTGGAGGTTGATGGAGGCTGCAGTAAGCTGAGATTGCACCACTGCACTCCAATCTGGCTCACAGAGCAAGACCCTGACAGAGTAAATAAATAAATAAATAAATAAGTAAATAAATAAATAAATAAAATAAAAGAAAAGAAATAACAAAGATTAGAGCAGAGCTAAATGAAATTGAAATAAAACATATACAAAAGATAAATGAAACAAAAAGCTGGTTCTTTGAAAAGATAAAATTGATAGACCACTGGCTAGATTAACCAAGAAAAGAAGAGGAAAGGGTCAAATAAGCTCAATTAGAAGTGAAAATGGAGACATTTCAACTGACACCACAGAAATACAAGATCATTCGAAACTACAATGAACACCTAAATGCACACAAAACAGAAAATCTAGAGAAAATGAATAAATTCCTAGAATCATACAACCCTCTTAGCTTGAATCAGGAAGAAATAGAAATCCTGAACAGACCAATCACAAGCAATAAGATTGAATCAGGAATAAAATAAATTGCCAACAACAACAAAAAGCCGACAGCCAGACAGATTCACAACAAAATTTTACCAGACATTCAAAGAAGAATTGGTACTAATTTCACTGAAACGATTCCAAAAGATTAAGAAGGAATCCTCCCTAACTCATTCTACAAAGCCAGTTTCACCATGATAACAAAACCCAAGAAAGGCCATAATAAAGGAACGAAACTCCAGGCTAATTTCCCTGATGAATATAGATGCAAAAATCCTTAACAAAACACCTGCAAATCAAATCCAATAGCATATCAAAACAAAAATAATTCTCCACCATCAGGTGGATTTCATTCCATGGTTACAGGGATAGTTCAACATATGCAAGTCAATAAATGTGATTCAGCTGGGTGCAGTGGTGCACACCTGTAATCCCACCACTCTGGGAATCTGAGTTTGAGACCAGACTGGGCAACATAGCAAGACCTTGTCACTACTACTACTACTACTACTACTACTACTACTACTATTACTCTTACTACTACTACTACTAAACTAGCTGGGTATGGTGGTGTGCACCTCTGGTCCTAGCTACCTTGGAAGCTGAGGCAGGAGGATCTTGAGCCCATGAGGTTGAGGCTGCAGTGAGCTGTGATCATGCCACTGCACTCCAGCCTGGGCAACAGAGTGAGACCCTGTCTTAAAAAATGTGATTCATCACATAAACAGAATTAAAAACAAAAACCATATGATCATCTCAACAGATGCAGAAAAGTCATTCAATAAAATCCAGCATCCCCTTGTGATAAAAACCTTCAACAATCTAGGCACAGAAGGAACATACCTCAAAATAATAAAAGTCATATATGACAAACCCACGGGCAACATCATACTGAATAGGGAAAAGTTGAAAGCATTTCCCTTAAAAGCAAGAACAAGACAAGGATGCCCACTGTCACCACTTCTATTAACATAGTACTGGAAGTCCTAGCCAGAGCAATCAGACAAGAGAAATAAGTAAAGGGCATCCAAATTGGAAAAGAGGAAATCAAATTATCTCTGTTTGAAAGTGATATGATTTCACACCTAGAAATCCCTAAACACTCCTTCAAGACTCCTAGATCGTATAAATGAACTCAGTAAAGTCTCAGTTTCCAAAATCAATATACACTAATCAATAGCACTGCAATACATCAACAATGACAAAGCTAAGAATCAAATGAAGAACTCAATCCCTTTTAAAATAACTACAAAAAATAAAATACCTAGAAATATACTTAACCAAGGAGGTGAAAGATTTCTACAAGGAGAACTACAGAACTGTGCTGAAAGAAATCATAGATGGCACAAACAAACAGAAATATACACCATGCTCGTGCATTAGAAGAACCAACATTGTGAAGATGACCATACTGCCCAAAACAATGTACAGATTCAGTGCAATTCCTACCAAGATCAGTTTTCACAGAATTAGAAAAAAAAATCCTAAAATTCATATGAAACCAAAAAGAGCCAAATAGCCAAAGCAATCCTAAGCAAAAAGAATAAATCTGGAGGCATCACATTACCCAACTTCAGATTATACAAGGCTATAGTGAGCAAAACAGCATGGTACTGGTAAAAGATCAATGGAACAGAATAGAGAATCCAGAAATAAAGACAAAAACTTACAGCCAACTGAACTTTGGCACAGTGTACAGAAACATAAATTGGGGAAAGGATGCCCTATTAAACAAATGGTGCTGGGAAAATAGAATAGCCACATGTAGAAGAATGAAATCGGATCCCTATCTTTCACCATATACAAAAAGTAACTCAGGATGGATTAAACACCTATATTTAACATCTGAAACAAACAAACAAAAAATTCTACAAGAAAATCTAGAAGAAACGCCTCTGGACATTGGCCTGGGCAAAGAATTTATGATTAAGACCCCAAAAACAAATGCAACAAACACAAAAATAAATACATGGGGTGTAAGTAAACTAAAAAACTTCTGCATAGCAAGAAGAAATGATCAGCATAAGCAGATGACCTACAGAATGGGAGAAAATATCTGCAAGTTATGCATCTGACAAAGGACTAATATCCAGAATATACAAGGGACTCAAACAAATCAGCCAGAAAAAAACAAATAATCCTGTAAAAAAGTGGGCAAAGGCCACGAATAGACATTTTTCAACAGAAGATATACAAATGTCCACAAACATGAAAAAAATGCTCAGCATCACTAGTCATCCAAGGAAATGCAAATTAAAACTACAATTAGATACCACCTTACCTCAGCCAGAGTGGTCATTAAGAAAAAGTCAAAAAAAACAATATATTTCCATAAGAAAATGGAATGCTTATACACTGCTGGTGGGAATATAAATTAATACAACCTCTATGGAAAACAGTATGGAGATTTCTTAAATAACTAAAAATAAAACTACCATTCAATCCAGAAATCCTACTACTTGGGTATTTACCCAAAGGAAAAGAAGTCACTATATCAAGAAGACACCTGCATGCATATGTTTATCACAGCACAATTCACAATTGAGAAGATATGGAATCTAATATATATTATATTATCCACTATATATATATATATATACACACATATATATTATATATATAATATCTCCCATGGAATACTACTCAGTCATTAAAAAGAATGAAGTAATGTCTTTCGCAGCAACTTGAATGGAATTAGAGGCCTTATTCTAAGTCAAGTAACTCAGGAATTGAAAACCAGATACAGCATGTTCTCACTTATAAGTGGGAGCTAAGCTGTGGGTATACAAAGGCATGCAGAATGATATAATTGACATTGGAGATTCAGAAAGAGGGCAGGATGGGAAGGGCATTTAGTGTGAAAAACTACCTATTGGGTACAATGTGCACTACTTGGGTGACAGATACACTAAAATCTTAGACTTCACCACTATACAATTCATCCACATAACCAAAACCCACTTGTACCCCTAAAGCTATTAAAATTTAAACAATTTAAAAAATGTTAATATCATTATTATTTTGATCAATTTTATATTAATTATTTTAACTGTCAGATCCACTTAGACCTTATGAAAAACAAAATTCAAAATTCAATGTGTGTGTGTGTAGTGTGTATACTTGTTGCAGAGAGCTATAATCTTAAAATTCACAGAGAAATATTTAGAATAAAATTCTGTAGAGGAAGCAATTATGATTTAAATGATAAAACAAAACAATACAAAATTTCTGACTCTTGAGAAGGACCATGTTCTCGAATTTTAAAGTGGTTCATAAAATGGTTATAGTATTTATCACCCATTGGACATTTTTAAAGCCAATATTGAAAATATACGAAAGTAATTACTTTGTCATGAATTTAAACTTATATATATTATATTTAAACTTAAAAATATGAGAGGGGTATGGCAGAAATAGCTAGCTCTCCACCAGAGATAAATACTTACCTTTCCAAAGGGTAGCGCTGTTGCTGGAAAGTGGGTTTCCAGGCAGAATTTACATTTCCCAGCACTGGAGCCCAGCCTTGCACCCAGGTGGGGCCGTTTAAGCAGCTCTACAAAGGGTATCTGCACCCAGGTGGGGCCGTTTAAGCAGCTCTACAAAGGGTATCTGCACCCAGGTGGGGCCGTTTAAGCAGCTCTACAAAGGGTATCAGAAAAGGCTGAAGTGATTAAGGAGCAGGTGTGCCTTGTCCGCCCTCTGAGTAGATCCCAAGGCTCTGAGTGATAGTGGAGCTATAAAATGTAAAGGACCTGAATCTTTCAATCACCCACCTTGGAATGCTGCCCACTCTACACCTGCATTGAATTCTTGCATCTGAGAGTAATAAATTTTTATTTTGTTAAGCCCCTGCGATTTGGGGAATTATCTCCTATAATACCGAGCATTACCTTAGCTAATACAGATTGATTCCAGAAGTGAAATGCCGCCAAGCAACAACAAACCTAACGTATCCGGCATTGGCTTCCCAGGTGAGTTGTGGGCAGTGAGGCTAGAAAAGTGGAGGACCCTGTTAAGCAAAGATAAAACATTTGGCGAGTATGTTACCTCCCATGCCTACCGAGACCAATTCCTCTGTGAAGGGGTTCAAAGATAGAATGATGATGGTATGTTTTGGTGTTCTCTGATTACATCTAGCAAATTATAGAACCAAGAGGTGAGCTCAGGCTGGAATTGGCTTGTTTGCAATTAAAACTTAAAGAAGAGATAATCCAAAAATGTGGAGCTTTTTGGGTTGGAAAAGTCAACTGCTTCTAGTCTCTAAGCACAGAAAGATAAGACTCAGAAATGTTTTCCGCATGAATGATCCATTAACCCTTAGTTATGACACAAATTGCAAGTGTGAGTTCTATCCAAGTCTGCTTTTCTCAGTGTACTCCCATTACGTTGAAAGAAGAGAGGAATAACGAGTGGGTAGGGTGCAAAATAAAATATCAGGCTTGAAAATTATGACTATTAATGACTTGTGACTTTAAAAATATTTCAGTGTTTTAAAGCAAATGAAATTCACTAGAAGTAAACAGATCAGAGCCTACTAATTTTTTAATACGATGCAGAGCTGAAGAAATCCCAAGTCAGAATTTAAAAGCTTTTAACTAGGCCCGGTGCGGTGGCTCACGCCTGTAATCCCAGCACTTTGGGAGGCCGAGGCGGGCGGATCACAAGGTCAGGAGATGAAGACCATCCTGGCTAACACGGTGAAACCCCGTCTCTACTAAAAATAAAAGAAAATTAGCCCGGCGTGGTGGCGGGCGCCTGTAGTCCCACCTACTCGGGAGGCTGAGGCAGGAGAATGGTGTGAGCCCGGAAGGCGGAGCTTGCAGTGAGCCGAGATCGCGCCACTGCACTCCAGCCTGGGCGCAGAGCGAGACTCCGTCTCAAAAAATAAATAAATAAATAAATAAATAAATAAATAAATAAATAAATAAATAATACAAAAATTAGCTGGGCCTGGTGGTGCGTGCCTGTAATCCCAGCAACTTGGGAGGCTGAGGCAGGAGAATAGCTTGAGCCTGGGAGGCAGAGGTTGCAGGGATCAGAAATCGCGCCATTGCACTCCATCCTGGGCTACGGAATGTGACTCCGTCTCAAAATAATAATAATAAAAAAAGCTTTTAACTGTTTAAGACTTAAGCCTTGGGTTTCAAAGCAACTTGCAATGATAGGACACAGTATGTGTAAACTCCACAACTTCCCAGAAGATTTGGCACCAAAAGATGGAGGGTAAGAGACAAAGAAAAAATTCACTAAGTTAGAGAGAGAGGCTCCTGGGCACCATGGTAAAATCACGAATCCCAAACTGAAGATTTCAATATCAGCAAGGAAATTCCCCACTGCCACGGAAGAGAGACCTCATAATGCCTACAAGGTAGGACTGTCTCATTGCTATTGACCACAGACTGGTATGTATCCCATTCTTTTCTTTTCCAAATGAGGTATTTTATTGCAGTTTTTCTCTTCTCGCTCATCATTAGAGTGTCCGTGTTTGTGTGTGTGGACACACATAGCAGATAAGAGAGATTGCCTTTTAAGTTCATAGGTCACTAGATCATGAGAAGCCACGTGCATCCTGACAGGGAGGACTGTGCATGTGTTGGTGATTCTAAATCTAAATTGAGGATAGTAACTACATAGGATTTTGGGATGTTACCGTTGAGTAGGAGTAAAATGTATTCAGTGTGAGGAGCAAGGGATTTATAGGGATATTAAGTGTGGCAAAGACAAATGATTTGTCAATCAAAAACTCAGCCTCCCTGTAGTGTGTAGAGTTGTTTCTGGGAGGCATCACCCACAGTTTCTACATTTCCCAGTATCCCTTGCATTTAGATAGGGCCATGGGACTAGTCTCACCAGAGGACTACGAGTAAAAATAATGCATGTTACTTCCAGGCTGAAATGTTCAAGAAGCAGGTATGCCTGCCCCATTCTTTCTTCTTCAGTTCACTGGCTGGAAGTAAATGATTCGAAAGCTATAGACAGGGGAGCTACAAGGTAGAAGGATCCTGAACAACCTCATGAAAAGCTGCTCACTGAATACAGCACTACATTCTTGTGTGTGTAAAGGAAAAAAAAACTATTGTGTTAAGCCATGAATTTCAGGGGTTTATCTGAATTCTCTGCTACTCTTACTCAATGATTACAAAGAATACATAGTTATAAAAATTACTTTGTGGGTATAGGAGCAAAACATTTGAAAGCCATTGATCTAGTTCAGTTCTACACACACACACACACCACACACGAATTTAGGGGCAAATAAAAATTTATGTAAATGTATACATTAAATTTTAAATAATGGTATATCATTAGCATGAAATTAGGGCAACCTAAATGCAGGAATTTACCAGTTTATCCTCTTTCGATTTAAATCTAGCAGATTGAGCTTAAAAATGTAGTAGGATCTAACAAGACAGTCAACATGTTTTATTTATTTATTCGTTTATTTATTTTTGAGACAGGGTCTCACTCTGTCACTCAGGCTGGTGTGCAGTGGCGTGATCTCAGCTCACTGCAGCCTCTGCCTCCCACGTTCAAGAGATCCTCCCACTTCAGCCTCCAGGTAGCTGGGACTACAGTCACGCACCACCATGACCGGCTAATTTTTCTGTATTTTTTGGTAGAGATGGGGTTTCACTATGTTGGCCAGGCTGGCCTCAAACTCCTGATCTCAAGTGATCTTCCTGCCTCGGCCTCCCAAAGTGCTGGGATTACAGGCGTGAGACACTGCGCCCGGCCCAACATGTTTTAGTAGCCTTGTTTCCTTCATAGCACTTGTAAGTGAGAATGAGACAGTGTTTTTTTTAACACATACTTAAGTCACGGTAGTAAGACAAATGATTTTAAGGATTAGTGATAGGAATTAGTAATAAATCCATACATCTGGAAAGCAAAATGCATAGGCTAGTTACATGCAAATGACTACATGACCATTAGCTACTGTGGGAATAGACCCCAGAAACATCACACCATTGAATAACTATGGAGTTAGAGTGATATCTTTACTCACGATTCTTAAAAACAAGCTTTAGGCTAGGCACCGTGGCTCATGCCTGTAATCCCAGCACTTTGGGAGGCCAAGGTGGGTGGATCACCTGAGGTCAGGAGTTCAAGACCAGCCTGGCCAACATAGTGAAACCCCATCTCTACTAAAAATACAAAAAAATTAGCCAGGTGTGATGGTGGGTGCCTGTTATCCCAGCTACTTGGCAGGCTGAGGCAGGAGAATCGCTTGAACCCAGGAGGCGGAGGCGGAGGTTACAGTGATCACAAAGGCCAAGATCACACCATTGCACTCCAGCCTGGTCAACAAGAGTAAAACTCCCTCTGAAAACAAAAGAAAACGAAAACTAAAACAAGCTTTAGAAGGGAGTAAGTGGCAAGTCGAAATCCTTATTGTAGCAGGGAAAAATGTAAAATGTATGTCATCTGCCTGTTTGTTCTCAAATCCACAGCCTTCCCTTGTGCTGCTCTGCTGTGTAACACAAAGGGCTGGCCCTGAAAATGACGTTTTTCGTAACTCCCTTCCTGGCTGAGAGATACTTAATAGGATATTGCAGGGGGAGATTTCAGGGTATTTCCTCCCCCTCCACTCTCTTGGGGTGGCATCTCTGACAGTGGCTGTCTCCTCCAGAATTCCACCTCCCACCTGACAGCCCCTGCTCTGTAGCCCCAGCTTTGATTGGCAGCCTCCCATTGGTTCCTTGGCACTGGTAGTACCCTGAATTGCACCAGTTCTTGAAGTGATAGAGCCTTCCTGCTGTTGCTGGGTTGCCTCATTACCCATGTTTGGCTCTTTAGCTCTTCCAGGATCTTTGTAACTATTAATAGTTCCCCATATTACATTTCTTCAGGACTCAAATGCTGTTTTCCATATTGGACCTAATAACTGATACATGTCTGCCCTAACATCTACATAGAATATAATATACTTAAACATGTATATATAAATTTACCAACAACACAATTTCTCAATAATTATTTGTGTTTGTTTTGTTGTTTGTTTTGAGACAATCTTGCTTTGTTACCCAGGGTGGAGTGCAGTGGTGTGATTTCGGCTCCCTGCAGCCTCCACCTCCCGGGTTGAAGCAATTCTCCTGCCTCAGCCTCCTGAAAAGCTGGGATTACAGGCACCTGCCACCACATGCAGCTAATTTCCGTATGTGTTTGTTTGTTTGTTTTTTAGTAGAGACAAGGTTTCACCATGTTGGGCAGACTGGTCTCGAACTTCTTGCCTCAAGTGATCCACTTGCCTCAGCCTCCCAAAGCACTGGGATTACAGGCAGAAGCCACCGCAGCCAGCCAATTGTTATTTGTTGAATGAGTGAATGTTATGTGTGGAAATATTACTTGAAAACTGTGGGGAAAAGAGTTTCATAGTTCAAAGATAACCTTAGAAATCTTGTAAAATTTAATGTAATTGTCAGGCCTCTGAGCCCAGGCCAGGCCATCGCATCCCCTGTGACTTGCACGTATACATCCAGATGGCCTGAAGTAACTGAAGATCCACAAAAGAAGTAAAACCAGCCTTAACTGATGACATTCCACCATTGTGATTTGTTCCTGCCCCACCCTAACTGATCAATGTACTTCGTAATCTCCCCCACCCTTAAGAAGGTTCTTTGTAATTCTCCCCACCCTTGAGAATGTACTTTGTGAGATCCACCCCTGCCCACCAGAGAACAACCCCCTTTGACTGTAATTTTCCATTACCTTCCCAAATCCTATAAAACGGCCCCACCCCTATCTCCCTTCGCTGACTCTCTTTTCGGATTCAGCCCACCTGCACCGAGGTGAAATAAACAGCCATGTTGCTCACACAAAGCCTGTTTGGTGGTCTCTTCACACGGACGCGCATGAAAGTAATTATATGCTGACAATGAGATTTTAGTAAGAAGAATTAGAAATGGTACTAATACCAAGGCAGGAGGATTTTTAAAAATACACAAAAACTAGCCAGGCATGGTGGCGCATGCCTGTGATCCTAGCTACTTGGGAGGCTGCGGCCAGAGGATCACTTGAGCTCAGGAAGTTGAGACTGCAGTGAGCCGCATCATGCCACTGCACTCCAGCCTGAGTGACAAAGTGAGACTTTGTCTCAGAAAAAAAGAAGGAAAGAAGGAAGGAAGGGAGGGAGGGAGGGAGGGAGGGAGGGAAGGAAGGAAGGGAAGGAAGGAATGAAGGGAAATGAAAGACAGAAATGAAAGAGAGAAAGGAAAGAAAGAAAAGAAAAGGAAAGAAAGGAGGAAAGAAAGAAAAGAAAAGGAAAGAAAGAAGGAAGGGAGGCTAATAAGCTTGAATGTAATGGTAGAATTAAGGTGGTCATATATTCAGAATCTCAAAAACAAAGCAAGTCTAGAGGCAATGATTGCAGTTTTGCAGTCAATATTAAATCAAGTAGCTTTTGAACCTTTTTCACTGTGTTTCACAATGAGAAATATATTTTATATCAAGAATGAGTACAATCATATATGCATGAGATGCCTCCTGTATTTTCCATTCATTGTCTCCTCTTTTATCATATCCTATCCAGAGTGATTCAGTTTTTCACACACTTTGAAAACATGGATCTAGGCATGTTATAGGAACCAAGATAGTATGCAAACTTATCCAAAGGATTAAGACATAACTCATCTTTTATCACTCTGTCTTTCTCTACATACAGTGGCTATTGTTTCTGTCACCTCAGCATGCATTCACCTACTTTCTGGTAATGACAGCATAATTTTCCTTTTGGAAATTTTCCTTCTCCTTGTTTTAGTCCATAGGACTCATGTCAATGCCCTGCCCACCTCTCCTGTCTCCCTCCCACCCCATAATTCTGCCAGCTCTGGGGAGGCATGCCATCTCCTTCTGGGCAGGCAGAGTAGCTATCTCTCTGACCACAAGGACTGTCTCAGTAGTGGGCATATAACCTAGGCAAGGCCAAATCAGTTCTTGTTTTGGTGGACTGCAAGCTGCTGGGAATCAGGCCTGTAGATCCGGGAAGTGATCATGTGAAAGAGCTGCCTAGAAGGGACGCTAACAAGAGAAAAGGAGATGGAGACCTTATGGCAGCAACTGTGACCCTGGATCCAATCACCTTTTCCTATGCACCAGTAAATTTCCCTTTTGAAATTCTAATTTAAGAAAAACCATCTGATGATGTTTAGTATGTGAAATACCTTGAATTTTTTTCAAAATTTGCATTCTCAGATCTCTTCAGTATGCTAAATTTATAGAGAGCAAAAGTAAGGAGAAATTGTCATATAATCACTTGAATGTTAAATGATATTACAAGTGTCTAAATTCATTTTTACATGAGAAAATAAAATTTGTAGGACATTTCAATGCATTATCAAGTCTTGATCTTTTTCTCAATGTCTACGTATTTCTAGTGTTGCTGTTCTGAGAAGTACCAACTTCATTTTACTAAGAAAAACACATTGGAAAAATATATATACCATTTACATTAGGATATTCACTGAAAAATACAAGAAACCAAGGTCCCCCTCCCCTAACTTCAGTTTAATTATTTTCTCAATCAGTATACACCAGAGATGCCATATAACCATATGAATTTATTTAGAGCTACCTATAGAAGGTAAGATTTAAAGTAAGTTTTTAACTTATGTAACTCACATTTTTCAATTCTACTTGATATTTGATTTTAAATGTCTACATAATTTATTGATTTGAAAAAATTAATTCAAAGCAGAATGTATATTGAAGGCTACTAGTCCAAAAAATTGTCCATAAATGAAAAGGTTATACTATTTACACGACAGAGGAAAAATACAGAAGATAAGTGATACTGGGCAAACCGACATCATTTACTGATTAGTCACTGCCAGAACATACAAACAAGCTTATGCCTGATTACAGTTTATCTCTATCAGATGTTCATTGATGTTCACTACTTTGTCTTTAATACATTATATGAAAATCTAGACCAGAGTTATTAATATTCAAATTACTCCTTAAAAGTGAAGGCAATTGTTTTCTATAGCAGAATTAAAATAGGGCAAGATATGACAACATTCCAGTACTTCTAGGAAATCCATATCAATCTCACATGGAAAGATTTGGCTTCAAGCTGGGAGGTCTGGAGTTAGCAGACAGGATGAGTCACTTATACGATATTTTTTTGAGAAAACGACTGATTTGGAAATCTTGTGCTTTCACTGTTACTAGTGTTAATTACTGCTTGCAAAGAGTTTTACCCAAAGCAGGTGTATTTAATGATTCTTAAGATAGCTGACAACAAAAAAAGCAAAACCTCACAGCTATTTTTATGTCTGTGTTGTTATGAGTTTCAGCATGGGTACAAAAACATTTACAGTTGTGGCTGTGGCAAAATTGGTTTTATTTCCTTGATAGCTATACATAGAAGACTAAGTAATTTATGGAGATCAGAATAAAAAAGTTTTATTGAAGGGTAGGCACTTTTGAAATTTGGACAAGTCAATAAAGAAGTAATTTGAAAAAAATATTACATTTGCATTTTTTTCTTGTTGAGCATCTTAAATATAATATTTTTGGAGTACTAACTATTCTTTATTGCTGTAACTGTTAAAAGTTTAATTCCTGAGATTTTTGGAGTCGGTAAAAGTTCTTAAAGTGAGCAGAGGAAAGAAATGTCTTTCCCAGATAGGAGGCTGAACTGTGAATCAACAGTGTCAATCAGTTACTTTCTGTCATTTTTCCATACAGCAGTTTTCATCTGGGATATGTTTACACTGTAGTTTATTCCTTGACTGCCCCCAAAATATACTACTCTAAGAAGCTCTTGGAAGAACTGAAATGTTCAGTTGAAAGATGGTATATAAGTAAAAATTATTATTGTGAAATATTTGTCATTGTTAAGTAGCTTTCCTCTTTTAAAGTATGAACTTGTATGTGAGTGTTTTACATCTGGTTTGATTTAAATAACAATTCAAGTATCTCCTTTAAAATGATGTTCTGAAGAACATTAATATTTATGAAGCACAGATATAAATACACTTTCTGAAAGGCAGAATATTGAATATTCCTTGAAAATCATTTGTTTTGATCATTTTTTAGACTATCAAGATTACAACCTAGCCTTTGGTCCACATCACATTTTTAATAGTTCATAACTTTTTATCCATATACTTAACTAAAAATTTAGAAAACGTTTATCACCAAGTGCATGAAGGAAAACTTCAAACTGTAACATTTCATTTAAAAGCTATATTCAAATGAAGATAGGATCTGAATATAAGCTATTTGTGCTTATTTTCAGCTATGGCTAACACATAAGCTGTTCATTGGGTTTTTGCTTGAAATGGAGTTGTATCATAGTCTTGAAAATGAATTCCCTTAGAAGTTGTGATCTTCATAATAGCACCATTTAAAGCATCATCTTCAATGAGTGTTATCAATCCATTGGCAATCAATGGTGGGCTAAAAATAAAGAAAACAGTATTTTGAAACGAAAGAATGAGGCATATTACCACTTCATTTTAAGTTATTTTCTGAAGAATCTATTAAGTTGAACATGTTATAGGGAAATGTGTGTCATTAAACTATTGCTACTTCCAATTTTTATTTAATTCCATATTAGATATCTAGATTAGATATCTTATTTATCTAATTTATTCAATTAGATTTCTTTCAATTGGATATTAACTAAATTATTTGATAAATTTAGCTGTAACCTTCCATCATTTTGGCAGGAGGAATTTATACTCATTATTTTCACTGAGCAAATGATCATTTTCTCATCTTTATCGTATCAGTAGATCTTAGACTTACCAGATATAGATGTTATTAGTGTAGAAATATGATTGGTAACAGCTAGCATTTACTGAAAATTTTATTTTTTACCAGTTACCATTTTAAGTACCTTGTATGTATCATTTTATTTAAGTTTTTCAAAGTCCCTAAGTCTGTTGTATTATCTCTATTTTATATGTGAGAAAATTGAAGCATCTAGAGGTATGATGGGTAAGTTCATGGTTAGTGGTAGAGCCAAGATTTGATCTCAGGTCTGATTCCTTCAACATGATAACTATGATTCATGAAATCCTCAGTTGCTTGAATTCAGACATAATTCACTGAGAAAGTATGTGTCCATGTATGTGTGTGTATCAACTATTTCTTATAAAAGTGGTTGAAGTCATGGAAACTTGCAATATTTCACAGACTATATTTGAATATTGCTTGGAATTTAGGCAGAGAAGGTATCATTGCCTTCAAAGGTGACTAAATATCAACTTTATGACTGATGGTAGTAATGAAGCATTTTACATATTTCAAAGTAACATTCATAATGTATAAACTTACATTCTATTTATAAACCCAGAAAAATATATTTTCTCCCAGAGAGTTTGCCAAACCAAAAGTTTGAAGCTTGTGTTCATTTCTCAACTGTATAAGCTTATTTCTTCCCTTTTTATAGCTTATCTAAATAATGCTTTGCTTCATCATTTAAAAGAAAATAGACATAGTTTTACTTACTCCAAAATTCCATAGTATTTAATCATATCCTTGATATGATCCTTATATTCTATATATTGTCCCATGTTTTCTTCTTTTTCAATTGATTCAAGGATGGCTGTGTTAACAAAGCCTGGACAAATGGCATTCAGTCTCACACCACTGTTCATAAGATTAGCAGCCAACTGCCAATTAGAAGGTTGTAGGTTTCAGCAGTTTCATAAACATATAGCACAGGACAAACTGATCATTAAAGCATCTTACAATTTTCTGATGTAAAAAATACTAATTAGATATCCTCCCAGCTATGTAACAATGACTGGTAAATAGATAGTAAAATAACACATACATAAAGTATTGTATTAATTCCTGAAAATCTCACCTAATTAATTTTTTTTAAAAATCAGTATTACTGGACAACTCCTGGAAACAATTATGTAAGCTTCTCTTATCTACTGAACTCTGCAGGAGCCTGAAGCTAAGTAGCTGAGACTTAGAATCGATATCCCAAGTGTTATTTCAAATATGGTGGTTGTATAACAAATAATACTTAATTAAAAAGACTTTTAGTGAAAATGTTTAGAACTTTGATTCTAAAGACACTCTTAATAATCTGTCCTATCTGGAAGACAATTTAAGTATTTTCAGACTAACATTATTTGGCTTAATTTACAAACTATTGATTTTATTTGCAATTATTAAAAAATTAGTCAATTCTCATTATTCATGGATTACATATAAACAAATTTGTTAAATTTGCTTGCTAAAATTTACTTGTAACCCTGGAAATCAATACTTGTGGAGCATTTGTAGTTATTTGTGGACATGCACAGGGCAGTGAGAAATTTGAGTCACCGATGTGCATGTTCCTGCTGAGGTCAAGTAAGACTATACTCTGTCGTGCCATGTTTTTCTAATTTTGTGCTTTTTTATTGGTGATTCTGCTGTTTAAAATGGCTGCCAAACCCACTGCAGAAGTGCTGTGTAGTGTTCCTTAGTGTAAGAAGACTGATGTCCTGTACAGAAAATATTTGTGTTAGATAAATTTTGATCAGGCATGAGTAATAAGTGCTTTAGTAATGAGTTCAATGTTCATACAACCTATGATAAATAAGGTTCTTTAAACAGGAATACACATAAAATAAGGTTATGTATTGACTGGTTGATTGGAGTTTTGTGACCAGAGGCTTTCAGGAACTTAACCCTCTATTTCCCCTAAAAGCAATGGTTCAGTAGTCACTAATGTAGTGTTTGTAAGTGACTTCATGGAACATAACCACCATGCATACTGAGAATTGACTGTAGAAGTTTCCAGTCTTGTAATTTTAAATATAAAATTTCTGGTCTTTCAGGTTTACTTTGCTTTGTAAGAGAGCTTTATGTGTTTATAAGAAGTCTGTCTGAAGATTATGTCTTTGCAAATTAAGCAATAATTTCCAATCAATTTAAGAGTGTGAGAACTACTTATCTTCCATTTTGACTGAACAGTTAACATTTGTGCATCTGTTTTTTCTGTCTCCTACTAATTCTTTGATTACTAATATTTTTCTCTTCATCTCTCTAGCTGCTCTCTTTGTCTCACCTAGATGAACCACCCAGAGACCCCCTACAACTGTTCTTTCCGCTTTTACACTTGTCTTTTGTAACACAATTTGCAAAAGCAGACAGAATGGTCTTCTTAAAAAGGAAATCTGATCTTATCACTCCTGCGTGTAAAAGCCCCATGGATGGTTGCCCTTGAAATAAAATCCAAGCTCACAACAGTGGCCCATAGCTGCTTTTGGTCTAGCTCCTGTGCTGGTGTCTTGAGTCATACCTCAAACTACATTCCCTTTGCTTGCCAGGCCCCTTTCAAGCGTCTCTTTTGTGAGTTATAAAAAGGCAGGCATTCTCACCTCATGCTGTCAATGCATGTGATCAATTAGGTCTAAAGTATTTTTCTAAGGTCTGTGCACCTTTCACCCTAGGCCTCCATGGAGACATTATCCTTGACCACTCTATCAAGTAAATGCCTGGCCCCACCCCTCCTTCCAGCTCCATGTTCTCACTCCTTTTCATCGTATCTCTGGTGACAAATAATGGCTGGGGCCTATTGCATCTTGCATTTCAGAAAAGCTGAAGTTAATAATATTTCCATTTGGGGTCATTTTTGGAAATAAGTACTATCTCCCCATTACTTATCCTTAATACATTTTTTTTAAATAACACATCTGTATTTAGAATCCACTTCATTTAAAAATGATCTATTATTTATTTGGTTCTTTATGTGATCTGATAACTTTTTATAATTGAGATGGAGGTATGTCATTTTTCCACCTTTCATCCAAGTGATTTCTCAAGTGATTCCTCTCTACAGAATTCATGTTTTATAAATGTGTACAAAGAGAAAATGAGATATGACGGTTGTTGTAGCCTCACCGCTGCTGAGCGTGTGAATCCAACTATGCCATGCTTTGAAGCACAATAAACCGGCTGCTGTGCAACGGGCATGAGTCCTGAAACAGACAAATATAACATTTAAATGCTTTGATGAAAAAATAAGTAGACTATACCCAGTAATGAAAATGCAAATGAATATTTTGTGATAATTTCAATTTAAGATGAATCTGAATAACACAGTAACATAAAACCAGATAGCTTTGTGAAACTCAGTAGCCTAAGTGTAGTTTATTTGCTCCATGACCCGTGTCGTCCAGAATTTATAGTAGCTAAGTTACACAGAGATACAGCCAAGAGTTATATGTGTTTTTCTGCCTCCCCAGGCCTTCTGGAAAGTCAAGGAAAGTAAATGGTATCTAAAACACAAAGAAAATCATCTTTAAAGTCAGTAAATTACCACCTAAGTTTCCATTTTTAAGTCTGGATTTTAAAAAGTATATATTCTACATTTTTAAAGCTTCCTAATGGCTGAAGGAATTTGAATCTTCAGAGAGTCTTGGAGATTATTAGTCTTCACTACAAATTAGTATGCAATTTCCTGTCACCAATCTGTCTTGAACAATGCCTCCAAAAGTTTAAGAAAATTAAAAGTTAACTTCTTCTTTTTATTTGATCTATTGTAGATGCCTAGATCTTTTTGTCCTATGACTTAGGAAGATAGAAATAAACATTTGTGGTCCTATTTTATTTCCTTTCATAATTATGTAGTCAACTATGAAATTCAATCAATTACAGAATGTTTTATTTTGTAATTTTCCACATATGCACAACAGTAACTGATTAAATTCATGGTCTGGAGAGAAAAAACAGTATAGCATATACCTATAGCATCTCTTCTCCCCCAACTCCAGCCTAGCTCAGCTCTCCGAAAAGACACAAAACAACAACAATAAAAACCTATTTTACTCTAGTAACTATTATTATCAAGCTTATTTCTCAAAATTGTTAATTATCTAATCAGCAATCAAATTGAACCAGAGTCATTCTTGTATTTGTTTTTGACTAATTTGGATTAACTTGTTTTAATGCTTTTTAAGTTTGTGACTTCTCTGAGTCAAGTAACAGTGATCCCTGATTATTATACTATATTTAATATCAAATGTCATGCTAATAATACCAAATTATTCTGCTGAGACATGCTCATCTCCACCCAGCTAACTATTCCCAGAATGCCACCAATCATTTGAGGGTGTTGGGCCAAAGTTCAGCAATAAATGCAGACCATAACCACTCCCTGGGTGCCTGCCAGGTTTCAATTTATAAAGTATGTTTGCACAAGGGCAGTTTAAATCCCTGAGGATGGTAGATCACACCTAGTGTGTCCACCCAATGATTTCAAAGTATTGTTAATATGTTGCTTCTCTTGTTGTCATTGTTGTTGTTAAGTAAAATGTGTAAGTTAATTAAGTTTGTCAGTGTCAGTCAACAAGAATTTATGATGTTTCCACAGGCTACATAGGTATACTAGGAGTGGAAGATAAAGGGAATAAAAAAGTATAACCAGGAGTTGCTGCTTCTGGTTCTTGTTAGTCCCTGCTTTACCCATTCCTTAAATGTTTATGAGACAAAGGCAGTGGTTTCAGGACAATGTTCATATATAGCAGGAAATGCAGCATGAACCTTAATCAGAGATAAACTAGTTCACACAGCCGCAAGAACTACAAAGACATTGTTCATAAGAGTTGTCAAAGATGAATTTGAAATGAATTTTTGTTACATATGCAGAGATGATGAACTTTGGAACCCCAGCTAGTTCAAGGTGTCATAGAGGCGAAAGAAATATACTGCTTTGTGGGTTCTGGTAATAAGCAAAGACAACATACATACTTTCCTTAAAGGTGGATTCGTAAATGCAACTGGAATGTGAAAGAAATTGCTTGCAGTTTTTAAATGGCAGTTGGTTTTATGAATCTTGTAACATTCTAATCACATTTTCACTGCTATTCTGCAAAATGTTTACCCTTGCATTGCTTTCACTTTCTTTTCTTTCTTTTTCTTTCTTTTTTTTTTTTTTTTTTTTTTTTTTTTGAGACAGAGTCTCGCTCTATCAACAGACTGGAGTGCAGTGGCCTGATCTCTGTTCACTTCAACTTCTGCCTCCTGGATTCAAGGGATTCTCCTGCCTCAGCCTCCCAAGTAGCTGGAACTACAGGTATGCGCCACGGTGCCCAGCTAATTTTTGTATTTTTAGTAGAGATGGGGTTTCACCATGTTGGCCAGGATGGTCTTGATTTCCTGACCTCATGATCCACCTGCCTTGGCCTCCCAAAGTGCTGGGATTACAGGCATGAGCCACCATGGCCGGCCTCACTTTCTCTCTCTCTCTTTCTCTCTCTCTCTCTCTTCCCCCCGCCCCATACCTTCCCTCCCTTCCTTTCTGCCCCCTTCTCTCTCTTTTGAGACAGAGTCTAGCTCTATTGCCCAGGCTGGAGTGCAGTGGCAGGACCATGGCTTACTGAAGCCTTGACCTACTTGGCTCAAGCAATCCTCCCATCTCAGCCTCCTGAGTAGCTGGGACTGCAGGCATTAGCCACCACGCCCAGCTAATTTTTGTATGTTTGGTAGAGATAGGATTTCACCATGTTGCCTAGCTGATCTTGAACTACTGAGCTCAAGCAATGCACCTGCCTTGGCCTCCCAAAGTGCTGGGATTACAGGCCTGAGCCACAGCACTGGCCCCTCACTTTTTAGTATTAGATGAAAACCTACACAAATCAATTTCAGACATTCAGAAACCAAGTTTCCTTTTTTCATTTTTTTTTTACAGCTTCATGGAGATCTAATTGACATACAATAAAACTGCACGTATTGAAAGTATACAGTTTGATAAGTTTTGACATATGTATATACCAATGAAACCATGACCAGTCAAGATAATGAACATGTCCATCACCCTAAAAGTTTCCTTGTGCCCCTTGGTAATCCCTTTCTGCTGCCCCTCTCCTCCCCACAGGCAACCACTGATCTGCTTTGTGTTACTATACTTTGCATTTTCTAAAATTTATATAATGTAATCATATAGTATAAATTATATTGTTGTCTGACTTTTCACTCAGGATAGCTGTTTTGAGATTCATCCATGTTGTAATGTGTAAGGAACATTCTATTTTTTTCAATTGTTTCATTTAGTCAAGTTGTTAATTGAAGTTTTTTTTTCTTTTTTTCCCTAATATAGGTAGATTTTAACTGGTGCTTCTTATGTTTTGAACAGGCAGGGTGGATTTGCAGTGCTTTCTCTCCAACTTGCAAACTGACTCTCAATGTAGAAATTTACTACCTATACTTCAGTTTGTTGCTTTGAAAATGAAGCCTAAATGGAGGGAGAAAAGCTCTTGTTGTTTTATTATTTTTGACAATGATTTTAGTTGGGGGTGGACATTTTTTAGGAATCCAACATTTTCTACTGCATCTGATTCATTTTTCTTCTGTAGGTATAGTATTATTGCTACTGTGGTGTAGCTTCAGGATTGGTTAACCACGCTTCCACTACTTACTGTAGGCCCACAACACCAACATAGAATTTGTTTCCATGTGCTTCAAATAAAAATTGTGTTCTGGGGCTGGTAATAAGGGTCAGCTCATAGAGTTAGACTAAGTGTGCACGGTATGACTCTGGAGACACAATTTACAAGGTAGTTGGTGTAAACTGTGCCGCTTATGTTCCTACCATTTACAACCTGCACAACTATACATGGTAGTCATCTCTTGGAGAGTAGGTGACTGAGCAAAAGGACAGAATAAACCAGCCCAGGTAGGAAGAGAAGCAATTAAGTGTTGTGTAACAGAAATTACGGATGAAAGTATTTTAAGAGACTTAAAATGGTCACTGATATCAACTGCAGAAACAGAATCACTCTGAGATATAAACATATCTCAGTTATTACCCATCTAAAAATAATACTTATTTTTTCTCCAGCTACCACCTTGTTTCTCTTTTCAATGGAAAGTCCTCAGAAGAGTTATTATATGCCTTGCATTGTCTCCACTTTCTTGACCTCCTATTTGCTCTACAACTCATTCCCATCAGGCTTTCATCTGATCACTCCAGTCAAACAGATCTTATGGAGGCTGCCAATGAGCAATGGTTTGCTAAGGCTAAATCTCTGTCTCATTTTCCTTGATCCCTTCCTCAGCAGCAACTAGCACAGCCATGCTTTCCTTGAAACATTTCCTCCTCCAGGCTGGTCTCCTATCTCACATTCACTGGCAGCTTCTTCTTCATGTCTTTGGCTGGCTCCTCTTCCTTGACTAGACCCATAAACATGCTGGAAAACTCCAGAGATATACCTGGTCCTCTTTGCTTTTCTATGAACACTCTTTCCCTACATGATTTTATTCACTCCTGAGGATAAAAATTAATTCTCTCAATTTGTCTCTCTCAATCTTTGTATGACACACACACACACACACACTCAAATTTAAAATACTTATCTCAAGCCAAGACCTCTTACTCTGCCTTGAACTCTAGAGAGGGAGCCTTGGGTTACTTCTTGTAATATTTCCTAGCAGTTTTCTCTCCTTAAACTATAGTGGGTGCTCAGCCTGGGCAACACAGTGAGACTCTGTCTCAAACAACAAACGAAAAAGAAAATATGATAAATATCAGATGTTATAGGAAATTTCAAATTAAAACAACAATGAGATTCTACTACACACATTAGAATGGCTAAAATTTAAATGCTGAAGACACCAAATACTGATGAATATGTCAAGAAACAAGAACTCCAATTCATTGCTGGTGCGAATGCAAAATGGCACAGCCACTTTGGAAGACAATTTAGCAATTTCTTTCAAAAGTAAACATGCAATACAATCCAACATTTAGTTCCTTGGCATTTACTCAAAGAACTGAAAACATGCTTGCACAAAAATCTGTGTGTGGATGCTTATAGCAGCTTTATTAATTGCCAAAACTTGGAAGCAACCTAGTGTCCTTTAGTAGTTGAATGAACAAATAAACTGTGGTATATTCAGATAATGGAATAATATTCAACTCTAACAAAGGGCTATCAAGCCATGAAAAGATATGGAGGAAACGTAAATGCATATTACTAAGTGAAAGAAGCCAACCTGAAAAGGCTACATACTGTATGATTCCAACTATATGACATCTGGAAAAGGCAAAACTATGGAGACAGTTGAAAGATCAGTGGTTACCAGGAGGTGGTGGGAGGAAGGGATGAACAGGTGGAGAACAGGGTTTTTAGGGTAGTAAACCACTCTGTTTGATATTATAGTGGTAGATATATGTTATTATACCTTTGTTCAAGCCTACAGATTGTACAACATCAAGAGTAAACCAGATGAAACCTCAAATAATTATTTTATTGACCTATTTATCGGTTCATCCACATTGTACTTTTTAATGAAAATGTATCTTTTGCACTAAAATGCCACAAATCTGGTATAGTGTCCTAACTTGGTTTGATTTCTGAACCTTGGCAAACTGGACTGTTTCTAATCTTAAATCAACAGGCTCTACAGAAGTAAATTCACATAAGAACTATGTGTTTAGTTCCTTTTAAATGCAAAGTATAATGAAGTAATATTTTAAATATACTCAATTGAAGTGTGTAAAACCAATGGGAGGACCCCTGTTGCAGGACGAAGGTGGAATTTTACCGGTTGAAGAGCCAGATACCAGTATAATGACTATAGGACCAGTTACTATAACTAATATGGGTTTTTTTTAATCTTGCAAATTAATTCTCAAAATTAGGGAGCACATGGAAATATTCTGTCACAACATTAAGGGATTTAAGAATAGCAACAACAATAAAACAAAGGATTGTGACCATGTGAGAGCAGTCTCTGCTTTTAAAGAAATGGCATTTTGTTTAACATTGTGAGAAATCCTGTGTGCTTAAAAATAGATACCTTATATTAAAATAGTTAAGAACAGTATTTTTCAGTACCTCTGATAGGCCCACCATTGTGCAAGTTTATTTATAGAAATACACAATGGCTCTTTTTAAAATATACCAAGTATAATTAGTAGCAGATTTATGTCTGTCACAACTGTAAAGTTACAGAAAAAAAAATCAGTAGAGGGAGAAATTCTACCCACAAAACAAAGAAATATTTTCTAAAACCACTCAGGATAATAACACTAAACAATTAGACTGACGAAATAATATATATAGCACTTAAAATACCTGAAAGCATTTAAAATATCTGAAAATTACATGTGTACTAATAGAACAAAGAAAGTCATTCAGAAAAAAAAATGTAAATTCCATCTCTACATTAGTTCTTCTATTCTTCATAATCTTTCTACCCATATTTACAAAAGCCAGTTTTAATCATTTCACAGAAGGTAAAAAAGCTCAAAAAGATTTTTTTGCAAAAACAGAAACCTCCTCAGACAGGGCAGTCATACTAAATCCGCAAACAAGATTTGCTTTTAAGGAGAGAGAAACCATGTAGAATGGACTATATAAAAATGCTGAAAATTCAACTTAGGGAAATAAATGGTGAATCTAAGGATGCTGATACTCGTATGATAACCTGGAGTTCTGTAACTACGCTAAAAAAGCAGGAATCTAAAGCTGTCACATTTTCTTTACAACCAACAACAACAAAAAAATGTGTACCCGTCTGTCTGTTTTAACCACCACTTCTCCAACTTGAAGAAAAAAGGGAGAACTAGCAAGAAATATTTATCTACGATTCGTGCATACACCTGACCAAAGTAACTGGTGAACTTCCTCATTTGTGATTTTCCGCATAATGGAACACCTTATCTGATGGCTGTTTTTTTTCTCATTCTTATGGGTGCCATTAAGTTATGCTTTAGAGTGTGACACGACATTAAAAAGTGACACATGCGGCCGGGCGCGGTGGCTGACGCCTGTAATCCCAGCACTTTGGGAGGCCGAGGTGGGCGGATCACGAGGTCAGGAGATGGTGACCATCCTGGCTAACACGGTGAAACCCCGTCTCTACTAAAAATACAAAAAATTAGCCAGGCGTGGTGGCGGGCGCCTGTAGTCTCAGCTACTCAGGAGGCTGAGGCAGGAGAATGGCGTGAACCCGAAAGGCGGAGCTTGCAGTGAGCCGAGATTGCGCCACCGCACTCCAGCCTGGGCGACAGAGCGAGACTCCGTCTCAAAAAAAAAAAAAAAAAAAGTGACACATGCTTTCATAAAACCACTATATATTCTATAACAAAAATCTTCCCAGAAAGATATGTTTAATAGCAATTTCTAGTGACTCAGACAGTTGCTACTAGTGTTCAGTCATTGCCTAGGCTGTGGTCAGAGGAAACTGACAGAAGCTCCCTTACCCATTCAAAGAATATCCATCCCTATGCATACTAGTGGCTGGCTTCTTAAAGTGTGGTTCAAGGAGCGGTATCACCTGGGAGCACAATTTCAGGAGCCATCTCTGTCCTATCGAAATCAGAATCTGCATCTGACAAAGTCCCTAGACATATTAAATCTGAGAAGCACTGTTCTAGAAGACTATTCGTTTCTCAGTAGCCCTCTCATTCCTATGTTAAGAAACCTCGAATCTCTCATCTATCCTTCAAAATGCCTCATTTACAAATATTTAATCATTCCTACTGATTACTTCTACTATGTGTCTTTTAAACTATTTTAAGCCAAAAGAGAGCAAAATGGACTCTGCAGAGTCCATTTGGGAGAACTTTGCCAGCACTAAGCAGGAAGGGTGGCTCCCATACTCATGGCAGTTGGCATCTGAGCACTTATGAATCACAGCATAGGAACAGTACATCCACTCTATGACACAGGCTAAAATGGAGCAAAATAAAATTGCTTTTATTACCACTGCTAATTCCCACATTCTTCAAGATCTGTTTGAGATTCATTGTTCAACTATAAATTGGAGATAATTAAATTGACCTCTATTGTAGAGACTTGTAAAAGTTAGATGTGGATGTCATAAAGCCAATAGTTTACCACAATGCCTGGAGCTTGGCAATTGCTCAATATGTGTTAGGCCTGCTTCCTTATCACGAGAGCAGTAGTAGAGGGTGGTGCCATGCGATTTTCTTACCTTTGGCCCAGAGATAGAAGAAGATGATCAATGTTTTATTTCACCTGGAATTTCTGGATATTCTAGTCCATTCTTCGGCTATTGGAGTCCCAAGGCCTTGCAACTTAAATATCATGCTTCTGGGTTTTTTGATTTTTTTTTTTTTTCTTTTGAGAGACAAGGTCTCACTATATTGCCCAGGCTGGAGTGCAGTAGTGCAATCATAGCTCACTGCAGCTTTGAACTCCTAGGCTGAAGAAATCCTCCCACCTCAGCCTCCTGAGTAGCTAGGAACACAGGTGTGCACCATCACACCCAGCTAATTTTTAAAAATTTTTATACAGATGAGGTCTCATTCTGTTGCCCATGCTGGTCTCTAACTCCTGGCCTCAAGTGATCCTCCTGCCTTGGCCTCCCAAAGCATTGTGATTATAGGTGTGAGCCATGACACCTGGCCAATGCTTCTGTTTAAACAGTTTATGTCATGGAAATTATTTGGTTCTGTCATCTTGATAAGAGACACTGATATACAGCTCTTGGGGTAGAAACTTTGCCTAGTTACTTTAATATCTCCATTTCCCTTCTGCAAATGCTCAACATATGTTTGATTAAGTTGAAATTTTTATTTAAGGTAGTAATTTTAGCACTTCTACCTTAACACAAATTATGAGCTAATTATATTATTATAGATAAAACTTATAGCACAAGCAGATATGCCACTGGGTTGTTACTTAAGACATGCTGAAAATTTTGTATGATTTTTAAATATTTTCTGGAGACTCCAATGTTTTGACTTCTGAGTAAATAAGACCCTCATGGTATCTCTCACAAAATGCTACTGAGTGACAGAGCATGTCCCTAGTGAACACCACAGCCTCACTAACTGAATATGTAGCAGGGTTGGTAGGTAGGCTCCTTTTCCTGTGACAATAACTTTTCCTTTCCCACAATCTGAAGCAATTAAATACTTAAGAACTGCGCCTGTAATCCCAGCACTTCGGGAGGCTGAGGCAGGCAGATCACCTGAGGTCAGGAGTTCGATACCAGCCTGGCTAGCATGATGAAATCCCGTTTCTACTAAAAATACAAAAAAAAAAAAAGCCAGACGTGGTGGTGTGCACCTGTAATCCCAGCTACTGGGGAGGCTGAGGCAGGAGAATTGCTTTAACCTGAGAGGTGTTGGTTGTAGTGAGCCGAGATCGCGCCATTGCACTCCAGCCTGGGTGACACGAGTGAAACTCTGTCTCAAAACAAACAAACAAACAAACAAACAAACAAACAAACAAACGGAGTGCATTTGACTCATGAGATGTTTTAATGGAGCATAGCTGTTTGATTATCTGCATTAAACCAGACTTCGTTCTTCTATTGTTCCTTCCAACTTTGTTTTAATAGTTCAGGATGGATGTGGCAAAATTAGTGTCTGTTTGTATATTATGTTTATAAATAAAAACTCGTGTAGAAAAGTCCATGTGGGTTAACCACACTCAGAACAACTTGTGGAACTCCAGACTAGAGCATACCCATCCCATAATCTGCTGAGGAATCATTGTCTACTTAACTACTCCTGTTTATTAAACCTATTAATTGCATTTGATACTCTGTCTGCGTCAGTGGTCATTACTCATTAACTTCTCTACTCAAACCAGTGTGCCAACTTAAGGTTTTACTGTGACAGTGAAGGACTCCACTGTATCCACGCTAGAGATCATGAGGATAGGCCCTGTTGAGTTGAATACTGAATATTACCCACAGCCATTCCTTCAATAGAGTAAGCAGTACAGAGAAAAACAGGAAAAAAAAATCTGTGAGGAAGCAAGGTTTGGAAAACACAGAGTAGGCAAATATTAGAAGTACTCTGTTAACTCCTTAAAGATTATTTTTGTGCTCTCACCTCTTCCTACATGCTATGACTCAAGGGCATAAAATTGTTGATACCATTTCTGAGGGAATGATGAAGACGGAGGGGTCCTCTTTTGCCTTCTCCCATTATTACAATATCCTGAATTTTTATCAAACTAATTTCATTATGGGAAGAATTGGAGGCTCTCCGTTGGTGGATAAAATACAAGGCAATTCATTTTAAGACTTTGTGAGTTGAAGGCATGTTAGTGGGAGCCCTGGATGGGAAAGGAAGTAGACTGTCCACATTGGCCAGTGGCAACGAGGAAACAGTATAAACACAAGAGGTGCGGAGGCTGGAATTACGAAGAGAGGGTGCCAAGGACAACTTCTGAAAATGGAGAGAGTAGTAAGCCAAGCAGAGGGAACAATGACAAACTTAAGCTATTTAACCATTTTACATAGTGTTGCCTTGTACATGTGGAGGAAAATCAGAGGGAGAAGCAGTTTGTAATGCAATATTATTCATTAAATTGTACCAGTGCCAGGAAAGTAATTTAAAACCAAAGCAATCTTATCACTGAATTTATATCAAGTCATCGTTTTATCTGCATGAATAGAGAAATGCCCACACATGATTGCAAATGTTGTATCTGACATAGGTAAAAAGAGGATTAACACCTGGGGTTGGCGGGAGGTGGCGGTGAGCGGGATGACAAAGCAAGCTCCTAGCCAACAAAGCAAAGTGGACATCAAATTGCAAGCCTTAAACTGCTCTGCTCAATGGCATGTTTTGACTTGTGACACTGGTAAGCTCCCCAGATATTTTTAGGACTTTACTGGAAGTATCAAATGGGGCAAAAGCTTAAGATTTCACTGAAGGTTTAGTAATGCAGCCATGAGATTAGAGCTGTGCCCATGAAGCCTGAAGAGACTAGCAAATTGCAAGGGTTTATTCAATTGAAACGATTTCAGTTGCTTTTACTTTTCTGTTAGGCTGGGATAAATACAGGTAGATTAACAAATAAATGCATAGATATTAGAGATAGATAAATAATCTAGTGGTTAAAATTCTAAGAAGACTTGTACCAGGCTATTTGCATGTGAATTCCAGCTCTGAGGCTTACTTGATGTATAAGCTTAGGCAAGATATTTCACACTTCTCCTGCCTTAGTTTCCTCATTTTCAAAATGGAAATTATATAGAGTTTACCTCACAGGGTTGTTGTGAGGATTAAATGAGTTAATGTACAGTGTTTAAAATGATATCAGGTAAACAGTGCTCAATAAATGATATTATATATTTGAATATTTTAAACAGATAAAAGGCAGTAATTCTACATTGCATTTCTTTATTCATGCTCTTTGGGGCAAGGAAGCACCCTCTTATGGTAAAGAATTTCTCCCAGATCGTCCTAAATTGATCCAACTCTGAGGCTTTCAGCCTTCCAAAGAATGAAATCAGTGCCTCCAGTGACATAAAGGCCAGGGGCTCCTTGTAGAATATTCATGGTACTCCAAGCTTTGCTGACCCTCTTAGCTTTATGAAAGAATACAGAGAATTATCAATCTTGATCACAGCCCCAGGTTTTTAAATATTTAAACTTTTAAGAAAATACTAAATATCTCTTTTTAATTCTCCAGTCACTTGTTTTTTTCTTATGATTTTATTTCAAAATAGTATAGATTTAGCTTTGCCAATTTGCTTTTAGGGTTTCAGTCTCCCACAGCTTAACATTTGGCCCTCTCTGGAACACATACCCCTTTCAAATATTGCCCGTGCGCTCACCTTTTAAAGTATCATTAGGATTAAAATGTTATAATTTATAAGTAGTTGTACCACTAGGAAAAAGAATCTGATTACCCTGAAAAATTTATAGAAATAGGTTTGTAATAGCTTTAGGGACATGATTTTGACTTTAAGCGACCCAGAAAATGAGATGCTAGTCTATTTTTGAGAACTTCTAAAGGAGATTTCTAAATCTCCTCTGGTGGCAGCTTTACAGTGATATAAAAGAACCATTTGATAATCATTCCTAGAGGGATGAGACAAATGCTGAGAATCAGACAGAGGTTCAATCACAGGTACCTCCAAACCCAACTTCCCAAATCACTGGAGCTGAGATGCCAAGGTTGGGGTGGGGTGTGGGGCTGAAATTTCTATTCTGAAATCACCACATTAACTAAAACCAAACAGATAATTTTTTAAAGTCTCACTTTTTTGGACAAGATAGCTTAGATTTGCTGTCCATGTTGATCAGACTTCTTAAACTTCACAATTTCACTTGAACTATTCAAGAATCATTGATGATTTTTTCCTAGAGTTTTAAAAAGTAAAGTCACTTGACTCAGTTGCTCCAAAAAGTCCAGTCAGAGGTTTAAGGCTAGTATTGAAGGATAAGATATCAGCTGATACTAAATCATACTACTCTGAAAATACTATAGTTTAGGATTGCATGCTGTGGAAAAGATGATTAGCTGCCCTCTGAAATCCATTCTTCTCTTAGGCACACAGCTAGACTGCATTTCCCAGACAGACTCGCTTACAGTTAGGTGAAACATGAGCTCAAGTTCTATACTGAAATGTGAGCAGAAGGTCTGCCATTACTGGGCTGGGGTTCTTAAAAGAGTAGCCATGCCTCCTCCATGTTCTTCTTCTCTTTCTGCTAGAGAAAAAGGAATCCAGCAGTTCTAAAGTAACCCTGGGAGCTCCCTGCTGAAGACGGCAGAACTTCTGCCAGCCAGGTTTTCAAATGTCTGCATACAGAAGAGATACCTGCAACAAGGATCTTGCCTCAGACTGATGTACGAGTTAAGGAATGTGCTTATACTACATGTAAGTTTGGCTTTATTTATTAGTTTAACATATCTTAACTATGATATATGCCATATTTTAAAATTACACACTGTTACTAAAATCACATGGGAGCAGAGACATCTTAACTTCACTTTAGTGCTTTTTACTTTGCCAAAGGTGCTTTCACATGCATTATTGCTTAGGAGTCTCACCACAACCTTTGAAAAATATTGGCTCTA
This sequence comes from Homo sapiens, assembly GCF_000001405.40. NCBI lineage: Eukaryota > Metazoa > Chordata > Mammalia > Primates > Hominidae > Homo > Homo sapiens. Next base: position 174,508,444 of record NC_000004.12, read on the forward strand.
AAAAAAAATTATATATATTTTTTCAAATATTACTGCAGTAAGATAACTTTAAAAGCCACAAGTTAAATTAAGAGAAATAAACATATTTTTCAAACTTTTGATATTTTGCAATAGAAAATTCCATGGAACTATAAAACGATCAGATTTTTAATTTCCAACTTGAGCTGATAATAAATATGCTTTGAAGATTTGTTTTTGTGGTCCAAATTACCAGTAAGAAAATGTTACATTTAATGTAATAATTGCCCTTACCTGCTAAAGATGACATATTGATAATGATGCCGCCTTCACCTCCATTTTGCTTACTCATGTAATCCAAACCAAGATAGGTTCCACTGATAACAGAAACCTAATCCAGAGGCATAAGTGAGAAAAGGAATACAGTCATTATCCTTTCCCATATTTTCACACACCAAAGTTTTTATAGCTATTCCAGATACCTAGGGAGATTTCTGCAAATATTATCAATGAAAGGTTTTAAAAGAGCTTTGTTTTTAAAGTTAGTCATTAAACCTGGATTCTTTGGGTTTGCCTAATCATTGTGGAGCTTGTCATATATCTGCAAAACTTCACTTAGTTGCCCAATATGAGATTTTATGCTACAGGTTGTATTCCAAAAATGTCTATTACTTTCACTCAATTCTCAACATCTTCAATAATTCCATATATTCTTTTTGTTTTCTAAATGTTGGATGCAAAATTTATTTACCCTTCTTCTCTGCATATGGTTCTCATGTCTCAGTATTCCACACTTAACTACTCTGTTTAATTCTCTTGGATCTTGGAATATAGAATAATGCTTACTCTTGATTTCCTAGAGGTTTTATTTTCTCCTTTTTTCTTTCTAATAAAAGTTCTATTTTGCTCCTGTATCTACCTCCTCTCCATATAATACGAGGAAGGTGATCTCCCCAAATTTAATGTAGACACTGATTAATTAATTTAATTCAGTCATGGAAATCCCATTCTCCTTGACAGTGGCTGGTTTCAGAGCCAGCAGGTGACCCAGTTTTGGTCAGTGAGACCTGGGAGGCAATCAGCTAGAGATGGGAACAGGATGGATGCTGCTGAGAAATTTTTTGTTGCTCTTAAGAAAACCTGAAGAAATGGTTACATTGCCTGCTTTATATGAATGTCGTAACTTAAATGGACAACCCCTATTTCCTAGTATCCTGAAGATGAAACCAACATAAAGAATGGTCGGTGGGAGGGATGACACAACCCTGGGCCCGATGATATCATTGACCTGTAAGATCAAGCAATCCTCAACTCCGTGTTGTGTGAAATCACATAAATGTTTTATCCAGTTTAAGTGGTGATTGTCAGTTAGCTGGACATCTGGTCTTTAGTAATGTCTATAACTAAATTTTATTAATCACTGCTTACAGCTATCCTTTTGATAGTTGACTGTTTTGCCACTTATATCCATGTGTAGGCACTTTTCCTGTTTTTGTTCAAATCACTACCAAAAAAAAAAAAGAAAAAAAAAAACCTGTGTGATCAAATTGATATTTCAAACCTTACTTTTCCTTTTGGATTTAAGAATTCCTATCCCTTCCAGCTCAGACTTTTAAAAAAGGAAAATTCTTTTTTGACATCTTAATTCCTATTTTTTTCATGCTTTACAATACTGCAAAGAAAACGATACAATAGGTAATGCGTCTGAAACGGAGGTTACACATGTACTTACCTTCTTTTTCTCTTAAAAATTTCCTTTTGAAGTTTTCTTTTTTTTGCAAGGATTCAGATATACTTCTCCTACCTAACAGTAGCTCTTGAACAAAAAAGGAAATTGGAGGTTCTATTCACTTAAGCCATGTGTCAATTTGACAGTAAGTAGGCTTAGGGAGAATGAATAAAATCTCCACATGATTTTCTTTAGAAAGGAAAACCAAAACATTAATTGTTTATATAAGAAGAAAAAGATGTAGATGGCTGAAATTAATGAAGCCAGTTGGATTCTGTTAGTTTCTGCAGAAGGCTTCAGCATGTCTGAACAGAATTTCTGTTCATGCGTATTGGCACTACGCTTTTATTCTCAGGTATTACAGCTTTGCTGACACCCCACTGTTGTGTTTTCGACATGAACAAGATGAAGCCAGATAGAAAATTTGAGATTTTTTAAGATTTATTTTTAATTTTTTAGAAAAGCAATATTTATCTTTAGGTCTTTGGTGGAGAAAGGCAAGGGATTATTTTTCTCATCCATTATCAGGTTAAGAACTGGGTAATTTTTCAAATGAAAGAGTTCAAAGGATGAATCTACAAGACAGGGTCTAATGCTTTGGCTGTGTAGAAATGACATTTTTCACTTTTCCTCCTTTACTATAACAACGTAGTCCTTATTCTAGATTATATACGCATGTGCACGTGTGTCTATATATTATATATTTCACCATGTTGGCCAGGCTGGTCTCGAACTCCTGACCTCAACTAATCCGCCCACCTCAGCCTCCCAAAGTGCTGGGATTACAGGCCTGAGCCACCGTGCCTGGCCAGAAAATGTAGATTTTGATGCTCTGGAAGGGAAGTGTAATTTATTGAATAAATTCTATGCAGTGGCACTGTGCTGGATATTCACATAAACTATGGTTTATTTAAGCGTAACAGTCCTTAGAGATAGGGAGTTTACCTTCCTCCCTGGGAAGCTCAATATGAGAGAAATAAAATAACAGTTTATAAATTATAGAGTCAAGACTGGATTCTAATTTTGACTAATCCCAAAGAAATGTATTTCCCAGGGCAAATCTTTAGTCAATAAGTGCATTTCAGAAAAAAAAAAAAAATGACTAGCAACATTCATTTATTTTGTTTAAATCTTATTTGAATATATTGACCCACTTATGCCTAGTGTTCCATTATTGGAATACTAAGCACGTGAGAGTTATTTATATCCTACTGTTCAAGGTCATTGCCAAGGTCTAATTTTTAACTCATGCAAAAATTCAAAATATTGCAACCTCTGGCATAAATGGGTTAAGGAATTCAACATATATTAGTTAAATGTCAAAATTAGACTGTAAGTTCCACATCAGTGGGGATGAACATATTTAGGTTTACAGAAACTTCAGAAAGTTACAAAACTACATGACAGAATTACCATTCCAATCAATATTCAAAGTTAAGTTTACCTCTGCCCAATTGCCAGCATGAGTGTTGATAGTTTTGCAAAGACTCATTCTTTCCTGAACATTTCTTTTTTTTAATTTTATTTTGTTTTTGAGACAGAGTCTCGCTCTGTCGCCCAGGCTGGAGTGCAGTGGCGCAATCTCGGCTCACTGCAAGCTCCGCCTCCCGGGTTCACGCCATTCGCCTGCCTCAGCCTCCTGAATAACTGGGACTACAGGCGTCCGCCACCACGCCCGGCTAAATTTTTGTATTTTTAGTAGAGACGGGGTTTCATCGTGTTAGCCAGGATGGTCTCAATCTCCTGACCTTGTGATCCGCCCGCCTCGGTCTCCCAAAGTGCTGGGATTACAGGCGTGAGTCACCGCTCCCGGCCTGCTGAACATTTCTTCTGTGTTCTGAACAGCAATACATAATGCTGCTGTTGTTGGCTTCAGACTAAGGAGGAAGTATAAAATAGCCTAATGGAAACCAAAGACTGGGAAAAGGTTTAGTGGGAAGAAGGATGAGATCAGCAAAGTGAAAAGTAAGGAGTAAATTTGATAAGGAGTAAAAGTAGAAGGACAGATGATACCGTTTGGAAGAACTAATGTATTTGGAAAGCAATGTACTGAGACATAGAAGTGAATACTCTCATGTATGCAAAATATCATATACAGGTAATGGCAGGTGACCCAGTAACTATTAACTAACATCTGTAAGGACACAAGACAATAGTTTTCTGCCTTGAAAGAACTTGTGGTTTACTAGCATGAATAGCATGAATTATGTATATATTTAAATAATTCTAATAAAATTAAAAAACTGGTAAGCCCTATGAAAATGGTATAAATATGTTGTATAATATTTTAGAAGAAGGAGAGATATATGGTAAAGTCTTTTAAGAGGTTACTCTCTGACATGAGCAGTAATACAGAAAAACATGCAAAAGAACAAACATGGAATTGTATAAGACCCAAGGAGGCAAATTAAATCCAGAGCAGAGTTTCAAAAAAGAGTTATATAAACTACACACAAATATTTGCATTACAGTAACAGAGATAATCAAGTTGGAAGTTAAATTATTGGTCAGATTCTACTCTTGCAACGGGTTTAGGTAGGAGGGGAAGTAACATATTTTTAAGTAATACATTGGTAACAAAGGTTCCATGGTGTTTTCTTTATGTAAACATATATCATCAGTTCCTGATGTGAAGCTGAAAAGTGGCCTATGTCAGCAGAGTCCCAAGAAAAATAAAGGCTGGATAAATTTCAATGGAGAAGGAACTAGGCCTGTTAGTTATAACTAAAGGATCACAATAAAATTCCCCTGGTCTTCCAGAATTTCCTATTTGCCCATGATATTGGCACTTTCCAGCTCAGAGCAGGTATTCACACAGGCTACATTAAAGCAAACATGCCCTCTCAGCTGGATGAAGACATCAGTCGAATTCTGTAACTTCGTAATATTTGCCTCAATATTTCCATGTTTCTTTACGTTAGCTGTAATCATTGCACACTGTTTCTGACAGCTGATTTTTCAGAGAAAAGACACAGCAAGTGTCCATTAGGAAGTCACCAAATACAGGAACTATATACTCTATTAATTTTATCTGTAAAAATATCTGTAGATATTACCGATGAAGCTATTACAAATATCAGTAGTAATGTTAAAGAGAGAAAGCTGTTGTGCAATTTGTGCTTTTTCACTGGGATAGCCTGGTTCAAAGAAAATCTCGTCATTTAATGTGGTTTTGGAAAGTGGCATGAGTCTATATTCTTAAAAATCCTTGCAGTTCCCAATTAGCCATATTTTCAAAATTTTTGTTTTATCAGGCTACCAAAAGATGTAATGAAATACAACTCTTAATAAGTCAGGGGTATCCTCCAAAGAGTAAATATAAAATGCATATTTTTTTTTTTTACCAGCATAAGAAAATTAAAGCTATATAATGCATTTAGGGAAGGAATAGAAAAAGAATAAAAACAAAAAGAAAACAGTAAATATTAAAGTATAAAACGGAAGAGTAAAAATAAATGGCTTAAACTCACAAATATTAAAAAGGCAGATGTTCCCAGTTGTGTCTAACTACAGATTAGAGGATTCTAAGATCTCACAATAAACCATCAGCAACAACAAATTTAACATAAAAGGTTGCTTATATTTTTAAAATAAAGTAATGGAAAAAGGTAGGTGAATGTGAATCCAAAGAAAATGATAGGGTACTAATTTTATATCTGAAAATATAGAATAGATTAAAAAATCATCAGACAGCAAATCAGAAGTTTAACTTTAAAAAAAATTTAAAAATCAATAAATTGCAATCATTAGCAACTTATGCTCTGAATATTATAGATTTATAATATATAGAGTCTAAACTTACAGAATTACTAAAAGAGGTAGGCAGACTGCCATTTGCCATTTGAGATAAGAATGCCTCTGTTGAGAAATGAACAGATCAAGGACATAAAAGGAAGCCAGGATATAGATGACACCCAAACCAAATAAGAACATTATAAGAAAAGAAAATTAAGGATAGTACAATTTATAAGTACAGAAGCACAAATACTAAATTAGGAATTAAAAAAATTCAATGGTATATTAAACATTCATATATCATAATAATGGAAGATTTAGCCAAGAGATGTAAGTATGATTCACAGACAGAATATCTCATTTCAATACATTTCTACCCTAAAGTAGAAGAAGATCACAGAACTGTCTCAACTCAGGAAAATCAGCTATCAGGTCTCTCCAAACACATGTATGTATATTTGCAATTAGAATCCCAAAAAGATTTTGAGGGAAGCTTGACAGTTTCAAGTTATTTTCAAATATAATGAAAGAGGTACACTGGAGAAAAAGTTTTAAAAGAACTGCAAGGAGGGTATCCATACTGTAAAATAGAACCTTCCTTCTTAATTAAAAGATTTTAGGTAAAATTCAACATCTTTTCATGTTAAAAAATCCTCAACAACATAGGCATCGAAGTAACATAAAGCAAACATCTTACTGAGTGGGAAAAAGCTGGAAGCATTCGCCTTGAGAGCTGAAACAAGACAAGGATACCCACTCTCACCACTCATATTCAACATAGTACTGGAAATCCAAGCCAGAGCAATCTGGCAAGAGAAAGGAATAAAGGGCATCTAAATAAGAAGAGAGGAAGTCAAACTATCTTTTTTTGCAAACGGTATGATTCTATACATAGAAAACACCATAGTCTCTGCCCAAAGTTTCCTAGAACTGATAAACAATTTAAGTTACGTTTCAGGATACATAACCAATGTACAAAAATCAGTAATGTTTCCAAACACCAATAATGTCCAAGCTAAGAGGCAAATCAAGAATGCAATCCCATTTACAACAACCACAAAAAGAATAAAATACCTATGAATACAGCTCACCAGCAAGGTGAAAGATCTCTACAATGAGAATTGTAAAACACTACTGAAAGGAATCAGAGATGTCATTATTAAATGAAAACACATTCCATGTTCATGGATAGGAAGAATCAATATTGTTAAAATGGCCATACTGCTCAAAGCAATTTACAGATTCAATGCTATTCCTATCAAACTACCATCATCATTTCCACAGAATTAAAAAAAACAATTTTCAAATTCATATGGAATCCAAAAAGAGTCAGAATAGTCAAAGCAATTCTAAGTAAAATGAACAAAGCTGGAGGCATCACACTATTCGACTTCAAACTATACAAGGCTACAGTAACCCAAACAGCACGGTACTGGTACAAAAACAGATATATAGACCAATGGAACAGCATGGAGAAGCCAGAAATAAGGCTGTACACCTACAATCATCTGATCTTTGACAAAATTGACAAAAACGAGCATGGGGAAAGGATGCACTATTCAATAAATTGTGCTGGGATAACCAGGTAGCCATATGCAGAAGATTGAAACTGGACCCCTTCCTTACACCATATGTAAAACCTAAAACTATACAAATTCTAGAAGAAAACACAAAGCACCCCATTCTGAAGACATGCCATGGCAAAGATCTCATGATGAAGTCTCCAAAAGCAATTGCAACAAAACCAAAAATAGATGGGACCTAATTAAACTAAAGAGCTTCTGCACAGCAAAAGAAACTATCAAAGCAGTAAGCAGATAACCTACAGAACTGGAGAAAATATTTGCAAACTATGGATCTGACAAAGGTCTAATATACAGATTATATAAGGAACTTGAGCAAATCAACAAGCAAAAACCAAACAACCCCATTAAAAAAAGGGCAAAGGACATAAAGAGACTTCTGTGAATACTTCTCAGAAGAGGACAGACACATGGCCAACAAACATAAAAAATGCTCAATATCACTAATCATCAGAGAAATGCAAATCAGAACCACAATGAAATACAATTTCACAGCGATCAGAATGGCTATCATTAAGAAGTAAAAAATAAATAAATAATGGATGTTGGCTTGGCGAGGCTGTAGAGAAAAGGGAACACTTATATGCTGCTGGTAAGAAAGTAAACTAGTCAGACACCATGGAAAGCATTTTGGAGCTTTTCTCGAAGAACTTAAAACAGAACTACCATTCAACCCAGCAACCCCATTACTGGGTATATACCCAAAGGAACATAAATCATTCTACCAAGAAAGACACAGCACTAATAGGGTCATCGCAACACTATTCACAATAGCAAAGACGGAATCAACCTAGATGCCCATCAACGGGGGACTGGATAAAGAATACGGGTAGGTATACAGCATGAAACACCACACACCCATAAAAAAGGAAATCATGTTGGTTGCAGCAACATGGATGCAGCTGGAGAGCATTATCCTAAGCAAATTAATGCAGGAACAGAAAATCAAATACCTCATGTTCTCACTTACAAACAGGAACAAAACATTAAGCACATATGGATACAAAGGGGAACAATAGTCCCCAAGGTCTACTTGAGGATGAAGGGTGGGAGAAGGGTGAGAGTGGGAAAACTATCTATGGGTTGCTATGACCACTATCTGGGTGATGAAATCATCTGTACACCAAACCCCAGTGACACACGATTTACTCAGGTAACAAATCTGCACATGTACACCCTGAACCTAAAATAAAAGTTGGAAAAGAAAAGCCAACAAAAATAATTGAAAAATTTAAAAAACTAAAAGAAAACTGTATTTTAGTTATCTGTCAAGTTTAGGGAGCAATTTTGTACTCTTCTCAAGGTAGGACTTACAGATTTGGCTCTTTTGTGAAGAAGTGTCATCCTCATTGCCTCTATCAAGTTATTATAGCAGTTAGGTAATTACTCATGGGCATTTCAATTTAAGTAAAAAATGTATTGACTAAGCACTATCTTCAAGATATTATGTTGATTACTGAGAGAGAGACAAAGAAAAACACAACCCAGTTCTTGTTTTTATGGAGTTTATAATCTACTAGGAGGATATCATGAAGTAGGAGGTCACTCCCTGTACCTTTATACATACACAGTGGCCAAATTGTACTCTACAATTACCTGCCTTGTAAGATTGGTGAGAATGACCTTAGCAAGGTCAGGGAGACCCCAGGCACAGCCTATTTGACATTTAGTTTTAGTTAACGTTTGATTTTTACTAAACTCCAATATCTTATGTCAAGGGTATTTATAGAATGAGGTAACCCATAAACTCATGACTTAATGGATAAAAGAGAAAATTTTATTTCTTAATTCTACCATTTTTAAGAGCTAAGTCATTATCAAACATTATGGAAATCACACACACACACGAACCACGAACTTTCAGGATAAAAAGTCCTACTAATTACAAAGTTCGATTGTCACTTTAATTTTGTTTTCTGTTACATTCTAGCATTTAATTAAGATTTACTTTTAAATAAATAAGTCAGCGGTTGACGAGCTTTTTCTGTAAAGGGCCAGATTGTAAATATTTTAGTCATTGAATGCCACAGGATCTTTTACAAATATTAAACTTTGCCCCTGTAGCATGAAAATAGCCAATGACAATTCTTAAATGAATGACTGTGGCTGTGTTCCAATAAAACTTTATGGACACTGAAAGTTGAATTTCATATAATCATATTATTCTTCTTTTGAATTTATCCACCATTTAGAAATGTAAAATGGTATTTTTAGCTTGCAGGTCATACCAAAAGAGTTGGCAGGCTATTTTGGCCTGTGGGTCATAGTCTGCCAATCCCTGAGTTAAGCAATCATTTATATTTTATTCATGCTTCTTTCTAATATTTTAAGATAGACTTACTTTCATAATTAAATGTCTTCCTTTTTATAAAAGAAAATGCTTTTATCCAGCTTTCTGTAACTTCCCTTTTTCAATATTGTAGGTCATTGTTTTGTTTCCATGACTCCAAGAACCTTTTTTTCTTTACAAACATCATGTTATTAAATAATTATAGACAAGAAATATAGCTAAGATAACTCACCAAATTAATTTGCAGAGTTTTTTCCCAGTTTTTCTCATTATTCACTCCAGCATTATTGACCAAAATGTCCAGTCTTCCAAAGTGGTCTACAACTTTTCTAAAAGTGTCTAATTATAAAACAAGATATTAGTGATACATTCTTATTTTCCATGTATACATTTAAATCATGTCCTATGCCATGAGAGGAATTTCAGTTTATTTACCCTCATAGTGAAAGTTACTAAACTCATGGGCTGAGTGTAATTAATTCCTTGTTTCTCAATGTGTGGTTTGTGGACTAGAAGCATCAATCTGGCAGCTTGGTAAGAATGCAGAATTTTGCAGACACCACAGACTAACTGAATAAGAATCTTAACTTTAACATATTCTTACATGATTTGTATGCACATTGAAGTTCTATAAGCAGTAACTTAATGGGGTACATTTTAGAGAACTGAGCTAAGATCCTAAGCTAAGAGCTCGTTGAAGTCAGTTAGAGCAAGCAATGTCTCTTAGTCCCTGAGAAGCTACTGAAGCTCTGTAGCTTAGACTATTGGTAAACATCCTTTTCCATAAGCCATATTAAATTCATAAAGTGTTATGTTAATACAAATATTCTTGTGTATTCAGATCTATTATGCATGTTTGGGGGAGTTTTTATATCTTAGTAAAAGTCTACTTTTCATTCAGTTGATTTTATTTGATTACTGAAACTTCGATGTTTACTATTTCCTTCTTCTTTCTCACTATTATTACTACTTCAGATTACTAGGATTACTAGTTTGTATAAAACTATGTTCAAACAGGATAAAGTTGGCATGGATTCTGAGGCCTGAATGTCTTTCATTACACTGTCCAATCACATGTCTATTGTTTCTCAAAGCAGCCTTTGACAGAGTTCTAATTGATTTAAACTGTTTCCCCGGGCCTTTGATCATTCATTCTACTTCTATTATTTTACACTATGGATAAAAATTGTGGTTGTTTTTCTACATGACGGAAATATATTCTCAGGTGTCCAGACCAACATATCAAGTCCTTAAAAAAAGTAGGTCAGCATAAGCTTTATTTTGATTGAAATAAATTCATATAATCATTAACAACCACCAGACATATTGGGGAAGACATGGATTAATCAGTTGCCATATAGATAAATTACTATGCTAGTTGTTTACTAAAAACATTTTCAAGATTTCCTAATATGTACCTTTTACACTCACTGTACGGGAATGGAAGAACAACAAACACAAACTGTTTATTTTTCATGGATTTTTTTTTTTTTGAGTCGGAGCCTCGTTCTGTCCCCCAGGCTGGAGTGCAGTGGCCTGATCTCAGCTCACTGCAAGCTCCACCTCCCGGGTTCACGCCATTCTCCTGCCTCAGCCTCCAGAGTAGCTGGGACTACAGGCGCCCACCACCACGCCCGGCTAATTTTTTGTATTTTTAGTAGAGACGGGGTTTCACCGTGTTAGCCAGGATGATCTCTGTCAGGCCTCTGAGCCCAAGCTAAGCCATTATATCCCCTGTGACCTGCACATATACATCCACATGGCCTGAAGTAACTGAAGAATCACAAAAGTAGTGATACTTAAATGGCCTGTTCCTGCCTTAACTGATGACATTCCACCACAAAAGAAGTGAAAATGGCCGGTCCTTGCCTTAACTGATGACATTACCTTGTGAAATTCCATCTCCTGGCTCATCCTGGCTCAAAAAGCTCCACCACTGAGCACCTTGTGACCCCCACTGCTGCCCACCAGCGGGCAACCCCCCTTTTTCCTTTACCTACCCAAATCTTATAAAATAGCCCCACCCCTATTTCCCTTTGCTGACTCTCTTTTCCGACTCAGCCAGCCTGCACCCAGGTGAAATAAACAGCCTTGTTGCTCACACAAAGCCTGTTTGGTGGTCTCTTCACACAGACGCGAGTGAAAGTCTCGATCTCCTGACCTCGTGATCCGCCCGCCTCGGCCTCCCAAACTGCTGGGATTACAAGCGTGAAGCCACTGCACCCGGCCTTTTTTCATGGAATCTTAAAAATGTTTCTTAAAATCTCAAATTGGGTCCAGAAAATGTCCCCCAGTATTTTTTTTTTCTCCTTCCATTCTGAGTATGTTCTAACTCTTCATAACTCCACAGAAACAACCTTCACCTTTTGGAAAATGAGGGTGTTAAATATGTATGTCTAATTGCCGCTTTAATTTTCTTTCCTCATTCTGTTCTCCACCGTATTCCTTATACTCTGCCCTTACCAATGTATAGTATACCATCTTGTTTTCTGACATCCCATTGAATTCCAGGCTCAAGCAACAGACAGTCTACCTCTTGCTGACATTTATATGCTATGGTACTCTTTGTAACTTACCTAAACTCTCTTGGCTGTGATTTGTTCATTTGGAAAATAAGTTATGTTTAGATTATCTCCAAGAAACTTTTCATCTCATATTTTTATAATTTCCACACTGTCTAAACAATTTTAAAAGTTATAGGCAACATTAAATCCTGAAACTGGAAGAATCAATGTCATGTTTCCTTTAGATGCAAGCAAATGCTCATGTCCAGACAACATGTGGATTTCTCATGACCAACATGCCTTCCCGGGTCACTTATGTGTCTGAGTATTTTTCCTCCTCCACAATCATTTATCCTTAAGGAATGAGTTTATAGCCAAGGTATTAATTTTAAATACTGGGAAAAAAACAATTGTAGTTAAATGTCATTTATGAAACTATATAAATTGAGACAGAAATGGCTTTCAGATTGTTTATACTGTTCCTTATGCCATCAGCATGAATGTTGAGATCTGACCTGGCTCTATCCTTGATCCAAAATATCATGTGCAATCAACATAATTGTCCTCTGGTACAATATGTTCCTCTTGCATTGTGTTTACAAATCTGTTCTGCTCATGCTTGTCATCTGTGTTATAGGTCTTTATTAGCATTTTCAGATTTCAGTTATGTAATTTCCTTTACAATTTCTCTTAACTGTTGGTACACCACTTCCTTCTAACACGTCAGTTCATTTTCATTCTCTTACAGAATATTTTAAAATTTTAAAATAAATGTACATTTGATGTCCCTTTAAGAACAGGAGCACTGGAATAAGATTTGCAAAAGTTTTCAGACCCCTTGATTAAAAAGTGCCTTACAATTTACTCAGTCTCTTTGAATAAAACTTTGTGAAATACAAATATTTTACTTTTCTAGTTTTTCTCCAGAATTTTTGTTTCCTGTAAGTTTATTGGGGCACTCTCAAGTTCTCCAATAGATGTACAAAAAAAAAAAAAACAGCTTTATAATCAAAGCTGTTTATTGTGTATGCCAATATTGTCCCTGATACTTCACAAGTAGATTGGTCTATTTTAAGTGAGTAGCCGGAAACAGGAAAGCATTGAGGAAAGGCTGATAGAGATGTTTCTACTACAATTCTAACATTGTATACTTTATTATGATTACTATTATTATTATTTTAAAGTACTGTCTCATTGGGGAAAAAGCCGGAGAAAACATATGGTCAAAAGCATCTAGCACTTCTGTGATGATGCTCCTTGAACTTGTATTCTGATATGTTTAAACGAAAAACACTGCCACATTTGATTGTCATTGGACTCCAGCTTTCTGGGAGAAGTTGTTTGTCAACAGTACCTTACTTAACCTACTTTAATTTTCCAAGTTTTGTCTGCAATTTCAATCATTTAATAATTACTGCAGCAGCACTGTCTTTGAATACATAAAGGAATTTTGATTACATTAATGCTGCCAAATGACTACAATAAAAGGATTTCTCCAGCAGTCTTGCCTTTCTTTCGGTTTTACAGCTATTGGGCTGTCAGAAGGAAACGTATCAGTCCAAACTGTCTTTTGGAGCTTCAAGGTAGCTGCTCTCGAGGAGGCAGCGGAGGCGGCACCCAGGGCCCCCTGGCCGGGCTGCCTTCAGGTTGTTGCTTGTTGAGAGCACGTTCCCAGTTGACAGATTGATTCCCCTGTCTTACCTCTCAGTTGTTGCTGGTCAGCCACATCGCACTGGATGAACAGAGTCTTCTGAGGTTCAAACTGCTCATCCAGGGCAGCTTTACACTGTACACCTGCTTCAAGATTCCAATCCACCAGCGCTACCTATAGACAAGAGGAGAGGAATCGCGGGCCTGCGCAGCTCACGAAATAGACGGACAAACAATAAACACACAAGAGGCTCCCCTCCTGGACCTGAAATTTGGCAATTAGGTTTGGGTTCCCTCCCAGCCACTTCTGAGGTGTGCTCACAGCCTCAGCTTCAGCAAATTTTGGAAGTGGCAAAGTGGGCACGCCGGGCGCGGCCTCCCTGTCTCCGCCAGTGCACCTCGGGCGGCGGGGCGAGTCTCGGAGTGTGTGGGCAGAGAAATTTCCGCGGCTGGGCGCCGGGCTTACCTTGGCGCCCTTAAGCAGCAGCGCCTCTGCAAAGGCTCTGCCTATGCCCTGAGCCGCGCCGGTCACCAGCGCCACTTTGCCGTTCACGTGCATGGTGCAGCCACTGCTGGGGCGGGCGGTGGGCGAGCTCCGCGTCTCCGCGCGGCCGCGGCTTTTATGCCCCCCTGCGCGCGCGCGCGTGCAGCCCGGCGGGGCGCTCCCCTGCCAGTGGGCGGGGAGGAAACTGTCAAGCCAGCGCCCGCCGGGGAACCCACGACTGTGTCACCTGCCCCCTGAGCGTTCTGGAGCGCCAAGCTTCGCGATCTTTGCCTTCCGGACTCGCAGACCGGCTCAAAGCCTCCCCTCAGCCTCTGGCTCCGTGATTGGCAGGCAGCTGACAGAAGAAAAGTTAAAAGGTTATTTCTGAAGAAGAGTTTCCTTCAGTGCCCTAAAGACCAACTGGATAGAAGGAGAGCGGAGCAGAGGCTTGGAAGCTTGGATCCCTCCTCCTGCACTCCCTCCCGGCCCCGACTCCGGAACAAAACAAGCAAACAATAAAGCAAACTTGTTGCTCTTTTGTCTCAAAGTTTTGTGTGAGTTCCCATCTCGTAATCAGTGGGGTTGAGGGTGACGGGGAGCAGAAGTAACTAATATCATTGTGTTTTCTTAGTTACATTTTGGACAAATTTTTACGGATACTGGAGATGAGAAGTGGACTCTGCTCTGTCCTGAAAACCTGGAATCATAACATTTCATGGCTAGGACTAGAGTGTCCTTGGCGCTGTGTTTCTGGTCAGTGTCAATTGTGTGTCATATTGAGATGCCCCCACAAAAACTGTCATCATCAACAGGCGCTCCAGAGCCGCTGGTAGCCTACCAAATTGTTGGCTCAATGGAATGCTTACTTGTTGAAATACACCAACTTTGGAAGCTCTGAGTCAAGTTTGGGACAGAGGTTCCTTGCTCTCCAGGAACTCCAGGGCTAGCTGTATGCGGACTTGCATAAATAACAAGGGCTATTCCACTGACTTTGTCTCTTTTTCTCAGGTTGTCAGCGGCAGGCTGCAATTTTAATTCTGTAAACGTAAGTGGTTGGCTTTTTTTTTTTTTTTTTTTTTTTAATCTTGAGACAAGATCTCGCTCTGTCTGTTTGGCTAGAATGCAGTGGCATAATCCCAGCTCGCTGCAACCTCAATCTCCAGGGCTCAAGCGACCCTCCCACCTTGGACTCCCAAAGAGTGCTAAGATTACAGGCATGAGCCACTATGCCCAGCTGGCATTTATTTTCTTAAAGAAAAAAAAAATCTAAATACTTGGGGGAAATGGGAGTTGAGCAAAAGACTGACACTAACAGCAGAATGAATCATTTTTATATCTTCTTTACCTTCTTTACTGGGAAAGGTGGCTGGCTCAGCAGGGAAGGAGTGTATGAGGAGACTGTGTAAAATGTGTCTTGTCGCGTTGTTGGTAAGCCGCTAAGCAAATGTCTTTAACATTAATTTGAAATTAGGTCTTGACAAAATCTTGAGAAATTAAAACAGGAAAATAGATATTTGTACTCTAGGATGATAATTAAAATTGTAATATGAAGAGTAAATTGAGGGGTCATATTGAAAGGGAATAATAGTAGAAGACAAAAAGAAAACAAGGAACCAAACAAAACTTCAGCTCCTCTAATGGCATGCACAGAACATAGAAGTTTCTGATGAAGGAACTGGCAAAAAAGACAGAAAAGGAACTGCTGGGGTAAAATGGCAACATGCTGGGAGAACACAGGTTTGCAGCTCTTGTGGGAGAAATACTTTCAAGAAGAAAGAAGTAGTTAATAATGCAAAATACTCAGGTGAGCACCAGGGAATAAAGGATGGAGAAATATTTTGAATTTTTCAGGACAATATTTAGTGTGAGTAAATTTAGAAGGCACAAAAACTGAACAGCTGAAATG
The DNA here is from genome assembly GCF_000001405.40 of Homo sapiens. Classification (NCBI taxonomy): domain Eukaryota; kingdom Metazoa; phylum Chordata; class Mammalia; order Primates; family Hominidae; genus Homo; species Homo sapiens. The sequence continues at coordinate 174,524,283 of NC_000004.12, forward strand.
ATCTGTGAGAAGATAGATATTGTCATGGACTGAAGACCAAGGTTACATGGAAAGAGAAATGGACTGGATAATAGTTGAAAAGATTAGACAGCAAACATGTTTTTCTTTTAAGAAAAGATAAGAAGATTGATTGAGGTCAAAGTGCAATGAGTCAAGGATAGTGACAACTGGAAGAACAGGAAGCAGTTTGGCGGTGGCGGATAGGTGAGGCACAAGGACGTCAGCACTGGATTCAGACAAACCGGGTTTGGATCTTGTGTCTGCTACTGACCAGCTGTGTAACCTTGGGCAATTTGCTTCAACTCTGGGTCTCAGATTCCTTATTATAAAGTAAGCTTTTCTAAAAAAAAAAAAAAAGGTGAAAATTAAAATAGGTGAAGCATATTAAACACTATTACAGAGCCTGCCACAAAGTATTAATACATTAATATTAGTCCCAACATATTACTTCTGAAATATTAATGAATAATAAATGTGAGATAGAGAAAAATGTGAAGAATAGGTTTTTTTAGTAGATAGCAAGGACTGAGGTCTAGAGAAAACTTAGTACCCCTTCATCCCTTTCCCTCCTCTCAATTTCCACTGCCACTGTCCAGATTCATATTTTCTCCTATGATAGCAAACAGCAGTTAGCTTCTCATTACCTCCAAATACGCCCCCCACTTTTTTTCGCATTGTGAGATGCTTTTATTACAGTGAATTAAACTGCTTACCAAACAGTGATCTTTGTAAGGAAGGATTTTTTCCCTTTTTAGTTGACATGGAATAACTGTGCATATTTATGTGATCTATATATACAGAGTGATATATATGTACGGAGTGATATATCAATACATGTATACAATGTATAGTGACAAAATCAGGATATTTGATTATTAGCATATTTATTAACTCAAATGTTTATCATTGCTTGTGTTGTGTACATTCAAAATCCTCTCTTCTGGCTTTTAGAACCTATACACTAAATTATTGTTAACCATATTCACCTTACATGTGTTCTAGAAAACACTAGAACTTATCCTCTAATCTAGCTGTTTCTTCGTATCCGTAAACCAGCCTCTCCCTATACACATCTCCCCTTACCCTTCCCAGCCTCTGATAACCACAATTCTACTCTCTACTTCTATAAGGTTTTTTTTTAGCTTTCACATATGACTAAGAACATGCAATATTTATCTTTCTGTACCTGACTTATTTCATTTAATTGCTCCACATTTCTTAAATCCAATTTACCTTCTGCACTTCTCCTAGGAAAATTTCTAAAACTGATCTGATCGTGTTTAGATATTCTCATGTTTAAAATCCTTAAAATATCTAAACTCCTGGGCATCACATCTGAGGTGTTCCATGCCCCATGTCTTTCTTGTGGCCCTTCTTTACATGCCAGGAAGCTGTGTGTCAGTCACAGGTTTAGCATCCCTGATCTAAAAATCTGAAATCCTAATTGCTCCAAAATCTGAGCCTTCCTGGACTGTGATGTAAGCAAGATATAAACTTCTTATCTGTTGAGCCTTTGCATGTTTGTTTCTATTTTCTATCACAGCCTAACCTAATATATCTCCCAATAGAAAAAATCCTCCCAAATGTCCCTGATGACTAAATCATGTAGAACACGGGGCAAATTAAATCTTTTTGGTAGATAGCCATCAGGGCAACCAAATTGGCTAACCTACTAGATCATTTATTGCCATAAAGTCTCCAAATAGACATAAATTACTTACTTATCTAGCAAAACAAAGATAGTGTCATTATACACTGCCTCCCTGGCCCCCACTCCTAAGCAATAATCTTTTTTAAATGAAAGTTTTTGTTAAAAAGTGCTCCAACAATCTGAAACATGACAAGTGGAAAATTCCACATGTAAGTACTAGATACAAACTTGGTTTCATGTACAAAATTATTAAAATGCAAAAGATTATTTTCAGGCTATATGTATAATATGTATGTGAAACAAATAAATTTTATGGTTAGACTTAGGTCTCAGCCCCAAGGTATCTCATTATGTACATGCAAATACAAAATCCCCCCAAAATTCTGAAATCTGAAATACTTCTAGTCCTAAGCATTTTGGATAAGGGACACTCACCTGTATAGCCTATAAATAAGAATGTTCTTACAAAATTATATGGATGATGGTTTATCTCAAATTTAACTTTGTTTTAGCTAAGAATTATGTTTTTAATAACACAAATCACTGTGATGACAGAAATATATAGCTGATGTAATGTCCTGAACATAGAAGCTGAGAAATGCATATAAAAATCAGAGGAGTGGGGAGATGTTGACTGGGTAAGCAGCCCTTTTTTGGTTTTATAATATACCACATATAATGTTCTATAGATATTTTAAATTCAAAATAGACTTTTAATATAAAATATGGGAACATTCTTCTCCAAAAACCCATTATCAATATATTTCTGTTATATAAAAAGATAATCACAACATATGGGAAATCTCACCATCCTATTAAAATTTTCCATCTTCTCTTGAACACATATCTCATATTTATATATACTTTTCTTTGGTCAGCGTGTATTGCGCGTGTACTTTGGGTGGCCCTGTGCTGCGTCAGCTGGAAGGGATCCAGAGAAAAAGACAGAGCCCTCTTTGAAGACATCCAGAGAGAGTAAGCTCCTTATGATCCTGTGATTGGTATTTCCATGGTAGAGATCTGATAGCTGCATAGGAAAACAGTTGAAGAAAGTGGGAGGGCAAAGATACTCAAGAGGAGCGGGTATCAAACGGCAAAGGCCTGAGGGCATGGAGAGTGGCTATGTTTTAACTGACACATGGCTTCCTAGCATGTAGAGAGCTGTATTTGATTTAGTTTTGCAAACGAAGTTCTCTTAAAAACAAATGCAGCGCAATGATGCAAAGTTAAGAGAGGTGATTATTCCTTTAATGCAATTACAAGTGTTGAGTGTTGAACATTTACTCAGAAGCAGCCATCTCTTACTGTCTACACATACAGCCTCTGGAATCAGACCGCTTGGGTTTTAATCCAGCTCTACCATCTACTAGCTCTGTGACTTTTGGATAGTTACTTAATTTATCTGAATCTCAGCTTCCTCATCAGTAAAATGAGGATAATAGCAGCACCTATTTCATAAAGTTGTTGTGAAGACTATACTAAGTTAGATACAAGTCAAGTGCTTAGACCAGTGACCGGCACATAGCAAATGTTATATAAATGCTATTATCATTAAGCACTATACATATATAATTGCGTTTATTATTTACAACCAAGCTGTGAGGTAGTTATTATTGTGGTAATTTTATAGATGAGCAAAACACGTTTAAGGAGTTTGGGGAATCTGGTCAAGGTCACTTATCTAGAAAATGAAGGAGGAGGCTTTGACACAAGGTGTGGCTGACTACTGAGTATTACTTCTTTTTTGAAAATTAAACTCTTAATTTTGAGATAACTGTAGCTGAGCAGTACTTTTAGCCCTGTCTGAATGGCGATTTATTTAAGAAATACAAGTTGAATATAGACTGAAATCAGCACTCTTTGAGCAAATATATATTTTCCCATACCCTAGTGTCTGTCAGCTCAGTTCTGACCTGTTAGGCCAGGCTAGTCTTAAATTGATTTTTCCTTTATCCCATGCACACTGGTGAGCACAGACATTCCAAGAAGCACTCAATCACAGGCCCAGGCTCAGAGGCAGGCCAGTCACTCACCTGATAGACATGTTTACTGAATTTTAAAATAATGACATATCAATCAATACAAAAATAAGCTTTTTCTTTATTGAAACAAACAAACAAAAACCACTGCTGGCATAAGACAGTTACTGCTAGTACTGGGGTCTGGGGCTTGTTTTGACTTTGCTACCACAAGCTACAATAGAGGAGCTGACTTTTTAAATAGCTACTATGTTTTTGTTCCTTTGTAAGTTATTTCATTTAGTTTTCTTGCTAACCCTGCAAGGTAAGTAGTAGTATCCTCATTTTACAGTTGAAGAAAATGAGCCTCATGGAAGACAAGGGACTGATACCAGAACTTAGCAACAAACTTGGGTACACATCCAAGTCACATGGCTCCAAAGCCTTTGCTTTGTCTACTCCACTGAATTCTCTTAGATCTACATTCAAATGCTGTCTCATCCCCTTTGCTAATTGTATGATCTTTGGGTGATTACGTAACCTCTCTGATCCTGTTTCCTGAGCTGTTAAAAGGGGAACAAAATGACATTCCTTGAAGCACCCAGTACAATGCCTGGCACAAATTTGGTGATCAATGAAATATTCTTATTAAGTTTCTTCCTTAATATTCATATTTATTTCTGGATTAAGAGATACTTAGTTGAAAATGGAGAAAGAACAATGATACAGATAGATTTTCAACTCCAGAATATGGTGAGATGTTTCTAACTTTTCTTGGTGTTTCCCAGGGCTGCTATAACAAAATACCATAGACTTGGTGGCTTAAACAACAGAAATTTATTGTCTCACAATTCCTGAGGCTGGAAGTCCAAGATCAAGGTTTTGGAAGGTTTGGTTTCTTCAGGCCTCTCTCCTTGGCTTTCAGATGGTCACTTTCTCGCTGCGTCCTCACACGGCTTTTTCTCTGTGAATGTGTGTCTGTGTGTGTGTCCAAATTTCCTCTTCTTATAAGGACACTAGCAAGATTGGATTACAGTCCGCATGGTCTTATTTTAACTTAATCACCTCTTTAAAGGCTCTAACTTCAAATAGAGCTACATTCTCAGGTATTAGGTGGTAGGGATTCAATGTAAGGATTTGTGGGGGAATACACAATTCAGCCCACAAAACATAGATTTTCCAATCTGGAAATGGAATTCTGTTTACTGACTAAACTATACTGGGGAAACCAACAGATGGATGCATTAAGGATTGAGCCAGTCTTGTGACTTGTACTTAACAAAACACACATTCCTGCAAATGGCAAGAACAGAAAGGCAGTTCAGTTCAGTAACGGGAGAAGCATCTAATGGTCAAAGTTATTCAGTTGCCAAATGGTCAAGTGGTGGTAATCTGTGACACAGAGAAAGAGGAAAAGAAATTCATCACTTACAGGTGGACCTGAAGGCTGAGGAAGAATTTTTGAAAAATTTCTACCCATGTGTTCCAATATTGGGTGGTATCAGTTATAAACAACTACTCTAAAGTAACTTCTACTTAATAGGTTGTGCTCATATAATTTGTACAATTTATTCAACAAATGTGTTTTGGCCACCACAGATATGTCCTGTACTAGGGCATGAGTACATGCAGTAAATAAAACAAATGATCTTACCTCCATGGAGCTTGTAGCCTCTTTGGGGATGCAGACAATAATTTGGTCACAGGCAGGTATATGGGAGCGCATGTCAGAGGGGCTTAACATGGTGAGGTAGAAGAGGCAAGTCTCCTGTAGGAAGTGCTATTTCTCCTGAAGTCTGAAAAATGTTTATGGGTAGAATAGAAGTTAGGAGAAGGGAAGAAGGGGTAGTGCAAAACAGAAGGAGCTGAAGATTCTAGCATCCAGGAGAAAGGGAGAATACTGTGTATCTGAACAATTAAAATAAAGGCTAGAACACGGGGTGCTGATGCGGGATGAGGGAATGGCAGAAGATGAGGCTGGAGAAGAAGAAAGGAGGCACATCACTACGAACATTTTAAGCCATAAGATGGACTTCATATTTCACTCTCAGACAATAGGAAGTCACTGAATGGCTTTAAAACCTAGGGAGACCTCTAAGCTTTGGGTGTTTGAAAGATTATCTTGGTTTAACTTGGAGAATGAATTGCAGTCAGGGGCAATGGAACCACAGCAACTGTATTTTGCCTGTTTTATTGTTATAGGATCTAGGATGTTGGGAAGGAACAAAGAAATTCAGGCATCTCTCCTGAGAAGAGAAAGGGAGTAGAATGCTCCATCATGATGCTAACCACAAGAATTGACTTGACGGGACAGAATCAAGGGGAAGAACGTCAGTGAAACTTCTGGTGACAATCACCCACTTAGGTCTTTATTTTCCATTTTTGCATTTGTCATACTTTTCATAGTAATGAAAACAAATATGTTGTGTATAATACTGGATGTCAGCCTATACATTTGGTTTTTAAATTTGGGGAAGGAAACTTCTTTCCACTCGATTGAGCAGTTTCATCTTTGCAATGTATTTATTCTTTCTGAACTTTTGGGTAGTGTCCTCGTATTAGTCTGTTTTCATGCTGTTGATAAAGACATACCCAAGACTGGGTAATTTATACAGAAAAAGAGGTTTAATGGGCTCACAGTTCCACATGGCTGGGGAAGCCTCACAATCATGGCAGAAGGCAAAAGGTCTGTCTTGTGTGGCGGAAGGCAAAAGGCCCGTCTTATGTGGTGGCAGAAAAGAGAGAATGAGAGCCAAGTGAAAAGGGAAATCCCTTATAAAATCATCAGATTTTGTGAGACTTATTCACTACCACGAGAACAGTATGGGGGAAACTGTCCCTGTAATTCAATTATCTCCCACCAGGTCCCTCTCACAACACGTGGGAATTATGGGAACTTCAATTCAAGATTATATTTGAGTGGGGACACAGCCAAATCATATCAGTCCTAGAAAATTCTTCAGGACTGGCTCTTTTTACTTTTTGGCAATTTAGCCCTCCTGGTCATGAACGAGTTGTCAGATTAGCTTCTCCTAATTTCACACTATGATGGGGAGAAGGAAATGCAGGTTTTCTGCTCTTAAAAGATTCCACATACTGTTTGGACCCTCCCGTGCATAGTGGAGAGAATAACTTTATTCATTCTGTGATTATCCAGTAGGAAGTCTTATCAGACAGGAGGCCCTCTGGAGGGTCCTAGCAACACTGACCTAAACCTCAGAGCACTCGAGTGAACACCCAAAGTCCTCTGTGGAGAAATGATGTAGAGTCTTGAATGGGAATATGTTGCTAATGGGTCATTAGTAATTTGAGTGTCTTTTCAGCTGGCGTCAAAACAGGCCCTATTCCTCAGTACCCGGTATCAAGAGAAGACAACTTTCAGAAGCCCATTGCCTAGACTTGGAGGAGGCTCTTAATATGTTTTTTTTCCACATTTCATAAATTCTTAGGATTTTTTAAATTTAATATCCTTTATGAACTAAGGTCAACAAAACTTTAATCAGTGAATATATTTTTGGTTCTGAGAGTTAGAACACTCCTCCCTTTTAAAACAAAAAAGTTTTTAGAATTTTGTTGTTAAATATATCTGGACATATGAAGAAAACTGAAGTTATCAGCCTTTTCAATTGAATCCTGACACTGAAATTGTCTTTTGAAACTTACTTTTGTGTAACTATCCTGGCTCACTGGCACTCTGCTCTGGAATTAAATTTCCCTAATTTCTGTCAACTTTTTGAATCTGCAACAGTGGGAGCATATGATATGCTGTATGAGTAACTGCACAAGTTATTGTTAGAAAAATTCCTACTGATAAGCCCTATGAGTTTTATCTGTAACTGTGCAAGTAACCTAAGTATCTTGTGGAATTAGAGGCAATAGTCTGTTTTACAAAGAGTAGGAGAGAGAGAGAAAGAGGTAGAGACAAAGACCAAGACCAGGAGAGGAAGAAGGAGAGAGACAGAAAGGGAGGCAGAGGGAAGAAAGGAAAGAAGAAAGAAAGAAAACATTAGCATAATTTTCCAAGAATAGGCATCTCAGTGTCTTGCCTAGAAATCAAGGTCTTCCTCTGCTCAGAAGCACAGAAACTGTCCAGGAGGGGAAGCTCTAAGTAACGATAACAATAGAAACTGATTGGCTTGACAATGAGATAAGACCAGGTATGTTCCCGGTGACCCACAGTGAAGGAAAATTCAGTTTTTGCACAGTTTCACTGTGTGGAGAGAATATAGCACCATTACAAAACTTCTTTTAAAGAAAAGACACTTTGGGAATTGGCCTCATCTGTTTTTTTGTAGGCAGTTCAGATAGGAATAAAGGAAAGAAGAAAACATCTCCTTCCTTATTCCCCATCTGTTTATCTCACTATTTCTCATCCTCCTTACAGACACTCAGCTGGAGGTTCACAGATCCAGTTTCTTGTAGATTGCTCCTCAATGTTGTGGGTAATTTTAGGCAAAATATGCAAATTTCTTGTTTGGCATAAGGTTTTTCTTTCTCCTGCTAAAACAAAAATGTTTCCGCTACAAACCATTTAAATACTTCGTAGGGATTTTGTCAGGATTAATGAGGCAACAGACAGTCACAGGTGATTATACTTATTTCAAGAATGCATTATTTTAGTATGTCTATTTGGCATTACATTGATTTTTTTTCAGGTCATTAGCTTATTAATTTCTACTAGACAGCAGAGCTGCTGTGTCTTGTTATTTTTGGAGTTAAAATGGTGTAATATTCTCAGAGAGCTAGACATCAACTTAGTGAACTGGAACTGGAGAATAATTTATTCTTTGCTACCATAGATGTTAATTATTTACCACAAGACAGAGCTGGGCAAGAAGAAATCTCAGAACTTTAGTTTGGATACAGACTTTGCTTTTTATGGTCTGTTTCAATCCCTTTATTTTACAGATAAGTAGATTAAAACAATTATGATTAAGTATCTTCTCTTATGTCACACAGTTGTTATTGATTGGTTTATACTTAGGAGCTAGAGCAAGTGTTCCCAGGGAGTACATTTTGTACTGAATATAGCTGTCTTTGTGAAGAGAAAAATAACAAGATTTGTAGGTACTGAAAGTTACCCAGAAATCTCACATTAGTCTAGGAAGAGGTATGTATTATGATGCTCAGGGTTACTGTGGCTTGATATAATTAAACAGATGTATATTCGTCTCCTAGAGTCTTCAAAATAATGATAGTGGTGACGATGACGATGATGATAGTTAGCAGTTTTTAAAGGCTTACTCTGCAACAGGAATTATACCTAGAGGTTTATACACATTATCTCATTTATTTCCTAAAATGATGCCATGAGGTTGGATCTATTATTTCTTCCAGTCTACAGAAGAAGAACCTGAAGCTTAGAGATATTTGGTAAATTGTTGCAACTTCACTCTGTAAGTAAATGTCAGATCTGACCAATATGATGCCACCCTATGCCTTGTCACAGTATTATTCTGCTATACGTTTGAGAATCTGCCAAATTTTCTTAGGCTCATTATCCACTACCACCATATTCTGACTTGTGGTGGAATTAATAATATTTCTAGAAGAAATATTTGCAATATTTAAGCAAATTTTAGAATTTTTATACTAGAAATAAGATCTTGGACATAATGTAACTGTATGTCTAGGTGGTGCTAAGTAACGAGACTTTCTGCACTGAGTTTTAGAATGAAGAATGGGAAGGAAAGCTCTTCCTAAATAAAGCAGGAAACATGGATACCAGCTTACCATTTGTAACCAGAGGTGTTTCTTAATCTTTTTCAGATCAGTTGTACAAAAGTTAAGACAGCAATAATGGTTTTTATAGAATGTTCTCATGACGGTTAAATATTAAGATGTATGTGAAGTACATAGCCCAGTACTAGAAAGATCTGGCGTCTCTTCTGATTATTTATTGCCTGTGCTGTACCAGTTAATGTTTGGAATATCAGTACTGTATTCAACAGATATCTATTTGATATCTAGTATGTGATTGGGCCAGTAATAGGCCCTAAGGGGACAGTACTATTTTTATCTTCATGGTGCTCACTTTCTAGTTGAAGGAGGTAGAAAAAATAATTATTGCGGGTAGTGATAAGTGAAACAAAAATAATAAGACAGGATTGGGGTAGAGTGACATGAATTGGGGAGAAGGAAGGATTCCATGAGATCAGTTGTGAAAGGAGGCTTCTAAGAAAGCAACACTGGAGTTGAGAAGGGAATAAGAAAGAGCCAACTACCTGGAGATTGGTAGAAGGATGAAAAGACATGCACAAGATTTGAAGAAGAGTTTATGAAGATGAAGGCTTCCAATGAACTGAGATTTCTACATCATGGGGAGGGTAATAAAAATGCTCTTTAAAATATGTTAAACAAGGTATCTGTATCTATGTCTGCATGAAAGTAGAGAGGAGACAGAATAGCTGATGCAACAGATGACAGTGAATAATCGAGTATCTACAGCTTCTACAATGATCATCAACCAGGTTCTTTCTGCCCAACTGCAGCAAGTCAATCACTGAGATAATGGATTTTGCAAAAGAGAAGACTATTCATGAGGCAGCCAGTGAGGAGGTGAAGAACAGGTCTCAACTCCACCTCCCAGAAGATAAGGCTTAGGGATATTTATAGGTTATAGAAGTGGGGTCAGCTAAGATGTGGGAAAAGGTGATTGTCAGTGGGGGAAAAATGAAGCAATCAGTGATCTATGCAAACATAGTTGGGATATGTGGCATTTCATAGGACACATTTGCAGAAAATGATGGTATTATGATCTGAGGGTGGAATTTTTGGTCCTCTGATGTCAAAATGCTCTCCGGCATTTACAGAGGCCCAGCTGAAGAGTCAACCAGTTTGAACTGGTCAGGAGCTGTCCCACATTCCTGAAAAATAACTGAAGTGACCATTACCATGGTGATTTATAAATGTTCAATTTATTATGCCGCTAATGAAGGTTAAGTTTCAGCGTTCAGTGGTGCAGCCTTCAATTACTGTGGCTTTCAGCTTCATGAAAAAAAAAAAAAAAAAAGAAAAGAAAAAGATAAAAAGCAGGTAACCAAAAGCAAGCAGGGCATGCTAAATTTGGCAGACCTAATCAGATGAATCCTCTGTTTCACAGTGCTATTTTGTTTATAATCTTCTTTATCCAGGAGAACATTATTTGAACTAAAAAGAACAAAGCAAGAATGGTCTGAAATCACAAGGGGTTCAGAAGAATGAAACAGATGATCTGGATACTTTTAGAAGGAGTAATAATTATTAATCCCAACAAATGACATTCTTCAGTGTCTAAGCATTTTCTTTTGTGATTAAAGAGCTGCCGTGAACAAACCTGGAGGAGAACGTGATGGGTACCAGAGACCAGAAATTTACACATGGCTATGTTTTCAAAGGACAGGTCAAGATGGTGAGAGGAGTGGGGCTAAGGAAGATGTTATCATATATAAATTCCAGAAATTGTACTGAGGTGACGTTGGTATCCATCTGCAGCATAATTCTATGCTTAAATATTGAACCAATTATTTTTGAGCTCTTAGTAAGGCAAGGTGGTGGAGCCAGGATGGGTTCAATAAGAAGTTCTCATGCTAAACTAACCTCTTTTTTGATAAAATTTCCAGACTTTAAAGTCAAGAAGACAAAACAATTCTAGATTTGAGTAGGGCATATGAAGAAAATATGTGGCTTAATAACTTGCTTTTTAAAGTTAACATTTTGAAATGGGATCTAAAAAAAAATGTCGATCTTACAGAATTAGAGAGTAGAGCAGTGGTTACTGACACCGGGGAGAAAATGAGAGATTGGGGAGGATGGGAGAGGTTGGCCAACAGGTACAAAGTTACAAGAAGATAGAAAGAAGTTCTGGTGTCCTTTTGCATAATAGGGTGAAGATAGTTAACAGTAAGGGATTGTATATTATAAAATACCTTGAAGAGAGGTTTTGGAATGTTCTTATTACAAAGAAATGAAAAATGCACAAGGTGATGAATACGCCAGCTACCCTAATTTGATTATTATACAACATATACATGTATCAAAACATCAAATTGTATCCCATAAATATGTACAATACAATGTGTCAATTAAAAAATAGAAAACAATATAATTATGTGGTCTACAAAGAGAACATAATGGACTAAATGTTGATTGGGATTCACAGAATATTGCCAAAATATTCGTGACTTTGCTAACCATATGAAACAAAATGTTCACATTTAAATATATAAGTTGATCTTAGTTGTATTTATGTAATAATTATTATGATCCATAATAAACCATACATATTTTGCTAATTTTATTATTTCTGTCCATGACAAGTGAAGTTATTAATAAGATATTATAAAATTTGGCACATAAATTAAAATGTATTCGTTATCCTATTAACAGTATTATTTTAAATGACAAAACTGTATTCCATATGTATTCCAATACACCAAAATTTTGTAAGTTAATTTACCAATATCCGTTTTTTGGACATTTAGATTATTTGCATTTCTTACACTTTTTTGAAGTATTCTAGTTATGTCCTTAGGTTAAATTCCTAAAAGTAAAATTTCTGAGCTATGAGGATATGCCAAATTACCTTCCAAAAATGTGGTATTCGCCGGGTGCAGCGGCTCATGCTTGTAATCTCAGTGCTTTGGAAGGCTGAGGTGAGAGGATGGCCTTGAGGCTTGGAGTTAGAGACCAGGCATGGGCAATGTAATGAGACTCTGTCTCTACAAAAAAAAATTTTTAAATTAACTGGACATGTTGCTGTGCACCTCTAGTTCCAGCTACTTGGGAAGCTGAGACAGGATATCTGCTTGAGCCCAGGAGTTCGTGGCTGCAGAGAGCTGTGATCACACCACCGCACTCCAGCCAGGGCAACAGAGTGAGACCCTGACTCCAAAAGCAAAAACAAAAGAGCAAAAACGAGATTCCAATGTATACTCCCACCAATTAATTTGAAGGTGACCATATCCCTCCTATCAAATACTGTCACTCATTTACATCTTTGCCAAATGTGGGTAAGAAAAGAAATAAATAGTTTTTTTATTTAAATGTGTATATCTTTATTGTTAGTGAGGTTGAATATTTTTCATATGCTTATTGATCACTTATAGTATTTTTATTTGGTTATCAACTCATTTGCTTATCTGTTTTTAATATTTTTAAATATTTTCATTTTGTATGAGAATTATTAGAGTTATGACAGAACACTTACATTATAGAAGTGCATCCTGAAAAAATTATGCATTAAATGACATGATGTCCGGAATTGTACGTAAAGTCACCTAGTAATGCGGTGGAGCCTGATGAAACAAGAATGGCTATGAAATGATATAATGATGGAAGATTGGGGAAGGGCTTCTAGAGTTTCATAATACATCCCTCTCCATTTGTGTCTACATATAAAATATCCATTACAAAAGGTAGACTAGGTCCTTGTAAAAATAATTTTATATGTTGCAAGCGCAGGAAGAAACTTTCAGTTTCAAGAGTTTAAGCATGTCAAATTGTATACTTCAACTATGCCATTTTATTTGTAATAACCCAAAACCAGAAACAGCCCAAATATCCACTAACAGATAAATGGGTAAACAAATAGTGATAATATCCATAGAACAGAATGCGACTCTGCAAGAAAAGAATGAACTATTCACATAAGCAACATTAATGAATATTAAAATAATTATGCAGCATGAAGAAAACAAGAATAATAAAAAACACTTTATAATTAAAATCATATAAAATTCCAGAAAATATTAACTAATTTATTTTGAAAAAAGGTAAATCAAGGGTTGCCTGGAGGGCAAGTGAGAGTAGGGAAAGATTATTAGAAAGGTATACAGGAGTAATGGATATTTGGATATGTACATTAGCATAATTGTGACAGTTTCATGAGTTTATATGTATGTGGAAAGTACCTCAGTTGTACACCGGTTTTTGTTTTTTGTTTTTTTTTTTTAAAGAGACAGTGTCTCACTGTGTTGCACAGGCTGTAGTGCAAGGCTGTGATCATAGCTCACTATAGTGTTGAACTCCTAGGATCAAGGGATTGTCCCCCCGAGTCTCTCAAGCAGCTGGGACTAAGGGCATGCTCCACCACGTGGAGCTAATATTTTTAAATATTTTTATAGAGATGAAGGTCTTGGTATATCATCCAGGCTGATAATCAACTCAACTGTACACCTGAAATATGTGTAGTTTATAGCATGCCAATTATGTTTCAATAGAACGTTAAAAATGACTTAAAGTCTGGATCTACTTTTTAAAGGAAAACATAAAGTTTGGCAACCCTATATTGACTCCACCATGCCTTGGGAAAGGCAGCCCGCATCAGTGGCAGGAAATATTGGTAAGCAATAAACATCATCTCTATATGAGTCAACAGAAATGTTAGAGGGGTGACAAAAGCCACAGCCCTGGACTATGAGATCTCTCATTTCTCTATTTTCATTTTCTTGACTGTGCAGCAATGGCCTTGAGGTCATTACATGAGTAAACAAAACCTTATTTGCTCTGACAGTTATGTCAGTTCCAGGAAAAACACCAGCATGGAGTGCACCCACCCATGCTCATAGCCTTAGCCACTGAAACACCTATGGAGACACTGCAGAAGAGGTACCATTCTCGACCTTGATGCAGTCTCCTCCAGACCTTATTAATCACACTCAGTGTTTCTGCGCCAATTATGGTTTCAGCCTGGCCTCTTAACAAATGACACCAGAAACTTGAGTTTTGGACATCCAGGCACATGGTTCCTCTGCAGTGCCTGGAGTCTTCTCAGGGGTGCTAGGAGTTATGTGACATCCCCCGAGAAAAAGGGATTCATCCTTCTCCCCAGAGTCCTACAGGATGTCACAACAACTTTCCCCTCCTCAGGGTGAACTCTGAGCCTACAAAGAAATCCTGGCATTCAGGCCACAAATTAGGATCACAAAGTGAAATACTCTTTCCTAGGTGGGTTTTGACAGCAAAGCAAATTAGACCAAAATTGGAAGAAGAGAAAATTATTTGCAAATTGCCGGTAATACCCAGGCTAGAGCAATCTTCTTAGACAAGATTGGGTCAGGATCGTGCCTTAACTAGTCAGAGAGGAAGGAATGACATTCCCCTAAGGGCACAGACTATTTGTGATTTTCTCCAGGGAATGAGAGAGAGAACAGAAACATCTGCTTTCCTTTATTACACTGAGGTGACTAATACACACTATGGGGAACCTGTCAGGTGGTAGAGGTGAAATGGCTTATGCCACAGAAACTGGCAGTGACCTAAATCTGGCAAGGGTCCTGGCCTGCGCAGGTTAGAAAGTACAACGCAGCTCCTTAAAGCTTCCCACTTACCTGGAATTTGTGGGGAACCTCTCCACTGTGGATGTTCAGATGTATGGAGTTCGATGCCTCCTTTACATTCACAGAGGCTTTCCTCCTGAGTTGTTATAGTGAATATGGAAGCCTTTCTCCAGCATGCACTCTCCAGTGTTGATTGAGTCCAGGGCTTTCTGTTGAAGGGATTTCCCATATTTACCAAATTCACAGGGCTTTGCTCCAGTGTGAACGCTCTGTGATTAACTAAGGATGGAGCTCTGGCTAAAGGACATCCTATATTCACCATACACATGAGGCCTAGCTCTAGTGTGAATTCTCTAGTGTTCAATGAAGACAGAGCTTTGGCTAAAGAAATTCTCCACATTCACCACACTCATAAGTCTTTCTCCAGCGTGAATTATCCAGTGACAAATGAGATTGGAGTTTTGGCTAAATAATTTCCCACATTTGCCACACTCCTAAGGCCTTTTCTCCATTGTGAATTCCCTGATGTTGAACAAGTTTGTATTTGTACCTGAAAGCTTTCCTGGTTCACTGCACTTGTAATGACTTTTTCTGCTGTGAAAGGCCTCCCCACATTTGGTGCTGATGTGTGGCTTCAATCCAGTTGTGAGTGGCCTATGTTGGAGAAGGTACAGTTGCCAGGAAAATCCTTCCCAACTTTCCCACAGGCGAAAGGCCTTCCTGACACTTAAAATCTGCAGCCTTTCACAGAGAAAGCATTGTCCACGTCTCTATTCCATTGTGTTCCTTCTGGTGCTGGTGCATGTTTGCACTAAACCAGAATTGTTTCCCACATGCCTCACAAGTGTACTATTTCTGCCCAGATAGCGTTCCTTGTTGCTCAGCCAGATACAAAATGTCCCTTAAGACCAGAACACACATCTCACAGGGATGAGCCTTCTGGATGAATGGACCTAGCTGTGACACTTTCTACTGAAACACTTCACTGAGGGTGTCTGCTTTCCCTTTGCTCCACACCAACAACCTGGCGAGGTTATATAGGCAAAGTTCTCTGCATCACGGGGCACAGCTCTCAGGCTCATCAAGGAAACTCCATTCCTCTCAGAAGTCATTAAAGGTCGGCTATGTTCATAAAGATCATACTGAGATGGCTTCTCTTTCTGTAGGTGGAGCGAGCTGGGACTTGCAGGTGACCAAGAAGGGGGATCCCGGAACCGGAATTGTCTCCCTTGGCGTTCCGGAAGTAGAAGCAGAGTCATTGCTGGGTGGCGCCAGCCCTCAGACTTGCCTCTTTGCAGTAGGAAGAAGGCCTCCCCACATACCTTCCCACACTCATCACCTTAAGCCAGACTCGGTGTCCAGTGAATATGACCATCTCTTGCCCATTTTCTAATGAGTGTTTTCATTAATGAGTTATAAGAATGTGGTGGGTAAATCTATGGGCTTTGAACTAGTGAATCAACTTGGTTTCAGAATCTGGCACTGCTACTTACTAGTGAATTTAAGCAAGTTATTTCACCTTTCAGAGTGTCAGTTCCCTCATGCATACAAGGAAGATAAAAAATAATGTATACAAAAGTATTGGAGTAATTAATACATGGAGAACTACATGTAAAGCGTTTAGCATGATGTCTGACATATTAAGCATCCAATATTAGTTGCTTGCAGAATTATTAGTAAAAGAGATTGCTTCTGAAAGCCATTCCAATTCTTAAATTTTATAATGCCACATTTGAGGTCACCTGAAGTACGTGTATAACATGTGTACATTTTTGCGATTTATTTTTTCAATTCCCAGATTAGAGGCATAGAGATATCCTAGCAAGGACTCCAAGTGTGTAGATCTGTCAAAGATATGAACATGAAAGAACAGCTTATTTCAATAAACCCACTTTACATACCTTGTGTGCTTGTTTTTAACAATAAAAATTGGAAAGATAATTAAGGAACTGAAAAACCAGAGGGTAAATTCTACAGTTTCCTTAATTTAAAGAGTAATTGTTTTTAATTCTGATTCACCTAAGAAGAAGGCATTTAACTTGTAGGGCTTTCTGTATTTACATGTATTATATATTAAATCCTCACAATTGTTTGCAGTCATTATTATTATTATTATTATTATGCCCATATAATATGTTAATGTGGAAACTGAGGCTCACAAAGCTTAATTAAATTGCCCAAGTTCCTAAAATTAATAAATGTATTTTGGGTTTGAACCTGTCTTCTGACCGCAAAATTAATGATATTTCACCACACTGTTTTCATTCAGCCTAACCTAGTCAGCCATGACCACATGGTGGTGTTTAAAGAAACAAAAAAATCTGAAGAACTAAAACAAACTTTTAAAGGTTTAAATCGACTTTCACTTTGAAAGAAATCTAGCCTACCTGTGCCTTAAAAGATAAAAAAGTACAATAGTAAAATGGAAATCTTTTAGAGAAAAGAATTACATAAGCTGATTGTCAATTAAGACTCCTGAACTGGCCTCTGTACTCTGGTTTATTAGGAGTGTTGAATAAGTGCTTTTGGACAACATTTAGATGTGAACATAGTCTTAAATTCTCTTTATTCCCATTTTTTAAAAAAATGTTCTTGAGAGTATTGCAGTACAAATTACATATTGACCAAAATTTTGTCCCTTTTGAAAATCAAGTTTATTTTTAAGTTTGAAAATTCATACCCATGATAGTAAAAGAAAGAGACTATTACAGGAGATAAGAAGACGTAGTTCCTAAAATAGGTTATCAGTTAACTAGCATAGGGATTTTATGCTGGGAAGTTACTAAGCAAGGAAATGGCATGATATGCCTTAGTGTGATTTTGAAATAATCACTCTGGCTGCTGTGGAAGAATGGGTGTAAATGGCAAGAGTGGACAAAGGAATACCAGTTAAAAAGTTATTGTAGGCCGGGAGCAGTGGCTCATGCCTGTAATCCTAGCACTTTGGGAGGCCGAGGCAGGCGGATCACGAGGTCAGGAGATCGAGACCATCCTGGCTAACACGGTGAAACCCCATCTCTACTAAAAATACAAAAAATTAGGCGAGTGTGGTGGCGGGCGCCTGTAGTCCCAGCTACTCAGAAGACTGAGGCAGGAGAATGGCGTGAACCCGGGAGGTGGAGCTTGCAGTGAGCCGAGATCTCACCACTGTTATTGTAGTTGCCTAGCAGAAACATACACTACATTGTAGTAAAAATGACGATGGAAGGAAGTAGATAGATATGAGAAATATTTATGATTAGATAAAGGACTCACAAATATTTTTGAAATGAGTGTGGTGTCTTGGTGTTGGTGAGGATTACTATGGGGTAGAAAGAAATATTGAAAATAAATCCCAGATTATTAAAATGGGGAAAATACAAATACCTGTACTCTGTTTTCCCCATGGATATGTGGTAGTCCTTGGACATCTGCACACTTATCAAGAGATCTTCATGTATTTCTGATCCAGTTAATAAAATGGACTGGAAAGCACTGATCTACTGCCTAGCATGGCAATGGTGCCCAGTGCCTGGTCCTCTGTAAATGATTCCTCAGACATTACTGAGGAAAGAATCTCTGAGCTTAGAGATATTTCAATAAAAAAAATTTCCAAAACTGAAAAGCAGAGGAAAAAAAAAAGACTACACAACAAAAAAGAGTACCCAAGAACTGTGAGACAACAACGAAAGGTTTAACTACACATAATGAGAATACCAGAAGGAAAAGAGAGAAAGGAAGAGAAGAAATATTTGAAGCAAAAACAATAATGACTAAGAATGTTTTCTAGACTAATGTCAGATACCAGACTACAAATCTAGGTAGCTCAGACAGTTGCAAAAAACAAAAAGAGAGAGGGAGAGAGAAAAAAAAAACCAAAAGCAAAACAAAACAAAAAACCCAAAACACAACAAAAACTACACGTAGGCATATTATATTCAAATTTCAGAACATCAAAAATAAAGAAAAAATTTGGAAAGGAGCCAGAGGAAAAAACATCTTACCTATAGAGGAGCAAAGAATTACATAGTACTTTTTCTCAGAAACCGTGCAAGTAAGAAGAGAGTGAAGTATTTAAAATGTCACGGAAAAAAGCCCACCAAATTAGAATTCTGTACCCTACAAAATTATCCTTTAAAAGTGAAGCAGAAATAAAGACTTTCTCAGACAATCAAAAATTCATGGAATTTGTTGCTAGTAGACCTGCTTTGCAAGACATGTTAAAGAAGCTCTGTAGAGAAAAGTACAATTATATAGGTCAGAAACTTGAATCTACATAAAGATAGGAAGAGAATGAAAGAAGAAATAAATGAAGATAGAATAAAAACTTCTATTTTTAATTCCTAATTCATCTAACAGATAACAGTTTGTTCAAAATAATAATAGCAACAATGTATTTGTGTGTATATATACACATATATGTTTACGTATGCTTATGTATAAGTGTAATGAATGCCAGCAATGATATGGATAAGAGAGAGGAATTGGAATTTTTTTTATTATAAGGTACTTACACTACCCATGAAGTGGCATAGAGTTATTTGAAAGTGGACTCAAATTACTTCTAAATCTCTACTGGAAATTTCATCTAGCAATCTTGCTCTTTGGTATTTATCCAAAGAATATGAAAACTTATGCCCACACAAAAGCCTGCATATAGATGTTTATGGCAGCTTTATGTAAATGCTAAAACCTGGAAACAACCAAGATGTCTTTCAGCAGGTCAATGAATGAATAAACTGTGATACAGCAGACAATGGAATATTAATCAGTGCTAAAAAGAAATGAGCTGTGGCTGGGTACGGTGGCTCACGCCTGTAATCCCAGCACTTTGGGAGGCTGAGGCAGGTGGATTACCAAGTTAGGAGATCGAGACCATCTTGGCCAACATGGTGAAACCCCATCTCTACCAAAAATACAAAAATTAGCTGGGCGTGGTGGCACATGCCTGTAATCCCAGCTACTCAGGAGGCTGAGGCAGGAGAATCGCTTGAATCAGGGAGTCGGAGGTTGCAGTGAGCTGAGATCATGCCAGCCTGGCGACAGAGAAAGACTCTGTCTGAAGAAGAAAGAAAGAAAGAAAGAAAGAAAGAAAGAAAGAAAGAAAGAAAGAAAGAAAGGAAGGAAGGAAGGAAGGAAGGAAGGAAGGAAAAGAAAGAAAGAAAGAAACAGGGAGGAAGGAAGGAAGGAAGGAAGGAGAAAGAAAAGAAAAGGAAAGAAAAGAGCTGTGAAGCCATTAAAAGACGGGGGGCGGGGAACCTTAAATGTACATTTCTAAGTGAAGTAAGCCAATCTGAAAAGGGTACCTTGGTTCCAACTATGACATTCTGGAAAAGGTAAAACTATGGAGACAGAACAAAGATCTGTAATTGCACACAAGATGTTTAGGGCAGTGAAACTATTCTGCTTAAAACTATAACAACGAATACCTGTTATTATACATTTGTACAACATCACAAATATTGGCTTTGATATATTTCCTCGTGTTGTACAACAAGAGGAAACCCTAATATAAACTATGGACTTTGGTTAATAATGACATGGCCATGTAGATTAATCAGTCTTAACAAACGTACCACTGGTGAGGGATGTTGATAGTTGGGGAGGCCGTGCATGTGTGATGGCAGTGAGTATATACAAAATATCTGTACCTTCTGCTCTCAATCTGTCTCTCTCTCTCTTTTTTTTTTTCTGTGAACCAATGCTCCAAAAAATAGTCTGTTAAAGAAAGAGCAACTAAAACAAGCTCCTTTCATCACATTGTTTTATCTCTCTGATTATTACTGGTGAATACCTCCCTAGCACCCTAGAATGTATCTGTCGTTCTATTGATTTTGTTCCCAAAGTTCTGTTCTTTTCCCTAACAGATAAACAGCAGAGAAGCTATGCCACCAGTACCTCCAGTCATCTTCTAGCTTTTTCTGTAAGATTTCACCCTAAGCAATGAATCAAAAGTCTACTTCCAAATCTTTTTCATGTTCTGTTAATTTCAAATAAGTCCACTATTTTCTTTGAACATAATTGAATTTCTTGGTTAATTAAGAATACGTAATAAAACAGTTGGTAATTATTTAAGATATGGTGACAAACAGTTAAATCAATATTTGTCCAAAGCATTCTGCTTTAAAACTAATTTTTCAATAAATTTTCAGATATATTAGTATGTTTTAACTTTTACCTTTAGTTGGACATTCATCATTGAAAATACATTATTGTAATCTTTTTGAGGCTCTTAAAGTTTAGATCTGTAGATCTTTGGCAATTCTACTTCTTCTCTGTCAGCCCTCTCTTGACTTTTCTCTATTCATTCTTTTCCAGATTTCACAACCCTTTATTTGCATCACTTTCTTGTCAATAATGTCAATGTCATGATGTTACTGTTGTATCCACATGGATGAATCTATCTAACTTGTGTATTTTCAAGTTCATGCTATTAGGGAGTTATGAGAGCAAATAATAAACTACAAAAATAAATGTGGCCCTCTTCACTCTCATGACCTACTGTAGCAAATTCAAGCATTTCCACTCTCTTCTAACCTCCCCGTCACTAAACTATCTTCTTCCCTGTGAGTAGGAGACATTTTACTTTACCTAAAAGTATAAAGTGTAAATTCCTTTAATTACTGTTAACACACCCATGACTACTTCCCTTTTGCTTGCTTCCAGATCATGCTAACAATGTCGCTTCTTTGCCGTAACTATAGATCTTTCTATTTTTACTTCAAAATCTAGTTCTTTTCCTCTTCATTGGAATACTACTTCACAATTTATCTGCTTGATTTTTATGTTATTTTCAGTTTCTTTTCCTTTTCTATAATAGCATCAATCCAATAGCATTGTATTAGTATGTTCTCACACTCCTATAAATACTTGAGATGGTTAATTTATAAAGGAAAGGTTTAATTGACTCACAGTTCCATATGGCTGGGGAGGTCTCAGGAAACTTACAATCATGGCAGAAGAGGAAGAGGCACATCTTACATGGCAGCAGGTGAGAGAGAGGGGCAAGCAAAGGGGGAAGACCCCTTATAAAACCATCAGATCTTGTGAGAACTCACTCACTATTGGGGGAACAGCATGGGGGAAATGGGGGAAACCTCCATCATGATCCAATAACCTCCTACCAGATCTCTCCCTTGACACATGGGGATTGCAATTTGAGATGAGATTTGGGTGGGGACACAAAGTCAAATGATATGAGGCAGGTAAATATTTGAATTTTCTTTTCTCTTGAATTAAAAAAAATGAAAATG